>NC_000013.11:96877979-97502979 GCF_000001405.40 Homo sapiens | reverse complement strand
TTTGCTGAAGAGGGAAGTACTGGGGGGAGTGGGCAGAGAAGGGGAGGAAACCAACAAGGATTGATTTAGGAATGCACATTTAACTGTAAAGTTTCCTGTGGGAAAAAATAAGCAAATATTTAAAAGATTAGAAAGAAAATGCCATGAGGAATTTCAGTGCTGTTTAAATGCAGCATGCTTGGCATAAGTACAAGAAGAGGGCTGGAGTTATTACTGCTCTCAAACAGGGCAAATATTGCCCAAATGATAAACTCAGGCAGAAGGTCACATCCAAACTGTTTAATTGGGAGGCTGACAGAGTGATTCTGTTGATACATACCTTTAAAAATCTTAAGAACAATTTTAGGTAACTTGTATTCAAATTTGGAGGGAGAATGAAGAGAAATGAGGAAGGAGAGAAGCTAAGGATACAGATTTTTTTTTTTTCTCTGCTTCTAGTGTGGGAAAGGGCAACAAATCCATAGGAAAACAGGAGGGACATGATGCATATTTGAATGGCTCTGAAGGCTGCTCTGTGGGACCAGCTGAGCTGAAAGAACACCGAGTGCAGAGGCTTGGGAAATTCTGAACTTACTCTTCTTGATTTCTGGACTGCGTCCCAGGCCTGGGAAATCCTAGCTCCATTCCACACTATGGAAACTCGTTGGCTCCCAGGCGAAAATGAGGGAAGTGGAGAAGAGGCCAATCCACTCCAGGGAAGAGGCTGTAGGAATCAAATCTGCAACCAGCTCCCTAGAGAGCTGTGGAAGCCAGATATCCTCAATTTCACTGCAAGTGTCCCCAGGAGCATCCATGGAAGTTTCTCTAGCTCTTCCACAATTTCCCCTCCATTCCCGTTCAGCATATCACCTGAGGTTCTGGAGTACAGTGTAGGTCATGTGGCTCCCTTCCCACCTTCTGAGAGATGGAATTTGGTTTTGTTTCATCAGACACTGAAGACTCATGTCACTACTTAGGAGAAGACTGGGGGGTGTTTAGATCTTTATGCTGTATCCTCAGTCTCTGGACAGTGCTTCATAAAAGTGGTTTTGCAAATGATTCAATCTCATTGGCCAAGCCAATTAAGTTGAGAAGATTTTTTTCATGGTTTTCAATGCATTCGCAGTATGTTTCAAACTCACGCCCTCTCCCCAAGCCCCTGCTTTCTTGCAAGGTTTGGCACTGCTGAGTGGGCATTGGCAGGCACGAAGGAATACTTTCATATGTGGCCACCCAAATATTCCGATCAGAATTTCTGAAACATGGGTCCTTCCTTCTGTTTGGAAAATGCCTAATGAAGTAAAGGGAGCATGAAGGATAGTTGCCTGGCTTGCAGAGATTTCTGACCCTGATAAGAAAACTACTATATGAGTTTGGCCAGTCCATATTCAAATGGCCGACTTTAGCCAACTTCTGTGTTCTGTGTTCTTGTTTTCTTGGTGGACCAAGTTATGATTTTCTACTTGGGCAAGTGTGTTATGTCAAAGATGCACACAAGAGGTTCAGGGTAGGGGAATGAATTGTTACTGTAACCACGCTAACAATTTCAAACTCCCAGAAAGCTGAGATTTCAATACTTTCCTCCCTAAAGTGAAGATCAAATAGCCAAATACTTTTCTAGTGCAATGATGATATTTCTTCTCGTAATGCCAAATGCTAAAGTAGGAATGAGCTCATTTACCCACCACCATGAGAGTTAACGGAAATGTCCCATATTCCCAATCTAGCACCCTCTAGGGTCCTTCCTTGCTTTATTTTTCTCCATAGAACTTACACCCTTTAATGTACTACATTTTACTTATTTTAAGGAAAAATTTTGCCTCTATTCCTCTCTCTATTACACACACGTGAGAATATAAGTTCATGAGGGCAGGAATTTTATTTTTGTCTTTTTGTTTACTATTGTATCTCCTATACCTGAAAGATTCCTTGACACAGAATAAGCACCTAATAAATATTTTTTGAATGAATGAATGCCTCAGAAGATGGTGTTTTCTCAGGTGAATATTTGACTTTCTCTCCCAATCCACCCACCTAGAAGCTAGATCTCTTGAATGGCTTTGAGGTCTCACTCCTTTTATAGCAAAGGCTGAGAAAGACTTGACAAATAGTATGGTCACTTCTGAGGGTTTAGAACCACTGTGAAATAGAAATAGAGTCTTAAAACCCCCAGGGCAGAATGAAACAGAGTCTTTGTGGCACAAAGAAATCCCAGAAAACTTTAAACCAGATTCTCTGGCTTGGGCAAGGCAGGAGGTCAGTCAGAAGTCAATATTCTCCTACCTTGCTAACCGCTAGAAGTACTTGCTTTCCTATGATTAAACAGAAACCAGTTCCTGAAAAACAATGTCTGGAAGATTTCTCCACAAATCTTAACAGACCACCTTAATGTTGTGGCCAAAAACTCCCTTGCCCCCGTTATGGTTTTGCTAACCAGTCTTGCAAAACATTGCTTCTTTTTTTTTTTTTTTTTTTTTTTGAGACGGAGTCTCGCTCTGTCGCCCAGGCTGGAGTGCAGTGGCGGGATCTCGGCTCACTGCAAGCTCCGCCTCCCGGGTTCACGCCATTCTCCTGCCTCAGCCTCCCAAGTAGCTGGGACTACAGGCGCCCGCCACCATGCCCGGCTAATTTTTTGTATTTTTAGTAGAGACGGGGTTTCACCGTTTTAGCCGGGATGGTCTCAATCTCCTGACCTCGTGATCCACCCGCCTCGGCCTACCAAAGTGCTGGGATTACAGGCGTGAGCCACCGCGCCCGGCCAACATTGCTTCTTAATGAGTGACTGCCCACCACAGACTGGTGCTGGCCAGTCCACTCAGACTGCACGCAAGATGGGTTTGTGCCCTGCGTTTCACCTTTTGACATAAAGAGACAAATTTCACTTCATTTTAATGTTAAACTTCCACTCCAAAGTGAACATGGGATGTATGTAACATATATGTTTATTCACATGTGTTTGGTTTCTCTCATAAATATTTATGGATTCTCCTATAACCCACTGAATATGTAGCTGTAGCTAACCTGTCAGGCATAAATGCTAGCCTCCCCTTATTTTTCTCTGAAGTGAGTGCTTTTGGTTTAGGCCAGAGGCTTCATTTCCCAACCTGTAATCCTTTATAGGAAATAAAGCTGTCCTTTTCTTCCTCCGCAGATCACATGGTCTTTTGTTAACACTACTGAGAAACCTTCTGGGCAATGCTAGGCTCAGTCCTCGTTTACCAAATCAGCGGTCCAGACACAACATGGGAAACATAATCAGAGAACAGAGACAGATGAAAAATCTCATTTACTCCATGTACAATTGACAATTGCCACTTTCCTTCTCTTCCTCAAACAGTTCACATTAAATTTTCAAGTAAACTAAAGGAGGAAGATAAAGATAAAAGCCCAAACAAAGCCAGTTATGGAAAAATGCTATAAAGTTCTGTGGTTTATTTCACATCTCTTTAAAGGGAAGTTCCTCTCTAAATGCCTATATCCTCTGCCCTCAGGAACATTCAAGCCTTTACAGAACATACATTCACTCTGCCCCCATTCTGTGCCAAGCCTGTGCTATGCACCAGGGATTGAGCTATGAATAAGACAGACATAGTTGTTGCCTTTTCCAAGTTTGGACCTAGCGGTAGATATTGACTCACAGTCATCTGAAACCCACTCATGATGTTACTGTAGGTCATATTGCATCTATAAAAACTGACCCGAATTCATGAGCTGGTAAACTCTATTCGTAAAGTGCCAGATAGTAAACAAATCTTCTGGGTTCTGCGGACCACTCAGTCTCTGTCTACTGAACTCTGCCACTGTAGCAGGAAAGCTGCCATAGACCATATTAGTGAATGACCATGGTGCTGTTCCAATAAAACTTTACTTACACAAACAGACGCAAGATGAATTGGCACTTAGATGCTATTTGCCGACTGTTATTTTAACCGCTTTGTTGTTTAATATTCAGATGCTAGAGATGTGGCTCAGATACAATTTTTCTTTAGGTCTCAAATTTTCCTATAGTTGGTATATAATGATGTATGAAAGTGCACGTTGTTCATCTACCAGTCTTCAGCAAGCACTTCTGCCAGGTTGAAGGATACAGGTTATACTGACATTACCTCTGGGATCATAACTGCCAAGTCTGCATGGTTGTTCCTTTGTCCCAACACAGACTTTTTTTTCTACCTCCAGATATTTTCTACACATCCTTTAGTGCAATACCCAGAGAACAAAATGGCCCACTGACCCCAGCTGTAGGCTAGCTTAGTACTCTCAGCTTGCAGTTCTTACAGAGTGGAGACAAGGCTGCCATTCTGTCATGATGTTTGTTCTGTTGCTTTGGACCTCTTTATTACCTTCTCTTGTTGGCATAGGCCTCAGCCTGTTAACAGTCTGGCTGATCCTGCTTCCAGATACTGTTCATTTCTCTTTCCAGATCCACGTTTTCCCTTTTCCTTATTGCTCTCTGCCCCTGAAGCTGACTTGTATGAACTATAACAAAGGAATCTCAATCTCCCTTGCTTCCTTTTGGGTCCAGCCAGGGAGGACTCCTGTCAAGAGATCTGAAATAGAAAGGAGAAGGAGGATGGATACTTACTCCCCTGATTTTCCTGGGGCTGGCTGCATCCCTGATTGAAGGCCAGTGCTCCTCTCAAAGCAACCAACAGGCCTGAGCTGCCTTCTAGATGCCACGGCCACTTGTTCTCTTTGTTCCCTCAGCTCTGGGAATGGGGACAGCAGAAGAGTTTCTGTACTGTCCCCGTGCTTCCCCTACACCTCACTGGTATTATTGTAACTTAGTCACCTTATAAATTAGCCCTTCCTGGATTCTACTTGGATTGTGCCATCTATTCCTATGAGGACCCTGACAGATTTGGGTCCTTGGCTACACCATTACTGTGCCCTCTGGCAGAGGACAGAAAGGCTGTGGAGAGACTTCTAGAAGGTTCTTCCAAAAACTCCCTCCAATACAGCATCTGTAGTTGTTAAGCCACCCAAACGTTGAATCTCTCTGAATGCAGTGCTCTACCAGCAAGAGAAGTTAAGCATGAGCCTCAAAACTGGATGTCAGGTAGGTCTGGAGGGTTTAGCTCACAGTAGCAGTCTATAGGGTATGTGTGACCGAACCAAATAGGCCCAGTGCTCTTACTCATGAGGTGGAATTCCTGAGCTTCAGCAACTCAATGCTGCTGAATCTTAGAGCCAAGTGCAATTCTTAGCTCTTTGTGGACCCCAGTCAAAGGAGAAATAAACTCTAGGACAGTTCCTGGAAACAACTTGCAGAATGTAGTTTAGCTGGAAGATCTTAGTATTAAGCACACTTTTAAGAGGAGGTTTGCGCAGCAATGGACAGATTCTGGAGCTAGCTGTGCATTCCATCCCAGCTGTGTGTGATGTGACCGGGAGTAAAGTGACTTAGTCATTGTGGGTCTTGGCTTCCTCATTTCTTAAATAGGGATGAGATAATAGGGGCAGCTATGAGAACTAAATTGGTAAATATTTGTAAAATATTTAGAACAGTGCCTTGTATACCGTAAGTACTGTAAGCATTAGCTATTACTGCTATTATTGATGGAGACACTCTTTTGACCATCTTTTGTGTTGAAATCTGCTTGCTGATGCTTAGACGACTCTCCCATCCCAAGATACACCTACCTTCCTTTCTTTCTCTCTATCTTTCTCTGTCTCTCTTTCACCAAGTTTGGCTCTGTTGCCCAGGCTGGAGTGCAGTGGCATGATCTCGGCTTGCTGCAACCTCCGCCTCCTGGGTTCAAGCGATTATCATGCCCCAGCCTTCCAGGTAGCTGGATTGCAGGTGTGCGCCACCACATCTAACTAAATTTTTTTTTTTTTTAAGTGGAGACAAGGTTTTGCCATGTTGGCCAGGCTGGCCTTGAACTCGTGGCCTCAAGTGATTCATCCATCTTGTTCTCCCAAAGTGCTGGGATTACAGGCATGAACCACTGGGCCCAGCTCCAGACATACTTTTCTTATCCCCAAATAAAAGAACCCATTACAAAGCGCAATGACTTGGTGTGATCTGCAGAGATTTTTATATTGGGCTATAATTTCCAAGGAGAGTTTAATTCAACTCTTAGTAAGTGTAGAATGCACCCGTCTTCACTGCATCTTGCATCATGCTAGGTGCAGAGGATGCAGCAGTAAATGAGAAAGCCCAATCCTCGCCTCCATGGAAGTGCTACAGAAAGGTACTGCTCAGGCTGGGAGTCAGATGTCTTCACAACCCCATTTAATTTAAAGTCAAGCCATTTGAGAAAAATCAGCTGTGAGCTTGGCCTCCTTGCAGCTCCCTGAGTACAGGGCAGCTAGCTGCAATCAAGCTGTGACTCACTCAGACTTTTCCCATCAAGACCCTTATGTTCTTTCTGTAGATTCCCTTGATGTGAGAGTAAACAGAATATCAAAGGTCATTAGCACCTCTGCTCTGAAAGAATCTTGTAGCAGCACAAATGGATTTTGAATTTAAAGGACTTGAAATAAAGAGAAAGTCTTCTGACTACTTTTTCTACAATGAACATGCACTGCTTTTGTGGTGAGAATGAAAAGATTTTTCGATCAAGAAAAGTTTACAGTTAAAGAAAGTATCTTTATTAAAGTCTCGGCACTGCTTTTGTGGTGAGAATGAAAAGATTTTTCTATTAAGAAAAGTTTACAGTTAAAGAAAGTATTAAAGTCTCATCAGGCACATAAATAAGACACATCATAAGTTAACACTAACCATGTTCAAGAATGTGTTAAAAACCATTTGAAAATTCTCAAGCATTCATGTTTCTTTTTTGACTTTGAGAATTGGAGTCCCAGGATGAAGGACGGGACCATCAAAGGCCTGGCAAGTGCACGGGAAGCAACCCAGAGTAATAATATTTCCAAGAAAGCCAAAGGTTCCAGCATGCTTTTGTTCTTAAACAGTAAACATTGCAGAAAATGCAGTTAACATCGCATGACACTATTCCTTCTCGCTTGTAGAAAGCTGAAGTCGACACTTGTAATCTAACTACCTTTGGTCCATGTAAGGTACATGGATGTGCTTTGGTCAAGAATTAGGCTGAGGCAGACATCCAGGCCTGCATGACTCAGCGAGTTTAGGGTGCAGGTACATACTCCACTTGCTACATAACCTGTTTTTGTAAGCTCATACTGGGCTCAGGGCCACTATTGTTTAAAGAAGGTATAACTGCCCTGCGGATGCTATATAGGCGCTCCTGTGCTGGCTTGCTCACGCTCAGAGAAAGAGAGAAAATCAAAGCTGTCTGTCTTGCAGATGGATGGTCGGGGGGAGCCAGAAACTGGCTTGTGCTCAGGGAGAGAAAGAATTAAGCTGCTGACCCTAAAGGGAGAGCTGGCCACGCAGCTGTGCCTGGGAACGTCTGAAGAAAGCAGCCGGAACAGCGCAGACAGTGTAAGAGAGCTGCTGCTAAGAGA
This sequence comes from Homo sapiens, assembly GCF_000001405.40. Taxonomy (NCBI): domain Eukaryota; kingdom Metazoa; phylum Chordata; class Mammalia; order Primates; family Hominidae; genus Homo; species Homo sapiens. The sequence goes on along the minus strand of NC_000013.11, from coordinate 97,495,569 downwards.
GCTGCTGAATAAAACCATATTCACCTGCCTACGCACCCCGCCACCCCAAGTGTTCTTTCAGCTATCTGCCCATCCACCCACTCCCCTTGGACCTCAGCTAGGGCTCGAACCTGACCCCGGGCATGACATTTGGCATAGTCATGGACTTGACAGTCCATTCCCCTTCCACTCTGGTTTTCTAGCAGAAGAGGAAGTTTGGTAGAAGCAGGCTCATACTTGATTTACCTGGATCTCCTAGACCACCCTTTTCACTCTTGTCCAAAGTTCCTAAAGACCCTGCTGCATCAGTTAGGAATGGGTTTAGTTGTAAAAACAAAACAAAATGAAAACCAGGAAACCTGAAGTCATTTTAACAATTAGAGGTTTAATTTTGTTGTAAGAAACCCAGAAAGGCCTAAAGTTGCTGTCGCTGCCCGACAAAGTCATCAAGGACCCAGCCTCTTCATATCTTTGGGTTTCTTCTTTCTTTTCTTTCCTTAGTAGGAGACCTTTCGTCTTCATGCTGTGGTCTTAGGGTTGCAATATGGTTGCTGTATCTCCACAGCTTAAATCTGAACCATAGACAAAGAAAGATGGAGGGGGAGGAGGCTTCTGCCAAATCTCTATTTTCATCAGGGAAGCATAATTCCCACTCATAAGACTTTAACTTATATCTGGTTGGCCATAATTATCTAACATGTTCACCCCTAGCCACAGGGGAGGCTGGGAAAAAGAAAGTTGATGATATTTGAGTTGGCTTGGCAATAATGTTTGTCAAGGAACTCCCGTAGGATTTTCTTGTGGGCAGATTCTAAAGCAGGACTTGCTCATTCTAGAAATAGTAGTCAGAAGCCCTTTCCTCCCTACTTCAAGTACTTTAAATTGAAAATCCATTTGTGCTGCCAGAATACTTGGAGAAGAGGTGATTAGGACCGTTGATGTTCTATTTACTCTGTCATCGAAAGGCACAATTTTAGATTTTCAATGCTATGGATAAAATGGATTTAAGGAATAGTCATCTTTCAATGGCTTCCCATTGATCTTTGGATAGAGAACAAAATCCTTAACTTTGCCTCTATGGTTCTACATGATCCAACTCCCATCTGCCTCTCCACATATATACCTTTCTACCCCTAGCTTCCTGATATCCAGCCACATTGGCCTCCTGTCATTCCTAAGATATCTTATTATTGTTCCCATCTCAAGGCCTTTGCACATGCTATTCTCTCTCTCTGGAATTCCCTGCCCTCATTGTATCTATTTGTTCCTACTTATTTCACTTCAGACTTCTCCTTGGGGAAGATTTCCTCACCTTCCAGACCAGATAGGGTCACTCTGATTTTATAACATCCTGTGCTTTTCTTTTTTTGCACTTCTAACAATTTTGGGGTGTGTAATTGTGCAACTGTGTTAGTTCCTGTCTATCCCCTCTATGATAGGAGGTCTGAGAGTGAGGGCATTACCTGATTAGTGTGAATGCAACCCCAGATCTGAGGATGGTACTAGGCACATTAGAAGAATTAATGAATATTAGAATGTAGAGTAAACAATATATATAAATGGCTATTTTATAATTTGCCCATACTTATCATAGAACATTTGAGCTGTTTGTAGCTTCTTCAGTGCTACTAGCTGTGATTGTATGTATGTGTGGGGTGTGTGTGTGTGTGTGTATTTAATATGCAATGGATAAAGTTATTGGCAATTAGAAAGGTGTCCCCCTTTTTTAACAGTAACTAGACAATCCAAGAAATTATGGATAATGCAATATAAATTATAGATAGTTCCACAATTGAGCAATTAATTTAGTTTCAGTAGAATTTATGAGGTAAGGAGAGAAACAATATGGTGTGGTAGGAAGAATCCTAGAACTGGGCTTAAATCCAAGTGTGGCAAACAGTTTGTTTATTCATTCAACAAGCAATGTTCATTCATTATGTGCCAGCAGCTGTGTTTTGTACTGGCACAAAAAATTTAGCAAGACTTATTTCCTGTAGAAGAGATGGCAGTTGCCGTGGAGGAAAGTGAGGATACTGTGAGGACACAGAGGAAAGTGTGAGCTCCTTTACTTGTGAAGACTTCACAGAAGAAATAATCTTTGAGCTGAATCTTGAAAGATGTGAAAAAGCTGCAAGAGAGACAAGAGGAGAGGGAGATGGACAAGCAAATGCAGAGGTAGGTAGACAGAAAAAAAAAGATTCTACATTTCCTGAAGCCTTGTATTCAGGTATGACTAGAGACCAGGTACACAGGAAAAATGGTAGGATATAAGGCCAAAAAAAAGGAACTAAGAAATTTCTTCCCAATGCTAGAACATTTGTTGATGTTAGAGCAGCACTGAAGACCACTGAGCAATGAAGCAACACCATTTTGTCTGAATCATAGAGCCTCTAGCAATGGTACGAAGGGCACAGAGGAAGCAAGGAATAGGGCGGAGGAGAAAGGAGATGATTTATCAAGTTGGTCAAGAGTTTCAGGTTGAGATGGGGCAGTCTCAATCCTTGGCAATACAGGAAATGTAGATTTGAGAAATACCAGGTAAGTAAAATTGACTAGGCTTGATTGTCTGTAGCTGACCTCCCTGCCTCTCTGGTGGCCCTCTTTAAGCCAGAGTTCTGTTTCTGTAACATAATTCTGATCATGCCCCATCTCATTTTAAGTCCTCTGAGACTTTACTCATGCAGGAAGCCTGCTTTTCAGGTGTAGTGAGTAGTAACCAATCTAGTTCCTCAGGTAACTAAAAGCTTACAAAATAATAAAGTAGGTACTTGAGGCTGAGCTTCTAGGAATGACACCCAAAACATAGCAAAACTGGCTCACCAAAGGTGCTGCTATTTTTGCAATAGTCAGGAAACTGGGGAATCAGGACATCACAGCCACAACAGCAACTAGGAACTGAAGTTCAGGAAGCCACCACCATGATTGAGCTCCAAGCCCCCATGTAATGCCAACAAATGGATAATCCACACAAACCACTCAATAGCCACAAAGCCAGGATTAGACAATGGAACTCCCAATGATGCTACTACAGGAAATAGGCCTTCAGAAACAAAAGCACAGGTTATGCCTCACTTCCCTTTCCAAATATTGTATGGGTGTGGTTATTTGGTTAAGTACTAACCCCAAGATGTGAAGGGAGTTGGGGAAATATAACCTTTAGTTTTCTACCTTTTTGCATGCAATAAGGTAGACCACAGGATGTTTGAAGAAGCCGACTGAGTCATTCAATGACATCTGCTTCAGCATATTAACCAGGATCTCAATTATCTGTAGCACTTCTTAAAACTGCATATGCACAGGCTTCACCCGTGAGGTCAAGGGCAGATCACTCCAGAGAAGGCCAGTAGTTTGCCCTTCAAATTAATATTTTAAAATGTTTATTTAGTAAAGAAGTAGAGATAAAGTCTAATTTTCAATGAATAAAAAGCGTTTTTATACTTTTGGTTGAATAGAAACAATTTATGTTATCAAAGCGTATTATAATTTTTATAGTTTTTGTTTCCCCAAAATATTTCTTTGGCAATTTTTAAACCAGACAGTAGATTAGGAAAAATCATGAGTTTGAAATGTTGATAATATTCTTACAAATCAAATGAAAAATGCATATGATTTTTAAAGAAAAAATGCTTAACCTCATTCGTGAGAAAAAAAGGAAATTAAATTTTTTAAAATTACCTAAATTCAGACCAATCATTTTACTGAAGACAATTAGAAAATCAGCAAGGGGTGAAGTGGGCTGTATTCTTGAAGGCACTGGTGGATTTATAAGTTAGAGCAGATTTATTGGGGCACAATCCAAGGGAAGATAAAAATTCAGAGGGAAAATGTCATTTGATACTTCTTTTTCCCCTGAGGGTGTTTGCTAATGTCAGTGAGACTGCTAACATTCTGGCTGGTACCAGACAGCCTTGAACTGTTGGGAAGTAAACACTGCAGTTCAGAGCCTGTCAAAGGTAGAGGTCATAGTAAGTGCTTTACTTTGCATTGTGACCTTAAAGAAAAAATAAACCAGAAGTAAATAATCTCCCACAAGGGCAGTAATCCATTTTCAAGTGGTCTGGCTGATTTAAAAAGAAAAAGAACTCAATTCTGAAATTGAATAATAAAATTATGGATTGCTAGTATATCAGTTGCCTGACTAATTATTTTTCAAATACAATAACTGGCACACAATGAAAGATAACCAGTCACATGAAGGGACAATAAAATTTGAAGAAAGACAAATAGAAACAAGCAACAACAGAAACAGACCCTCAAGAGCTCCCGATATTGGAATTATCAGGCACAGATGTTTAAAAACTATGCTTTTGATGTTCAAGGAAATTAAAGACTGAAAATGTTGACAGATAACTTAAAACCATTAAAGCAATAGGCAGCAGATTAGAAAAGAACCAAACAGAAGTTTAGAATTAAGGCATACAATAACTGAAATTAACAACTCAGTTGACATGGTTAGTAACAGATTAGACACATCTGAAAAGAGAATTTGTGAACTGGAAGATAGATGAAAGCAAAATACTCAGAAGGAAGCAAGAGGGACAAGATTAAAAAAAATGTGAAATTAAAAAAAAATAGGGGTAATGATGAGAATAACCAAACATGTTTTTGCAAATTTAAAATAAGAAAGAGGAGAAAATAAGAATGAAACCAAAGCAATATTTGAAGCGATAAAAGCTGAAATTTTCTTAAGTTAATTAAAGACATGCATCTACATATTCAAAAATTCAAACTGGATAAATAAAAAGAAATGCACAACCCAAATCCATCATACTGGAATTGCAGAAAACCAAAGAACAGAGAAAAAATTTGAAATCTTCCAGAAAAAAAGAGATTGCTTTTAAAGGAGCAATAACTAGATTTCAGCTGACTTCTTAAAAACAATAATGAGTATTAGAAGACATAAAATACTATCTCCTGTCTGCTGAAAGAAAATAAATGCTATTGTATAACTCATGCCCAGTGAAAATATACAGAGTAAAGATAATATAAGAAACATTTTAATGCAGAAATAAAACATCATGAGAATTTTCCACCTGCAGACCTAAATTACTCTTCAAGGAGAAGGAAAATGATACCAGTAGAAAGTCAAATATTCATGAAGAAATTAAGAAGCAATAAAAATGTCAAGCATGTGGATGTACTTAAATGAGGAATATCAAAAGTAATATCTTGGGAGTCAATAAATATATAGAATTAAAATAAAGGAAAATAAGGGTATGTAAGTTGAGAAGAGCTTAAATAATGATAAAGTATGCTTGATTTATTGCATTGCTAAGGAAAAGCATAACCATTTCACATAAAAATAGTATTTAAAACCATGGCTGCTTGTGATAGTTGCTGAGGTAACCACTAAAATAATAGTAAAGGAAGGCAGAACTTTCAAACTAGTAGAAGGAAAAAATAGAGTAGTCAAAAATAATCAAAATGAAAGCAAGATGTTCTCTCCTTGCTTTGAGAGACAAAAAAGAAACTAAAAAAAAAAAAAAAAGAACAAGTAGAAAGCAAATGATAAGATGGTAGGCTTGTCTAAATGTATTAGGAGTTATACCAAGGATAAATGACCCAAAAAGTTTTGTTTCTAGCAAAGATGGAATAACAGGAACCAGATTTATTCTCCCATCTTAATCCCAAAATGGGCAAAAATCATGAAGGTGACTATAACAAGGTCCATAATAAAAATATTGCTTTAAATCAGTAATAAGAATAAAAATCTTTAATAAAGGCACAGTAAAAAAGGATATTAGGTATAGTAGAACAAATACAAGATTTATAGCACATTTCTCATCAGAAATAATGTAAGTGAGAAGACAGTGGGACATCTTTAAAGTATTGAGTGGGGTAAAAAATCCTGTCAATCCATAATTCTATATGCAGAAAAAATATCATTATTTATAAAGATTTATTTTTAACACATAAAAGCTGCAAAAATTTATACTTTGCAGTCCTGCACTACAAGAATGTTAAAGGGCGAACTTTAGGCAAAAGAAAAATGATATGAGAGGGAAATATGTTTCTATACAAAGGAATCTGTAGCACCAGTGGTAACTATAGAGGTAAATATATAAATCTCCTTAAAAGACAATTGCCAGTATAAATAAAAATAATGATAGCATAGTATGAATTTATAATTATGTAAAAAATAACTAACTAAATAAAATGAATGACAACATTACCACAAAGGCCGGGAGTGGAGAAGTGGAAATGTACTACTGTAAATTCTTACGCTACACTTGAATAGGACCAGGGCTAGGGTAAGGCAAGGGAGGCACTTCCTTCAGGCACAAAATTTAAGGGTACTTCAAAACTTCATTGCTCAAGATAAATATTAATTTAATGTAATATTTTAAAATATAAAATTTAATGCAAAATCCATAATTAACAAAATATCAAAATTTAAAGAAATGTTATACCAAGTCATGTTGGAACTTAATGGGAAATATCAGTAACTACAATTCTGTCTTTATTAAAAATTTGGTATTTTGTTTATTATGGAATTGTTTGCATTAATTTTGATTTTTTTAAATGTTGCTTCCAAACATTTATCTTGATTGCTGAGTTTTGGGGAGTATCCTTAAATTTTTTGCCTCAGGCCTAGTCCTATATCTGGGGATGGGACCCAGATGTTTACATTTTTCCTTTCTTTTCTCTTTTTTTTTTTTTTTTTTTGAGACAGAGTCTCACTCTGTCGCCCAGGCTGGAGTGCAGTGGTGCGATCTCAGCTCACTGCAACCTCCGCCTCCCGGGTTCAAGCAATTCTTCTGCCTCAGCCTCCTGAGTAGCTGGGACTACAGGTGCGTGTCACCACACCCAGCTAATTTTTTTTTTTTTTTTGTATTTTTAGTAGAGACAAGGTTTCACCATGTTGGCCAGGATGGTCTCTATCCCCTGACCTTGTGATCCACCTGCCTTGGCCTCCCAAAGTGCTGGGATTACAGGTGTGAGCCACCGCGCCTGGCCTTACATTTTTCTTAAGGACCAAAGGTCTTCCTCCTGATTGAGAACCACTAGCAGAGAAATAATTTCAGTCTTTACCTTGGCATACAAAGTTCTGTATGAATTCAAATGAACTAGCTCTTTTTTTTTGTTTGTTTGTTTCTTCTATTTTTTTTTTTTTTTTCAAAAAATACACAGAGGCATTGTATCTAACCCAGACTTATGATTCCAGAGAAAGTTTTTTGGAAGAAGTGACAATTGAGCTGAGATCAAAGGATAGAAGAGCGGACAAAAGAGTTTGAGTCAGAGGTAACAAACAGTATTCTCAAGAGTTTGGAAGTTCCAAAGAGAGTGGGGTATTCAAGGAGCTAAAAGAAGTTTTGGGCCGGGCAGGGTGGTTTACACCTGTAATCCCAGTACTTTGGGAGGCCGAGGTGGGTGGATCACTTGAGGTCAGGAGTTTGAGACCAGCCTGGCCAATATGACAAAACCCCGTCTTTACTAAAAATACAAAAATTAGCTGTGCGTTGTGGCAGGCACCTGTAATCCCAGCTAGTCGGGAGGCTGAGGCACGAGGATCGCTTGAAACCAGGAGGCAGAGGTTACAGTGACCCGAGATTGCACCACTACACTCCAGCCTGGGTGACAGACTGAGACTCCATCTCAAAAAAAAAGTTTGGAGCAGAGAGAGTAAGGTGGAAAGTAATTGGGAGTAGAATGACATGGAGCAGAGAGGAAGAACAGAACACATTCTGCAGTAACATATGTCAGCAGTTCCAAACTGCTGACTTGATCTGGCCTGCAAATATATTACATTTGACCTGCATGGTGTTTTAACATTACTTAGAGTTAGTTGATATATTTAAAAAATTAGGAGATTTTGGCATAAATATCTGTGTTTCCAGGGCACCCTTTAAAATAAAAGTACAAGACTCAGCTCTGCTGGACATAAATTTTTCAGGTCAATTGGAGATAAGCAGGAGAAGGTTCTTCAAGATAGGGCAATGGTTCCCAATTTTGTCACAGTCCCCAACACTCCATATTGTCTCGATCATATTTTCTTTTGCATAGGATTTTTATAGACATATGAATTTGCAAACCCTATGATAAGCTATATGTATATGGGCTATTTTAGTGACAATATTTTAGTGAAACAAGCCAACTTTAAAAGATGGAATTGGCTGGGCGCAGTGACTCACACTTGTAATCCTAGCACTTTAGGAGGCTGAGGTTGATGGACTCCCTGAGCTCAGGAGTTTGAGACCAGCCTGGGCAACACGGTGAAACTCTGGGCATGGCAGTGTGTGCCTGTAATCCCAGCTACTCTGGAGGCGGAGACAGGAGAATTGCTTGAACCTGGGAGGCGGAGGTTGCAGTGAGCCAAGATCACACCATTGCAATTCCATCCTGGGCGACAGAACGAGACTCCGTCTAAAAAAAAAAAAAAAAAAAGATGGAATCCATTGTCTTACATAGACAGCCTACAGCCAGACAAGGCCTCAGACTTAGCTGGATATAGATAAAAGCTCAGGCAGTAGTATCAGCTCTCTCTCTCTCTCTCTCTCTCTCTCTGTGCGTATGTCTTTCTATGCATTTCCTTTATTTACATTATAGCCTCTTCCCACATGGTGAAAAAATGGCTACAACAGGCTAAAATATACAGTTTCCCAGGTTAATAACCCCAGGGGGGAAGGTCTTCTTTGTCCTCACATCTATTTATCAATCTTGAAAAACTTTGGCTGCTTGGTCGCCTACCTACTCCTGAGTTGATCACTGTACCTAGAACGAATCAGTCTCTGCTTGCAGTCCAGATCATTTGTCCATGGTTTGTGCACTGCACAAAGGCATCTGGTCACGGGGAGTGAATGGAGGCCAAAAGCCAGGCCCATTTGCTCACCAGGCTATGTATCCTGGCATGGAGCTGCATTTTCTTGGAGGGAAAGGCAGCTTTTCATTTGCACAAGATGGTGTCTGCTTGCCTGCCTGTGTATGCATAGGGCTGTTTCCCCATGGACGGGGTGACTTTTATAATTTATCTGTGTAGGGATGGCGTCTTATTCTGGTTTAAAAACAGGAGTTGCATTGGGTAGTGGTGGCCCTGTATGTGTTGCCTATGCCTGGCCAACTCATGACTTTTACAATTTATCTGTGTAGGGATGGTGTCTTATTCTGGTTCAAAAATAGGAGTTGCATTGGGAAGTGGTGGCCCTGTATGTGTTGCCTATGCCTGGCCAACTCCTCATTAGTTGAGGGCACGCAGTTTCCCCAAAGGAATTTGAGCAGTCAATAGGTACTTACCATCTGTGTTAAGAATTTGGCTTTTAGGCCAGGTGCAGTGGCTCAAGTCTGTAATACCAGCACTATGGCAAGCCAAGGCAGGAAGATTGCTTGAGCTCAGAAGTTCAAGATCAGCCTGGGCAACATAGTGAGTCCCTATCTCTACAAAAAATGTTTAAAAATTTTAGCCGGGTGTGGTGGCATACACTTGTAGTCCCATCTGCTAGAGAGGTTGAGATGGGAATGAGGGGATCACTTCAGCCCTGGAGGTCAAGGCTGTAGTAAGCTGTGAATGTGCCACTGCACTCCAGCCTGGCAACAGAGTAAGACCCTATCTCAAAGAAAAAAATAGAATTTATTCTATGTAAGATAAGAGAACCATGGAAGAGTTGTAAGCATTACTTAATTTGCATTTTTGAATGAACAACCTGCTTTCTTATTCTGTCTACATGCATTTTTTAGAGTCAAACATTTCATTCTTCTATTTTCACTCTAACAAAAGTATTAACTATGGTTATGTTTTGATTAACAAAAAACAAAGTGACAAGAGCAGAAAGAATTAAGGAAGGGAGAGGAAAAGGGAAGGAGAGTTAGAAAGTCTGCCCAGGCAATCTGGCTATAGTAGGGAGAATAGGTTTAAGGGGAACAAGACTGAAGGTGTGATAGGAGGTTGCTGGCATAACCCAGGTGGAAAGATGTCTGCCTTTCCTCCTCCGATCTACCTGGGGACATCCTATGGAACTTTCAAAGCTTAATGGAAAAGGCACTTTTTTAAAGTATTCTTGACTCTACCCCAAGCTGAATTCAGACCTTTATTCTCTGTTATACCACAGCATTCCTTTAGAGCAGTTCACTCACTGTTTATTTGCATACACTTTCTCCATCCAGACACTGAAACTCTGGACAGCAGAAACTGTATTCTACTTAATTACTAAGTATGAAGAGTCTAGCAGAGTGTCTTTATGGAGTCAATGACAAGTCAATGCTTGATGGATAAATGGATGGATAAATAGATGAACAAATGAATAAATAGAAATGATATAATTTGGGATTAAGAAAAGAGTTTAAAATTTTCCTAAATTTTTAGGTAATTGGAATATACTTCCACTATTATCTGACATAAACGTTGTAAGAAAAGGAACAAATTTGGTGCATCACAATGAGCTCAGTTTGGGACTGAAGCATTTGTGGCTCTGTGGAACACCTGTGAGTCCTGGGCAGTTGTAAACTTCTGGGCTTTGGGGATAAAACTGAGGGCTTGAATAAGCTGATCCCCAGGTTACCTTCAAGTTCTATGATGCTAAGTATAGTATTTAAGGATCAATAAGAGTAGAATTTATGAAGATTTCACATTAGTTTTTAAATGTGGAAATGCTCTGTGGTCAGCAAAAAGGCAAAATTGGGTGTTTGCTTTTTAAAATATTTGCTTTGCTGATACCTTCTTCCACTCTTCAAATTGATACATACAATTTATATTTAAATGAAAGTGAATTCAAATGGCTTTATCTTTGGTAGATATCTCTTGAGATACTTGTCCAACATGTTGCAAAATGCGGGCTGGAAGTTATTCTTTTAATTCTTGTAGCTGGATTCTAAGAGGGATTGGGAATGGCTTCTGAGAGGTCCTGAGACCAGAACAGGCCACAGAGGCCACAGGCCACATAGTTGATTAATTGGCATCCATTTACTAACAAGGATACACAAGATGGTCTCTTTAACCTCCTTTAATACTTAGATTCCTTAGTGTTGGTTTCCACCTTCTTCCACGGAGCCAATATTTTTATTGTCCAGGCCTATCATTTAGCTAACTCTATAACTCTTACTGCCAAAACCCAATGCTATCATTTTCCCCTTTGGTGATTAACTCACACAGCCTTGGACCAAAATGTACATATGCATGCCAGCAGTCAATGTTTTAGCTCCTCTTCTATCAAGACTGTCCCTCTGTCCAGGGCTAAAAAAGTCAGAAAGACGAGAGCCAAACAGTACTGTGCTTTTCATATTGATTCTCCTTCTTACAGTAATCACTTTACAGAGTTCTGAATATTTTATTTATAGTATTTCTTTTTTTCCCCCCTCTTAGGTCCCCACTTAAGCTACTTTTCATCTTTTTAAATACTGTAAAGAAAATGGGTGTAGATATAAAGTATGTTCTGTTATGTTCTACTTATTTGCCCAGGCCCTAGAGATTTCTGATTTTCAAACAGTTGATGTGTACATTTACAAACACAAATACCCACAAATAAAAATGCCACAGTCCCTGATTTGTATTCACTTTTCAAGGCAACTGTTTAAAGCCAAGTCGTTTTAAATCTTTAAGTCATCTGTGTATATCCACACAATCACTGGGCTCTGCAACATCTGACTCCGTTTGTTTCTGATCCAATACAGGAGATTCCCAATGTATTGTAATTCACCTTTCTTTTTTCCAATAGCTGTGATTATCACATTGTTGTCACAAACTCTTATTTTAAAAGTACAAAGAAAGCCATAAAGTTAAAATTAAAACACAAGGATTTTATGTATCACGTTATACAAATAATGCTTAAATTGACAATCCTGCAAAATCTTGAGTTAATGTTTTAATCTACAGAGATTCAGATACAATCTGTGGTTCACAGTCTGTGAATGTATTCAGAGTAGTTTCAGATGAAGTTCATTTTATTAGGTTTTAGTTATTTGGGAGTGTGTAGGCTGTTTCAGCATTTATGGTAATACCAGTGAATCAGAATTTTTTTTTTTTTTGTAATGGAGCAACACATTCTATTAGTCAGCTTGAGCTTCTATAACAAAATACTACAGGCTGGATAGCTTAAACAACATCAATTTATTTTCTCACAGTTCTGAAGGCTGGAAGTTCAAGATCAAGGTGCTGGCAGAGTTGATTTCTGCTGAGGCCTCTTTTCCTAGCTTGCAGATAGCTGCTTTCTCACTGTGTCTTCATATGGCCTTTTTCGCTGTGTGTGAGCGGAGAGAGAAAGAGGTCTGGCATCTCCTCCTCCTCTTATAAGGACACCAGTCCTATTGGATTAGAGCTCCATCCTCATGACTCATTTGTGCCTATTTACCTTTCTACTGGCCCTATTTCCAAATGTAATCACATTGTGGGTTAGAGCTTCAACCTATGAATTGAGGTGGGAGGACATAATTCATTTTATAACACATATCTAGTAAACAAAAAGAAGAAAAATGTTTCTAAAATTAGGGAAGTTGAAGGGTGGACCATTCCCACCAAGAATTAGCTAGTTATTGGGAGAAAGAAACCTTCTGCTCTTCAGGTGGTCACTGGATACTGCGCACGTTTTGTTACCCACCTTCCCTCCTGCTGTCTGCTTCCCACCAACCACGTAGAATGTCCTTGTCTTCTCTTTACCAGATTATACGTCAACATTGGCCTCTTGAATCAGAGTATTTAATAAACCAGATAACCCAATTTATAAGATCCTGGAAGGAAGAAAGGGGCGGACCAAGACAGGGGTGAGGGCTGGGGAATGTATTAAGCATTTCTACTACAAACGCAAGGAGGCCAAATAGTAAATACAGCTCCAAACACACCCTCTGGTCTGTTATTCCAATTATAACAATTTGTTTTTGCTAACCCTGTTCTAAAATCAGTGTTTTTCTGTACTGCTGAAAGAATATGTTGATTTGCTCTCGTCTTCTAAATACAACACGTTTTAAAATTACACATTGTTTTCTATTTAAAATGTCCCCTAAATTTAGTTGCTTGGGGAAAAGCCTGGGTTTTCCAATCCTAGCCACAGGTGCATCAGGAATAACTTCAAAACAACTCAGGATTGTCCCCATGTTTTAGTTGAGGTAACCAAGTTTGGTAGAGGTGAAGTTTTTGGTCAAAGTCATGCAGTTAGTGAGTAAATTGGAATTCCCACCAAATTTTCACACATCCCAAGGGCTATGCTCATTTCTTTAATGAGAAAGGGAATTATTACATATAGGTACTCTGTAATTTTCATTAAAGAGGAGAATCTCCATTTACAAGAATCCAAGTACCTGTGACCCTCAATTTCTTTTCATTAACTTTCTTTTTTAAGAGAAAAAGAAAAATTATAACAGTAATGCTGTTAATAGCAATTAAGATATAAGTATTTATATATATGATTCCAGTGACTATTCTGTCATTCTCCTAAACACACATTAGGCCTAATAGTCTAATTTTGTAAATGCTATAGAAAGATTAGTATTTTCAGAGATAATCCCAAGCCTTTTAAAATAACCCAAATCAATACCAAAAATATCCATTAAGCTAATTGAACCAAGCTAATAGTAAGGCAGGAAGTAGACATATTTTATTTCATTTAAAGAATACTTAGATCTTATACTTTTTTTCTTTTTTCTTGGTCTACAGTGGCTTGTCTATTCTGACATTATTTTAAGTAACATATTTTCTACTATAAGTAATTGCTTATTGTGGCATTTGGAAAATATAGAAAAGCATAAAGAAATTTAATAATTCAGAGATAACATATGTTATATTTTATTTTTGCCATACATAGATATCTATATGGCTTTAACTTGCAAATTTGGCATTATACAGTATATCCATTCTTTATTCTGCTCTAACATTTTACGATGTCATTTATAATTCTTTATTTGCATAAATATACATAGCCTAAAATATTCTCCTGTGGCTATATCATGTTTTACTTAATAGTTTCACTGGTGAATATTTAAATACTTACATATAATACAGCAACTAATATATAAGTCCTTATATCACTTGTTATTAGGTTAGATTTTTAAAATTAAATTACTTCATTAAAGGGTAGAAACATGTTTGAAGCTCTTGGTAAGTATTACTAAGCTACTCTCCAGGACTTTTGCAACACTCTTGGGTCTACCTTGCCATACCACTCCCAGCAATAGGTATTATTGCAGCATGAATAGATACATAATATTATGTCATTGTAAATTATTTGCTTTATCAGGTTTAAAAAGTGACCTTTTGGTTCATAGGACATATTTTCCTAAATATTTTGTTATCACATAAAACAACAGTAGAATTGTAGTGGGAATTGTGCTAAGTGATTATCTCTTTTGGTTCAAATCACAATCTTATAATACATGTAATATACTCATTTTCTTAGAAAGGTTCAACCACTTGCCCAAGATAACCTAGCTAGGAGTTGGCACAGAACCAACCAGGTCTGACTCCAAAACATATGTAAAATTGTATTTATTTTTCATTTTAACTAATGTAGTTTTATCAAACACATTAGGATCAGACACCCAAGATTCCCTCACATTTTTATACATTATTGAAATGTTCCAATCTCTTTCTTTCAACTTATTTTCTGAATGAATTATATACAATAATCATTTTATCAATTTCTTCAAAATTGGCATTTTAATTGATGTTGCATTAAGGGCATACATTAAATCCTTGAAAAGTAACATCGTAACAGCATCAGGTCTTCTAGCAACATGATGTCAAGATGCTCTTAGAAACCTTATTTAGTTTTGTGGTTTCTTCACCATAGCTTGTTCACCTTTCTTAGTGAGGTGTTTTCTGTTTCTTTTTTTCTAACATTAATGAGTGGGATTTTTTAAAATTATCTTGTAGCTGACTATGGTTAGCCTTGATTTGAAATCAGGCCTTGGTATCTATGGGGAATTGGTTCCAGTACCCCTCTCAGATACCAAAATTTGAGGGCACTCAAGTCTCTGATATAGAATATGTTAAATATTGATCATGGCAATCATATGGGAAATTCTTTTTTGTCCTTTGCCATACTAGGATTATCTCTAGAATTTTACCTTCGTGTGTGTGTGTGTGTGTGTGTGTGTGTGTGTGTGTGTTTATTTACTGTGGACCCAGGGATAATGCAGTCAGTGGAAATTCCACCTTGACTTTGGTGCTTTTTCAGTCTAGTTTTCAGTATTGTCACCCAATTTAATGGGGAATTAGGAACTGGTATATGACCCCAAAACTTGCTGCTATTGTAACTCTGAAATGAACATATAAATTTTAGAAAGATTTTCAACAAATGGTGTAATATATTATTGCCTAATTAACTTTAAAATTTAATCCATTTCCCTAAGCATCTCAGTCTTCTGAGGTAAGATTATAATTGGCTTTTCCTAATTAGATTTATCCCACACTCCATTATTCCCCATTATACATGCTATTTCCACCGCCCTCCAGAATTTATAGTTTTCCAGACCAGGACTAGAGAAAGTAAAGCTTGGAGTTCATAAAAAAACAAACTCCTGAGCTGAAAGTCTACCACTCACTCCACTCTCTTGGCCTAGACCTGTTGATTTCTACCACGGAACAGGAACATTTCCACCACATGGTTCTGCTGTTCTCATATCCTGCACTCTTGTTCCCGCAACTCAAAATTCATGGTAAAAAACACCTGTTACTAACAGAACCTAAACTTTTTCTTAACCTCATGCTTATGTCTAGCCTCAGGACTACAAGGAACTGGAATTTCTTGAGGATAAAAATATATGGGCCTATAATGGTGAAGATACGTCATTATGCATTGTCAAAATCCATAGAATGTACACCACCAAGAGTGAACACTAAACTATGGACTTCGGGCGAACATGATGTGCCAGTGCAGGTTTAGTGACTGTAACACATGCACCACTCTGGTGCAGGATGTTGATAGTGGCTTAGGCTGTGGGTGTGGGGGAAGGGAGTGTATGAGAACTCTCTGTACTTCTGCTCAGTTTTTCTGTGAACCTAAAACTGTTCTAAAAAGTAAAGTGTATTTAAAAATATATATGTTTAAATAGCCCTCAGATACTATCTGGACGTCGTGCCCAGAGACTCTCTGGACTCCATCTCTGCCTCTGTTAAATGCCTCGCATCTTCCCACGGGACATTCTTAGGTCACTGCTTAGGAATCTAAATCCAACAGGGCTAATTTCTCAGGACTGCTCTCTGCTCCCTAATCAGTCTTCCTGCCCACCTCTCCTTTTGTTTCTTCTTTTATTCCTGTGTTCTTCCTGGAATGCTATAAATAAATATTTTAAAATCTATCCCTTTATGGAAAAGCCACAAAATTATTCTATAAACATTAAGCATTGACAAGAATAAATGTTAACGAATAAACAAATGATAGAGGTTACAAGACTTAAATAGTCCCCACTTTGTGGCTGATGGCGTCATTTACTGCAATCATACAGTGTGCTCTTTTGGGGATCCACGGAAACATTGGTGTCGATCTCTAGAGTTGTTTATTTTTATCTCAAGAACACTTAGGCCAGGCGCAGTGGCTCACGCCTGTAATCCCAGCACTTTGGGAGGCCGAGGTGGATGGATGACTTGAGGTTAGGAGTTCAAGACCAGCCTGGCCAACATCATGAACTCTGTCTCTACTAAAAATACAAAAATTAGCCAGGCGTTGTGGTGGGCGCCTGTGATCCCAGTTACTCGGGAGGCTGAGTAAGGAGAATCACTTGAACAAGGAAGGCAGAGGTTGCAGTGAGCCAAGATTGCACCACTGCACTCCAGCCTGGGCAACAGAGCAAGACTCTGTCTCAAAAAAAAAAAAAAAGGAAAAATAAAACACTGTAAAAAAAAAAAAAGCACTATAAATAGTGTAATTTTGTTTTCCTCTTGGTTTTGACTACCAGGGAACTCAGAATTAAGTATGAAGAACTCAGCTTTCAAAAGTACAGGCCAGCCTGGGCAACAAGCAATATTCCATTTCTATTTTTTTTTTTTTTAAATACAGGACCATTTGTCATGCACTGTGAATAATAACTTTACCTGTGATGGTTTTTTTTTCCTTATTTTTCTACTATATTCTCTTTGCCCTTATTTCCTATTCAGTTTATGTAGTATGCATTTCTAAAAGCCTCCCAAGATACTGAAAGGCGAGAAGAAGTGTTTTTATATGACATTGCAGTTCTCAGCATGAGTGTCTCTGGCTTTGCAAATTTTCATTGGCCTGTGTAGTCACATGCTGTCTTTCCTTTGACATTCGATACATACCTGAACCATATGAGCCCAGGAAGGCAGCACCAATGCAAATGTTAGTTTAATTCAAACATAATTGGGAATCAAATTTTTCAGAAAGGTACATCATGCAATGAGTTCCTAATACAAGTGAAAGTGACTTTAGTATTAATTGCAAAATTATCACTAATATTATTATTATCTGTGCTATTTTTTCTTCATCTGGTTGGTATATTTAAAAAAAAAAACTAACCAAAATTTGTTTGGGAAATTTTCCTCTTTATAACATAGTACATGAATCAGTAGGAATTGTTCATTCTTTCTGTTTTGTTGTTTTAATGTGACCATGGAAACATGGAGAGTAGCTAATAAATCCTTGATGATACTCAGGCTGCCTTTGATTTTACTGTCCTCCTGTTTCTGTTATTAATGTTGGGTTAATTGCAGCACATAATTTACCAGATAGCAACAGTAGGTATGTGCCACATAATTTTTTATTCAGACCTGTAACAGTGTCTCATACATAATAGATGCTTCATATTTGTTGAATGAAGGGTTATAAGAATAAAGGAATGAGTGGATGAAGAATAAAACAAGTCAGGCTAAATCTTAAAAATGAGCTCTGGCAGGCCAGGCACGGTGGCTCATGCCTGTAATCCCAGCACTTTGGGAGGCCGAGGCAGTCGGATTGCAAGGTCAGGAGATCGAGACCATCCTGGCCAACGTGGTGAAACCCCATCTCTACTAAAATAAAAAAAATTAGCCAGGTGTGGTGGTGCGCGCCTGTAGTCCCAGCTACTCGGAGGCTGAGGCAGGGGAATTGCTTGAACCCGGGAGGTGGAGATTGCAGTGAGTCGAGATTGTGCCACTGCACTCCAGTCTGGCGACAGAGCGAGACTCTGTCTGAAAAAAAAAAAAAAAAAAAAAAAAAAAAAAAGAGCTCTGGCAAGGCTGTATAAGAGAAAGGGATTCCATTGTGGGCAACTCAGATTTCTTGGTAGAAAACACCTGTTACTAAGAGAAGCTAAACTTTTTCTTAGTATTGGAATTGCCAAAACATTGTTTTAGGCTTTTATCATTCCTAAGAGGTGTTATTTAAAGCTGGATCCCTGATAAGACTGTTGAGGTGGTCTAAAGGATTCCAGGCACCTGAATTTTATCTCATGTGTCAACTGTTCTTCCTTGCTCTAAAAAAAAAGGCAGCTGGAAAAGAACCAATTGCAGGGGAAGTGAAAACTAAGAATTCAACAGCCAAGCTTCATCTTATATAGTGCAAGACTGGCTGCTTAATTTGAAGAGCCTTGTGCATGAACTCAGAGCCTTGTTCAAAATTATTAAAAATTTCAGGACTACAACAGAGCACTGAACCGAGCTTTGATTTCTTCTAAGTGTAGGGTTGTTTACACATAAAGCTAGCTCTGCATATATGTTTCTAGTCCCTTATTGTTTTTGAACAAATAAAATTGAGTAGTTCTGATATAAGCAAACTTTTATTTGTAATACTGTTTAATAGAATGTTCTGCAATGATGGAAATGCTGTATATCACACTAATGTGTAGCCACTACCTACCTATGGCTATTGAACTCTTAGAATGTGGCTAATGTGACTTGAAATGTGGCTAGTGCTACTGAATAACTGTATTTTAATTTTATTTAAGTTTAATAATATACATTTAAATAGCCATACATGGATGTGGCCAATGGCTACCATATTGGAAAGAGCCATTTAATGAATCAACTGAACCAAAGACAATAAAGGAAGTAGTTTCATATAGAAAGAATCTGTAGCAATAGAAAGCAAACGATCGTTTTTTAGTTTTTACATTTTTCCCAAAAAGCATTGTTTTTACTAATACAGAGTCCTAACCTCTTCAGTGGTAGGAGGAGCGGGAGAGCCTCCTTTTTCAATCCAGAGACCTCCATAAAGTTGGTTTGTTGTTACCAAACACAGAGGAAGTGACATCACGGATTTGGTAAACTAAGGACAATGTTTAGTCTCTGCTGAAACAACAAGGTGCAGTCAGTCTCTGCTCATGTAAGAATCCTGAATTCAGGAATTTCAACTGTAACTACTCGAATTTCTGTCTCTGAAGATTTTAGATCATTGATAGCACAGTAGAAAGGCATGTAATTGCGGTTGCCACTGTGTTCAAATGTCCAGGCAAATTTCTTCTTCACTTCAAGGAAGCTGGTTGACTCGGCTTGTTTAACTCCTGCTGCAGTGGCTTTAAACCCACAGTAGTAACCTGCAGCATCACACTTGTACACCCGAGGGCCTAGTTCTTCAAATATACTAATTAAAATCATACAACAACCAAGAGGCCTCATTTCAGCATTCTGTGTATAGACCCGAGTAATATCAGCAATTCCTTTTACACAGCATGTCCACAGGAATCTAATAGCCATACTTGTATTTGCAATTAGCTGCCTTATATTGCGCCCTCTGTTCCCGGGATCTGCTGTCAGCTGTCACTCCTGTGATCACACGGCCAGTGTTTTTGGTCATCTTGAATAAGTGAGTCCTGGAATCCAATAATTTGTCAGGTACTATCTTGTGTGTGACAATTACTGCACAATCTTTCTTTCTGACAGCTACTGATGTAAGGCCACCCTGGTTAATAGCCTTAAAAGCATATTGTACTTGGTAGAGCTGGACCTTGGGTGAAAAAATTATAAGGTGGCGGTCAAAACCAGTGCTGGAATCATGGAATGTGTTGGTACACCCACTACTTCACTCACAATCTCTGGTGCAATATCTTTTATATTAACTGTCTTGAGCAACTGACAGCAGCTACAGTTGCATGCTATCCCAATGGGAAATTGCCGCATAGCTTCTAAACTCATAAATAGAACAAGAAATGTCTTTAAGACACAGAACTGTGAAACTTGGAGGAGATCCTTGCCTAAAAATTTTGGTAAGGGTAGAGAGTTTCCATGGCAATGAATAATCCATCCAAATGTAATTAAAAGTGAGTGACTAGGGGATCTATATTGTTCAGCTCTAGTACATTTTACCTTTATATTTTTCTAAGCCACTGATATGCTAATATATCAGACAATATTTGTTCAGGACTGAAGTGACAAGTCATTGTATGAAGAAAAAGAGGACACAGTCATCTTAAAGAAACATTAGCAACTCTTCAGATAAGATGAAAAGGAAAGATGTATTCTGTTGCTACTATTTGGAATTCCTTTGAGTCGTGAGCAGAGGAGTCATTATTTATGGTTTTCCACTTAGGATCACATTTCCTCCCTGAGGACGCTGTCAGGTTACCCTTTAAGGACTCTCCCTTGGTCCTTCCCAAGAAGTACCTGCCCTGGTTCTCCAGCCGGGTTCCAGTCCGCAGCCATTTCTGCCAGCTCTTCTCCACTCCAACCCCAGGCCCAAGGCTATGGCCATGGGCAGCTTTGAGAGGCTCCACAAAGGAGTTGACAGATCTAATGGCAAACAGTGACAACCACTGTCCTCGCAGTTTTAATGCTGACCAGTTTTGTTGTGTATATTTGGAAAGAAGTCGGTCATTTGAAAAAATTACACAGCGAATACTATTGGTATGAGTGAATGAGAAGAGTTTGTGCATTTTTATTTTGTTTTAGTTACAAATCACATGTCCCTGGGTGCTGAAGGAAAATGCAGGGAGTTGTTGAAACCAGCTGCTCAAGTGAGCTAATTCCTCTTCCAGAAAGATGTTTATTGCTAGAAAAACAATCAACAGGCCAAAATCATTCTCAAACGGAAATAATGTGAATGACTTAATTAGCAATTGTCTATGTTTAGGATGTGGAGAAAATCCACTGACACGGGGCTACAGAAAGGTCCTCGTGGCACATGAGGCAAAAGAAGGAATGAAAAGAGGGAAGGAGCAGGGAAGGAAGAGTAGACACAGCTGAATTGGTTTAAGGGGCCCATACATGTCTAGCCCCACCTCTTCCATTCAGCTTTCATGGCATAAACTCTGCAATTACTGGTTTGCTCTTGCTGTTGCCCCAGGACAGCAGTGCCTTGGTCAACCATAAAGGCAGCAAAAGATCAGCAGTCGGGCTCTCTGGGCAGTGAGTATTGAGAGTCTCACTTATGTTACAAGGAACACCTAGCTTAATCCAGGGATTCTCAGTGGGAAAGGAGTAGAGCTCAATCTGCAATGGAAGGAGGTTCCCAGATTTCCAGGGCAGGGGAAAGACTGGCTTTTTCTACAGTGAGCCACATGTATTTTTTGTTTGTTTGTTTGTTTTTTTGAGACGGAGTCTCACTCTGTCACCCATACTGGAGTGTAGTGGTGCCATCTTGGCTCACTGCAGGCTCCGCCTTCTGGGTTCACGCCATTCTCCTGCCTCAGCCTCCTGAGTAGCTGAGACTATAGGCGCCCACCACCACACCCGGCTAATTTTTTGTATTTTTAGTAGAGACAGGATTTCACCATGTTGTTAGCCAGGATGGCCTCGATCTCCTGACCTCGTGATCCACCCGCCTCAGCCTCCCAAAGTGCTGGGATTACAGGCGTGAGCCACCACGCCTGGCCGCCACATGGATTCTGATGCATCCTGTTAAGGGGAGGGCCACATTTTCCTTCTTTTGAGAGTCTCTATACACAGTAGAATTTGATGGAGCTATGTTGCACATTTGAAAGATGGAGGTTGGAAAAATGTTAGGATGCATTATTTTCTTTAAAAAAAATCTCTTTAGTCTCCTTATATCTAGCACAGCCCCTTAACCCCCCATCCCATTATTTTTGTCTTTCAAGACATTGACAGTTTGGAAGCATCCAAACCTATTTTTGTGGCGTGTCTCATGATGTGGATTTGTCTGATTGTTTCTCCATGATTCGATCCAGGTGAAGATACCACATAGGTGACATTGGGTGCTTCCTTTTGTGTCATAGAGGGGCCCATGATAGACTTTTGTCCCTTTGTTGGTAGTGCTTGGTTTGATCACCTGGTTCATGTGGTGTCCGCCAGTTCTTATCACTGAAAGGCTACCTCTTTCCCTTGGCAAGTAAGAAGTAATTTGTGAATATATGTTTCCCTCTAACCCTTCCACCCAATGGCCTCAGCATTGCTGATTGCTGATCCTTCCCTGAATCTACTTTGATGTGGAGGATTGGAAGGGATGACTTCTTGGTTCTGTTTTCCATATCTATTAGCTAGTATCCTATAAATGGCTCATCCTTATTATTATTTTTTAATTTCACTATGAACTCTCAGATTCAGTTTTTTATTAAGCTGTTTTTTGTTGGACATCATACCCTTTGCCTTGCGAAGTATTTACCAAACTATGAAATACTAGTCCTGTGACATGTTCTAAGAAAAGCTAGCATCCTATGGTTAAATAGTTTGCAGAACATAATGTATTTATATCTCACAATGTTACATAATCCACATTAGGATATTGAAAACCACAAGAGCCTATTTAACTTTGTTTAAGCAGGTGTTTCTCAAACTTATTCGACCATGGAAATCTTTTTCCTATTCAACATTAGTACTTGATGGAACACATTTGCAGAAACACTGGCCAAGAGCCAGCTCTATTAATGTTTAAATATTTCATCAATAATATGAAACAAAGACTGATGATGATGGTTGGTGTATCACTGTTCAATAAACTGTATGATTACAATGGTTATTTTCCTATTATCATATTCATAAGGTCAACTCAGCATACCCCTGAGGGGCTGGAGGTCAAGAACAACCCTAAAGTAGGCAAAGATTTCTTTAAAAGAACACAAAAACAGTTAACCATCAAATAAAAGATTGGTGCATTGACTTCATTAAAAGTGAGGACTTCTGTTTATCAGGAGATATCAACAAGAGTGTGAAAAGGCAAGCTTCAGACTGGGATAGTACACTGTACTTATAAACACGTGTCCAGAAAATGTAAAGAACTCCTACAAATATGTAAGTAAAAGATTAAATAAATCTTTTTTGAGTCACTTCATGAAACAGTAAACAAAACATTTACTCAATGGGCAAAAAACATAAATAGCCATTTCACAAAAGAGGGTAACCAATGACCAATAAGCATATAAATATATTGGCCTTAGAGAAACATGAAGTGAAATCCACAATGCCATACCACCACGCTCCCACCAGAATAATGAAATGAAAAATGACAAAGCCTGACAGTGCCAGGTATGTGTGTGGAAGGTGGAGTTGGTAGATGCCATGAGGCACCACCTGGACCTCCTTTCAGTCAAGTAACTGCTGCCCTGCTGCTGAGAATGCTGACAACCTTCACTCTCTGATCCTTCAGGGATTGCCTCTGCATCTTGTTCAAGGTCACAGTGACTGACAGGCAGAGGGTACAGAGGACTAAACCATCTGAGCCCAACTCAGGACAATTCTAAGGGCCCCATTCTAACTCCCTCTGTCTGGGGGTTGTTGGCCCTGCATCACACAACTTCTCCCTCTGGCCAATCTTACTTCCTCTACTCCCTTCCACAGGAGTTAATCCCAAGGACATTTGGTAATAAGCATCCTGCACACTAAGCTCTGTATCACAGCCCTCTTCCCAGGCAATCCATCCTGTGACATGGTGCAACTGGAGTACTCACACGTTGCTTGTTTATGTAAACTGGTACAACCACTTGATAAAACTATCAATGTTTACCAAAGTTGACAATCAAGTCTTGTAGTTCAGCAATTCCCCTCCTAGATAGTGACCTAGGAGTGAGTATTGTGTCTATCCACCAAAAGTCATGTACACAGATGTTCATAGCAGCTTTATTCATGATAGACTCAAACTGGGAATGACTCCAATGTCCATCAACTGTAGATTGCCTCCTCTCCTCTTCTCCCTCTCTCTTTTCTTTTCTTTTTTTTTTTTAGGATGGGGTCTCCCTCTGCCACCCAGGCTGGAGGGCAGTGGCCTGATCTCGGCTCACTACAACCTCTGCCTCCCAGGTTCAAGCAATTCTTCTGCCTCACCCTCTAGAGTAGCTGGGACTACAGGCATGTACCACCACGCTTGGCTAATTTTTGTACTTTAAGTAGAGACAGGGTTTCACCATGTTGGCCAGGCTGGTCTTGAACTTCTGACCTCAAATGATCCACTCACCTTGGCCTCCCACAGTGCTGGGATTACAGGCATGAGCTATTGCACCCAACCCTCTCCCTTTCTCTGCCATCCCTCTAGAGACTACAGGGGTCAGAGGAATTCTCACGCTCACAACCGATCCAGGTCCCCTCACCTGGACAGAGTTCCCACATCAGCATTTGGAGGCCAAATATCTAATAGCAGCATTTTCCAAATTGTGCTCCAGAGAGTGCTACTATGTATAATTGAAAGAAAGTGTCCTGGGGTCTAGTTATTTTTGAGACATGAGTGGAATTTGAGTTTTTTCCAAGATGTGAGATGTGTTATGTGGGGTTTCCCAAACTTGCTTGACTCTATCATCGTTTTCAGCAAACCCTCTCATGGTATAAGACCTCTTCAGAACACACTACAGAGCTGTGCTGTGAACAAACCAACATTTTAAACTAAAAAAACTCACTGAAACCTAAAAACACCTGGTATTTAACTATAGGCATGGACCCAGCATTTATTCTTCAGTGTAGTATCTGATACATAGAACCCTTTGCCCTGCTGTCCCCAACCTGCCTCTGTATCCCCACTGCCCCTCACTAATCCTATTTTTACTCTGAATTCTTCCTGAGAAGTAGACCCAGCCTGTAACAGTAGAGCCTTGAAGCCCTGCTGTATTGCCATCCCCGTCTACTGTGTCCCACAGACACCTCAAGATCCCGGGAGGGACTAGCTCAGGCTGATGCACCGATCTTGAAAAGTGAACAGAGCCAGCAGCAGTCTCTGGGGCTGTGTCTGGAATTTCGGCTCAGCCTGGGTTTACTGGGATGCTGACATGTGAAAGTAGGGAAGGTACAAATTATTTCTTGCTAGTAAACTAAACTGTATCTGCCTTAAGAGAAAAAGGAATGGCAAGAAGACAGGACTAGGATGTCTTTGACATCAGGGTTTATGTGTAGATGACCATCTCTGTATTGTGGCAGTGCCAGATGCAAGTGTAACCTCTCAATAAATAATAGCTGAATGAGCATGGAATGAGTGGATTCAATTTAAGTGAAAGGATTAACAGTGGGGAAAAGGTCATTTAGAGTTAGGAGCTTGTTAGAAGAATTAGAAATTAAGTGGCAGAGTTAGAAACTCAACTCTGCCACTTTATTAGCTGTGTGACTTTCAGTGATTCATTTTTAGTACTTAGAGCCAGTTTCTCAAAAGTAACATCGAGTTATTTATCCTTCTACCTATGTTCACGTACTTGCATATGTATATGTGCATAGGAAGATGCTGGGAATGATTTACATCCATTGTTAACATGGCTGTTTTGGGGAACTGAAAGTTGGGGTGACTTTTTTTTTTTTTTTTTTAAGAAGGAGTCTCCCTCTGTCACCCACGCTGGAGTGCAGTGGTGCGATCTCGGCTCATGGCAACCTCTGCCTCCCAGGTTCAGGTGATTCTCCTCCCTCAGCCTCCCGAGTAGCTGGGATTACAGGTGTGTGCCACCACGCCTGGCTAATTTTTTGTATTTTTAGTAGAGACAGGGTTTCACCGTGTTAGCCAGGATGGTCTCAATCTCCTGACCTCATGATCCTCTTGGGGTGACCTTTTCTTCCCTTCACTAATCCTGATGTTTTTAAAGGTATAAAAGCACATCACACTCAAAATAGTGTAAAACTGTAAATATGAATCATTGATACTGAAGTTTTTAAAATGGGAGGATCTTATACTAAAAAATCCCCATAAGCTAAACCAAGAATCTTTCCTTCAGTTTTATTCCCAACTCATACATACTAAATAGGTCTTCGTATTTACTCTTTCAAGCAGCTAGTCCTCTACCTTTTTCTCTGCTGAGAAATCTTGGAGGAATCCTTAGAGGCTAACATGAAGACTACTAAGAAAATATAGAAAGAAATAACACAGCGTCTTACCTAGAATAGCAGCAAATCTTTTAAAACTCAATACCTCGATGTTGGGGATGTTGAATATTATCTAAAAACTATTTATAGGCCAGGCATGGTGGCTCACGCCTGTGATCCCAGCACTTTGGGAGGCCAAGGTGGGAGGATCACAAGGTCAGGAGATCGAGACCATCCTGGCTAACATGGTGAAACCCCGTCTCTACTAAAAAATACAAAAAATTAGCCAGGCATGGTGATGGGCACCTGTGGTCCCAGCTACTTGGGAGGCTGAGGCAGGAGAGTGGTGTGAACCCGGGAGGGAGCTTGCAGTGAGCAAAGATCACACCACTGCACTCCAGCCTGGGTGACAGAGCGAGACTGTCTCAAAAACAAACAAAAAAACCACAAAAACTATTTATGAAAATATTTATTAAAAATACTAGATAATATTCAACGATGTAAAACCAGTTGGAATGATCCATTTAAGAGATGAAGAGCAACTATGTTTTATTAGTATTTATGTGGCAACATATTTTAAATTAAGAAACGAGGTCAACAGCTTCTTTCAGAAGTTTGTGGTAATATTCTCTGCTTCATAGATCCTAGAGGTCAGTTGGGTTCCAAATTGGGCAGCACCTTACTCCTTTAGCTACATATATTTTCATTCGTGGACCTCTAACAGACAAATAATATAACTTGAGAGAATTTCAGAGTACTACTTTTTAGCCTCAAAGACGTTCTTCCAACTATCCACTATTGATACATTTAAATAATTTATTAAAAAATTTACAAACACTTCAAATAAAATTATGAAGTTCTTCAGAAGATATTCCTAAAATATAGGCATGTTTTCCTTTAAATATCTGGGATTCTATCTACAGTGCCTCTGTTATATTCATTCAAATTATTCTTATAATCTAAAACAATGAAGCTTCTCAACTGGTGGAATGCTGCCAGAGGATTTCAACAGAGTTTGAAGGCAACATAACCAAAAGGCATAGTTTAAATTGGCTTAGGAAATGAATGGGCTCCTTATCAGAGCAGCTGAAGGCTGTATACAATTAACAGCATCTGTCAACTTTCATAGGGCCCCATATAGAACAAGCAGGCCCTACAGCCTGGCGGCAACCTTCAGCTTCTGGCACCTTCGGATCCACATGACCTGAAAACAGAAAGACGGCTTCAAGCCATCACTAGAAGGCCTCTGAATCATTTTAGTGATATTGCTAATTAATGTTAATTATTTGAACAATTCTGTTAACCTTAGCATCAGGCTTTAAATTAACCAGCTACCATTCAAAATATAAAATCATTTGTAGAGATAAGTTTATATTTATAATAACTGATTTTACAGTCTCTTACATGTTATTTTTATTTTTAAAGACTATGAAAATTATCTACCTACCTGCCTTTTTATATGATGAACTCTCAAATCAGCTAAAATATTTTTGTATGAAGAGTACTAAATTCATTATATGGCAATTTTTAATTGTTTTTGTATATAATACATTTCTCTCATGAGCATGTACAAAACAAAGCAAATCCAGAGTTTCATTAAATAAATTTATTTGTTAAAATAATTTAACTCCAAATACAACTGTTGAATTTGCATTGAGTTATAACTACAATTCATGTTTTAATTGAAATGTCAAGGTTTAACAACTGACATTGTTACAAAACAATAAACTTGTTCAATTTTAAATGGTCAGTTGTATTAGAGCGCAACAATTAACTGTGAACTATATCTCTGGGAAACCTCAAATCAATAATGATAAGTCTGTTTCCAAAACCCACTGCAGTCATTCTTGAAACCCTGATCAAGATTTAATAGATGAACAATGACATGTTAAATAAAAAAAAAAAGACCTCCATAGTCCTTAATGTTTGATTGGCTAAGGGACAATTAAAGCTTACCCAGTGCTAACACAAGACTGCTGATAAGAACAAAAAAATTAAAAACACACACATAAACAAAAAACAGCAACAAACAAAACAAAGCACTTTCATATTCATACATACACTGACAACATTAACATTCATACTGGAAAACCCTTGAAAAGAAATACCAGACAGCCTTAGGCAACATTTCTTTATATAGAAAAGCAAATATCAGTAGTATTACCACAGAAAGGTGATGGCAACTGTAGCAATTTGAGTCAAAAGTTCAGTCCTAATTCTACAAACCAAAGGAGAAAATCATCAAAGCACCTTTCAATAGTTTAAGAAAATATTTTATGTAATACTTTTGATCAGATGCTGGCTTGTTTTGTATAAGTTGAACAAAATGAAAGGCATCAGTTACCATCACTATCACAGTTTAAAAGAACCCAAAAGTTGCAACATCAAAAGAAAAAAAAATTCAAAGATGCTGCCTTTGTATAAAAGTAAAAAAAAGAAAATCTTATCACAAGAGCTAAAGAAAAAGTGGGTCTTTGGATCAAACCATAATATTTTTAAGGCATGTTAGAAAAACTTTCACTTATCTAAGTTGCTAGTCTGATCAGGGCATAAAATAAATAGTGACACAAGGTCAACTTTCTTCTGTAGCCACTAAGGTTTCGTATGCCAACAAATGTAATCTTCCTGTTCTTAAGTGTTTTATTACTGTAATATCTCAACAAACACATTCATTTGCCAGCTGAGTTATATATTCATACCAGATGGATATGAATTTCCAGTTTCGGGATGTCCTTGATGCCTTGGTCACTAAATATGCAGGGCTGCGTGGAAACACTCATCAGGCAGCCAGATCAGTTCTTATTCATGTCTTGACAGTAAAAGCCCACCCTGTCATCTGACACAAATGTTTTTAACTATTAATACAACTCAAAAT
This sequence comes from Homo sapiens, assembly GCF_000001405.40. Lineage (NCBI taxonomy): Eukaryota > Metazoa > Chordata > Mammalia > Primates > Hominidae > Homo > Homo sapiens. The sequence continues at coordinate 97,466,707 of NC_000013.11, read as the reverse complement.
TTTAGGTCATCTTTTCCACTTTACATTCTGCCATATCTTTCATATTATTTAACCTATTTTCACATCTGCATAGCAAGCCATAATGTCAAACTGTGGAATCTTTATAGATATTTCTATTTTGCAATCTTACTTGTCAAAAATTGCTATGAATTATAGAATTCTAAAGAATCATTCTGAGAAGTTAGAGGAATCAAAACTCAACCAATTCACTAACAAATATTTTTATTTCCATAGAGAAATCATATATCTTGAATCTACAACTTCTCTACATGTTTGAATCAAACCAACTTTTACACAGTGAAATTCGTTTCAATAAAATTGGTTAAATTTTTTTGTCCTATAAACAAGGTGGTTCATAATTGAGGATTATAAAAAATTATACTGAAGAATGTAAATATTCAAAAGTCAAAGATTTATGACAGCTATGGCCTGGTTTCATTCACGTATCTCTTCAGTTTTTTCATTATGAAAAATACTATCAATCTTTTTTTTTTTTTTCACCCTCTAAGCTTAATGCCAGTTATTAAACACTTGGGGGGCTACCAATGATTTCATAAAAGTATAAAAGACACTTTAATAATTTAAAAGAAAAAAGTTTTTGATACACTATATTCTGCAGTATAGATTCTTAGTATAGGCAATTATCTCTGACTTGTGCCAAATTCTTAGGAACAATAAACACACATGCACACACAAACACACACTCTTCTCTCAGTTACACACGTAAGACCAGAGGTTACTTGCACAAGACTGTGAAACCAACAAAATGTGGGGTGGTGTATAGATCGCAGGCTCAGTGATATTGCAGTTCTGAAGGCCAAATTCTTCTCCCAAGGCCCAGCTCAAGATAATCTTTTCAGCATTTATGTATAACTAAGTTAGCTGAAGACCCCTCTATACTTGATTGTAAAACTTATGAATAGGTTTTTCCTGTGCCATTAGTCATGCAAATGATAAATACTTCACGACTATGAAAACCAAAAATGTCAGAGCTTGAGCACCTTTTCAAAACAAAATTTTCACTCCAGCTTTATTTGACGCTTCAGTAATCAGGGCAAAATTGTTCTAAGAAAACCTTTATATAATTCTCCAGGAAAATTAAAGGTAAAAGGCTTTTGTCCCTTACCTTCCACTCTATAATTTATGTTCACTTTTAAGCCCAAATTATTTCACATGGTTATTCAATTTTTAAAATGCCTGCAATAAAGCTCTGCTACAGCAAATACTTGATTTTGAAAGCAGGTTAGCCACGGGTCACACTACAACCATAGCCCTTAAAGGCGAGAAGGAATTTGCTGCTTTAATGAACTTAAAAATGCCAGATATTCGTACTGTCCTGTGAGGTTTCTGCAAACGGGAACATGTGGATGCAACATGGCTTCATCTTCCTTACATGATGGTACTAGTTTATCTATTAGAATGCTTCTTGTTAGTAAGGCTAGGTAATCTCTTCCCATCACAGTTGCTTCCCTCTTGTTCAGTAAAGTTATAAAGACCACCCCTAACAGAGGGCGGGTTTGGGGTTTTAATTCTGATCAAACCCTTGTGAAAGCCTCCATTTTCTGTGGCAAAGCAGGTGAATTAACAAATTCTAAAGCCAGACTATATTTTTACATAACCTGTTCTGAGTTTTGCTCTATCAAGGATTGAAGCATGAGTTAGTTCCATGTCACAAATTAGAATAACAGCTACAATTAAGCATCAATTTTGAAAAACAGAAATGTGTTAGCTGAGCAAAGAATCTCCCTGTAATGCTGTTGGCAGGTCAGCTGTTATTATCTTACTTGACGGAATACATTGGTTAGAAGCTCTATCCCATTTCCTGAAATTCAGTACTCTTGTAGGAAAATATTTCTCCTTTACTTATTTTTTTAAAGAAGACAAAATATTTTAATTGTAAGTGGTCAGAGGAATTCTTCTGGTTTCTCCCTTATGGTTATTTTTAATTTGTACAATAGTTGCTTCTGTCAACTCAGCGACAATGCCATCATAGCTTTCAAATGAGATCACCCTGTAGATCGATGGACTATGCCTTAAAGTTGCAGATGCATAAAGGAGACTGAGGACAAATGGTGAAAACTGTAGTTACTGAACCCAAATGTTACTCAGAGATATCAACTGACAATCACTGCTCAATTCTGAATAAGGGCTGCAGTTCTCTGTAGATTAACACCACGCATTCTGCAAGTTCTGCAGTGGAGTAGGCGAGTTTTCTATCACCTACGACATTGGGCAAATCCCATCCAGGACAGCCATATTTGGATGCTATTGTATGTTACATGCAGAACAGCATGGGTCATCTTTGTCAGGCTGAGCAGCATAGTTCATCTGCCTCACAATTTCTGCAAAGAGTTCGTCCACCATTGTTTTACTCTTAGCGGAAGTTTCCATAAAGGGGCAGCCCCACTCTTCAGCAAGGGCTCTGCCTTCGCTGGACGATACTTCTCTCTCACTTTCCAGGTCCACTTTGTTCCCAACCAAGATGACTGGCACTTTCTCATACCTATGAGAGAATAAACAAAACACACATACATTGTAACAGTTAGCACAAAGTTAAACAGGTCACGTGTATTTTCGTTTTTGGGGGCTATTCCAACATAAATGGTATCTTCAGTTGCATGAAAATGATTTGTACCACTTGGCTTGATACTTAGATCTGAGGGCATTTGAAGCTGCTCTCACAGTGGATGATAAAATGAGTTTTATGAAATGATGTTTTAATTAATCAATTATATATCCTTTAAAATCAATTTACCTTTCCAGATATACTTGGAAAATTATTCTCAGAAACTCAGACTAAATCCTCTTTTTTTTCCATTCTGAGAGAGGGTTGCACAAAATTTCACAGTTGATCACACAGTAAATAGCTACAATGAGTAAACAAACAACTTATAATTATCAGCATTTTACTATGTTCTATGTGTATAAAATTGATCATGTTCATACAAAAATCAGCTGGGTGTGGTGGCAGGTGCCTGTAGTTCCAGCTACTCGGGAGGCTGAGACAGGAGAATCGCTTGAACCTGGGAGGCAGAGGTTGCAGTGAGCTGAGATCGTGCCACCGCACTCCAGCTTGAAAAAATGATCATGTTCGTTCTAATAGTTCTCAAACAAGAAAAAAGGTAGTAGAAATCATCCAAATGGAAGCTATCAAATACAACCACACCCCATCCCTTCAGAAAACTTTTATGGATTAGTCAGTTCAAAGAGAAACAATTAGGATTCTTTTAAGACTGACAAGAATTCAGCCTCAATTAGCTTTAATTGGTGTTATTTCTCTTTTTCTTCCTAACTAAAATAGGTATCTCTGAGTAAACACGTTTGGAAAAAGCTAAACTAATAAAAATAGTAAGTGATAAGAAAGAACAAAGAAAGAAGCTCCTAAGTCATTTTGGTGCCTAAGATGATTGTCTCTACAATGGTTACTCCATGTAGCACATTTCACAACAGATGTCAACACTGGTGCTGGACTGCACATTTATTTACTATTCTTCTTTATGTTTGTTCTAAGAAAGATAGCTAATATATTTTCACAAGACATTTTAAAAGGTTTTTGTGATTTTAGTATAAATCTGTGTGTGTGTGTGTTTGTGTGTGTGTGTCTTCCCATAAGCAGAATGTATTTCTGATTTAAAGGAGCTAAACAGCAAGATCGCACAAAAGTGATAACAAATGTGACTGGAAACAGCTAAATCTGTCAGAAGAGAAAACCACCCCATGGTCAAGCCTTTGAGGCAGGATGCATAGACAATTTTTATCATTCAGGAAACTGGATAATAGGCAGGTGGTTATTGTTCGCTATGATACTTCCACAGATTTCTTCATCCTGTCAAGAGGGTTCTCTCCACTCATCCTAACTTGTAAAGCAAACCAAATTCCCAACATTCTCACTTTTTTTCTTTGACACTATATCAAACTAAGAATGGTCTCAACAAGAGGGCATACTCCAGGTAGTGTGCCATTTGGCAATGTGAAACATGAAAACAACTTAAAAATGAGTGGAAGGAACAACATCAAAGGCAAACCTAGAATTTGGATATTATCATTTTATAGGAAATGAATTTGGACAACTTCAATTTATATCAAAGGACTTTATATAAATTTACTGTACACTACTGTACCTTACGATTTCGGGCCTTAGATCATGCTGACAGCTCTGAACATAAGACACAAGGGTTTTTAACATCTTCTAGGACTCTTACATACAAACAATTTGTGCATCCCATGGCCTCTAGGAGGGCAAGTGGCAGTGAGAATAAAGCTGCATTACAAAACACCATGTATTTGCTACTTTGCATATAAACTCTCTTGATTGGCTATACAGAGAAGCTTGGCAGGGAGCAGACACTGCCAGCCATGTCAGGACAATGTCAGCTTCCAATTTGTGTTACTTGCAAAATGTAATTACATTTCGTTTTTCTTATGAAAGTATATACATCACAGTGTACTTTAAAATGCTTTGCTTGACAGTGGAGTAACTTAAAAACATTAATAAAATTAAGTAAAACATTGGTTGAATTTAAGTTAAAACAAATTTCAGTCTGTCTATGAATAATAAAAAGTGATAAGATCACTTTCTATTAGTTGAGATAAATGATAAATATTTTAAAGAATGTTTAAATACAATATATATAATATATAAATATATATATAAATATATATATAAATATATATAAATATATAAATATCTATATAAATATATAAATATAAATATATAAATATATATATATATATATTTTTTTTTTGAGACGGAGTCTCGCTCTGTCTCCCAGGCTGGAGTGCAGTGGCATGATCTTTGCTCACTGCAAGCTCCGCCTCCCGGGTTCACGCCATTCTCTTGCCTCAGTCTCCTGAGTACCTGGGACTACAGGCGCCCACCACCACGCCCGACTAATTTTTTGTATATTTAGTAGAGACAGGGTTTCATCGTGTTAGCTAGGATGGTCTCGATCTCCTGACCTCGTGATCCGCCCGCCTCAGCCTCCCAAAGTGCTGGGATTACAGGCGTGAGCCACCGCACCCAGCCTGTATCATGTTTTATATGTGAAATATTTCTTACACTTTTAGTTAAGTTCAGGATCTACTAGAATATGTGGATTTTCAAAACTTGCAAATAAATCAAATTATTAAGTTGTATTGATACATTATTAAAATCAAGAATTTGAATAAATCTTACCATCAACCTAATTCTCAAAACAGTAAATAAAATATTGCAAACACAGTTCCACATATAACAGCATTTAATAACTGGTAAATGTAGATGAAAATGCAGTCAGTATCAGAGGACCTGTTTATTATATCACTAACTTGTCAGTGGCCTTTTCTAAAATCAAGTTTCTAAAGACACTAGAGAAATCCACATTAATATCCTCAGAAGATTTTTAAACTGAGTACGATGTTGAGAAAAATTATGTACATTTCAGAATACCAGACGGTGATAAATTTTGTCTCTCTGTTAAAATTTGGGACAGTAGAAAAGATTCTACACCCAGATTTGGAGGCTCTGCTTCCAGTTCTGCCAATGAGATCATTTCCTTTACATATCTGTATTTCATTTCTTTGATAGTAAAAAGGGAGTAAGAGTATCTGTTCCCACTTAACACAGGGTTGCTGTAAAGGGCAAATGAGATAATGCTGAAAAAAATGAAGTACTAGATAAAAGGAGGGTGCTTGCTTCTTTCCCCTCCTAACTCTAGTGATGTGGCCTTGAGAAGCCACAAAGGGTGAAGAAGGAGCCGGAGAAACTGATCAAAGGAGGTAAAGAACTCCTGAGGGCAAACCGAGTTGAGGGTGAAGCTGGAGGAAGAGACAGGCAAAAAAGATGGGAGTCAAAAACAACAAAGCAGCCACCAGACACTAACCAGGTGCTTCTCCAGAGTCCCTGTGCTGAACATCCATGGTGATGGGGGCCTAGGAAAGCAGAAAAGCAAGCATTCCCAAACAGCGGGCACTCGAGAGAATATACTGGCCCCTGTGGGAAAGGCATTCTAAGAAGGCTCTGGATTGGGGTGACAGAATAGGGTCCCATATGAAGGTAACATTTGGAGAAATCTGGATCCTCCTTAAGAAAGATGGGTGAGACGCTGAAGGGAAAGAAGCCAAGACCTGTGTTGACAGTAGATGACTGCACTGCATGAGGAAGCTGGTGTTGCTATCTGTTTTAGCAATATGGTGGGTTTAAAAAAAAAAGAAACCAAACAGACTAGGACTCCTGTCCCAGAAGGGGCTGCCTCTAGCTAGTACTGTGAATTTAGAAGATTAACCTAATCTTGGTTTCCTGAGTTTCTTGAAGTATAAAATGAGCTGGACTGGATAATTCCTAAGATACTCTGAAGTTAAAAATCACAACAGACATGGTGGGTCACACCCACAGTCAACACATATCATTGACTAGGTTAATTGCTGAGTGCTTAGCACTGTTCTAAGAATAACGTCCAACAGGCTGATCTTTAAGAGATATGAAAGTGTGCATCAGGAGTAAAGCCAAAAATGTTGGGGGAAATCTTATGAGATCTCATGGGGCCAAAACATAAGCAGGAGGTTTCACTTCTACAAGCGGAGCCACTACTGCCAGCATGCTCTGACTCAACAGCAGAACTCCAAAATGCACTCATGACCTAGGCAGTTCCATTTCACAGACAACGTTGTTCAAACACAAATATTTGGGATGGTTTTAACTACGTGAATACTGAAGGCTATACTGAAAACTGCCTGATGTGGCATAAATAGCTAGTAATGAACAATCGAACAATCAATACATCATGTACTTATCCATCCACTCAACACATATTTATATACTAAGTGCTAGCCACTATTCTAGACACTTACATCAATGGACAAAGCAAATAAAGCTCTGTAATTAGCAGAGGGCGCAGACATCAACAATAAACATAACAAGTCAATTCTGGGTTTACAATAAAAGTGTTAAGTGCAATGGAAAAAAAGATGTGGATCAGGTGGTGGGTGGGGAGCACAGGTGCCACAGTTTTAAATAAGATGATCCCAGGCCTTGTTGGGAAAGTGGCTGTGAACAAAGATGGGAAGGGTTTCTGGGAATCTGCTCCCTACCGTGCAGGTTCTAGGGGAAGAGCATTCTAAGCAGGACATGCCCTAGACAATGCCTGAGCCGGCGACAGCATGCCTGTCAGTGCAGGGACCAGCTGTGGGATCCATCTCTACAGCCTCCTGCAGGACTCTGGCAGTGGAGGAAATGCTCATTTGAAGCTAGACCTCAGGAATTCGGGTGCCAAAAGTGGCCTCAGAAAACAAATCTGGCACTTATGACAGACTGACTTAGAGGGCTGACTCTGTTATTTAGGAAGATGAGGTGCTTTGTTAGTGGGTGATGACAGTTACTTTCATGTTCTATTTTCATTATCAGTTTTGCAGGTTGCCTTCATTTTCCCCCTTTTCATCATTTCCCCCTTTTCATCATTTCTTCCTTACCCCCTTTTCATCATTTGGACATAAAGCTAAAGATGCAAAATTCTCAAACTGTTCAATGTATGTGTTATTGTTAACCTGATCATGAGTAAGATACCACCTTGCTTACATCTTAAACATCAGCAGATATCTCACCAACTTCAGCCCATCTTCCTTGAAATTTCCTTTAAGGGCATGACCAGCTCAGACGGTGACTGATGCAGGTCTAATAATTTTATTTCTGTGTGTAGTCTGTGGACAAACACTTTTTTATTGACAAGAATTTCCATAGTGTTGACTGTATTCATGAACCTGATTATAAATGTATAAATAAATAAAACTAGTTCTTTTAAGCAGCTCTGCTTAATGGACTGAATGAAACATCAGAAATACTGGCTGTAGCATCACTTAGCTGTAGAATGTTAATGGGCTTCTCACCGAGACAGCTTTTTAAAATATCAGTAACTCAAAAGAACTTGATGTGTTTATCAAAATACTTTATTTTGCTTTCTCCTTTCTTGTAACTGTCCTGATATGTAGGTATGTATACGTATATATATTTTATTCTGGTCGTGTCTGAACTTGGCTGATCATCAACACAACTTGAGAATTCTTTTAAAGATAGTGATTTCTGGGCCCTATTCCAGAGCTAGTTAATCTAAATCTGTGGGATCAGGACCCAAGAGTCTATTAAAATATGTAATATGTCTATATCTATAAGCTCTGAAGATGGATTCTGAAGTTCAGCAGGGTTTAGGAATCACTGGCCTAATCTACTACTTTGTGACCCCAAACAACATTCTATGTGTATAGTTCATGGTTCCATATGCGGCAAGTCCAGACTCAATTCCTTCTTCCCTTCATTTATTCACCAATGATAAACTGTAGACAGATACCACTACTGTCAGTTTCTGTACTTTACTTTTGAGGGTGCTGCATCGTAGCGTATTTAAAGAAGGTCATACTTCATGTGAATTTTAACATGCTGGTATCTTCTTAGTGATAAGCAGGTTGAAATATAATTCTCTTTGAATTTGGAAATGAGAATCAGAAAGGCTTTTCTAAGTCCCCTCATTCATCTTTTCACACAGTTAAAATCATCTACCAAGAGAGTCCCAAGGCAAAACGTCAAAAAAACTGATGCTTCAATTACTTCCATGATAAACTTACCAAATGGCTTTGGAGCTTACGTCTGAACATTTTTAGTGACGTGGAACTCATACCTACAGGCAACCCATTTTGTACTGTCAGGTCTGTTAAATGTTAGTGTTAAAAAGTCACAGTTTAAAAGTTTACTTGTATATAAGGAACTGTGATCTGTAACACCCTGCCCCTTCTTCTCATAGATTCTAGTTCTTTTACCCTTTAGAATGTAGAAATCTTTTCTCCAACATGATATAGGTCCCTCCTACTCTTGCTCAAATTAAATAAGTCATGATTTTAAAAAAATACCTGGCAATACTTAATAGGAAACAAAAAAACATTTTTTTAATTCTTAATCTTGGCTCTGTGAGAATGATCACTATAACTATTTTGATATCTATCCTTCCAAATTATTTTCCTCCATATATCAATATAAGTATACCTATAGCTTTTATAAAAAGAGATTATACCAATTATATTTGGTAGCTTCAATTTCCACTATTACAGAGCTTTCCATTTTAATAAATAATATGTATCATATTAATGGCTAGGTAGTACTCCATTTTATAGAATCTATAACTGTGCCATAATTTAATTATCTGTCCTCCATTAGCGTATATGAAGATGTATTATATTTAGTAGCCTCAATTTCCATTTAATATTATAGAGCTTTCCACTTTAATAATATGTATCGTATTAATGGCTAGGTAGCATTCCATTTTATAGAAACTATAACTGTACCGTAATTTAATTATCTGTACTCCATTAATGCATATGAAGGCCCCCACCCCCATTTTTTGGCTAAAATAAGCAGCCAATCTGATGAACTACACCTAGAAGTGTGATTTCTGCCTCAAAGGGTATGCATTATATATATATATGTATATATATATATCTCTCACGTGTTTATACCTATAATCTTTTGCATACCTTTTGAGCCAGAAAAATCATATTCCTAGCTTAGTTCATCAAATTGCCATGTAAACACAGACACACACAAAGTTTCAGTGAACATCTAGAAATTTATACTAAAACCAATAGTGCTTAAGAGTGCTTGTTACCCTATCCTTAGGATTTACATTTTTAATCTTTTAATAAAGTGTTATGGGAGTTTTGATAAAGTGTTACGGGAGTTTTGAAGAAAGAATTGTTTTTGGTTAGGACTCGAAGGCTTCTACCACAGTTTGCTAGCATGAAACATCAATACTGCTTGTAAGGATGAAAAACATGAGCTAAGTAAACCTGCCCTCTTCCTCCAACCTGACTTGTTTTGAAGCGACTAAATATTTCATCTTAAAAGGGCATTTCTGGTAATTTAGCTTGAATAATTAAAGAAAACCACAGTCCAGCTCTGATGTCCTGTTGGTTTCAGAATGCATACTGAAGATGAACAGAGAGAAATGTGTAAATGTAATGTAAAAAGTAAGGAGAGTAATGATACCCAGAAGATATTCAAAGCTATTAGGAGTATCTCAACCAATAAAATAATCTGCTTTCATAGAAACTGAGTGTTGACATTATATCAGAACAGATTTCTAATGCTTTGATTATCACAATCATTGGACCACTGGATTGTGGACCACTGGTCCACAATGGACCAACTGATGATGGAGATGCAACTCACAGCCATTTTAAATGTTTTATTTAAAAACCACTTGAGAACTTCTATTGTGGCCAGGATAGCATAAGCCCATTAAAGTGCCTATCTCCTGCTGATTACAAATAAAAACTCAGGACAAAACACAAAAAACAATTACCAAAGAACTCTGAAAAGTAAAGAGAAAAAAGCAGTTTGTGGAAGAGAACCAACGCCTGAAGAAGAAAGAGACCTACATGCAAGTGAGTTTCCTGGTTTTCCCGTTTTTTTTTTTCTTGTGGCCTTGAGCTGAGGGTGGGCACTTCCTGGTGCACACAGACAATTAGAACTCTGGGAGACTGTCTTTAACCAGAAGATCAGGGTAAAGGGGGCCCTTTGAGCGTGAGTATGTGTGTGGGCTGAAAACCCTCACTTTTTTCCTTCTTATTTCACAGTTCACCTAGAGTAAGTGATAGCAGAGCTGGGGCAGTAGACAGTGCCAGTAGCTAAAACTTCATTAGAAATCTGTCTTTCTGGCTAGAGAACTGGGAAATGGGCCCTCAGTCCCGAAGAGAGTGGGAGAAATCCCCAGTATACTTCCTCCTCTTTTTCTCTTCCCATTTTACCAGAAGGATGACCCCAATTGCAAGAACTGTGTGGCAGTGCAGAAAGCTAAAACTCTGAAACACCATGTTTCTGGCCAGACCAAAAATGGGCTCTTGTGGTCTAAAGAGAACAGGAGGAATCCCAGAGATCCCTCCAGAGAGGAGAAAAGTAGAGAAAAAGATTCCCTAATTCTGTGTATGAATCAACATAAGCTAATATGAGCTGTGTATGAGTGGGAAGACTCAAAGCAGTATAACAAAGGTTAAAGAACTGAACTACAATTTAAACCACTCCTATGTCTCAGACTAGCCACTGAGTGGTGTATACACAAGACAGCATAGTAAAGGCTTTGAAAATTGAACTGACATCGGAATCATCTTCCAAACAAGGAGAAAGTTTGCAGTTTGAACCTCAGTGGGTTGGTTATTGGCTAAAAGGAAAAAAGAAATCTACATTCTACAGAGGACTGTAACAGGGCCCCAGAGACTAAGCAACATAATACTAAAAATGTCCAACACAATCTAAAATAACCAAACATGCAAAGAACCAGAAAAACTAATTCTCAAGGGTAAAAACTATCAATAGATGTCATATGACCTAGATGCTGAAATTATCAGACTTTAAAGAAGCAATTATAACCATGCTCTATGAGGTAAACACTCTATAAATAAACAGAAAAATAAAATGCTCTCATAAAATACAATAAACCACATGAAAATTTTAGAACTGAAAACTGTAATATCTGAGATAAAACATTCACGGATGAGAAGACTGTACATGACAAAAGATTCAGTAAACTTAACAGATCAACAAAAATGATCTAATTTGAATAAATGAGAGAAAAAAGATTGAAAAAATAAATGAGCAGAACTATGTCAAAGCACAGTATAATCAAATCATTTGAAACTACAGACAAAGATAAAATCTTGAAAGCAGCCAAAGAAACAAATGCATTACATATAGAACAAACAAAAGGACTGAAAATTTCTCATCAGAAACCACAGATGCCAGAAGACAGTAGAACAATCTTTACAATACTAAATGAAAAAACAAAAAACCCTGTCAACACAGAATACTGTATCAGCAAAAATATCCTTCAGAACTAAAGGAAAATAATATTCTCAAGTGAAGGAAATCTAAGAAAATTTATCACTAGCAAATCTGTTGTAAAAGAAATACTAAAGAAAATTCCTTGGGCTGAAGGAAAATAGTATCAAAGCAATCTTGCAATTTTAAAAATGAGGAAAGAAAAATAGTAAATACTATGTAAATATAAGATTATTTTTTCCTCAAGTTCTTTACAATATGTATAAACGTACAAAAAATTATAGTCCTTTTTGAGGATTTTGATATAGGTGGATGTAACGCATACAAAAACTCTGGAAAGCAGAGACCTACATGGTTGTAAGCTCTTTACATTTTACTCTAAGTGGTACAATACAAACTCTAAGTAGACTGTGAACGGTTAGGTATTTATAATGTAATACCTACAACAACCATTTAAAAAACATAAAAGACAACAGATAAAATATAAAAAATTAGACATAACCAGAAAGAAGGCAGAAGAGGGAGAAGAAAAAAATAAGCAGGTGAAAAAATTGAAAACAAGCAGTAAAATGGTGGGCCTAATTGAAGCATATTAGCAATTACATTAAACGCAGGTTTAAACACATGAATAAAAAGATTTTCAGACTTAATTTTTTTAAAAAGACCTACATCCATGCTATCAAGAAGAAATCCACTTTAAATATAATAGATAAGTTAAAGATAAAAGGATAGAAAAAGATATATCATATAAACACTAACCAAATTAGATTTCATCAAAATTAAAATTTTTGCTCTGTGAAAGACCTGAGAGGATAAAAGGACAAACTACAGACTTGGAGAAACTTTTCAAAACATCGATCCGACAAGACTAATATCTAGAACATAGAAAGATCTCTCAAAACTCAATAGTAAAAACAAACTATCCAATTAGAAAATGGGCAAAAGCCATGAATAGACATTTCACTGAAGAGGATGTAGATGGCAAATAAGAACTTGAAAAGATGTGCAACATCATTTGCCATTTATCATAATGGCTAAAATAAAAAATAGTGACAACACTAAAATGCTGGCGAGGACGCAAACTAGATACATTGCTGATGGAATGTAAAATTAGACAACTACTTTAGAGAAGAGTATGGCAGCATAAAATTAACCATGATAATCATCACGAGTGAAAAATTGCACCCTTGGGCATTTAACCCAGAAAAATAAAGACTTATGATCACATAAAAACCTGTACACAAATGTTTACAGGTAAAAATCAGAAACAACCAAGATGTCCTTCTTCAAGTGAATGGGTAAACAAACGGCAGTAAATCTATATCAGATACACTACTCAGCAATAATAAGGAATGACCTATGGATACACACAACACCTTGGATGAATCTCCAGGGAATTTAGCTGAGTAAAAAGGGCCAATCCGAACAGGTTACATTCTGTATGACTTCACTTACATAACTTTCTTGAAATGGCAAAATTATAGAAAAGGAGAACAGACCAATGGTTGGCAGGGACTAAGGATGGGGAAGGGGAATGGAAGGAAGGAGGGGAGTAAGTGTGACTATAAGGGCAACCCGAGAGATCCTGTGGTGATAGAAATGTTCTGTATCAAGGCCAATATTCTGTTTGTGATATTGTACTACAGTTTTGCAAGATGTTACCTCACTGGGAAAAACTGGGTAAAGAGTACATGGAATTGATTATTTCATAAAACTGCATGTAATTATAAACACTTAATTTAAAAAGGTAATTACATATGTAATTTATGCTTTATAATCAAAATGATTAAAAGAATATTTAAGTATAAAAAAGGAAATGTTATGTACAATTAAGTTCCCAGACAGTGCAAAAAGGCAAAGAAAAAAAAGACACAAACAAAAACTATAAACATAACTTATAAAGTGTTTTAAAAAGTAAGGGTTGTGGATACCAGGTTAATCTACACTTAGAATTCAAACATATTAGAATTAGAAAACAATTAGAAAATCCATTTAAAATGAACCATTTACAGTAGCACCAAAGAACAGCAAATACTGAAAATAATCTAGTTAAAGATGTAAAAGACCTTCACAACAAGAATTACAAACCAATGCTTACAGAAATGTAAAAATATCTAAATAAAATGAAAGATATATAACATTTACTTACTGGAAGATGCAATATTATTAACACATAATTTCTCTACTAATTGACTTATGGATTCTATGCAATCCCAATCAAAATGCCAGAAGGTTCCGTTGGTTGTGTGTGTGTGTGTGTGTGCGTGTGTGTGTGTGTGACTGATTCTTGAAAATGCAAAGGATTCTACAGAAATGCAAAATACCTAGAAGAGCCAAAGCAAATCTGAAAAACAAAGCTGGAGGATTAGACACCAGATATCAATACTTACTATAAAGTTACAAAAATTAAGATTGTGGTTTAGGCATAAGAAGGGAGAAATGCAAAAGAGAAAATAGCCTAGAAACAGACTCACACAGATAGATTTGCCTGATTTATGACAAAGGTACGGCTACAATTTACTGGGGAGATGGTCCTTTATATAAATGATGTTGGGTCAACTGAATAGCCATATGCAAAACAAAACAAACAAATCCCCTGACCCCCTATCTCACACCACCCGTACAAATTAGAGATGGATCATAGAAACTAAAGTTAGGTTATAATACTTCTAGAAGTAAATATGCAGAATGGATCCTCAGAACCTTGAGGTAGAAAAAGATATATTAAACAGGACACAAAAAGGAACTAACCATAAAAAGAATTTAAAATTTGACTTCAATAAAATTAAGAATTTATGCTCACTCAAGGAAACTATTAAGTGAGTGAAAAGGTAAGCCAAAGATTGGGGAAAGGTATGTGCAATACATACATCTAATAAAGAACTTGTGTCCAGAATGTATAAAGAATTTCTACAAATTATAAAAAAAGATAATCCAATTTTTAAAATGGACAAAAGACCTGAATGGGTATTTCTCCAAAGAAAATACCCAAATGGTCATAAAGCATATGAAAAGGTACTCCACATCATTATACACCAAGAAAACAAAGATAAAAATCACACTGAGGTTCCTAGAATCCTATCGGATTGATTAAAATTAAAAAGACTGACTTGATCAAATGTTGGTTAGGATGTGGAATAATTGTTACTCTTGCTGTTTACAACTACTTTGAAAAATCACTTGGCAGTATACATTAGTACTGAACACATGTACTTATGATCCAATAATGCTACACCAAAAGAAAGTATACACATATTCATTCACCAAAAGATATGTACTAGAATGTTCTTAGTAGCATCATTCATAACCCCTACCTAGAAACTATCCAGATGCCCCATCGACAGAACAATTAATGAAATCCTGGTATATTCATGCAAGGGGCATCCTGCACCTCCATTAAAAAGAATTAACTACTGGTCCATGCAACAACACGGATGAATCCCATAGAGGATGCTGAATGATGGAAGCCAGAAGTTCATTACTAGGCATGACTCATTTATGGTGGTCTCTGAGTATGGAAGTGGCTGAAATGGAACATGAGGCAGCCTGCTTTGTTGCCTGAAATGTCTGTCCATCTTCATTTGGGATTTGGTTACAGGTGTACACATCCCAGCTGTAAACCTACAATTTGTGCACTTTACTGCATAAAATTTCTACCTCAATAAAAAAAAACAAAAAAAATCAGTAAGATTATAAACAATTTCTTCATTAAAACAGGAAAAGTAATATAACCTTCAAGACAAATTGCATGCACATGCCTGTTGGCTGTGTGTTTACATCACGGAAGGCACATGATTAAGCTGATCACAGTCAGTTTCTTACTCAGCAGAATATCACTAACCAATTTTAAACTTCTGTACAATGCAGTACTGTTTAATTTATATCCAAAACTGGCTAAAGACTGAAAGCATAATGAATATTAACACTGAAGTACAACATGTTATTGGAAATAAAAACAATAGTTCTAAACATTTCCTTCACTATTAGATCTATATATTGCATCCAATTGACCACAGTGCTCTTCAGGCATATCAAGATGTCACAGTACCTCAAAAATCCATGTTAAGAAAAAGGAATATAATAAAACTACATTTAATCTGTTTTTTTAATTAGAAATGGAGATTTTCCACTGTAAAGTGCCAGTAATGTGTTATCTGTGAGGAAGTGTTTGCAAATAGAAGCCCCAAACCTTATCATTTAGAAACCAAATGTAAAAAACCTATCTGAATAAACTAATTGATTCTTTTTTTTTTTTAAGCGTAATATCTAAGTCATTCAAAATAAGGTGGACGAAAGTGGTCATTGATCTGTATTTGATACTTGAATGTGTAGCTAGAGTGTACATTTTAATAAAAAATATGTCATTTAAAAATCTGTCAACAAAGCATGCTTTTTTACATAATTTAAATAGTAAGGAAAACTGAAGCTCGGGCACATATATGGAGAACACACAGCTTTCATCTCTCGAAGGGGAAGAGGTATTCGGACATACAACATCCATTTTATCTTTTTGAGAACTGAAATCTGAAACCTGTGCATTAAAAAACAGGCCTGACTATTGTACTTGAAAAGATTAAATTGAGTCAGTTACTCAGGAATAGGCAAGTTATTTGAAACTGCTACCTAAATTTACATCTGGATTAAATTATAGTATATATCTTTTCAACACCTCTTCATTTTCAGCATCTTTGGCAAAATGTTTTGAATGAAAATTCAGTACACAAAGTTCAATTACACTACTTTTTTAAAGCTACCTCTGAATGAAGAAGATTTAAATAAAGAAGCTTGAAAGCTATGAAGAGCTAAGATTTTTAGGAACTTTTAAATTATGAACAGAAGAGTATTTATCCTGCAAGATTTTTCTATTGTTGTAGTAAGATCTTAGAATATTTATCATTTCTAAATCACTCAGTACACATAACACTAAATAAAACTTAAAAAAAAAAAACCCCAAACACTGAATCTCTATAATACAGCTTTCTAGAAAACTCAGGTTATGAGGCCAACAGAATTAGCATTTCTTCTGCCCAGCAATAAACAACTCAGAAGAGGAAGAGGAGTACCTTCATTATTCATGGCTTGTTGTAACTGGTTGGTTCAACTGGCATGAGATTTATTGGCGATGCCTATTAAAAAGGTCTTTTCACTTGAACCAGGAGAAGTAACAGATGACATGGAAAAAAAAAATAAAACAAATGCACAATGAAGAAAGGAGCTGAAAACTATCATTGTTGGCAGAGGTTATGGCCCTCAACAGCAGCCAATGGAGAATGAAGAGTTACATTTTGACAGGGTTCAAGCCAACACTGAAATGAAAGAAGTCAGAAAGATAGTTTTAAGAATTCACTGTGGGGCAAGGGAGAGTGGATGGTAAGCAACAGAGTGTCCAATAGTCTCTAAGCATGATCAGGTGTAATGAGAGGCCGCAACAACAGGTCTAGTCCAGTAGTGATTACAGGGATGGACAGAACAGGAATTACTGGATGTGAGGAAATCTGTCCCATCATTTTCACTCCCACTACAAAAACGCTTTCATTTCCAAAGTAACTCATACCTAAGACACTGCAACAGTCTCCTAACTGGTCTTGCCTCCAATTTCTCACTCTTCTACTCTATCCTATGCTACTTCCGTAATAATTACCTTAAAACATTGCTTTTTCAGTGATTCCCCCAACCAACTATCCCATAAAAATATGTAGCAGATCTACAGCGACTAGCTAAAAGCCTATCTGTAAGCAGACAAGGAGGTTTCCAGGGTTTATAGGAATTTCATCAACTTGGGCAATCAGCCTGTTTTACAACCTCCTGCCCTACAGCCTGTGTGGAATGCGGTCACTTTGTTGGCTTAAACTAGCTCCTGACAGACCCCTGCAACTTACTATGCTAAAGTCTCCACTGTGGGAGAGGCAACAGCTTCATTACCATAACATGCGACCTATGTGCTGGCATGATGGCTCACTGCATCTGTGCACCTGGGATCCCTCCTCCATATTCAAGGCTGCACCCTTCTCTCCTCTCCATTGCCCCATAAAGCCCTCCTGTTGCTTTTCCTTAGGGAGGCAGTGCCTTGAAGAATCCTTACAGTGTCCTACTTCCTAGCACCAAGTAATAAAACTCCTATTGATCAAAACCCACATTCTCATGGGGAGTTCTTTGTTACTCATCAAGTGAGCGAACCTGAGTTTTTTTCTGGGTAAATTATTTCTAGATTAACAGTCCAGGCCAACCACAATTTGGTCACTGGGGAAAATTAAGATGAAGTGTACCACAAGAGAGAGCTGGATCTAGAGTTAGAGGACCTAGAAATAAGTCCCAGCTCTGCCTCCTTGGATACGTCATGAGCTTTCTGAGCCTCAGGTTCCTTATTTGTGAAACAAACATTAATTGATACTTAGGTGTAATGTTAAGGAAGATGATGATGATGACTTTACTAACAGCTTAGTGTGGTGTTACACACCACACTTGGGCAATCAGCCTGTTTTACAGCCTCCCGCCCTACAGCCATACGTGAATTAATAAGTACTGTGGATATTGTAAAATACTACAGAAATGAGAATTATCCTTCTCTAAGTTCTCTCAAATCGTCTGTTAGTAAGGCAGTTCTAGAATCTTAATGGTGATATAGCTGTAAAAATGTACCAAAACTGTTATTTATGTTTTATCTCCTATCTCTGGCTTCCATTCCTCTGGCCAAGGATGGCCAAAACTAACCATCTAGTCTGAAAACCATTATTCTTGTGGAAAAGATTTGAGAAAAACAGGATAGATACCTTTCCCTCTAATATCTAATACCATCTTTTCCAAACAGAAGTAGCTTTCCTTATTCTGTTCATCTTCCTGCAGTAAATACTAAGTCAAGTCACTAGCTGTGAACCATGGCTCTGAAGGCCTAGCTAAGACAAGGTGGGTTAATAAAAAAAGAAAAAAGAAAAAAAAAAAAAACCCAAGAACTCTGAGTAGTATAAGGAGTTTTGAGCTAAAGTCTTGTTTCTGCCTGAAGCCAGGTGTGCTACCTTTAAAGTTACATCTGGGACCTGAGGAAGGCAAGGGCAATGAATGTTTTATATGCAGCTGTATCCCCAGTGCTGGAATCAGTTCTTGACACTTATAGACACACAAAGTAGAATGAGATAATGAAGTGATGGTCTTCAAATCTGACACTTTCCTTAAGTAGTCCATGGTGTCTGGAGTAACAAAAATGTCACAAAATCAATGCAAACATGTCCATGGCCACCAGGCTAAAAACGCATTTTTGGATGTACACTATCTAAAATGCTTTATTATTTTTCTTTATCATGCCTTGTGTTAGACACTGAAATGCTTAAATTGATTTGATGCATAAGGGGTCTCCAGAGATCTGGGATCTGGAGGGAAACTGTCAAAATACAGAATGCAGGGATCTTTACTTATAAATTCAACAAATATTTACTAGATATTTTCTATGTGTCAGGTGCTAGATATCAAAATTGAGGCAGAGCACCACCAAATAATAGACTCTTTCTTCATCAACAGAAATTAGATGGTTTACATCAATTACTTTTATAAACAGTACACCCTGTGGGTAGAGTGAAGGGGGAGACGGCAGTTCAGACTATGAGTATAAACAGTTGCAAAGGGCACATACATACATTTGAATTTTCTGCTGAAATTAAGCCATAATACACTACATTCTTAATACGATTAAATGTGATCTTCAAAGTACAGTTAATCATGCATGGGTGAGAGTGGTCAAATGACATCGGGTAGATCAATTGCAAGGGCAGTTGGTAGGTGCTCCATAAATTTGCTGTTATTTTAAGAGTTAAAATTTATTCAATCATCTTCAATAAATTTTTTTTAAAGATCTTCACAAAGAAACCAAAAGGATCAATAGTACTCTTACCAAAATAATTTCTAAAATAACATGTTTATCTAAAAATGTGTTATTGTTCCAGATAACTACTGCTGCATAAAACTATCCCAAAACTTAGGGGCTTAAAATAGCCATTTTACTATATTGCATGATGCTGTGGGTCAACAATTTGGGCAGAACTCAGTTGGGCAGTTCTTCTGTTCTACATCATATTGACTGGGGCCACTCAGAGGTCTTTAGTTATAGTGAGCAAGGCTGGGCTGGCGAGTCAAAGATGGCCTCACTTGAGGCCTGGCACGTTGGTAGGAATGGCTGGAAGGGAGCTCCCTCCTCCTCTCTATCTAGCCTCCGGGCCTCTCCGTGAATTTTCCAGCAGCATAGCTGGACTTCCTATGTGGTAGCTCAGGGCTTCAAGAAAGTAAGGCGGAAGCTGTTAGTCTTCTCAGAGATTAGGCCCCAAACTGGCTTGGTTATCACTTCCAGCATACTCTATGGATCAACACAGTCTTAACAGGCAGCACAGACTCAAAGGGAGAGGAAACAGATCCTACTTCTCAATGGAAGTTGTGTCAAAGAATCTGCAGCCATCTTTAATCAAGAGCATTTAGTAAAAAAGATGTCATCTTTCAAAACTGAGCAACATTTCCAGTTCATGAGGATTTGTTTACCCAAATTAACAAAAGCTTTAAAAAAGGAAGCTGGCCAGGTCAAAGAAAGATACTGTTTATTTAAACAAGGTATCTCAAAAATATATGCACAAATGGGATTTGAATTGTCATGATTTAAAAAAAAAGAGAGAGTTTGAGGTAACAGTCTATAGTGACCATAAAATTTATTGCCCACACTGAGATACTTTCAAGATGGAAAGGGGTACTGTAAATAAATGTAGAGAACAACAAGCATAGACCTGAACTGTCCCAGATAAAAGAGACATACAGTCACCTTTGGAGAAAAGGGAATAGATTGAAGCAATGGTACTTATTCAAAGGAAAATAGATATGTGATTGTTAAGAAGCCACTCACTGTGGCCTATAAAGAAAAGCTTCAGGACTCATTACTTAGTAGGATATGCTGATGCAAGCAATAAAATAAATTTCCTTCCCTCCATAAATGTACAAGTATTTCCTTCAATAAAACCAGATGATGTGCTCAGGGTGGCCTTAGGAATAAACATTTTCTGTCATCAAGAGTAGCCTTTTAAAATGTATATACCTCTGGGAGGCATCCTACCATAATTAAGATACTGATTTGTTCAGCAGGGATGGTAAACATACAACATCCTGGCTGCCTCTCTCAGGACAAATGCTGCTGGTGGATCACAGTATTCCCATGACTGAGCTCACACACAGCTGGGGGACTCTCCCTGCACAGAGCTCCACACAGCAGCTGCACCTATTGAGATAATGCTCTGTTTACATCCTTCTTCAATAAAGGTAACAGCACTCCAAAACTAGTTGACCATCCAGCAAGAACAGACATAGGGTTTATGCAAACATTATAGTTCCTTAATGCTAGACCATTGTAAAAAAGTTTTATATCATTGGTATTATGCATAAACTGGATTAACCATTAGAAATTATTTTCTCATCACTTGCTCATAAAAAATAAACTAAAAATAATTAAGTTTAGTTCATTTTCTGGTTAGCTTTCATGTATCTATGTATGTATGCATGTATGTATGTATGTGGCTACTTAACAATAGGATTTCAGTGCTTCACTTTACCAGTCAACATTACTGATTGTCAAAGTTTGTTGGGACTGTTGGTTCACGAAGTAGAAAAAGAAAGCAGTGGAGTGTAAGTGGATCATTGAGGGAAGGAGAAATTATATTTTAGATAGGGAGGATAAAAATGTACTAAATATACTGCTGTGGTCTGAATGCTTGTCTCCCTAAAATTCATATGTTGAAATTTAATCCCCAATGTGATAGAATGAAGAGGTGGGGACTTTAGGAAGTGATTCGGTCATGATGGCTCCACCCTCATGAATGGGATTAGTGCCCTTATAAAGGAGGTTTGTGGGAGCCATTTTGCCCTTTACACCATATGAAGATGCAGCAAGAGGCACCATTTGTGACACGAATTTTGCTGGTGTCTTGACTTTGGATTTCCTGGCATCTAGAACTGTCAGCAATACATTTCTATTGTTTATAAATTACACAGTCGAAGGAATTTTGTTATAGCAGCCTGAAGAGACTAAGACATATACAAAAAGGCGATTATATATAAATATACAATTGTTGTCATTAGTCTTGTAGACAAAATTCTGAATTTCCATAAAATGAATAAAAACTTCCTTAGAAAAGGTGGCCTAATAAGAGCAATGTTTTTGGTGCAAAAATATTTTGAAACTTAGAAATGAAAGTGTCTTTAAAAATATATTTCTGTATAACTCAATACTGCAAAATATATACCCATTTATAGGACATTTTGGCACACCAGAAGGACAAAGATAGTATCTTGTTCTTATTCTGTATAATGCCCAAGGCAATGCTATGCAAATGAGGTGGCTTAAATGATATTAGTTGATAGTGATGACTTTTATACAAAGACAAAACTTTTCTCAATTTGATTATTAAAAAGCTATGCCAGCATGTTACTATATATAACTAGCCATAAAGACTGTTAAAATTATCTTCACCCCATGCATATTTGGTATTCATAAAGAGGTCTACTGTCATTATTAACTTTTTTAAAAAGAGAAGTGTTAACAAATACTAATATGCTGATTGCTTTTTATGTCACATATTAATATTTAAAATATGTGTACTAAAAATCATCACAATTCCTCATGAGTCAAAAAATTTACCGCCACCATTTATAGCCAATATATTTAGGTCTCTAGGGGAAGGCAAAAACACAAAGCACTCAAGGTCTATGCTATAAGTTCTATAACGTAGTGTTAGAGCACTTAAAACACAGAGGAGAAAGCAATGGGAAAAACAGAAATGTTATACTATACTAGGTATATAATTCATCTCAATATAGTAAGACAATTGAGCCTAATTCCTAAGAAGTCACGTGGCAGTATACAGATAAAAGGCTGGGTTTCATTCCTATTTCTGTGATTCTTGGTGAAACTTTATTATTAATATTTTAGGTTCACTATGTAAAGAAACACTTTACGTTCGTTATCTCACGAGTTACTACATCATACTCATATTACAAATGAGGAAATTAAAATGCAAGGAATGTCAACTTGCTCCTAATTACATAACTAATAAGTGCTGGATCTCAGCTTTAATGAGATTAACATTCGCTGTCTTCATGGATGAGAAGATAAGTATATACAATAAAATACTCCATTCGAGAATTATAATACATACAGTATTCATAATGTTCATTGGAAACCTAAAGATGAATTAATTTAGGACCAGGGGCAGTGGCTCAGGCCTGTAATCCCAGTGCTTTGGGCAGTTGAGGTAGTCGGAACACTTGAGGCCAGGAGTTTGAGACCAGCCTGGGCAAAATAACAAGATCCCATCTCTAGAAAAAATTTTTAAAGAATTACTTGGATGCGGTGGTGCCTGCTCTGTAGTCCTAGCTATTCAGATGGCTGAGGCAGAAGGGTTGCTTGAGCCCAGGAGTTAGAGGCTGCAGTAAGCTCTGATGGCGCCGCTGCACTCCAGCCTGGGCAACAGAACAAGACCCTGTCTCTTAAAATACTCTAAGATTTCATTTACAGAGAGAGAGCTGTAAAGATACTTAGTAGAGAAAATACTAATATGCATTGAATTATTAATATAGTATTTCCACATTTGAATTATTAATTTCTAAGGGTCAGGAAAGCATGAGAACACTCCTAAATGTTTTAAATAAAGGTTTTTCAATGTTTCTCTTGGGTAACTTTACTAAGTGATTTTAAGATATTTATAGTTTTACTGTCTTACAGGGAGAGGTGAATCAGTGTTATCCTGGATAGATGCAGCAGACCTCTATTTTGAGTTTTCTGAACCTCCTCAGCAACTGTTCTTGAAATAGATAATCCCGCACTCATGTATTCAAGTCTGAATACTACCACAACCTCCCTTTCTCTGTTCTAAGTTTTCACAAGGCAAAAGTTATCTTGAATTACTAGAATGAACAACATTACATGAGAAATACATTCTCATATTTCTAATATGCACAACAGAGATAAATGCTTTCTCAAAAGATATGCTATATCTTTTTGTTCAGTGACTAAATGCTATCTTTCTCTGAATTACAGGTAGTATTTACTAACTCACATTGGGAAGTACTTCATTTTCGTAATCTTACACAGCATTGCTGGGAACCAGAAAAGCAGGAGAGAGAAGATGAAATATTAAACAGATAGTTACATTTAGTTTTCTTAGAGTAAAAATGTCCTAGGATAGCAGTTTCCAAGCTATGTGTGATAAAATCAATTTGGTGGGTCATGAAAAGCACTTAAAAACAACGAAATAAAATAGAAAAAAATAAATAGAAAAAGTAATACAAGCAACATAGCAAGTTTACTGTCTTATGAAATGTTGATTTCGGCTAGATGTATTTATTCCTATGTGTGCACTAAGTCACAATATAAAATGTACTTCTTACTGAGGGCCCTGGTTAAGAAAATGTGAAATCCCCTGCTGAGTGGATCTATAAAAATAGAGATAGTTATTAATTTTTTCCAATATTTGGCTTTTTGACAGATAACAATTTAAAAATAAAAATTATAAGTCACCTTATTTCTCCCTAAATATAAATTTTGGTATGTTTTAAAATCTTAAATGTATTAGAGAAATAAAAAACAAAAACAAATCCCCATCTATACAATTATGCCAGAGAAAGAATTTAATACATACCATGACAAAATCTTAGCTAGATTATGTATTAGAATCTTCAAATATTGTTTTTAGTTATTTTGATTACTTTAAATTTTACTAATATATTTATGCTTTATTTAACATACTTGACTGAAATGCAGATGTCCACAATTACAGCATTACTATTATTGATATTACTCTACTAAAAGGCTGAGTTTGATCTGGTAAAGCAGAAAGGATGTTTAAGAAATTAAACTTCTCTCTGTCAGGCTGAGAATAATTTTTAATGATATGAACCACAAGTGTCAAAGTAACAAATGAAATGGCAATATATAATATATGGCATATTTCTGCACACCATTAAAATTTCAAGATAAATTTCCTACATAAACACAATATCTATACATTTCCTTTAGTAACTATTCAGTCACCATCAGTTTTACCTTGTTTGAAAGTCTGCTCGTATTCAAACTCTTATTACTCCAAAAAAACTTAGAGTACTTAAAACTCTTTTTACAACATAGGCCTGAAAAATATAAGTGTGTAAAAAAACAGTAGGTAAGAATAGATGGAGAGAAACAGAAAACAGGGAAAAATCAAAACAGAAGCAAAGAAAACCCCAGAGTAAGGCATACATGCTCCCCTAGGCAGTAAGGTTCTAAAGACAATGACTAAAAGAGAACTGAAAAGAAAAAAATACCCCTGAAAAAAAATTCCCTTAAGTACAGTGTACTTGGTTTTATGTAAAGATCCTTGCTTAAAAATATGTACATATACATGCATAATATATGCACCTTATTGTGCCATATGTAATTTCCCAGAACTTCACACACAGAAATTAAATCACTCAAGTATATTGCTACTGAAACTTTAGCAAATAGATTCCAACTTTGTTGGCTCTTCCTGTTGGCTGTGAAATCCAGTGATTTTTCTTAGTTCCTCTACCTCTTCCTTAATGTTTAATAATTTAAATTATTTTTGCCCTCCATTAAAAAATAAGTATTAGTATAATTATTCCTTATTGTAGATTTTATTGATACAATTATCAAATCTTAACTAGACAAAATTGTGGGTCACAGGCTGCTGATTCTTTAAGGTTCATATTAAACTTGACCCCTTCCCTCATCACCCCGGCCAGACAAAAGTGCTCTCACAGAATGTTAGAGAGGAAGAGACATCATCTCCTCCAACTCCAAATTGAGCTTTAAAAATTACAATCCTGGAGTGGCAAAAAGAAAACTATATACTGTAACCTGTAATTTTACAATGCAGCCAAAACAAAAGTTTCCTTTTCAGGAAAAACTTCTGGGCCACATAAAGTGATTCACTGTATGAAGTTCAGTTATGCAAGATAAGTAAGTCCCAGACATCTGTATGGTAATAGTACTTCTAGTTAACAATACTGTATTGTATAAACATTTGCTAAGAAGACAGAACTTATGTTGTGTTCTTACTACAAAAAAAATGAATGAATGAATGAATGAATGGATAGATAAATAAAGCAGGGGGAAACTTTTGGAGGTGATGGATAGTTTTACAGCATTGATTGTGGTGATTTCACAAGTGTATGCTTATCTCTAAACTCACTGAGTTGTACACATTAAATATGTCTGGCTTTTTGTACATCAATCATACCTCAATAAAGTGGTTTTTAAAGAAAAAAAGATCATGAAAAACACTGAGCTCTTCGAGTCATTTTCAAAACAAATTTCAATTTTTTGACCATTTAAATCCCTCTCATGAAAGATGAAGTGAGCACTCATAACTATTTCCCTCCTCTCATCCTGACTTACTAGTTATATTGTTTGTTTCATATTGTCAGTCTTTTTAACTTTAATATTCTGTTTGGCAGCCATAATTCTCACAATTCTTTTATCTTAGTTTTGTATTTAAGTGGATAGAGGTTTCACCATCAGTCCTTATCTTCATACCCAAATTCTTTGTTTGGATTTATGTCTGACTTTCAGGATTTAGTCATCAATTCTTCATGTTATATATATTTATTATTAAAAATTTTTCCTACTAATTCACCAGTACCAAAACAAAACAAAAAAAAAGTGACCCACAGCTATTAGGCTCTGTACCTGGGAGGTCCAGCTTTGAATTAAGTTTTGGTACTGGGGAAGCAGGTATTTTTAGAGGGAAAAACGGTAGCAGAGCTCCAGAAGTTTCACTTACTTGGGACAGACATCTTTTGATGTATACTCTCGTTTCGGCTCTCCAGCACCAAACTGTCATGGGCCAAAGATCTATGTGTAACAATTGGTAATATGCTTCTGTTTTAGAGTAGGCTTTAATAGCTACTTATGGTAAGGGGGAAAGTGTAAACAATCAGCCAGCTCACTTGAAAGTGACCACTTAAGTGATATAGAAAATTAATAATAATCTTAAAAAAAAACAACTTACTCACCTTGGGTAGTGCTAGTCAACTATCTTTTTCCCAATCTTAAAACACCCCACGCCTTCTCGCCTACTGCAATATAGGAAGTCTCCACTGTGTATCTTACAACTCTCGAGTTCTATCCTTGGCTATATTCATTCATTCCTCATTTCTATTGTTAGCCATATCCATTCATTTCTGTCTCTATACTCTACCCAGTAGGTTTCATCTACTCTCCCAATCTGAACTACGCAGATGATCCTGAGTCTTCATATTCATACATAACCTGACCTTTCAGGCTTTATTCAAATGTTCTAATTACTTATTAGGCTGGCTATCTGGATAATTACCATCTCCAAAACTGAAAATAATCTCCCCCAGCTATTCCTCCATAATCCTATTTGTTCATTTCAAAATGTCAAGGTTACTTCTGACCTTTTCCTCTTCCTCTACCACTGAGTTTGATTACTTCATTCTTTACAACATTCCTTGCATCCTTTCTCTCCTGTTACTACAGACACCATGCTAATTCAGGATTTTCACACTTCACGTAAAAACTGGATTATCACAACATTTATGACTATTCTTCCTGTTATGAAACAGAGTAGTCTATTACCACTAAGACATCTACCATATCACTACATATTGCTATACCTATGACAATTGTGATTATGGTCCTTGACTACATGATCAACTCCTAAGTCTTTAACCTTCAGTAATTTAGCTTTAAAAATTTTCACCTTACCTCCCCTCACACTTCTATATACATTCCCCATTTGGCCAGTCTGCTCTATTTAACATCCAAAAAACATATTCTATGCATTTCCTGTGCCATTTCCTCCATCTGGAATACATCATGTTTCTGATTCTTTGAGGTTCGTATTAAACACTGCCCCAACTGGAAGTGTTCTCACAGAAAGTTCGAGCTGAAGGAAGATCATCTCCATCTGCAAAATGAACTTTAAAAGATCATCTCCTCCATCTATGAAATCAAAATGTTTAGGGAAACTGAGGCCAAACAACAATACAAATACTTTTCTTTCTGAACATTCATTTTTTCAACATTTTTTCTTGTTTCCTATGTGCTAGTAGGAGCTGTGTCACCTACGTGGGCTTGGAGTTTTGTGAGAAAGGCTGGCTACCCATAAATTATCACACAAATAATTAAATTTGGATGAGTGCTTCAAAGAAAAGGGAAAGGACAGGGTATGTGTGATTGAGCAAAGAGGTGAGGCATAAAGTTTAGTAAGGGAAGACAGGAAAGGGGTTACTTTGGTTTGAGAGGACATCTTCCCTCAGTGGGGAAAAATCTTTTAACTCATCTATGCCTAGTGTTCCATTATTGGAACACTAAGCTTGTGGGAGTTATTTATATCCTACTGTTCAAGGTCATTGCTAAGGTCTGATATTTCACAAAAAACATTTGCAACCTCCGGTATAAATGGGTTAAGCAGGGGTGAGGGTGAAAGACGGAGTAGGAATTAACTCTGCAAAAAGGTAGATTTCCACAGGCCAAAGGAGAGCCCAGAGAAAGGTACTTTCAAGGACTTAAGGTCTGGGTGCTAGAATAAAAGGATGGGTGCAAGAGGTGAGGCTGCACAGGCAGGGAGGGATAAGAGCAAGCTGGACTGTGAAAGGTCATGTTGAAGATTTCTGGACTTTTTCCTAACAGCAAAGAGGCCTTGTATATCATGTTCCAAGAACTTCATGTCAGGACCATGGCTGATCCTGGCATGGGTAACAATGAAAAAAGCAATTACAAAATCAGAAAAAAATTCTAGTTTTATTTCAACTGAAAAACATTTCCTATATCCCTGTTACTCTTCTTTGTGTGTGTCATCTCACCCAAAATCAAGTTAAGAAAAGAAAGCATATGAATTTACAAATATAGCCATTTTCAGTTGGTCCACTTGGCTTTGACAAGAGGTCATGTATGTATACGGAGGTATGTACACTTACAGACACTTAAGGGAGTATGGGTCAGTTTCACATTTCTTAAAAGTGAAACATTTCAAGTAATAGCAATCCTTGAAAATGACTGCTATTATTTGAAATGAAAATGAAAAATGAAAAGCTCCATTCGTTGTTTGGCTATGCATTAGTGCTATGCATTATTGCTATACTGTACTTGAAGTTAAATGTTCATTCTCATGCCCTTTTCCATCAGATCCTTCATAAGGGGAAATAATTTCAAGAGAATACCAACACAATTCTTCCAAGGATTATTTTAACCTCATTGCTTTTTAGTCTCATCTTGAATATACTAAGTAATGAATTCCAAAATGCAATTACAAATTTATTTCTTCTAAAATTACATTTATATCAAGGGTAACATTTAAGGAAGATAAATGACAAAGTTATTAAAGTAAGAATGACAGCTAGAATTTTTTGAGCAATTTCTGTGTACTGGTATTGTTTTGGGAATGTTAAAATACATTATCTCATTTAATTCTAACAAGGACTCTGGAAGGTGCATGCTAATCTCTATTTCACAGATAAGGAAACTGAAGCTTAGAGAAATAAGCAAGCATTTCCCCAAATCATATACACCTTAGACCTCTGTTGTCCAATATGGCAGCCTGTGGCCACATACGGCTACTGAGCACTTGAAATGTGACTTGTTTGAATTGAGATGTGGTAGGTCAAACACATACCAAACTTTGAAGACACAGTATAAAGAAGTAAAGTACCTTATTAATAATTTTTGAATACTGACATGTCAAAATGATTCTATTTTAAATATGGTGGGTTAAATAAAATACATTAAAATTAATTCCATATATTTATGTTATTTTTAAAAAATCAGCTACTAGGAATGTTAAAATTACATATGTGGCTCACGTTATATCTCTATTGAAAAGTGCTGACCTAGACCTAAAGCTGAATACTGAATTTGACAGTAGATATCAAATACTGAAAGACTGGTAAAGAAGAGGCCACCTGCATTCACATGTCCTCTCCATCAATGATGGGAAGCCAGACGCTGGGGTTAGGATGAGGTGTAAAATACCTTACTACTACCATATTACAAAGACACACAAGTGAGGGTCCAAGAGGTTCTTATGTATACAACGGTTGAATTCTGGTGAAGAGAATTTATGAACTCTACTTCAGCTGATCAATGATCTTTTTATATCAAGAACTGAGACTAGTGAGTAAAATGATACTGGGCATGCAGAATTTTACTCTATGTTTTTCCTCTGGGTCATAGTGAAAATAAACAAATTGCTCCAATATGCTGAGTTTAGACTAACCTATTATTATAACTGAGAAAAGTAATCTGCACTAAATTACAAGAAACTACAAAATTATGTGGACCATATTATCCAATAATATTTTGCCATATTTGTTCCCTAGGCTTGTGTCAAGAAGTTAGCCATGGGTATGTGGCTTTATCAGTGTATATGTGCATCTTCATATCTTTAAGCATATATATCTAAATGTGAAGGGTGAGGCTGTTGGGGCATTTACTTAGATTATTTTTTGATGTATGCATTTGGCCTAACATTGACATGTGGCAATGTATCAGACTACCCTGCAGTTGGTTTGGTTTGTTTCTTTTTAATTGAGTGGTTGGGGGAGGGGGTAATAAGAATTTAAGTAACTTAAATGTAGCCCCTTAAATGCCATCCTCATACTAAGTTTAACACCAGAATTGTTCATCTCTTAACTATAAACATTTAACTTTAGGAAAATGATACTGGAGAAGTACAAAGCTATCAAATTTACAAATCTTAGCAGCAGAGACCACGAAAATATCTGCTTTATTCTAGTTTGGAATTTAACACAAGGATGAATAACATGCACGATTTTAGTTCAGCGATTAAAGTGCATACTCAGTTAAGGGGGGGTGGAGCAATAGAGAGAGAGCCTTCTCTTTGATCTCATAGGTTGCATTAAAAACTCACTACTCGTAATGAATTTTTGATCATCCCCTGGGTACACATAACTTGGTCCTTGCTCTTTCAAAATGAGTGGACTCAAACTGACTTACAATGTGACTGTGTCTACGGTGCACTTACAACCATCTTTCAGTAAAGGTCTTCAGATTTAGGCTCTAGGTAGAATAAGGCAGGAAAAAAAGGACACCAAAATTATCAGCAGGCATTAACTAACAAGAACTAGATGAAACAGTAATGTGTAATTAAATGATAATTAGAAAAATTTGCCAAAACTTTGAACTAAGATATTATCACATTTCTAATGCTTAAAATTACACGGAAAAATATATTCAGTGAATTTAAGAGAAAACAAACATTTTAAATCATTTATCAGCCATATTTCCAAAATGTATACTTTAGAAAAGAATTTATATATATATATAAAGGCTTATTAACATTAACTTTAAATTAGCTAATACTTGTGTCACACTTTTGAAGAAGCTTCTGTTTTGTTTCCAGGAACTGGTGGTGGTGGTGTGGTGGTGTTTTTTTTTTTTTTTTTTTTTTGGAAGGGGTTAAGGCGGCTATATTAAAAACAAAAAAACAAAAACAAACAGTTAAGCTGCATTCTTTTCCTGTGAATGGCTTATTTGTACTCCTCTGTTAATATTCTCGAAACCCCATTTAGCTTATGATGTCTTCAAATAATTTAATAATCTGTCTTTAAAGTTTTGCACTAAATTAGAGACTTAATTTTTGTAAAACGCCTTGGAACCATAAACCTTTAACGAGATGAGAAAGGTCTCCTTCCTCTGGACTTGACTTTACTGTATAGGTGTGTGAGCGATTTTTACTGTCAAACATTGCCAAGGCAGATTGTTGTTGTTCAGTCTGCAAATGTCTCGACTATACCTGCACAGTTCCTCTCTTCCCAAGACAAATCTATCCACCCCTTTCCCCCCTGCAAGTTTTAAACTTTGTTTCCTTGGGGGCTCTGTAACAAGCAATGCTAACAACGTCCAAGAGACAAAGAGCTGTTCTGTGGGCTAACACGATGCCAAATTTTAGTTGTGAAACAAAGCACTCAAATTTGAGATTGAGGAGGAGGAGCAGAATGACAATAGTAAAGCCTCCAGCTTGGAGCCACCCCCCAGAAAGCCCCTTCCCCGGAGCCCCGCGCGGGGAGTTCCAGCCCCGGGACGGTGACTCCGGGGTGCAGCCGCCAAGCCCCCGTGTGCCCTCGC
Source organism: Homo sapiens (assembly GCF_000001405.40). Lineage (NCBI taxonomy): Eukaryota > Metazoa > Chordata > Mammalia > Primates > Hominidae > Homo > Homo sapiens. The sequence goes on along the minus strand of NC_000013.11, from coordinate 97,434,788 downwards.
TCACCGCTTCACGCGGATGATCTGGTCCCGCATGGGCTTGATGTCCTGGAAGCTCTGCTGGTTGACGAGGCTGTAGACGAGGATGAAGCCCTGGCCGTTCTTGATGTACAGGTCCCGCATGGACGCGAACTGCTCGGTGCCCGCCGTGTCCAGGATCTCCAGCACCGACGGCGACGAATCCACCTCGATCTCCTTGCGGTAGAAGTCCTCGATGGTGGGGTCGTATTTCTCGATGAAGGTGCCGGTCACGAACTGCACGGTCAGGGCGGATTTGCCTACCCCGCCCGAGCCCAGCACCACCACTTTGTACTCGCGCATCGTCCCTCCGCGGCCGCCGCCGCCGCCGCCGCCCGCGACATAGACCTACGCCGGCCGCGCTGCGCCCCCAGCCCCGGCCCCGGCGGCCCGCCCCGCCGCCTCCCGCTGCCGCCCCCACCTCACAGCCGCGGCGGCCCCCTGGGCGCCGGCGGCGGCGGCGGCAACTGAGGGAGCAGCGGCCCTGGGCATGGGCCGGGCCGAGCCGGGCGGCGATGCGGCCCCGTAGGCACCGGGTGGGACTGAGGGCGAGCAGAGAGAGAGACCGGGAGCCGCTGGTGCCGCCCGAGCCGCGGGCCCGCAGTGCCGCCCGCCCCGCCCCTCGCGCCTCCACGCCCAGATCCCCGCCCGCCGCCGCCGCCGCCGCCGCCGCTACCCCCAGCGCTCGAGCGCGCGCCCGAGCCCCAGCCGCAGCGCGGCCAGGGGCGGGGTCCGGCGGCCGGGGCGGAGCCCGCGGCGCAGCCCCGCCCCCGCCCCCTAGGCGACGGGCCGCGAGCGCTCCCGAGAGGCTTTGCGGGGCTCGGAAGCTTCTGCCCGCGCGGAGATAAACAAGCACCGCGACCGCCGAGCAGCGCCGAACCCAGCGCGCCCAGTCAGACCCCAGGGCCTGTGTACCGAGCATGCGCAGTTCCCGCCCAAGCCAGGAGCAGCGTCAACCTGAGACTCCCGAGACATTAAGAATTCGGAAGGGATGAGATGGTAGAGGGGCTAGAGCTACCTCCAAGCTTTATCCTGAGGCGGGGAGTGAAGGAGAGATGCCCAAGGCCCAAGAGGGGCCGCGAGGGCCTTTGTCCGATGCCACCCAGTCTGTCAGCACTCCTAGAGCTTTGGTTTTATCTTGTATTAGCATGTGAAGCTTTAAGGGGGGGGCACCTACAGGCTTCTGACTGAAGTTGTGTAAACGCAACAAAATGAAGCTTTGGAGCGTTAGGACATTGATGGGAGGGTGACGCCCCCCTCTAGCAGCGCGCCAGAGGGGCGAGTCAGAGGCGGCCACACACCACGGAAGTCGGGTCCAAGCCCGCTGACGTCGCCGGGGTCCCGCCCACCAACCCTCTGGACCCGCCCACATTTCTTCTAGACCCGCCCCTTTCGGTGCCGAACTGAAGTCGAGCTCTTCCCACGCCCTGTCAGCCACGGGTGAGTTGAAAACCTGGAGAGCGGAATCCCGAACGGCAGCCGGAAGGCCCTGGACTCCTCATAGCAACAGCCAGCTAGGGGCATCTAGTGGGAAGCTGGGATTCATTCTAGCCAACCACATCACGTCTCTGTACCACAAGGTACCATTCACGACCAATAAGAGAGCGCCCCCATACCACGTGCCTTTACTCCTTCAACCAATCGAGAAAAACGCTAGTCGTAGGATCCGCAAGCCCACCTCCCAGTGCCTTGCCAGGCGGGGCTCTTCGCGCACGCTCTGCCAACCAATCGTAGGTGAGCTGGCGAGTGACGGAAGCTTCGGCCAAGCCAACCAGAGCTCGCGAGCCCCTTGCCACCGAGGCCGGCGGGATGGAGACAGGGACCGGCTGCTGGGGTTTGGGAGGGGCAGAGATTGAGGAGCCAGTTGCTGTGCCCTGTTCTGGCAAAAGAACAAGATGCGTTGCAAGCCAGAATGATGAATTCCACTTTTCACGTCGCCTCCGTGGCATTCTGCCTAAATGATGGGCATGGAAATGGTGCTGAGGGATGTGGGCTGAATCGAGAACACAGGGACTTTTGTCTTCAGGGTGAGAAATGTTCCGGTCCTTAAGGAAACATCGTGCAGCAGTTGCATGGGTCTTCCAGGCGTTCCTCCCAAAACATTATTTTTTTTCTTTCACTATTGAGTTTTAAAACTTAGCGTTCTGTCGCTAGCATTGCATCTTAGTTACACATCCTCTCCCACCCATAACGTCAAATTTAGGAGACGATACATCCCCAAGCTTTCCTGCATTATTTTTTGCAGTAACTGGTTATTCAGTTTACTTTCTTTAAACTATGTCCTTCTCAAACTAGTCTCACCTGTTCGTTACTGTCGCACATTTCCTGCGAATAACACGTTTCTGTAGTTCTGTTGTTAGAGCCTGGCATACCTCTCCCCGTTCCTCTTTCCCACAAGGTCATCATGCAGAGGGGATTTTGGTCTGAGTTAAAAGCCAGGTATTCTTTCACCATCTTTTCTGTCGATAGTCAAACTACTACAAAGACTACTCAAATTTAGTAGTTTCTTATTTCCCTATAGCTTCGTTATATTAGAATGGATAACTTATATTTGCATTACCTTGCTGTAATGAACACACACCAAGTTTTCATTTAAAATTATCAAGGACAAATGTCCTCTGAATTTAAAAATGTGTATGTAGTAAAATATAACTCAGCATTTCTTGATTACATATCATTAAAATATGAATGGTACTATCTGAGCCACCAGAATCAGCAGTGAAGGTATTATATTAATAAAAAGGACTAAGAATCAGGACTGTTTTAAGGGAACTGGAACCGAAGAGGATCTACTATTTCATCCTAGGCTAGTTAACATGAAATAGTGAATTAAAATTGAAAGAGCTTACATGGATGCTTCATATCTGAGCTACTTTGGCAGGGATGTTTCAAGAGGATGTAGGTAAGTATGGTGTTCACCTAGCTTTCCAGAAGTCTCATATTTTGTGTAAAATTGGTATGCTTATTCATGGTTACTTTGGGTTAGTAGAAGCTATACTTCTTTTCCAAGGAAAGACAGACTGTCTTAAGATTCTAACTGTGCATCTTGGTGATAAGAAGTTCTTAGGGTTGTTAAATAGAGCCAGGAAGCGTGAAGCTTTCTCTCTAGATCATGACAACTCATCTAGTACCTTGCATTACAAAGGAGCTCTAAGTCCATTTACTTTGCAAGGAATGAAGTTCCAGTGATTAATGTTTTTGAGAAATTTGTATTGGGATTGTGGGGTCCAGAAGGTTGCCTTAAGTAACTGTTTTCATGACTCCTAGGTCCCTAGATGTTGAGAAGCTCTGGATTGAAGCTGTCACAAAAATAGTGAGTGGGCTCCGTAGTCACTCCATTTAGCATAATACAGAGTAGGACAGCTTTGTGACATTTCTCAGGCTATTTCCCCTGACCTCTCATCAATGCTGACGTTTTTGATAAGAAGGGGTATAGAGACTGCAGCCCTTGGGGTGGTTACAGTTCATTTATTTACAGGCCTTATATTGACAGGCCTCAGATTTCATGCTCAGTACCATAAAGGTTGATTTTTAACCACCAAGAGGCAAAAGAAACATGACAGGTCGGAGCATATTTTCTCACCTATTCTGGCTTAAATGATGGTACTTACCTGATTTGTGGTTGTAGGTGAAATGTTGGGTGAAAGATTAGCTGCTATAAAAAGGATGTCAGGACGTGTAGAGAATTTAGAGGACTTGGGTGGGAGATGGATGTCTATTTTCTAACCCCTTAGTCATGTTCATTCCGATGCCAGCATAAACTCTATTTTGAGATGATTATAGAAATAACTTATATCTTCATTTGTTTGTGGGAAATAAAAAATAAAAATGATATAAAAGAAATTTGAATTATTCCCAAGAGCTGTAAATCTGTAAGATAGTGAAAACTTAACGCAGTAACTGACACTGCAGGATCCCTTTAGTTTCCAAAGTGCATTGCCAGGAGAATAAAAAGAAAGAAAATCTTCATTTCTCCTCTCTCCACTAAATCTGAAAGGGAGTTATCTCACCTATAGCCAGATACCTTCAATTATCGCACTTGTGTTACCGTGGAAACCCAAGTCCATCCTTTCTTTCTGTAAAAGGTGTTGGAAAAGGTGGTATGAAGTGGGAAAGGTACTGTATTCTGGGACTTCCTGACACCAGCAAGAAGCAAATATGCAGATAATTTAATAGAAACAAATTAGTAGAGGATGTTTGTAATGCGAGGGGTACTTTTCGACTGTAAAACCCTGATTCCTAATGCTTCTTATTAAAGCCTGCATGCCTCTGATTAAACATAAAGGGGAAGGGCATGTCAAGTACATTTAGCACCTGTGAAACGCTGCTGGCAAGTATAAGGAGAGCAGACGATGGTTTCTTGACCTGTGAGGCTCCTAATACAGTTGAGAATCTGCAGTATATATGTGGAGTGGAAAGGAAGGGGCAAAATAAACTTTGTTCTTCCTTTAAAAAATGTGATATGTCTCAGTGCTTTTGAAAAGAAAAGGAATTAGAATGCAGAAATTAAGAGTATGGAAACAACTCAATAAAAGAAACGTATGGGTGGAGAGAGTAGATGTTTCAAAAGGCCATTTTAATCAGAAAAAAAATCTGAAAGAAAAGACGTAATGATTAAAATGTAGGCAGAAAAAAGAAAAAGCCTGAAGAATCTTAAGAGCTAGAGGATTCTGCGGAAAACAGAGCTTCAGTGTGGTTCATTTAACAAAGCAGAAGAGCAGGCACAGTGTTGCTTGCGTACCCAGCAGTTTCCCTTTATTTTTGCCAAAGAAGCTGGGATGAATCAGGATTGGACTTTAATAGCATTGCTTTCCCTCTGCCCACGGTTAGTCCAAAAGTAGGCACGTGACTCAGTTCTTGTCATTGGAATGGGGAGAAGGCTGCTAGGGCTGGAGGGATTTCTAGGATATTGACAAGAGTGAGGAAATATCCCCGTTTTCTGATGTCGCTCTCTTTGCTTCCTGCTTTACACATTGAAATATGAGAATGTGGCCTCCATTTGGGGGCTATGATGCATTATGACATTATGGTGCAATACTGTAGAAAGCCAGCAACTTCGGATGGCCAGGGAGGAGGATGGGAAGAACCTAGGTCCTGCATGACAACATTGGACAGTCAAACCAACATTAGAACTGCCCACATTTGGACTTATGGCTAAGTAAACAGCTGGTGTCTTTCAATTTAAGTGTGTGTTGGTAAGGTTTTCTGCATCTTACAGCAAAATACATCCCACCTGTTAACAAAAAGTATGAGGGATTCCAGCCAAAATCGGGCTTTAAAAAATCAGCAAGCATTTGTGAGCACTTTCATTTCACTAATATCTGAACGATAGTTCAAAGATACTATAATATTAATTGAGTAATTACTGTGTATATTTTTTAGGCTCTGGGGATAAAACAATAAGCAATTAGCCAAAAGAGCTTGTATTCTAGCAGGAGAGACAGATATTAAGCAACCAATTACATGTTTATATTATAAAATAATGGTTATGCTTAAAACTAATAAGGAAAAATCAGGAATTAGAAAGGGTATATAGTAATTATATAAATAATAAAATATTACAAAATATATAACTAAATAACTGAATGAAATTACAAAAACAAACACTTTCCAAGTAAATGAGAATGAAATGTATAGTTTTTACTGACATTCCCAGAGGTCGAGAGAAACAGTAAATTGGAGTAGGTTAGTCCAGGAGAGTTGTCTGAAGCAAATTAATATTGTATCAGGTTTTGAAGGAAGTGGCGAAAGGACAGGCTAGATGGGGCAGAAGAGAGCACTCTAGATGTAAGGAACCAGAAGAGCAAAGGAAGAAAGCAGGAATGAAGTAAGAGTGAATGAGGGAAATACCAGAATCACTTGATTTTTTAAATTCCCTGTAGCAACAGCATTCTAGGGGCATCTCTCAGAGAAAAAGACAGAAAGATGCCAGAAGTCTCAAAGCAAGATTATTTAAAGGTATAAAAATAATATAGGAGAAAAATACAGAAGACAAAGTAGGAGTACAAGAGTGCATTTGAAATTAAGGCGTCATTCAAAATAATGAATAATTTATAATGTGGGCGTCAAAAGAGTTGTCATAAGAAGTAATTATGGATTTAAGGGCATCAAGAAGGAGGGATTCAAACTTTCACAAATAGAAATAGAAGGAAACATGAGGAGTGGCAAAAAATGAAGACAGGTAGAAAAACAGTTTTTGCTTGTTATTTTTCCATGATAGCTGTTATTGACATGCATTATGTAGAAATGAATGGAATTTGTTTGAAAAGAAAAATTTCAATAGAGCAGTAATACATAAAGGTAGGCTTTTTGGTAAATAGTGTAATTTAAAATGTTTTCACTAGAATGCCTTTTTGTACCTTCCTGTAGGAAAATCTTTTCAACAAAAAAAGCTGTAAGTCATAATAAGTTACAGATTAGCAAAGCATTTTTGAAATAAAAAAAAACCCATAGATGTGCCAAATGTAATAGTAGAGCAACAATAATAAATATTTGTAATAAAAATCAGAACTTGTTAGGCATTATGTGGTTTCTGGTCAAATATGGTTGTACTAATTTTTCTAATGCTATTTTCTGTACAAATATAAGAATTTTTTAAATTAAGCTATGGTAGGTATATGAACACATCTTGATATTACTGGAGGTAGGATTTACCACTCACTTTTTGTGACCCCAAGTGTAACCCTGAACAGACTTCTGTCTTAACACCAATAACACATGATTGCACTGTCTTCTCCAGTGACTGGGGAAAGGGACAGTGCTTTGTTCATTTTTGCTTTACCAGCATTCAGCACATCGCCTAAAAACAATTGTGGGAATTCATAAAATGTTTGTAAATAAATGAGCAATTGAGTGGACTATAATGTTGCTTCTAAAAACCCTGGGTTTTGAACACAGAGAAGATGAGAATAAAAGGAAAGGAATAAGGATTTTCCCCAAATCAAGGTGAGGTTGATGTAAATGTCCTCCAAAGTTGGTCTAATCTCCAAAGAAGCTTGTATCTCAAAAACAGTAAGTCTCCAACAGGCAAAGTCAATGGCAGTTTGTAGACCTGGAATTTAGGAGTGCCAGGAAAGATCTGAAAAATCATGTCTTCTATCAACTGACTGTTGTCTGAAATTCTGCACTTAGGTTTTAGTCTTTTGATGTAAAAGTTATTTTTTTCCAATTAAAATGTAAGTAGGAGATATACAGTTAAATTGTACCATCAGTCTGTCAACTTCGGGGCATGCAACTATGCTTACCTGGATGAAAAAGAAAATGAAGAAAGTAAAATAGAAGAACGTAGTTTAAATTGGGGGATAAGTCATGGCATGAGTATGTGCCCAGAGCGAGTATAAGAAGGCCATGGAAATCCACTGTATTTTTGTCATACACTTATTAATTTGTTTCAATAAGGTTAATCACTCCACATGGTGTAACAAGAAAAATAACAGCCTTTACAATTACTAGATTCTTAAACTTATTTCAAATACTTTTTAATTTTTATGAGATTATAAGAATTTTTTAAACTTTGAAGCTGCATGCCTTGTCTGATTCCTTCCATTTCTCTTCTGCTTCTCACATTATTGTGTTCAGCAATGGTTTGGAGGCATCTTGGGGAAGACAGAGCAGAGTTATGGTGTAAGGACCATCCAACTCTTCTCAGCAGCCATCCAGTTATCTTGTCAAGGGAAGTTACTCATCCTGCTCTCTAGAATTATCTCCTCAAAAATCGGTTTCCTGCTTTTCACAGAACAGTACACCATCTTTTACTATTATCCTAATTAATGCTTCTCACACAGCCTTACAAAATATTAGTCACTTAATTATTAACCACATTCATTGGGCTGCACTAGTTGAAAAAGATGTCTTGTTTACTTAGTCAAAGCGCTGTCTCTGTGCAATGGCATTGATGGTGAAATTGATCAGAGTCTACGTTTGAATGAGAGAAGCTGAGGGAGACATTTCAGAAATAGTAAGCCTTTTTATTTCCTTGGTGTACCAGGTAGTCAAGGAAAGTTAAAGTATTTTTTTATACTTTGTCTTGATTACATTCTTTTGGGGACTGGTCTCTGGTGTTAGGTTTTTAATAAAGATTTTGGCCATTTTCCATGCAAACTAATGTTTCCAATGAAAAGATACAACATTGCATGTAAATTACCTAAGAAATATTAATCTGTCAATGTAATTAAATTATATAAGCAACAATTAGTTTCAAAGCTGGAATGGATTAAGTCAGTTCTATACTGCACACTGACAAAGTGAAAGGAACTAAAATGGACAAATTGTGGTGCTGTAAGGTTATGATTCTTAAGATTTTTATATTAAAGTTGCAGAGTTTCAAAGTGCTCAGTGCTGCTCTTTACATTAGGGCTGTAGACTCTCTTAAGCCCGAGGATTCTATCTGGATATGTGATTGATAGGGTGGAGGCTGGGCTGAGGCTTAGTAAGACATTTAACCATGCTTTGTATAATACTCCTTAAATGTTGGCTCTCACAAACATAGAAATAGCGAACATTAACTAGCTCTCTGTTTCAATGTCTACCATCTACCTGTCAACTTAAAATCATGAAATCTATAAATTTGGAGAGGAGAGCTTTATTTCTTACCAAGAGTTGCAGCCAGCAGGGTGGCCATCCTAACTGGCTGGGAAGTGTAACCTCAGGCAGAGACCAAAAGCAAGTTATTCAAGGGAGGATGAGATAGGAATTTATGCTGAATGGATTGGCCAAGTATATTTATTTAACAGATTGTAGGAGGAGCTATACATATCCATGAAGAGGGGGCATGTGCATGAATAGTAAGCAAACATGGATGTTACATGCATCCCTTGTTCACTTTGGGGTGCAGACTTCACATTTAAATGCATTCCAATTAAGCCCTATATGTCAAAAGGTGAAGCAGGGACAGGAAGGCACTCAGTGCTCAGCCTCTGTAAACCAGACAGAACCAGAAGATGGTCAGTGGTCTCTTATCAGGAGAAAGTTACTGAAATCAGTCTTTTATCCAATCAAAGCTGTAGCTGTGGCTTGTGGAACAGAGGGGTCAGTTAGTCAGCATCTGGTGCTCAGTGAGCTACGATTGTTTCAATACTGCTTATCTTGAGGCCAGTGCTTGTTTAGCTGCTAGAGAATAAGAAAAACCTGTGGCAATTAGAGCATAGTTTATTCTATAAGGGTAGGGGTACGTGACTTCAGCTTTTTCTGGCATGGCCTTAGGTCTCATTTATTATTTGGTACTTTATTGCCACAAGGAGTCTGTTCCATTAGTCTTATGATCTCTATTTTAACATATCTATTTTGTTTTTTTCCTCCACTTGATTCCAGAAGGACTAAAGTACATTTCATAAATACATACAAGATAAATAAAAATAAGAAAACCTTCAATAAAAATGATCTATATTAATACATTTCCAGTTTTAGGGTCAAATAGATTGTTTCAAGAAACCTTAACATTATCTATTCAAAATAAGTTTTTTCAGAAACTGTGTTGCACATTGGTGTACATCTCTTTAAATAGATTTCACCTTGGCATTCACACTTTGTCTGGCTCTGTGTGTGTTAGGGTTGGGGTAGGGGGAGCATTGTTAATGCCCAAATCCTTCCCAAGTCTCATCAGTGAATAGTCTGGGGGAAGGAGGGTTGGGAATGTGTATATTGAACAAAATCCTCTAAATGATTCTGACTTGCCTCTGGGTTGAAAATCAATTTAACAATACTATGTGTTTTCTGAAGTAAAAGTCACACTTAAAGTAACTGGTGATCTTGGAAATTTTTACCAAGGATACTGACTAATGAGATGGCCTACCCCAAATCCAGAATTTAACTTAAATTCCACCTCCCCCTGTTTTCCTTAAACTAATCTCTCACCATATTTTCCAAAAATGTTATACTTTTCTTCTCATATGTACTGCAATTTGTCTTGCATTGTATTTATCTTTGTGATTTCAGCTAGTATATGGACTCATGGATGTCTGATGGGGAGGAGGGTGGAGAATCTATAAGTTTTTTCATCTTTCTAATCTTTATTATGCTTTAGTCAATAGTATATATTCAATAAATGCTGAATGAATTGGATTAAATATAAAACATTAAATGTTATGAAAAGTATGCTTAATTTTCAAATTATCAAATGATTCTCTCTATTGAAGGGAAATCAATGGTGTTTTTCAACTTTGAACTGAAACTCTAAACTATATGAAATCATAACAATGTGAAATTTTAAACAGTATTATTCTTCATAAAACAGTAATATAGGCTTTAATTCACAAGAACTGCAATGGGGTCTCATCCTTTAAGCAGTCATTTTTAATGTTCTAACCAAATCCTTATACTAAAACAGAAACAACTGCTGAATGTGATAAAGTAATGGAAAATATAGAAAAACTCCCATTTTCTCTATCTCATTGTGTGTGAAATCATTCTTAAAAAGAATCACTTCCACTTCTATTTGAATCAAAAATAGCCAATAGGGCAATTCTAACTGGTTAAAAAAAAAAAAAAAACCAACGAGAATAAAACAAATCACCAAGGCAAACGAGTTTTAAAAGATATGAGTCATCAAGGTTAAAAAAAATTAGAAAAATATATAAAAACTTACACATGTCCTTGATATAGTTTTGTCTTGTGTCCCCTTAAAATTTCAGTAGCTTTTCTTGTTGCTTAGAAATCAAGGACATCTGATTGGCAGGACTTTGACAAGCTGCCTAAAGGAAACTATGATGTTTTCAGTCCCCATATTAAAGACCCCCTTTTACATTCCAGCTGAGGGCTGGTATAGGCAGGATAGGAAAGCTTACAGATGGTGGGAGGCACAGAACCTTCATAGGGGCTGAGGCAAGAATATCCAGAAGACAGGAGAGAGAATGAAAGATGCCAGCCGCCTCATTGTGAGTTCACAGTGGCTGCCTTGGTCGGGAGCTTTTGGCATGGTTCTCATGAATTACACAATCTAATCTACTTCTGTACAGAAGATTTTAGAGGCACAGTTGAGTGTGCTAAAATGGCATTACTACCTACTCAGAACATGATGCTTCTGTGTGCCCATATGCCCAACTTATTTTCAAATGTATTTGAGAAAAATAGAAAATAGGCATTCTTAGTACTAGAGACATACAATAAAAATGCGCATGACTCTATCCATTTGTAGGTTTCTTGGGAGTTTTATCAGGCTCCAGGGGACCCATGTTTGTAGCACATGAGTTCTCTGGTCGTAGATCGTTGATGTGGTCATTGGCACACGGTGCCTAGCTCATGAGCCAGTAAGATTTGTTTCCTCCTAGGAATTTAGAACTGGAGTCCAGAGGGTGGGGCTGGGCATTTGAACTAGGAAGTAAGGAAAGCCACACTGGGAAAGCCTTTGATGGGCTGTGTGTACAACTCAGCGGAAATGCCAATATACAGAGAAATGTCAAAGAATAAAGTCGATTCTTAGAGAAGTAGTGATGGCTCACTTAGTTCCTGAGAGCTTTCCTACTCATGAGGAGATCCAATTGCATTTTCTACCATTGGCATTGAGATCCCCGCCTCTACCCCAACATTACACTAAATTTTCCTTTAAGTTAGTATCAGTGGTTTTCTGGTTTTCTATTACAACCAGAAGGTTCCTGAAAAAGACAAAATTATCCTGTTAGATCATGTTCTCTTATATCTCTGTTAGAAGTACATTGGAAATGAACAGCATTCTATTGTCAGTTTGTCAGCATTAATTATAAAGTATGGCCCAATAATTTTTCAGAACCTAATTGCATATAGCTGATGACAGTGGCTTCTGGAGCTGTTTTATGATAGTGTTAGTTAGAGAGTCCTGCCAGATTCCCTGGAGGAGATAGTTTGTCCTTTCTGTAATGTTGGAAATAATGTCTCTCGTGCAGGTTTAATAACAAGATGCAGTGCAAAAGCTCCAGGCACTAGCCAGGTCATGTGACATGAGGCTTGGGATCAGCTTATCTCACAAACCCAGACATAGAACCCCGTGCCAGCCCCACAACAAGTGGACAATCCAGGAGGATTTGAGTATTTCCTCAGCTATTCAACAAATACAGAGAGGTGGTTTGCTTCAATAACAATAAATAGTTATTTATTGTTGTCCTTATGCAACAACAATTCTCCAGTTGTCATCTGGAGAAACTGAAAAGTAATATGAAATCATCTAGTTCCTCTTTAAGACAGTACTTGGGATCCTGTGAATGCAAGGATTTCCTTATTGTCCTACCTGCAGGGAGGGGCATTCAGGGCTTCTGGATCATAGCCTCGGTCACATTTTAAAACTTGACATAATGTCTAAAATAGCTGTATTTATATTTTAAATTAACTTGAAAATGAAACTGCTAGACCATATAATTTACCTACTAAATTTGGACACTTTTGAGAGTAAAACGGGATGCTATTAATAATAAAATGAAAGCAGGCCTTGGAACTGACCCAGGCAAACTGGATGATAGTATTACCCTATTCTTAGGTTTTGCATTCTTGGTTTGTGAGTAACTCACATATTGGGAAGCCCAACAATTTTTGGCACGGTTTTTGACCAAATCAAATTTTAGCCGCCATTTTGGAGTATGGCCCACGATCCCACCACGAGTCACTAGCTATAGAAATGAGCTTCTCTAGGGCTTCAGCTTCTTCACCTTTACAATTGAATGGGTAACTCCAAATCCCTTTCAGCACTGAATAGTCCGTAATCAATGACACATCTATGAAAGAGTTTTACTTTTTGGAGAAATTTGTATTATTTTGATTCATATTCAATATAAGATACAGAATATGAATATCCATAAAAGAATATTATGAATAAGGTTTGTACACATTATAAAATCATACTGGGCAGCATGGCGTAGCAACAAACACCTGGACTGGAATCTAGCCACTTATTTCCTCTGTGAATTTGCCGAGGTTTCCAAACCATCCTGGATGCCTAAACTGGAATACTTTCAACTGTAAAATGGGCGTAAGAATAACAACTTTTTAGTAATGTTATGAGAATTAAGTGATATGTAGTGTGTGAAGGTATCAAATATATACCACATAAATAGATGTATATGATCATTAAATACTAGTTCCTCTTCCTATTAGAAGGTTAGTGTCATTATTGAATATTTAGGTCATAAATGTGCACTGCACCTTCTTATAACTAAAGTAAGAATATTGCCAATGAGTTTCTCTATTCCCAATATTGGCTTTTATTGACACAGAGAGCAATTACGTCGGATGGAAGCACATCCATGATTACAGGCATCATCAAAGTCAAACACACCTGGACCCAAAAGCCCTCTTTCTTCTTTTAGATATATGACATTGGGAGGTTACTTAGGCTTACAGAGTCTCTCTTCCCTTATCTGCAACAATGAATGAGATAATGTGTATAGATCACGTGGCACAGGTCCTAGTGTATATTCAATAATATGCATTATTGTTACTCATTATTGTTAATATGGGAGAAGAGAAATTAAAAGTCTCCATTTAAAGGTGAGAGAGATGTTTCCATAAGAAGAGCTTATAGTGCATGTGGACTTCAGAAGTGACTATAAGTGAAGAATAATAGTTGAGAAAGCAAACCCATGAGCATGTCGTGGGTTTAGCATTATGCTAAACAGCAGCATTGTGCTATTCCCACTGAGAATAATGTCTTTCATGGACATTGTGGAACGATTATGGACTGGTCATGATACTATGACTCCTGAGAATTCTAACACCTTCAGATTCACAGTAGGGCTGCAGATGTGTTTTACCCATCCAGGGCTCCTGACAGTGAAATCAAAGGCTTGGATTGATAAACTCTGCGAACAATGTGTATTAGTCCGTTTTCACACTGGTGATAAAGACATACCCAAAACTGGGCAATTTACAAAGGAGAGAAGTTTAATGGACCCACTGTTCCACTTGGCTGGGGAGGCCTCACAATTATGGTGGAAGGTGAAAGGCACGTCTCACAGGTGGCAGATGAGAAAAGTGAGAGCCAAGTAAAAGGGGTTTCCTCTTATAAAACCATTAGGTCTCATGAGACTTATTCACTACCACGAGAACAGTATGGGGGAAACCACCCCCATGATTCAATTATCTCTCACTGTGTCCCTCCCACAACATGAGGGAATTGTGGGAACTATAATTCGAGATGAGATTTGGGCGGGGACACAGCCAAATCATATCACAATGTTAAGTTGCTCTTAATCGTTTTATTGATGAAGTACAACAGGTTGATTAGTAATACAACAGTTTTATCTGAGCCTCACTTATCTGTTTTGTAAATGTTATTTTGGAGAAAGCCACTCCTACAATTTGTTTATAAGAAGTCTAGCATGGAGTATTGGTGATCACATTTAGAGAATTATAACTGTGATATTAATGAAGACTGACAATGTGGATGATGACGATCCAATTCATGTGCATCAGAAAAAAAAAAATCACAACTTGATTTTTCTACCTGCTTTGTTTCAATTAATCCTAATTTTTAGAAAACAGACAAATGCAAGACCCAGACAAGGGTCTTTGCTTAGTAAAGATTTGGAATTTTCTCATGCCAAGAGATCCTTTTCTGAGGCCTTTTCCAATTGAATCCAAAGTTTGCCATCCAATTCTTCCAGAGGAGAGGGGTCTAGATTTAGTAGAGTATTATTATTATTATTATTTTGCCAACTTCTAGTCTCTCCTTCATGTATTTGACAGCTCCTTAAAGTTTCTGGCTATAGCCCAGCCCTCCAGCTCCCTGACTGAGATGGGACCTATCGGAAGCATGTTGGTGTTAAAATCCCAACTTGCCTCCATTCCTCAAGCCCTGGACTTAAATTGGGGTCCTCTGGCCCTGTGGATAGCCTTAACCTCACTACCTAATTTCCACTCCAGGTTTGAATTTCTTCTCTGTTTCTGTATCTAGTGAGTTCCCATTCTATCTTCCAATCCCGGCTTTAATGTAATTATATTTGCTATATGTTGTTCAATAATTACAAGTGTTTGGAATGGGGCCAAGGGCCCTTTCTCAGCAGTTTAGTCTCCAGATTTTGGTATAAGTGAAGATTAGACTTCTCCTGATCTTCACATCTTTCAGAATGCCATTTCTAATTTTTTTCATGAACAGAATTAACAGAGGAAACCAGAGCCAGTATCTAAAATCTCAAAGTCCATCACTATATAGCAGCGCCAGGATCTAAAAATCTCAGAGTCCATTATATATTGTGATATAGTCCATCACAATATTTTGGGAAAACAAAATAAAACAGTCTCCTACCCTAAAATACTTAGTATCTTGAATTAAAACCACCAACCTTAAACCCTGATGGCAGTGAAACTGCGAATTTTAAACTTTGCCAAGGAGCTGGGGTTATTTGTTTTACTGGGAATAATCACAACGGGTCAGGTAGTATTTGTGGAGGGTTCACTTTTGAGTAGGAGTACGGGGGTCACCACAAGAAGTTCTGTCCACATCAACTCAACCCTTGAAGGACATGGAGCATGCATCAGGATGCAGATGTATGCTTGCCTTTATGGTGTGCAAGTTCCTATCAGTGAGCCACACTGTTCTCAGATCCTCAGTGTCCACAGTGTTTTAGCACGTTTTTTATTTGGTACCCTGAACTATAGGACTGGGTACCTTCACGGTAGCTTCAGTCAAGATGTGATTGGTGTAGAGGCATTCACTGACCTGTGTAGGGTTTTCCTGGATTTGTTTTCCTTTGCAGTTTTGGATGGCTGGTTCTCTTGGGATCAGTGATGACACCAGGCAGTCAGAGTAAGGCTGTGCTCTGGCAGGGACTGATGAGGCCTGGAGGAGCAGGGATGTGCACGACTCACAATATCTTTTTTCTTTTTCCTTTTTGGCATTTAAAAAGCATCAGATTACATTGTGAATAAATCCATATTGGAAGGTTATTTAAGTCATTAAGCACCAGTCTGCCAACCACATAAGCTGTATAGTAGCCTCTAGCAGGCTGCTTAAAGGAAAGCGGCCTGAAGATTGATCCAGGATGCCAGGACTTGCATCCTAAAAGTCAGGCTCTTTGTATTCTTCTGCCTTTACTACTGAGGGAAAGGAGTAGGGGAAACCAAGGTAGAGTTTCACGAACCTCCACTTTCCCCCTCACATCAGCTCTCAGCACCAAAGAGGCAAGTTAGGAAACAACACAAGTGTCCATCAACAGACTAAATGGATGAACAGAATGTACTATATCCACATAGCCGAGTTTCAGCCCTAGAGAGGAAGGCAATTCTGACACATGCTACAACATGGATGAACCTTGAGGACATTATGCTATGGTGAAATAAACTCATCACAAACAAACAAATACTGTATGATTCCACTTATATAAAATATCTAGAACAGGCAAATTCATAAATATAGAAAGTAGAAGACACCAGGGGCTAGGGGGAGAAGGGAATGCGGAATTGTTGTTGAATGGGTATAAGGATTCTGCTTGAGTTGATGAAAAAGATCAGGAGAGGGATGATGGTGATGGTTGCACAGCATTGTGAATGTATTTAATGCTGCTGAACTTAAAGCCACTTAAAGTGGCTTCTGTCTGTAAAACCACAGTTCTTAAAAAGGCAAGTTGAGGGGATTACCACTTCTGGAAAGATGGAGTGGATTCACTTTTCTCTATTTCTCACTGAGCACAGCTAAAACCCCTGGACATGCATGATATGTAGAACAAACAGAAGAGTCTAAAAGGTGGAGAAAAGAAAACAAAGCCTCCAGGGACCTTGAGATCCAATAAATGACACAAATGTGAGTTTCCTCGGTTTTCTTTTTGCTTCATATAACCCAGACTGCGTGCTGCAGAAGTCTCCCGCTTGGAAACACACCAATAATTGCAGGCAAAAAAAAAAAAAAGGCCCTGAGTAAAAGGCTTGACATTGAAGGTGCTGGTTTCTTATTTGTTGAGGGAGGGGAGGAGGTGGAGCTACAATAGGGTGACTCGATCTCTAGGCCTAGGGAGTAGCCCCCAGATCACTGTGGATGCAAACTTGCTGGAAGGATCTCAAAGACACCCATTGACTCCCCTAAATTTTTCCTTTATTCAGATTATGTAAAACTTTTGTTTTACTCTATTCAGGTTAAATAGTACATTTGTACACAAAACGTTGCCTCATTTCCAATCTTCACAAAAAATTTCAAAGACTGGTTTGATACAGTATGTAGCGAGGGACGCCTTGGTTATTGCAGCTTAATACAGTGTCTGCAGAAACCGAGCCAGCTCAGGTGATTCTATCCCAAGTAAGTATGGTTACTCAGGAGAAATTATACCCAGAACTGGCATTATTCCAGCACTTTTAAACAAATACCTGAGAATTTCTAAAATTCAAACCTGGTAAAGTTTAGCTAACCTTTAATCCTATGAGAAGACAACATTTAGCCCCAAAGAAATCTTCAGTTGCAAGTCTCTTTACAGCTCTGTAAACAGCAGGGTGGAGAATGAGGTGAAGGCTGCACCTGACAAATCACCAAACTCTTGTTTCTGTTCCTTTGTTTTCTCATCTGTAAAATGGGGATAATAATAAAAATTCTTCTAAAGATTAGAAAACATCATGTTAGCTACTCACAGTTCTCTTTTTTTTTTTTTTTTTTTTTTTTTTTGAGACGGAGTCTCGCTCTGTCGCCCAGGCTGGAGTGCAGTGGCGCGATCTCGGCTCACTGCAAGCTCCGCCTCCCAGGTTCACGCCATTCTCCTGCCTCAGCCTCCCGAGTAGCTGGGACTACAGGCGCCCGCTACCACGCCCGGCTAATTTTTTGTATTTTTAGTAGAGACGGGGTTTCACCGTGTTAGCCAGGATGGTCTCGATCTCCTGACCTCGTGATCCGCCCGCCTCGGCCTCCCAAAGTGCTGGGATTACAGGCGTGAGCCACCGCGCCCGGCCACTACTCACAGTTCTCATCACAAACTGTAAATCTTGGAAAGCAGGGACTCCTTTTGCCTTTAGAACATTTCAGAAAAACCTAGTCTGCTGCCTTGTAGACACTCAGGGAGGAAGTACTTAACTGACCAAAGAATCGTGTCCACAGCTGAGCACTTAGTACCAGTACTCTGAGCTATGGAAGACTTGGAAGGTCTCCTCTTTGTATCCCTGGGGCCATAAAACTACGCCACCTGGTCACAGGTCCCGTTCTTGATGGCTTAGAAATCTTACCACTCTCTGATCCCAGGCAGGAATATCCCAGTGGCAGAGGAGATGAGCACAGTTCTTCATTAAATGCTCTGAAAAACAACCATATCATTTCTTATACATCCTCCTTGGAGGATCTCAGGATTATCTTGGCTTCTTCAAATCTAATTAAACCATGAAGCCACCCTATGAATTAGTGGACCTTTTCATCCCTATCTTGCAAGTTGAAAAACTTGTTTGGTTAAATTATTATGTCAGGCATACTAATTTAGGCATATAAGAAGTGCAAGCAACATTCAACACTTGCTCCATATTTTATCCACTGGGTTCTACTTGGCAGGTACCAAAGAAGAAAAATTTAGCACCTTATCATTTATGCCTCCTGTTTTTTGTTTTTGTTTTTTAACCTCCCCCAGTTATCTGAGGGACTTTAATTCTCTAAATCTGAAGGTGGTAGGCTGACTTTAGCATAAGTAAGATGTAAATGTAGTGACCACTTTTTGAGGGGTCTAGATATTGAATTTAAAATGTCTCTAGTTAAGGGCAGATAACAGAATTTCTTTATACAGCAGTCTCAATTAGGCAGTGGTTAGTAAAAATGTATTTAAAAGGCCTAAGTCAAAAGGTAACGAAATTTGTTGTTTATTTCACCTGCTGTAAAAGAGTAACCACAGACTTCATTCTTGGGTGTCCTCACTTGCTTATTTACATGAATTATTTATCTTATGTCTCAAAATTTAATACATGTCACAGAGCTGCAAATTACACAATTCATCTTGGGTTTTGTAGTTTGCTGTCTACACGGGTAATCAATCTCAGCTATTAGTTTTATTTATTAAACCCAGCTCAAGAAGTAGAGGTTTGACCCCATCTTATATTATGCTAAAAATATAGATATGGTTAGTCCAAGATGTTGGATGGAGTGCAGCTAAAAAGAAAACCAATTTAAGTGAAAGGTGAATTAATAAATGCTGTGCCAATCCTGCATGTCAGGATTATGGGGGGAGATTAATGTTTTGTTCCTGCCAAGACAGAAATTAGAACATGCTGGACAGCAGTTAAAAAAAAATTAATTAAATAATGGTTTCAAAAGTCATTCTGAATCAGTGAAACAAACTTTGGAAATTTTAAGAAAGGAACTCTCAGGTGTGAAAACCCACCAGCCTCTGCTTAGCTGATTTATTTATTTATTTTGTTTATTTTTTTTTTTTTGAGACAGAGTTTTGCTCTTGTCGCCCAGGCTGGAGTGCAGTGGCATGATCTCGGCTCACTGCAACCTCCACCTCTCAAGTCCAAGTGATTCTCCTGCCTCAGCCTCCCAGGTAGCTGGGATTACAGGCATGTGCCACCACACTCAGCTAATTTTTTGTATTTTTAGTAGAGATGGGGTTTTACCATATTAGCAAGGCTGGTCTCGAACTCCTGACCTCAGGTGATCCACCTGCCTCAGCCTCCCAAAGTGCTTGGGTTACAGGTGTGAGCCACCAGGCCTGGCTTTAGCTGATCATTTAAAAAAATAATATTGGTTTCTGTCCTAAGATCCCCAAGCAAAATGTTCAATAAGCTTAATCAGTAAGTCCAGTGACAAAATGCTCAGAAAACTGCTAATGAAATCCTTTTTGAGTGGTGTTTTGTCTGCTGCCTTCACTTGAAAGTGCATAGTAAAGGAAGATTTAGGCCCTGGACTATGCATCTGGACTTGGGGAGGACAGAGGAGGGACAAAGATGGGTTACAAATTAAGAACCCGAGCTCAAAAATTTCAGGCCACACTCGGCTATTCACATCATTTTTTTGCCTCGCCTCATATTAAGACTTACGTTTGTCACCCAATTTCATAAAATTGTCTTCATTTTTTAAGGTTTCCAAACAGCTAAATATGAACTTTTATTAAATAGAATACTATTGTAGAATCCCAGGGACTTGGCCGCAAAATAGCATTGCAGATAGAGAGCTCAGTATGCTGAGGTCATAATGATTGGTTTTTCCTGTGTTCATAAACATCTTTTCTCAGGCAGCAAAGTCTTTATGTGTGCTGTTTCCCTCCTGCCTGGAACATTCTCTTTCCTCATTCCCTATTTAACTCACACTCAACCTTCTAATCTCAGTATACAAGATTTTCTAGGGAAGCCTTCTAACGTTCCAGATGAACAAAGATCCCTTTGTTATAGATTCTCATATCCTTTCCACAAAACTTCTTTTGATTTCCGTAAAATTTTCACTTATCCATGGTATTATTTTATTGGTGCCTGTCTCTCCAAAGGGAAAGTAAGTTCCGTGAAGTCAGGTGTCTCATTATTTTACCTCTAGTTCTTAGCGTGGTGATTGCAGTGGAGTAAGAACTCCATTACCATTTGTTGAATCAGTGACTGAAAAGCAAGAGCAATTATGCATTTGAGTTTGGTGGAAAAAGGAATGCAAAACACAACTTCTGTGCCTTTTATAACCATTATGGAATCAGTATCCTTGAGGCCAATAAGAAGGGACAAGTTTTCCTTAGTATTTTAAGCACAGGGATGACTATACAAATGAACAGCAACCTTCACATAGAGTGTCAGCTCATTAGGAAATAACTATGAAAGATGTTTGAATGGATGATTCGTTATCGTGCCACAAATACATAAGTGGCTTTGGAATTGATATCAATTTTCTATCATTTGGTTGGAAGAATGAAAGAGGAGAAAATTGAGATGGACCCACTGAGTGCCTTGATCATTGATAATTATATCCTGCTTTTCCCACTGCTGTAATATCTGCTGACCTTCCAGGACATGTTTTATTGCTCTATTGCAGCAGGAGAGATCAGCAACACGACTATCTTGTAGAGATTAGAAAATGGGATTTCCTTTTGTTCTATGACCTCAATGCCCCCTCCTCCCCACCCCTTATGGCCTTTAGTTCCTCTTTCCTTTGTCAGGGAAGGTGTCACCTATGGATTTCCTCTTCAAAATTGCAAAGGAAATTCAAGGTTTCATTCCTTTTCAGCCTGCTGCTTGGCCTAGTGACAAAACCCAGCATTTGTTTTAAATGTAAATATAATATGAAATAGTAAAAATTGAGACCTGAGCAAGAAATTTTCTGTAGTTTATTTTCATCTCATCTCCAATTGATGCAACACATGTCCATTGCATATCTTTGATACAGAAGGCACTATAGTATGTGTTAGCTAATAAAATGAAAACATTCACAGTCTAGTGGGAGGAGCAAAGTTGCAGTTATCAATCTAAGACAGACAATGATAAGTATTAAAATAGAAGTACAAATAAAATGTTATAGAAGCACAGGGGAAGGGGATACTAATACCAATTTAGGGATTTTGGAAGATTTGAGGAAGGATTTGGACCTTGAAATGTGGATCTTTAATAATGGAGAAGCTGCACTTTGGGAGGCTGAGGTGGATAGATCATCTGAAGTCAGGAGTTCAAGACCAGCCTGGCCAACATGGGGAAACCCCGTCTCTACTAAAAATACAAAAATTAGCTGGGTGTTGTGTCATGCACCTGTAATCCCAGCTACTCAGGAGGCTGAGGCAAGAGAATTACTTGAACCCAGGAGGCGGAGGTTACAGTGATCTGAGATCGTGCCACAGCATTTCAGCCTAGGCAACAGAGTGAGACTGCATCTCAAATAATAATAATAGAGAAGATTTCAGGGAGCTTAAAGAGGAAGAAGAGGGTCTTCTAGGCAGAAGGAACATGGGAAACCTAGACAAGAAGGTAGGAAAGCATGAAGGATGCTTTAAAAAACGTTGAATAATACTGTGTGGCTGGACTTTGCAATGTTTGGAGATAATGAGTAGATGATAAAGGTAGATGGAGCCTATGTATAGAGTAAGCCTCAAACGCTATATAAGGCAATTTGGGCTTTATTCTGTAATAGGATATATTAGGGAATTTACCTTGATCTGAGTTTTAGTAAGTTTTTGTTTAGTGTGGTTTAGTAAGACAGCTGGAATTCTACTCTGAAGAGGTGGTGAGAGATTAACAGGGAGGCCAGCTCAGTTCTTAGTATTCTTTTTAGTCTGGTCCTCTTATTCTCTAGAGGTTTTTGGCTTGGATCTATTTGAGGTGGGGACAAGGGTTTTGTTGGCTGGAAGCGGGGCAAATCCTGCTCAGGTTGTATTAAAACTTACTATCTGCAGAAGAGGCTGGTTACCTGGTGGCCTGGTTCATAAAGACGCTGGGCCCTTGAGCCCCAAGGAAGGTGATGGAGGACAAACAATGCTTTTCTCTGCTACCTTGCAGTCCTGCATGTGCTCTTCTTCAGGACTCAAAGTGTGACTCAGTGTCATCATGGATTTTGATGTTCATTTCGGCTTCGTAAATTTCGTTTGTGAAATTTCCTCCCATAGCCTGGCGGTAGTAGGATGCCTGACAGTTCTGACAGTCTTTGTTTTCATTCTTTTTTTGTCATTTCATTCTTTTGTGTGTGTGTCATGTACGTTTCAGTGTAAAGTTGAGAAAGGCTGAATCTTGAACTGTTATCCAGATGTCATCTTGGACCACAAATGAGCACATGATATTTTGAAGTTCCTTTTGGTGATTTCCTGTTACAATGGAAATAAGAAAATTGCACGATATATTTCTTGCCTGTGATTATTTACAGAAGTCAGGTGAGACTGAAGGGAAGTTGGAAGATCATCTGGGCCACTGTAACAGCAGCCCAAGAGAGAGGGACTCAGGACCAGGACTCAGGCCATCACGTGGAAATGGAGAAGAGAGGATAGACATGAGAGTTGCCAAATGGGTAGAATATGTAGAAGTTTATTGTCGATTGGATATAGCTACTGAGAGGAAGGGTACATTTGCTGTATTACCCAGGTTTCTGGCTTTGGTGACTGAGCAGATAGATGAAAGTGTCACTCAAAGGGAAGGGAAATGTAAGAGTAAATATAGGCCAGGCACGGTGGCTCACGCCTGTAATCCTAGCATTTTGGGAGGCTGAGGTGGGTGAATCACAATGTCAGGAGATCGAGACCATCCTGACTAACATGGTGAAACCCCGTCTCTGCTAAAAAAAAAAAAAAAAAAAAAAAGAGTAAATATAAAGATTTTCACAAGGCTAATCATGACTTTGTTTTGGGTATGTTGAGATGGGAGTGCCTGGGAGGTTTGCAGTGCCTATATATGCTGTAGGAAGTAAATGCATGGCATTAGAGCTCAGTGGGTCTATCTGTCCTGGATTTGTTGGTCACTAGGATGTTACTCTGCCAAAGAATTGAATGAATTTATGCCAAGGAACTGAACAAATTTCTCAAGAGTGTACCTGTAGAAAATGAAGATAAGAGGGCCAAGGTCAGAAGCTTAGAGACCATGTGTTGTGTTGTGAACAGAGAAAAAAGATAGCACCAAAAAATGAGAAGGAAAGGCCATGAGAATGAGACAGAGATAGAAGATGGTGACCGGTGAAGGGAGGAAGGGAGGGAGGGAGGAAGTGGCGGGAAAGAAGGAAGGAAGGAGGGAGAGTTCCCATTTACGAATGGTTGAATGAGCTGGATTGACAAATGTTAACTCTCCATGTAGACATATGGAAATCGTGGCTGAACTACAAATTTTACCAAATACTTAGCAGAATTCTAAGGTATTCTCTCTGGTTTCCAGAATTGAGGAAGGAATTCAGCTAAAGTAGTGAACAGAAGTTGACACAGTTGCATATTACTATTTATCCCAAAGAAGTGAATGGATTTCCCAAG
This sequence comes from Homo sapiens, assembly GCF_000001405.40. NCBI lineage: Eukaryota > Metazoa > Chordata > Mammalia > Primates > Hominidae > Homo > Homo sapiens. Next base: position 97,411,008 of record NC_000013.11, on the reverse strand, counting down.
GATGAGCATATCAGATGTGAATATAAGGGAGTCAAGAATGTATACTCAGCTTCCAGGACAGGAAACATATCTTAGTAAGTGGGATTATGAAACCCACTTAGGGCCAGAGTCAAGTCTATAGTTTCCCTGTTTAGTGGGGAGCCAGGACCAACAAATGGGCTATCTAGTCAGTGGCCCAGAAAAACTTCACTGACTGGCCTGAAAAAGATGCGAGATTTGCTCCATCTGCCCTGGACGCTGGGCAGGAATCGAATCTCCTGAATGCAGAACCCAGAGATGCCACAGTAGACAGTGGTGCTGAGAGAAGCTTAGAGGAAAAAACTCAAAGGACTGAGGAGACTTACTTGTATGGGAAAGACACTTTAAAACAGAATAGTGCAGTATCTCAGAGACTTTAAAATAAACATTTAAATTGTTCAAAGGGAGAAAATAAGGAGTAAGATTCCTAATTCAATAGTGGGACTTATTTTTGGGGAAAAGGAGCACACAGACTTATAAAAATGAAGCATACAGACATTTTAAACAATGAAAGACATAGTAATTAAAGATCAAGATAGATTAAACAAGAGTGGATGCAGATGAAGAGAAAATTAGTGAAATGTAAAGTATAGCTGATGAAACTATACAGAATGCATCACAGAGAGACAAAGAGGGGGAAAATATGAAAAGCAGAAAGAAGAGACATGGGAACTACTTGAGAAGAGTCAATATACAGCTAATAGAATGTTTGGAAGGAGAAAATAAAGAGCCTGGTGGGAAGCAATAATAAAAAGAATGATTACAACTCTTTAAGAGTTCAAAAAAGAATCCTTAGTTGGAAAAGTCATGCAGAACCCCAAGCAAAAGAAATTTTAAAAATCTGCTTCTAGAAACCTTATATTAAAATTGCAGAACACCTAAGATAAAGAGGAAAAAGAACAAAGCTAGAGGAGAGATCATGTATAAAGGAACAAGCCAAATCAAGGGTTGACTTCTCATGTACCATCTCTGTGATCATAGATATCAGAAGACAATGCAATATCTTCAAGATGCTGGGGGAATCTAGATTTTGTATATCCACTTATATGTCATTTAAGAAAAGGCAAACATTTTCATACATTTCTAAGAAAGATTACTACCCACTGACCCTTCTAGCAACAACTGCTAAGGGATTCACTTCAATTAAAAAAAAATGAGAAATTTCCTTCCAGAAGGAAGGAGTAGGAAGTCCACACATATATGGAAAACTGATTTATGTCTGAAAGGGTATTGCAGAGCAGTGGACAAAAGATACATTATTCAATAAATGGTGCTAGGGCATTTCACTGTCCTCCAGGGAAAAACAAAATGATATTGGATCCCTGCTGCACTTTATATACAAAAATCAATCCTTAGTGGAATAATTTGAAAGGCAAAATTGCTATAGAAGAAAAATATAAGAAGATATCTTTATGACCTTAGGATAAAGAAGAATTTATTAAACCATAAATGAAAGGCTTGATAAATTTGACAATGTTAAAAGTAAAAAACAAAACAAAACAAAAAACCTCTCCCCCAAAAAGATTGACATGTAGAACAATTTTCAGGAGATAAAACTTAAATAACCAAAAACTTATTACAAAAAAAGAGGCTTAATTATACCAGTAATCAGAGATATGTAAATTAAATGACCTGGCAAAAAGGTAAGTAGACTATATCAAACATTGGAGAGAATGTGGCATAAAAATCTGGAAATAGTAAGCGGGATTATGAAACCTACTTAGGGTTTCATAATCTGGAGATAACTAGTGTCCATTCACAGAAGTGAGTTAGTATTTATAGTAGTCACTAATCTAGACCATGTTATGGCATCTTCATGCAGTGGAATGCTATACAGCAGTGAAAATGAATGAACATTAACTCTCGGGATGTGCATGGATGATTCTCACACACATAATGCTGAGTGAGTCAAGTAAGTTGCAGAAGAATACATAATCTATGACATCATTCATATCAAATTTAAAATTCAAGCAATATTTCATGTGGTTTAGGATACATAAGTAATAAGATTATGAAGAGAGGCTTGGGAATGGTATAAACCAAATTCAAGAGGGAGAGTTATCTGATCTGGAAGCATTCACAGAAAGTTTCAACTGTGTTGTAAATAGGTTGCTTATTAAGCTTGGAGGTAGGTAGATGGGCATTTGTTGCTGTATTCTCTATATCTTTTTATTTTTATTTTATATTTTTAGGTTTTTTTTTTTTTTTGAGATGGAGTCTCATTCTCTCACCCAGGTTGCAGTGGCATGATCTCGGCTCACTGCAACCTCCACCTCCTGGGTTCAAGTGATTCTCCTGCCTCAGCCTCCCAAGTAGCTGGGATGACAGACACCGCCACCAGTCCTGGCTAATTTTTGAAGTTTTAGTACAGACAGTGTTTCACCATGTTGGCCAGGCTGGTCTTGAACTCCTGACCTCAAGGATCCACCTGCCTCAGCCTCCCAAACTGCTGGGATTACAGGCGTGAGCTACCACACCTGGACTTTATACCTTTTTAGATCTGAAACATTGCATAATGCTTTTCCAAAATGAAAAGAGTGAACTAGAGATGAGGAAATGGAGAGGGCAGGAGAGGACTATTCTTTCCACCTTTTTTTCAGTGGAAGGGAAGAAAAGAAGAGAATGATTTTTAAAATATTTCTTGACACCAAATGATTTGGAAGAATTTAACAGTCTGTACAATTTTTTAGGGAAACCAACATTTGAAGCTGTAGAATTATGTGCTTAAACTCAATATATTTAACTTAGTGAAATAATGTTTATTATTTGGTCTGTACAAGCTGGAGGTGATTTTTTTTCTTCATATTCCTTATTATTCTCTAACTAATCTAGCTTTGTGAGAAGAATCAATAGTATACATATAGAAAAAGTATCAATGTTAAAAATATTCAGTCATTGAACCTATTTATAAGGAGTATTTTTCCAAAGAAGCTGAAATTTGATGACATGAAGGTCTCCTACGATTTGTAGTCCAAAGGTAGATTGTTTGGAAAATGATAAAGTAGTCAAATACTTCATTATTATTTTCAATTTCAGACACTAAGCTGGATATCTTTACATATCTTATTTCATGTCTTCGCCATAAAACTTACAAAAACAAAAGAGCTCACCAACATCTATGTCTCGCTGGTGATGTGGCACATATATTTTTAAATGTGTGTTAACAGTTATATGCTTTCATTGTCTCCCCTTTAAAATTAAATAAATCTTTTTCTGACTAGGGAACAGTGTGTTCTGTACTAAAGGAAAACCCCTGCTTGGAACAAAGGTGTTGCTGAGTAGTTCTGCCAGAGACTTTCATTTCAAAGGCAGAATTTTATTTCACAGGAAATGTGAATCTGAAAGTATTTTACTAGTAATTAGCTTTTAAAATAGCAAGTGACTTCATGTTCTTCATTTATGCTTGGAAGCTGGACATGGAATTTGTGGGGAATTTTTCTGACTTTTGTGAAATTGTTAGGGACACGCCATATTCTAGCTAAGAAATAAAGATGTACCAAACTCGGCTTTCACCTGAGACATCACCCACTGCCTACGGAACAGTCCTAAGGCGATGGTGAGCCAAGATATTAAGGGATATCAACTAAGTGTCCTGAGTTGGTGATGTTCTAGCGGGGACCCCAGCTCCTTGTACTTTCATCCTCATCTCCAGTGAAATTCTCACAGGATTCATCATCATGACAGCACTCGCTAAGTGTTCAATCTTCTTGTCCTCATTTGTAGATGGTAAAACTGAGACACAGAGAGGTTAAAGGTCTGGCCAAAGGCTCACAGTTAGTAACTAGTGGGAGACAAGATTGGTGCCTAGGCAATCTGACCTCAAAGCCACTTCTCTTCCCATATTTGAAGACATTAAACTGGGACATTGGCGTGAGTGACTGATATAGACAGATTCTGTCACATCCCTGGCTGCTGTTATCACTGGTAAGTTGCGGCTTAGATCTCTACCTCAGCCTTTCACTGATGCACATTCTCAGTTTTACTAGGTAACACATAATAGTTTTCTAAAGTGATACCAATTTAAACTCCAAACACTACATAAGAGTACCTTTTGTTGAATGTTTAAATTTTTTGCTGACCTGATATATATGAAATGGTACCTCGTTATGGTTTTAATTGCATTTCCCCGATTTTTAATGGAGAATTTTTCATGTTTCGGGGCCATTTATGTTTCCTCTTCTATGAAATGCCTGTTCATGTCTTTTGCTTATTTTTATATTGGGTTGTTTATCCCTTTTTGTATTGTTTTGTAGGAGTCCTTAACATATTCAAATATTAATTTTTATCTCCTGTGTGTGTATCAAGTATCTTCTTTTAGTTCATTTTCTTGTCTTCCTTTAGAGCCCTTAGACAAGTAGAATTTCTTAATTTCAAAGGAGTTGAATTTATTAATTTTTCCCCGAAGATTCTAAACTTTATAAAAACATTTCATGTATCTTCCCCTCCCCCCAAGATGGGAAACATATTCTTATGCACTATCTTCTCAAAAATGTATAATTTTTCCCTTCACAATGAAACCTTCTATCTAATTTGAATAGATGATTTTTATGAATGGTGGGAGGTAAGGGTTCAACCTAAATTTTTTTTTAATCCATTGCATAACCAAATTCCCTAGTAGCATTTATTGCATAATTCCCCTGTCCCTACTGATCTTCAATGCCTGTCACTCTGTCATGAGCCAAGGTTTTTTTTGTTTTGTTTTTTTGTTTTTGTTTTTTTTTTTAAAATGTGGGCTGTTTCTGGCTTTTCTGTTTTATTCCATTGGTCTTCCTTGTCTAACACTATATCAGTTCCACACTGCCTTAGTTACTACAGTTTTTGAATTAGCCCTGGTAGGGGTTGGGAGAGCTCTTTACCTTATTCTCCTTCAAGAGTGTTTTGGCTGTTCCTAGTTCTTTGCTTTTCTGTATACATTTTAGAATCAGTTTTCCAGGTACCATAAATAATGCTGTTAATATTTTGATTCAATTGCATTAAAGCTATAGATTAATATGGGAAGATGTGATATCTTAATGATATTGTTTTATTTCCCATTTGTGCACATGGAATATCTCTCTGCTTATTAAGATCTTACAAAAAAGCTGAAAATTTTCTCAAAAAGCACTTGCACATATTTTGTCATATTAATTCCTAGGTATGTCATCTGGTTCATAAAAACCTCATTTACAGCTCCCCAGTCTTTCTTTCCCTGTATGTTGTTGGATGCTCACAATAACTTTGGAAGTCACAAGTTGAACAGGATGGCATCTCCATCAGTGGGCCCACAAGTGACTTGGTGGAGTAGAGCCCCATCTCTCACCTATTTCCCATTAAATTAGCTTTACCTGCTAAGAAACAAATTCTTTTGTTAAGCCACTGAGATGTATCTATTACAACAAATAAGATTATCTTAATTAATGCATATTAATTTTAATCTTGGAAATCTGATAAACATTTATTAATCTTAATATTTACCTGTTGATTCTTTATTTTCTGCATGCAAATGATATTACCTGGTAATAATGAGCTTTGCTTATATTCTTTTCTATATTTTACACATTTTATTTCTTTTTCTTATACTACAGTACTAGCTGATGTCTCCTGTGCAATGTTGAATAAAACCAGCTATGGTGTACCATTTGCCTTGGTCTTGATAAGGAAGGGAGTTATTTAACATTTTACCATTAGCTGCTGTTCTTGGTGTAGGTATTTTGTATATATTCTTTACAATAATATGAAAGTTCTCTTATTACTAGTTTGTAAAGAGATTTTATCATAAATGGATGTTATTTAACGATGTGTTTGCATCTTTGGAAAGATGTTTTTTCTCCATGAAATTGATAATGTGTGGATATATTTGTTTCATGAATTACATTGAATCATAACTTTACTGTCCTTGGCTGGGTTGCAAATCAAATAAACAGCAACAGTTTATCTTTGTTTATAGTTTTGCTATTTTGTTCATCATGGCATTTTTTTGTATTAGTTTTGATTTTTAAAAATATTACATTAAAATATTCTTTATCTCAAGTTCTGGGTTTGTTGGTGCTCCCTTAATTACTATACCTGAGACAGGTGAGTAAGTGGTGATCCAGCCCTGGAGACAGCTTGGTCCAGGCCAAGTCTTTTTCTTGGTCTCCTGTGCCTGTGGAGGCTCCGATGTACTGGAGCTGGGCAGATGCCACCAGGCAGAGGATAGATTTTGTCCTAGCTCCTGTTAAAGTGTTCTTGTTTTTTATTAAGCCTCTGAGCATTTCTTCCTTTCTTGATAGCTCCAAAGTGCTTTTAAAGAGACAGTTTTAATATTTTATCCAGCTGTCTTTGTTATTCTCCTCCAGAGGCTCATTCAATGTATTTATCCCATTGTGCCTCCAGAAATGATACTCTGGAATGTTTATTACTGTAAGATATAAAAACCTGAGTTGTCTGCTGAGCCAAGCCAGTGCCTGATGGCTGGCTCCTGGGTTACTTGATTCCACTGTGAGGCAACCAGACTGTCCCAGTTAACTTTACCAGGAATAATGCTGAGAGGTCATCCTGCTTGGGAAATGACACAAACACAGAAATTCATTTCAAATGGCAAACTGTTAAAAATTGGATTTGTTTTTCAAGGACAGCTAATGCCTTTATAATCCAGGCACAGTTCCAAGAGTTTTTATATGGTAACTCATTAAATTCTCACAACCATCCTATATGATAGATACCATTAGGATTGGCTCCCTTTTGCAGAGAAGGAAGACAGGACTGGAAGTTCACTCACTTGCCTGTGTTCACATGGGCAGAAAGTGGACAGCCAGGATTTGAGCTAGCTTTGCTTCCAATTCTATGGTTGTAAACACTATACCTATTGCCTTTTAGGATCGCAGAATGAAGTGTGGTTAGTGAGTGGTAGCACAGACCAATGATCAACAAAGGGTTCTCATATTAACCCAGTTTCCTGTCTCCTGCAGTGGCTCCTGTGAGTAGAACATGTAAAAGTTATAGTCCCTGTGTCCACAGCTAGCAATCAGCTCATGCCCTAAATATGTTAATTGACCTCTGTAAGGATTTTTACCAGAGTAAAACCGCCTCATATATCGTTTGCTTTCAAAACATATTGATGACTCTTGAAGGAGTTGGGATTATCTGAACACTGATATGTGTTTCTTTAATTACTCGTTGCTTTCTTAAGGGTTGCTTTTATCAATAGTACCCATCAACTGTATTAATTCCCAAGTGTGCCCCACTCAAGCTTGCAGACAATATGTAACAACATAGACAAATCACTTCAGTTAGCTGTGAAATGGCTTTGATGGGTTGGGTAGACCAGATTCTAGAGTTTTATATCCCTTGTGTTCTACAATTGAATTTAGTTCCAGAATTGTATTGAACAAATACAAACTTTCATCTTATATGATGATACCTGGCTTACATAGAATTAATTTGGTTATTTTTTCTGGTTTCTTTTGAAAGAAGTATTGCCACAGGGCTCAGGAATGTAAAAGACTAAAAAAAAATTGGACCAAGTGAAACATGACTTTTACTAGTGCCTTTTTTTTTTAAAGGCTATATTTCTCCTTAAAATGTGTGAAAATTTGCTACTTTTTGAAATCATAATAAAAAATATTTCAGCTTTGAGTTCTTTCTTTTCATCATTCTCCTTTTTCTTCTTTGTGATTAATTTAGTACTATCTTAGGCAAGATACATTTACAGGCAAATTATTTTCTTTGTCAAAAAAGAATCGAATTATGAATTTAAAATCTATTTCTTGCATCAGTTGAAAGAAAATCAAGTGCTTCAATAATGGAATTGACAAATGATGGATTTACCTATTGATAGCAGTTTGGATTCCCTGGGAAGTCATCTCTGAGGTGGGGACCAGTGGGCATGAAGATTTTTAGGGAAGACACCTGGGACCAACCCATGTGGAAGGGAGGGCAGGAAGCACAGTGAGGCAGAAGGAGAAGCTGGGCTCTGTTGCAGTCTCAAAAAGGCCTCAGCTGGCCCCATGAACACCTGAGGATGACTCTTCAGAGTTACTCTGATTTGGGGCAAGGTTGTGGGCCTTCATCCTCTTCCTTCAACCAACTGGACAAGGGGCATGCGAGGAGACGGAGTGAGACTTTGGATCAGGCATTTCTCTTTAGTTAATGCAATTCCAGAAGAACTGACTGCTGCAGCACTCCTGGACCCTGCAGAGTAAGTACTTCAGTCTGCAGGAGGATCTGACAGCACACTGCAGCTCCACTCTGCTATTCACTTTTTCGGTTCTGGCTGTCTTGCAAAAGCCAATGTCCCCCCCCCCCCCGTTTTTTGTGTGCCACTCCCTCCTTTGAGCATAGAACCCCCATCCATTCTAATCACCCACCTGTGCATTTTTATTCCTATTGCTTCTCAGGCTTCTCGCTTGGCCAATTTCTGTATTTACCACTTCTCCAGATCCATTTCAAGAGACTTCTCTAGGGAGACTTCCATCACATCTCCAGCTCTCACCAATCGCCCATGACATTCACTATTTAATAATTTGGAACTCGTCATGAGATATCTCAATATGTATCATGTATTTTGTTTCCATTTGTTTGTTTTTTTCTTTCTGTAAATTATAGCAAGACTATGATGGTTTCAGATTGTTTACAATCTAATAAGGAAATAAGCCCTTTGTTTTTCATGTTTTCTAGCATTTTGTAATACACGCATTAGAGGCTCAAAAATACTTGTTAAATAAGTGGATCTCTGCTTAGCTCCTTAGCCAAGAATGTAGAGTGGGTGTAGCAAATGTATTGAATCACTATTTTAATTTCATAGTTTTAGATTTTTTATTTATGCCTATCTCTTCTGACATCCCAGATTTACTAATGATTCACTCAACAAATACGAATTGAAGTCTGCTGTGTTCTGACACCGTTGTGAGCAAAGGGGATATGGTGGTGATGTAGCTTGACTGTGTCCCCACCCAAATCTCATCTTGAATTGTAGCTCCCATAATTTCCACATGTTATGGGAGGGAACCAGTAGGAGATAATTGAATCATGGAGGCAGTTTCCCCCATACTGTTCTCATGGTAGTGAATAAGTCTCATGAGATCTGATGATTTTATAATGGGTTTCCCCTTTCGCTTGGCTCTCATTCTTTCTTGCCTGCCACCATGTAAGATGTGCCTTTCACCTTCCACCACGATTGTAAGGCCTCTCCAGCCAAGTGGAACTGTGAGTCCGTTAAACCTCTTCTTCTTTATAAATTACCTAGTCTCAGGTACATCTTTATCAGCAGCATGAAAACTGACTAATAAAGGTGGTGAACAAAGCAAGGGACCTACCATCACAGAGATTAAATTCCAATGAGAGGCAGATAATGCAACTGATACAGAGATGAGCAAGATGGTTACACAATGTGATAGCTGCTATGGCAGCAATAAACATAGTGCAGAGATGAAATATGCCACCTGAGGTCTGGGATGAGGTCATATCGCCTTCAGAAGAAAATGATTTTGCTACGACCCAAGAGAGAAGACAAGCATTTCAGGCAGAAGGAAGGGAATTCAGGAGGCAGAAAGAACTCTGTGTCCTTTGAGAAATGGAAGCATTCAGAGGGGTTAGATGGTAGTTTGCTCAGGGGAACATGGTAATGGATGAGGTTGGAGAAGGTGTCGGTCAGGGCAAAGTGGTTGAATTTTATCCTAAGAGCAGTGGGAAGTCAGAGAAGAGTGAAAGTTTCTTGTCATTGTTACTTGTTTGTTTAAAATAGAGGATAGAGGCAGATTTGCCATGAAACTAATGAAGCTTAAGCTTCAGGACCTACCACTTGTGTGAGTCCTTTTAAGAACCTGGGAGGTGGCTCACACCTGTAATCTCAGCACTTTGGGAGGCTGAGGTGGGCAGATCATGAGGTCAGGAGTTTGAGACCACCCTGACCAACATGGTAAAATCCAGTCTGTATTACAAATACAAAAATTAGCCAGGTGTGGTGGCATGCTCTTGTAATCCCGGATACTCAGGAGGCTGAGGCAGGAGAATCGCTTGAACCCTGGAGGAGTAGGTTGCAGTAAGCTGAGATCATGCCACTGCACTCCAGCCTGGGCAACAGAGCAAGACCGCGTCTCAAAAAAAAAAAAAAAAAAAAAAAAACAGAAAGAAAACGAAAAGAAAACCAAACCTGGGAGGAACTGTAGCTTTTGTAGCTTTGTATGTGTTCAAGGTCATGCAAGGTCATGGTTTTATAAAATTGGCAATTGTTTAGGACCACTCTCTTTTTCCATACTGACATCTGTTCCATCACACTCCCTTTTGTGGAGTGGCATTGGACTGGCCATAGTCATTTTTGATCTTTGGCTCCAAAGAAGTTGACTGGTATACATCTAGCTTGGGCTTGGTGAAATACAGTTACATGGCTCATAGCCATTTCTGTGTTTGGCTAATGTTGTTAGCCATCTCAGTATAGGTGCTGCTTACCCAGTACTATGACATGAAGTACAGTGTACGACCATTGGTTTTCATCGCAATGTGAGTGTGTCTTACAGCACTCAGCCCTGGGAGTAAGCAGGTAGTGGAAAGGAAACGATTTGAGGTATATGTGGTGAATGCTAGTCCATGGGACATTCTAGTCATCAGATGCCTACAATTCTAAGCAGAGGATTTATTCTTTATTTATACTTATCTTTTAGGATAACAAAGCACAATTATAAATGCCAATTTTTTTCCTTTTCAAATAAGAATTGTGTAAAATAGAACTTAGAATTCTTGTGTTTGTATGATAAGCAGTGAGGATACGTGTGCGTATGTATATGTGTGAAGTTGCATGTTAAATTATCAATACAAAAACATCTACATTAAAAAGCAAATTTCTTCCAACCACACTACAAGTAAGATTGAATTACCTTTTTGTTATCTGTATAGGAAATGATATTACAAAAAAGTGTTATATGAGGATGTAATCAAAGGCGATGCCGTGAGAAATTTAAATTAAACGTATCATAGTAGTGTGTCCAATGGATAATTTATAAAAATGGCTTTTCTATATATTTAGTTTTGTATTTAACTTTATATTTATTTGGGGGTTCTTTTTCTTTAAGAACTCCCTTCCCCAGTTTTATAAGTTTCCAGCCTCACAAAGCCTGGATCCATCTCTGATGGGAATGATGCCGTGATCTGATTTCTATTTTATGAAAGTGCTGGCTGCCATGTGGAGGGAGAGCAGATCAAGAAGGAACAAGAGTAAAATTAGAGACATATGATGTCTTTGGATGTCTTTGCATCCAATGACAATTCTTTTGAATTGTTACTAACAAGGAACATCAAAATGGTCCAGTGTTGTCATTGGTCTTCATTCACTGCTTTGCAGAGTCAATAGAGTATCTGAAGGGGGATTGGTCCTGAGTACCACAGCACCACTTCTCAGACTTTAATGTGCATATGGGTCCCTTGGGAGTAGGTCTGGGGTGCAGCCTGGGATTCTGCATTTCTAGCAAGTCTTCAGGTAGTCCTGTGGCTGGCTCAAGGACCACATTTGGAGTAATAAGGTAGCAAAACACTAGGGATCTAGAGGCAGACTGGCTGTGTTTGAATCTTCACTTCACTACAAACTTTGTGACTTGTTAAGTTATCTAAAGTTTCTAGTCCTCAGTTTTCTCATCTATAAATAGGGATGCTCATAATAGAATCAATCATTCAATTTATTGTAAAGATTAAATGAGACACTTCATGTTAAGAGGTTATCACAATATAAGGGTACAAAAAATGCTAGATATATTTGTTCTAGCTGCAGACAGCCCACTTGGCCTTTTGGGCCAAACTTGACTATGACGTCTTAGGAAGGGTTACTGAAGTTTCTTATGTGTATTGAAAGAAAGCAAGGGCCTACCCCTACAACACAGGCTAAGTAAAATTAGTCTGGTCAATGCAAACTTATAAACAATGAAATATATTTGCAAATCAAAATTACCAAGTACAATAAATGTTGAGTTCAGTCAGAAATGTGCTAGATGTTGATAAATCACAGATTGTTGTATCCAGAATGGAAGTTAAAAGATCTTGTATTCCAATTGCTTCATTCTGCAGACAAAACAGAAACAAACAAACAAACATAAGGCTCTCCCTGAGGCATTGTGGCTTTGGCCATCACATTCCCTGTGGGTCATGTCTCCTAACTGAAAAGCAACAGAAACCATGATCGAAATATTTTATTAATTCTTTGCAATCTATAGAAAGCAATCTTTATTCAACCCCCCTTATTATAGCTATGGGTTAAATTGTGTCCTCCCAAAAACATACGTTTTAAGTCCTAACTCCATACCTGTGAATGTGGTTTTTTTTTTGGAAATAGGGACTTTGCAGATATAATAGAGCTAAGAAGAAGACATTAGGGTGGGCTCTAATCTAATATGACAAGTGTGTTCATAAGATGATGTGAAGGTAGAGACATGAAGGTAGAGACATACAAGGGGAAGGCCATGTAATGACAGAGACAGAGTGGAGCCATGCAGCTGCAAACCAAAAAATGCCAAGGACTGAGAGCCACCAGCAGAAGCTAGAAGAGTCAAGAAAGGATTCTACTGGAATCTCAGGAGGAACACAGCCCTGTTGACACATTGATTTCCAACTTCCAGCCTCCAGAGTTGTAAGAGAATAAATTTCTATTGTTTTTGTTGTTGTTATTGTTCTTGTTGCCTAGGCTGGCGTGCAGTGGCTCGGTCTCAGCTTACTGCAACCTCCACCTCCTGGGTTCAAGTGATTCTCCTTCCTCAGCCTCCCAAGTAGTTGGGATTACAGGTGCGCACCACCATGCCTAGCTAATTTTTGTATTTTTAGTAGAGACAGGGTTTCACCAAGCTGGTCTTGAACTCCTGACCTCAGGTGATATGCCCACTCAGTCCCCCAAAAGGCTGGGATTACAGGTGTGAGCCACTGCACCTAGCCTAAAATTTCTATTGTTTTAAGTCACCCTTTTTGTGGTTTGTTATGGGAGCCCTAGGAAACTGATACAATCCTCTTCCTCCTTTCTCTATTTTTAACAGGTTCTGTTCTGCCACATGATAAGCTTCTTGAGGGCAGAGCATTGGACTTTGGCCATGTTCACATCCCTTTAATGGCTTAGCAGGGCTTAGATGGTGCTCAGTGAACAGTTGTTGAATTGAAGTAATTATAGGTTTCCACAAAAATAATCTGGCTCATTATTTGTTATTATGAATTTTCTATAATTTGCCCATCAGTTTTTGGCATTAATTGTCATTGAGGAAATAGAAGAGGCGCCTCTTAGTTGCCAAGAGATGTTTGGACAGAAAAAGGAAATAAATACTTACAGGGAAACACAAGAGCTCATTTTAATATTATTTTAAGAATAATAATTGATATTCACTGAAATCTTGCTAAGTGTCGGGTCCCGCTCTATCTGGTTAGCATATATTATCTCACTTAATCTTCATTATGTCCCAGCAAGGTACATTCGGTTGTGAGACTCGGCTTATTGGCGAAAAAACCTTGATGCTTAGGAGCTGTTAAAAAGTACAGTTGAGAGTTAAACTTGGGCAGCATGACCAGAAACTTAGCTCTTAACCAGCTCTTAAACTACTGTGGAATGCAGACACTGATCTTTCCATTCTGTAGCTCTGAAAAACATTCGACTTTGTGTTTATGAATGCTAATGCGTTTAGATTGCTCTCTATATAAATATATGCGTGTGAGAGTGTTGAAAATATATTTATTCTGTAGTACGTTTGTTACTTCCGTATATATCTGATCAATTTGCTCAGACATATTTAGAGCTTAAGAGGCAGCTTTTCTAAGCTGTCACGCTACTTTGAATACATTTCTCTCCCTCTGTAAAGCCACACATTTTACATTAAATGCATGGGTTTCCATCTCTGGACTGCAGAGCTTATTCACGGATCTCAGGAAAGAGACCTCCTTGCAACAGGAGCACTTTGCTACGATTTGGCTTGTGGACTTTTGTAGGGTGACCTTTTGTTGGAAGGAGATGTTCTCTAGCAAAAGAAAAGTTAGACTGCTCTGATTTAGATCATTTTAGTTTACACACAAGGACAAATATAAATCTCTTCCTTCATTTATATAAAACAAAGAATTGGAAAAACCCACAGAAAAGTTATGAGAGAAAGGGATCAACAATAGTAACATTCAATTTCTCAGCCTCTCTGGATGCAGTTGGATTTTAGGGGTACACATTCATGTGTGGCCTTTATGCAGAAATTTATTCTCTCTGTCTCTTTTCCCTAGACTTTCAAGTTCTATCTTTTCACGTGCTGCCTCCACGTGACTAACTGCATCATGACTTGATGCCACATTATTATTAGGAGAAATTCAATGACCATCATTATATATTTTATTTCAGGAGAACCACATAGAAGCTCGATAAACAAACAAGCAAACAAACAAAAAAACTCTGGGTAACACTGGAGTAATGGTACAATGTAACATTTCTTCTATTGCCTCCGGTCCGAATAAAGAATTGGGCCATGTCCTAAATCTGGCAGAGTACTTTGTAGCCCATAGTTTCAAAATATTTCCTAAATCATATTCTTGGGATAGGGAAGAATATCTTTATCTTAAGTAACCAAGTAAAGGATTCTTATAACTTCAACTTAAACCTGGATAAATGCTTCACTCTGAATTTTTTAGTGAAATTTTGACTGGAAGGCTACCACAAATAAAGCTCATTTCAACTTGGCTGTAGAGTTGGGGCAAGCCAGGGTTTGCTCTATGTGATTTCGAGAGTTATTTAATTTTTATGAGTCTTGATTTTTTTCATCTACATTATAGGTATAATAGATTCTTTGTAACCCTAAGGATTACGTAAAATGTATGTGAACAAAACCAGTTACTCTCTGTTTATGCCTTATTTCATGTGAACAACTATATGGGTTTTCACCAGATTTGATGGGATATCTGAAATTGTTTCATTATAATTTAGGCCAAGTAGCATTTATACAATTTACATGGTGGGTGCCACAGGGACACCTCAAATGGGTGGACATTTTTCAAAGTAGCTGACAGTGGAGGAAACTGAAGTCACAAGCCAGTTGGTGAAAGCTTTGACACGTACTGGACAGAGGTTTTCAGCTGAGCCGGGCAGCTAGTCACCCTAAGGGCAGACACTAGTAGTGTTGATCTAGAAGCAAGTTGCTTCTCACAGCAGAGTCTCTATGTACGTTGAAGAGGAATCTCTGTATCAGTCAGAATTCACTTATCAGTTGTTAGTAATTCTCTCCAACACAGGGTGGGCTTGTTAGAAACATATATAGAATATTTAGCATAGAACTTGGCACATAAGTAGGTCCCTGGTGAACATTCTCAATTCCACCCATTCCCATCCTTGCCATCTATCTCCCCAACTAAGAGCATAGAGGGAATCATTACTATGTTTCATTCTGTGTGAATCATACTTATTCACAGTGACTCAGTCATTTCTATGGAGATAAATCAGTCCAGCAAAAATTGCCTAATATTTCAGAGACACCCTAGGATATTTTGGAGGTGGGGAGAGGGGGTGGGGGTTGCCCCTGCAGAAATCATTCTGCAGGGAACCACTACCGTCTTTTTGTAAATATCAGAACATTGAACTTTATTTTGGTTTTCCTAGCTGCCCCTAAAATCTGTGGCATTGCAATAGAACTTTAATCATAAAGAGTATATTTCTGATTTGAAACATCATTTTAAATTTGGAGAGCCCAAAACTGAAATGACACTTCTCTTTTGTCAGATAATTATAAGATAATTGATATTTTATACCCAAATATTTTCTATGCTGAAGAGATAGTTTTTTATCCTGAGAGGTTTAAGTTTTGTTTTTGATTTTGATGTAGTACCATAAATAGCCAGTCTACTGATAGAAATTATACTTCATGAACTACAGTTTTAGATTTTTCACTTAAAATAATAACTTGCTCTCTGAAGTTGACATCTTGAACTTACTATTAACAGAATGATTTTTGCAGGGAGTGACTGATGAGATAGGTTTTCCTTTGCATTACAGTACAAAAATCACTCATCCAAATATATAGCCATTTTTTCAAATATCCACAGAGGTGTTAAAAGTATTTTTAGCCTTGGAAATCCTGATGGGATAGTTAAAAAATACAAGCAGCTTTATTTGTATCTGCTGAATATGGGTGTTTTCTATGCTATATCATAACCACTCAGGAGGCCTGAAGCTTTAAATCTGCCATGGAGAAAACTCATGTTTCTGCCTTGGCCCACAGAGAAGGCAATTTCTGCTAATCTCAGTGTGACAAGGAGTGTTCCCACCCAAAAGGCCAATAGCACCTTCCTTGACAAATATGGTGGGTCTCAAAAGGCTGAAGAAGGAGCTTCTGTTGCTCCTTCTGCCCACACACCACCTCTTAGGAGGAGACTGCTTACTGACAGAATAGCAGGGACCCTCATCACCCTCTCTTTGCTGAATTCCTGTTCTATTCTTGAGCCACCTAGCTAGGACCTCTGCATAGAATAGAACTCACCATTCTATCTCTTTCTGCAGCCTCAGGTCTGATTCATGTTATCCCATCAAGCTCTTACAGAAGCCTCTATTATACCTTAATGGGTCCTTTTTAAAATCTAATCTATTCATGAAACTGACATTTTGTTTCCCATTTAGTTACTGATGCCATTGATCCCATATCTTTTCATTATCAGTCTGAGATGTGAAGAAGAGGGCTGAGTGGTGGGCTTTATTTTCACTTCTAATTTTAAAGAATACTAAAAATACTTCTCAAATTACCATTTTTAATTGTTTTTCTTGCTGCTAAAAAGCCAAAGCCAAAAGCAAAAACTATCAGTTTTCCATTCGAAGACCCGAGTTTGGTCTTCTTTGAAGTTAACAAATACTGTATGTGTGAAGGTGAAAACTATTTTGTTTGGTGAATTATCAATCTGTCTCAACACAAAAAGAAGGAAGACTATACAATCCTTTTAAATGCTTCTTTTATTTCATTGGTTGTACATTGGGTGAGTGAACTGAATATTACAACCAAAACATAGTATTGATACAAATTAGACTCCTGTTTACACTGTAAGGTAATGAATGAGGGAATTCTTTAAGTGTTACAGAAAGATTTAGTAGAAATGTTACCAGTGGTATGGCTGAAAGAATATTTCGGTGAAGTGCTGTTATATCCTGAAAACCAAGAGTGAAATGTAGTTCCCATACAAGTGGAGAGTTAGTCTCTTAACTACAGTATTTGTTGAACTGATATCTTCATGTCTTGGATATTGGTGATTTTTGTTTTTTAATTAAACAAAGCATTTAAGATTTATTCATCATAGTCAGACTTCTGAATATAAACAAACTTTTGGCAAATAATATTTATACAGAAAAATAGTTTTAGATCCTCTCAAATCCCAGAATTATTCTATAAAATTACATTATAAATAAATAAAAAGCAAAATCTGTTGTACATATATTTGTACATCTATGCATTTGCCTTGCCTCCTCCTTATTGTAAATGGCATATTTATGACTCTTTGCATATTGTAATCACAATTCTGGAAAATGGATATCATAGTAAAAAATACAGTCTTCTATATTTGCTTGGGGTTACAGGTGATGTTTTTGATGCTCCATTATTAAAGGGCTGAAAATAGTTGTGTGCTAATAATTTTAAAAATCAAAATCATGAAACAAAAGAAAAAAAAGAAAGACAATGTTACAACAATTAATCTACAAAAATATTTCAGTGATTCCCATAATTTACCTTTTAGTAATGTATACTATGTTTTCAATGAGTTTAAATGAATTAACAAAGAAAAAAACAGAAAAAAGAAAACAAGTTTGAATGTTTTAGGCAAGTTGTAGCGTAACTACATTGTTATAGTTGAGAAAATTACAAATATCAATAATACATAAAGATGAAACTACCAAAGTAATACAAGTTAGATACAATACTTTTCCACAAATTAAAACAAATGCAACGATACAAGCACTATGTAAGAATACATTTAGCGTGTGACTTTCTTTTAGATAGGGTTATCAGATCTACGATATAAGATAAATAGATAGTAATTCGACTTTGACCAACATGAATTAAAATGCAGATTTCTTTTTTTCCTCAAACAAATAATGATACGGTTGGTGCATCTAGTTTTCAGAACAGGCGATGATCCCAAATTTAAAATATTTTACATTCAATCTCAAAAGTCAAAATACTTCAATCACTAATATGTTCACAAAGAAAATGGATGTTTGAAACAATTACACATAATATTCATTTATAACAGCTGTTTTGTTTTTTAAACAATAATTTAAAAACTATGTAGGTACTGTATAGGCTATGTGCAACATATAAAATGTGAAATATGAAATATTTGGTACGATAGTGCTTAAAATAAACTTTAAAACAAACTTTCTGAACAAAATTTAATTGTATCGCTATTACCTTGAAGATCAACCAAGTATTTAAAAAAGTAAACAACATTAAAATATGTTTCATCCATATATAGTATATATATGTATGTGTATATATAATATGTATGTACTTGTATTAAAGTTTTTTATACTTTTGAGACATAAAATATGCTTTAAGGTGAAAGAATTAAAAGAACTATTTTTTTCCATGCTGTAGTCAGTTACAACCCTTTAATCCAACTTTTGAAATGCAAAACAGTAATGGATTTTTTAAAAAGTGAAACTATCTACTTTTTGTTTACATAGTAATTTAGATTAAAGTCACAGTCAAATTTGCAGTGACTAAACTCAAACTTACTTAAATTAGAATATTATACAGATCTCCTCACCTACAGCTTCCTTGTTTGACTAGGTTTTTAGTTAAGAAGAGTTATTCTGTAACAGGCAACTGGATGGTGAGTTTGAAAGACTAATCTCTTAGATTAGACTGTTGGCATGGGCCTCTCAATCTTGTCAAGCTGGATGAAGTCTGGCAAAATCTAGGCACTTCTACAAAGTCTCTCTTATAAAACAACTTTAAAAATATACTTGTAAAATAATACCTTCAAGACTTTGTTTGGTGGGGTATGAAGCTCATACCGTGCAAAGTTTCTTTTTCAATCTATTTAATGTTAATCTAGAATCACATGATTCAACGTGGCATCTCCAGGCAAACCAAACACCACACTTTGATGTGTCCCCAGTACTTGTGCTTGAATTTCCATTCAAATTTTAGACCTGCAGGACAGGTATCGGTTTTACTTCACCTCTCATCTTTGCTGCAGCATTTATATTGTCAAGAAGTGAAACATACCCTTTGATCCAGTGGGTAAATGACATGACAGTAATTAGAGCTAGAATCGAACCTGCCCTTGGAATATGTTTCTTTTTTAACTAATGCTAATTGTTTATTGCTAAATTTGAAATATTCTGAATCGAAATGAGTAAACTGGCTGGACTTTCTGCATCAGCTATAGTTATGGAGATAAGACAATATTCCTAGGACAGAAACTATGTTTAGAAACCCTTTAAAAGTAAACTTTATCCTTTATGTCTTTAAACATCACAGCTGGTCTCAGGTAGTTAACTATCTTAGGTTGGAATATACTAAGCATACCATATTTAATACTCATATATGAGATAGCAGCACTAGCTTCTTAGAGTTGTGGTCTGTCCAGAAGAACTACATCTTTATTTAGCATGCAGTTTGTGGCAATTCTATTGAGGAGGAAACAGGATAGTATGTACAGTAACAATGTTTAGTTATTCTCAATGCAGATTCTTGGCATTCCATTCCGTTTCTGCTGATTATTTCAGAATTATCTGTTAAAGAGAAAGACAAGCATGATTTAGGTATCCTTCTGGGAGGAAAAATAATGAGTTTAAGTTTTACTCTTCAAAAATAGACATTTGAAAATCAGAGTTTTCTTCAATCTCTCATTATTTTGATGCAATTATAAATTTGCACAATACCCGCCCTTCATGCTGAAAAACTTTACACTTAACCACTTCTGCTATGTGGCCACTATAAAGAAAGATGATTCAAATGCACAGTACTTTCTGGAAAACTGTGGCAGCATATAGAGAGGCATGCATGTTTAGACCACAATTTCTTTTTAAAATTTTTGCTTTATAGCTCTTTATTATACATTCACATTATTGTCCAATTCATATTTGCTACGGTGATCAGAAAGTCTAATCAGAGAATTTGTTTGTACTGAAAAGTCATTTGTAAGGCTTAAATATAAATATTTCAAAATCTATAATAATCAGATATTATTTATCTATTAACTTGCATTTTTAATTCAAAAATGTATTCCCATCAAAAGTAATTTTGTTCCCAACACATAACGACAACCAGTTCAAATTCAAGGTATATTTAAATGTCACATATCAAAGAGTAAAAGGGATAACAGTCTATTAAGGCAGTTAAAAAGTTCTTAATACATCCAAAAGCACAGCTAAAGCACAGATAAAGGTAAACTATTAAGTGCAAGCTGTGGTCCCTTGAGTCTGATCTCTAAGTTCATTTCCAGCTCCATACCTTTGCAAAGGAGAAGGAACTTGGCCCGTGTGGTCCAATCCATTAAATGTCAAGGTTAAAAGCCAAGTTTTTAACACACCGTAACAAAACTATTTAATCTTTTCTAATGCTTTGACCAAATTTTGTGTAATTAATAAGCAAAGCGTTTATTCATTAAACAAGAGTCTGTTAGGAAATAACTGGTAAAATTTGTTTATAATGAGAGTCAGCTAATACTTCTGCACACTAGGATTCAATTCCCAACAAAAGCCTTATTTTCCTAAGCATACTGTATTATCCTGTTATGTATAATTTCTCCACGTGGATATTTTTTCCCTTTAAGTGAGTGCTCCTGTACTTTATATGCAACAATTTTAGTATATGTTCCTCCCATGAAATAAACATGAGTATTCTTTATTTTATTGAAACAGACAGATGTGTAGAGAATTCATAAAAATAGAGAAAGAACTAATTTACATTAAATATTTATAGTAAATGGAAACTTAAAACTTCAGATAAGGTCATTCTTTGATTCTTAAATATTCCTAGGAATGTAAAATTAACTGGGAAAAATAGCATTCCTTGTCTTGTGTACTAACAGACATGAATAAAATTAATAAGATATTATTTTATATGTAAACACAGCATCTAGTATTTGAATACTATTATCTTTGAATATTATCATTGCCAATAGGTAATATTCAAATTTTCTAGATTTAGATATTAAATAGAAATGTTTTGATTTCATCCCTTAGTTTCAAGCCTATCTGTAAGTTTTCCAAATAAGAACGCACCCTAGTCCATCAAATCATGTCTGATTTTTCTTTTTCTTTTACTTTTAAAAAAAAAGTTTCTAAAATAACTCTGGAAAAAAAATTGCAGTTTCTTTCTTTCTTTCTTTCTTTCTTTTTTTTTTGAGACAGGGTCTCCCTCTGTTGCCCAGTTAGGAATGCAGTGGTGTAATCACAGCTCACTGAAGCCTTGAATTCCTGGCCTCAAGCAATCCTCCCACTTTAGCCTCCTGAGTAGCTGGGACTACAACCACGCACCACCATGCCTGCCTAATTTCCATTTTTATTTTTGTAGAGATGGGGTCTTCCTGTGTTGCCCTGGCTTGTCTCAAACTCCTAGGCTCAAGAAATCCTTCCACCTCAGACTCCCAAAGTGCTGGATTATAGGCGTGAGCCACTGTACCCAGCCAGTTTCTTAAATTGATATATAATAATATGTATTTTAGAATGCATTTAGATTCTTGCTTATTTGCTGAAATTGAAATGCTATAAAGAATGAAATTCCTAACCATCTGGAAAAGAAGTATTCTATGAAAAGCATAGCAATGGCAAATTAGAATGGGCAAACGTGGGTTATGGAAGTTACCTATGGCAAGGCTTTGAACTTGTATTTGACGAACAGACATAAATGACCACTGAAATTTAATTGGACTGTAAATCAGTCTTGGAGCTAACTAAAGCATAAACTAGTCTCACCCAGACTGCACTTCCCCTCTGCCCCAGTCTACCGATGAGCTATTATATGAATAAAGACATCAATAAAAATGAGCCCTGGGACTATTGAACTCTCAGCTGTGACTGCTGCCTGGCATCTAGGCCAGAAAACTCTGGCCATCCCCTGGTCTTTGTCTTTGGCTGTCATTTGGTATAAAAAACGAATCACACTCTTGGCATCTGTGAACTTCAAGAGGTTCAACAGATTTAATCTTAGAAGGTGGGAAAGCTTTGGGTGTTTTTCCTTATAGGTTCCATTTTTGGGTGGCAGCATTTTTCTTGGAAATATCTTCTGATTATTAAATTTTTTTTTCCTGAGAAATACAGCTTGCTGATACAGTCTGTATTATCTGTACTCTGGGGTGAAATATGCCCTGGAGATATAGACAGAACAGGGATACAGATCAAGAACAGTTATCAACTGAGGGCCTGTCATATCACTAGCACCCATCTGATTGCACTTCTGTTGTTAGGAGGCACAGGACCTTACAGGCCCGAGAGTCCCAGGGGAGTGTGGGACAGATCTAGCCGGAAGACCACCCACAGGACAGGAGGAAAGTGGAAAGCCAAGTGTGTGTGCTTGTGGGGACTGGCGGGAGGGAGAGGAGAAGCTGCTTTGAGAGAAAGAGGAACCTCTTGTCTAGTTTTTAACATGGCTTTTCTTTATTCAGATTATATGTTGATTTAGCACTAAACAAACATAATTTAATGTTTGATGAATAGATACATTTTGTGTGCTTTCCTGTTACCTCTTTTCAGAGATTTTCTCCCATACCAATGATATATATATATATATATATATGTATGTATGTATATGTATAAACTTTTTCCATCTTTATTGTAGTTTTGTGGCCAGGAGGATCAAAACCTTCATGGGGTGCCTGAATATTTCATTACAGATAAGAAACATACCTTCTTAAAATACCAGGCTTATATGTGGCCCTGGCACATGGGCTACTCATCTGATGTGGATCAACCTTAATTTTGAACTTCTCCATTTCTTAAAATGCTAATTAAAATACAGTTCACCAAAGTGAGCTCAACAGACCAACTGTCCATCACTTCTTTCCTGTCCTGCATTTGGTCAAAGCTGGTGCCCAAAGTTCCCTACTCAACCTCCAAGGCACAGCACCCCATGCTGTCTTGAAAGGGAAGTGGAAAACTCATAGGGTCTGCCAGGGTATGCGTAAGTCAGAGAAACAGCCACCACATTGGGGGTCTCCTGCCAGTCTCCTCTCTGAAGCACCCTTGTTTTTGTTTGAATTTTAAGATATATCCCCTTGATTTTCAGGAGGCTCTGAGAATTTACAAGCTAGAGTCTTACAAGCTAGGTCAGTATTGTGATCATATTTTGCAGACATGGAAAAGATGACGTGCATAATTTTAACTGGCTTGCACAATGTACAAAGTGCTTGCACAAACCAGCATGAGTTTGGAGATGTCACTCTGCTCATTGGTGAAGGCATCCCCTCCAGGGCATGGGGACGGTCTGAGATAGGGCGACGGGACACAGAGGTTCCAAAGAGCATGGCTGTGCCTCATGGAGCCTGCTTCAGAGGGTGCTTAGAAGAACCCCTGTGAGCTTGGGAATCAGGGGAAGGCGAGGCCCTGGGGTGGAACCTACAGCAAATGCACTTGGAGCTTTAGAGGGGAGACAGTGAGACTGTTTGGAGGGGCTAGATGGGTGGAAATTGCTGGGGGACTGTGAGGCTGCTGGGCCTCTCATTCAGGGCATCCTTGCCTGGGTGGTCAACCACATCCTGCCCCAGGGCTCCTCCAGATGGATGTTGCAAACGTGTCTGCTTATAGCATCAGAACACCCTACCGCACCACAGTGCCGCTGCCTCAGCTGCTGAGAAATCTTGGCAAACTATGACGGTAGGAAAGAAATCAAAGATATTCAACAAGCTATATTTCTATTTGTCTCCCTGGGAGACTATTGCCTCAAGTAAGTAGTGTTTTATATAACAAAGCACCATGACAGGAGAAGGAAGTTAAATTATTAAATAAGATTCTAGCTAATCTAGTATGGTAAATCAAAATTCTGAACTGCAAGCATTATTTTCAATTCCTTTTTCCACTAAAAGGAGAACAGACAAAAATAGGAATAGCTGATGCCCACAGTATCTGTGATTCTGTTTTTAAGGCAAAGATACACTTGATCTCAAATCATGAGTACTTTTCTAAATCTTCAGTGGCCCCTCTGGGTGGAACAAGAGTATCTCTGATGCAAAAATATCAGCTGGCTACAATGGAGTCTGCTTATCAATAAGGAAAGGAAATCACATTAAGTGAATTAAACTGTCTCCCCTAGGTGGTTGGATTTAAGAATCTGATGATTCTGCTCAATATACGTTCTCAAGTTACCCCAATGTGAATCCAGTACCTGATTAGTTTCATATTTACTTGTTGAAGACAAAGCATGAATGGCTTCAAAAGCATCAAATGGGTTATTTTTCTATCAAATATGTTATGAGCAGCCATTTAATAATTATAGTGTCCTCAGTGAATTGCCTGCCATTGACTCACAGTGCAGTGGTAGCCAACCTTACTAAAAAGTGGACCAGATTAGGTACTGTCTAATACTAAGCCTCCTGGGGCCAGGCAGGAAAGATATGTAAGTGAATAGGCCAGGTCGAGGGTGTGGCAACAGCCACTCAGCCCCAGCCAAGTGCTACCTGCGGAAACATGGGCTCCATATTACTTGACCTTTTCATTTGCCAAAAGAAGCTGGAAATTCAGCAATGAATTCACATCACAGAAGGATCATATATATCTTTGGGCTAAATTCAGCTAAGAGCTGCTGGTTTGTGTCCTCATCAGCTTTACTTTCTTGAAGGCAATATCCACTATATTCACTAAGTCTGGATGGCTTCCTGAGCTGGCATCAGCCAACGCTACAGGCAACATCATGGCAGGCAGCAGTGGTAAGAGTGAGACCAGGAGAGCAGGTTTACAGGAGAGTTAGTCCTACAACTTTCAGACATTTGGCTTTCGCCCAAAGAAAGAGAGTATGTGACCAACAAGGCACCCTCTACCTAAAAAGAAAATACCAACCCTCCCTTGACTGAGTCATCAGTTATGAAACATGCATGTTTTCTTGTCTCTGCCATGTGATGATGGATTTAGGCTGAGCCATCCATACCTGTCACTCATGATGTGCGCTCAAAAAAGAGCTGAACAGGGTGAGAAACACACTTGGTTCAAAGCAAAATAGTCTCTGCAGAGACTGAAACACTGAACTTGAACTAATCAGCACCATGAACTTAACAGCTGAACTAACCAGTCCTCATGCAGAATGGTGCAAGAGAAGACAAATCAACGTAGAATTTCCTTAGTATTTCAGAGGTACCAAGTATTAATACATTCTGGGTTTTCTACCTTGAGGTTGATCTCCAGGAATTGTACGTATGTATAACTTTGGAAACTGTGGGCTTCTAGGTGACTTCTAGAAGTGTTTATACTTCTTATGTAAAAGTGCTCATTTCAAAGATTCAAGGATGTCAGATGAGTTATTTTTTAAAATGATAGCTCAATATTAAATTTGGTAAGAACTGTTCCTGCTCTGCTTAATTGATAGGAAAACATTCCAGTGAAAATGCCAAGAATTTCCATATATGCAAGTCATCAAGCAATTAGAAAAGAGAAATAATGGATGTTTTGGTTCAGTCTTCCTGTGAATAGCCATTAGGACTGTCTTTGTAATGTTGAGTTTGGATGGCATAGATAAAAAATACCTTATAACATATTTGTGCAGCCTTGCTAAACTACTAAGGAATCTCAATGCATCTTGATGTCACTAACATGGAATCTCAAGTGGGTACTTCCAAGCAGGGCTGGTGCACTAACTGGGTCCACAGCCAAACCAAGCTCTTTAAGGACAGGGGGACTGTCTCATTCATCTTTATAGCCCCAGTATCTAGGATAGGGCTGGGAATTTATTAATTGTTGCTTGCATGGATGGCTAAATAAATTGAAGTCATTGAAGACACAGTGCCACAATGCTGGCATCAACAGAAGACCACCAGACCATTCATGGGAGAAACAGGAATGGGGCAGAAAAAGAACCCTTTGCACAAGATGTGTCATCTGTGCACCTTGTTAGGGTAGTTAAGGACTCAGAAATATCTAAGAGAAATAAACATTCCCTCCCCATTCTCCCATTCTCCCTACTCCCCATTATAGATAAAGGGGAAAATATTCCAGGCTGGGGGCAGAATCACTCACAGAGAAGGGAAATACAGCAGATAAAAATTCACCTAAAGTAACCTTCTAGACTTGGTAGGTTTCTTAGAAATCTTTTGCCATGGTTACAAGGCCCTGTTTCCCCAGAAGGCAGTTAAAGATATTAATAATATTTCACTGCCTCTTTAAACAAAATTTATTATTAATTTAAAAATAGGCAATTAATTGGCATTTCCTAAAAATAGGGCTAAGCTAAGGAGGCTCGCACGTTGCTCACCCTCCCAGTCTGTGTTTCTTCATCCAGTGTTTTCTTCTGATTCTGTCTCACAAGTTCCTTCTTCCCACTCTCTGTTAGCATTGCTTCCTCCTTTAGTCTGTGCACCATTTAATATTCTCTCCACCTTTTCCCCACTGCCCCACACCTCTTCTCCACAGCAGCCATGACTGTCTGAAATGCCCTGATCTTGCCTGAGAGGCTACACTTGTGAGATCTTTCAGTTGAAGCAAACTGCACAGAGGCAAAGGGACATGTGTACATTTTGACTCCAGTATAATTCAGTACTTAATCACAGTATGGATTACTGAAGTCAAAAGAAGTGTCTTAGTCTCTTAGTGAATATATGGTATCAGATAAAAAAGTAATTAAAGCAATTATAATTATACATGTTAACAAATGTACACTTTCAAGAACTTTCTTTGGCCTATTTCATGACTATAAAATTTTAAATATAGGCCGGGTGCAGTGGCTCATGCTTGTAATCCCAGCACTTTGGGAGGCCTAGGTGGACAGATCACTTGAGGTCAGGAGTTCGAGACCAGCCTGGCCAACGTGGTTGAAACCCTGTCTCTACTAAAAATACAAAAATTAGTTGGGTGTGGTGGTGCACGCCTGTAATCCCAGCTACTTGGGAGGTTGAGGCAGGAGAATCACTTGAACCTGGGAGGTGGAGGTTGCAGTGAGCCAAGATTGCGCCACCACACTCCAGCCTGGGCAACAGGACGAGACTCCCGCTCAAAAAAAAAAAAAATTAATTATATAAAAAGCTCAGAGATCATCAGTAGTATATGAAAAGACACTTAAAAATAGTCTGATTCATTATTCTGGGGGAATATTGTTCGGAGGTTGGGCAGTGTCATGCCATATTTGACTTATTTTCAAAATGTAGTTTTATTTGCACAGAAAAGGCATACACTGAGGTCCTGGGGAAAAATTATCAAATATGACAATCAGCTTTACTCTGGAGAAGAGCACACTGAGGTTGTAATGTCCGTAATATTTCATAGCACCTTCAAGAGGAGTTTTGCCAGAATTATTGTTTTGTCCTCTGCTGTTTAGTAGAAAGTTTATATTCAAAGCTCTAATTCCCCTAGTTTCAATGATACTTTTTGTGGATGACTCATTTCTGTCCAATATTTTCCACTTGATTATATTTGAACAAAATATTTTTAGATATACTAAAGAAAAATTGTCATTTAAAACTATTAATAATTGACGTTTTACATGAAAAGCAATAATACTGTCCTCGCTGAAGATTACTGACCAGGGTTCACATTGACAACTTAGAGTATCTGGATAAAATTCATAAACGGGAATGCTCAACTTTGAATAAGATTCTGCTCTTTGCATGAGTCCATGTCACATGTAAAAACATCTAGGTTCTTATGAGTATTGCAGTTAGGCTTTGATTATAATCCCCTCCCTGACTCCAGACAGTCTCCTTCAATCCTAGCTCCCCTGGGGGAATTCTGAGGATCATTTCTGTGGCTCTCATGCTGAGATGGGAATCTTGTCCTCAGACCATCTAACAACCCATATGTCATCCAAGGGTGAACACTTTTCTTCTCCTATATGATATAAATGAGGATGAAGGTAAAGAGGCATGAGAAGGAGACTTTTCTTTCCTGGCCCTTTCCGCTGGCGTTCTAGAAGTGTTTTAAGCAAAGACATATTCAAGAGCACTGTGTATTTATTCAGAAGGAGGGGAGTTATGCGACTGTGTTTCCTCAGCAGGTGCCAGAAAAGGTAAAATCAAAACAAAACCCTAGATTGGAAGGACTGCATGATAGCCAGGAAAAAAAAAGTGAAACCCTGTCTCTACAAAAAAATTAGCCAGGCATGGCCCAAGTGAGGCTAAGGCAGGAGAATCACTTGAACCCGGGAGGCGGAGGTTGGAGGTTGTGGTGAGCCAAGATGGCGCCACTGCACTCCAGCCTCGGTGACAGAGTGAGACACCCTTTTCAAAAAAAAAAAAAAAAAAATAGTTGGCAGATGAAACCATGGCATCAAGAGAAATGGGGAAGAAGGTGGTGTGAATGGGTCTGGTGGCTACCCAGAAGCAGGCCCGAGATTTTATCTTCCTATTCCTTACCCAACATTTGTGATTCCACACCATACTTCCCATTCCGACTCCACAGGCTTTCCCCGGATGACATTCTAGTCATGGAATTCACCAGGGATTATGGCGCCTCCACAGCTCCAGCAGGTGGAGGAGGTGACGGAATTTTCTATTTTCTGTTGCATGGACATCTGGGGGTTTGGTGATATGTTTCTTGAATCCCAAAGATATAGCAACATCATAGACATGAGTGGCATTTGGCCTGGGCCATGCTTTAGCACTGTGTTACTTATAAAAATGCCACAAACTAAATAAAATGGTTGTAGGCCAGCCCAGAGATCTAACCACCAAGGCCATGGCTGTCTCTGTAGGAGAACTGAATTTCAAACCAAATGACAAAGGTAATTTTGAATATGTTTAAAATTAGGGACTGTATGTGTACTAAAGCAGGATAAATTCCTCTACTAAATCAAGAAAAAATATATAATATGTGGGACACACTAAGAAAATATTTGAAAGTGTTTAAAATATTTACAGTAAGTTGTGTAGGAAGTGAGGCTCTCTGAGATTAAATAGGCTGCTTCACTGAAGATGACTCCTGGACATAAAGTAGAATCTGAGAAAACATTTTTATACCTTTAAAAATCAGCACTGTATTCACTGCTGTATTCCCAAGGTAGGTCTTAATATTATGTAACATAATATGTAATATATGTAATATGCAGACAATATGTTACATAATATTAATTAATATAATATGTAACATAATATTAAGACCTACCTTGTTGTATACATTGAAAATATTTTCCTAATATATCTATTTTTGTTCATGGTTATTGTTGATATAAGTATATCTGGAATATTTTAAAGAACAGGAACTGGCAACTCAGGAGTGAAAAATAAAAATTTAATAAACGTGAAAGTTAAAAAAATTAAAGCAACAAGGGAATTCCAAAAAAATTCATTTATGCAGCAACAGAAAAGAAATTTCAAAAGCATTCATATATGATATGGGTTTTTTTCAAAATGAGATTTTGCTCCCAGTAATAAATTGAAGATTCAGGTCAAGAAAAATCACAGAAACAAGATCTTGTTGGATTTAACATAAAATGTCCAATCCTGCTCAATGCCCTGCTTTTGTATCCATTACCATTATGTTGGACTTAGAATCCTGGGCACATTTTGGCCACAGTACCCATTTTAACAGTGGAGTAGAATGTGTAATTTAGCCTGCTAAGAATTGGCTTTCAAGGCATCAAAGGGAGAAAAGCAACCAAATGCTAAAATGCAGTAAAAGGAACAGTAAGATTAATGTAAGGTACTGGACTTGGACATGTGTCTTTGTGTATCGTCATCATCTTACACATTTCTCAAACTGGTGGGATGCTGCTGCCATATAACAAATTTTCCAGCAAAAAAATTAGTGTTTTTTTCTTTTTAGTTCTTTGCCTGTGTGTGGTGTGTGTGTGTGTGTGTGTGTCAGAGAGAGGGAGAGAGAAAGAGAGGGACAGAGAGGGAGAGATAGAGAGAGAGGTTAACAAAAACCACTCAATTGTGTGTAAAATCTAGGTGCAAAGGAAAAATCAAAAAGAGTACTGGAGGGGAATTTCAGGAGGCTTGTCTGTGCCACCAGTCAGATTTGTGCCCTTTCGAGCCTTAGTTCCTCACTTGGCTTGTATCACGCTGGCACCTCTGCAGTGCGGTAAGTAGTTAAGCCAGGTCACCATCTGCCCTCCCCAGTAAGCCCTCAGGAAGTGCCAAAATAGCCAATCGTCGGCAAAATGGAAACCAAAGGAGGAAAATGTTTAGAGGAGGAGGAGAGCTCCCACATTATCTTGTATTTCTTTATTACTAACCATCCCCCATTAAAGCTCGGTGGTGAGGCCCATTCTTTCAGCATCACCATTTACTTTCTGAGATGACCCTTCTCATATGATAAGGACTCTGACTGTAATTATTTGTACATTTGTGTATCGCCTGTCCCCCTCACCATGTAAGACCCATGAGAGCAGGAACTACTGTTTTCATTGCTGTATTCCCACAATTCTGAACTGTACATGGCTCAAGGTGGGTGTGGTTTTTTTTTGTTTGTTTGTTTGGTTTTGCTAGAGTCTTGCTCTGTTGCCCAGGCTGGAGTGCAAAGGCGCAATCTTGGCTCACTGCAACCTCTGCCTCCCAGGTCCAAGCGATTGTCCTGTCTCAGCCTCCCGAGTAGCTGGGATTACAGATGCCCACCACCACACCTGGCTAATTTTTGTATTTTTAGTAGAGATGGGGTTTCACCATGTTGGCCAGGCTGGTCTCAAATTCCTGATCTCATGTGATCCGCCCACCTCAGCCTCCCAAAGTGTTGGAATTATAGGCATGAGCCACTGCGCCCAGCTCAAGGTGGGTTCTTAGCGTACATTTGTTGAGAGAAGATATAAAGATATGTTGCCACAGACATGGTTTCATTTAGAAAGAATACGTCTTTGCACTCAGTTCCTTACCTTATGAAAACAGAATTCTTAAAGGGAAATGTGGCAGCCATAAAGAATTTTTAATGCAAGAAGAACCATTTTATACTATAAGATTTTATTAAATGAAAACCTAGGTCCAATCAGACATTGTCCTTGTCACTCCTTAATCCTTTCTTTGGAGAAATGACCACTCAGATCTTTTGTCTATTTTTTAAAATTGTGGCAAAATAGACATAGCATAAAACTCACAATTTTCACCATTTTGAAGCGTACAGTTCAGTGGCATTAACTCCATTCACCTGGTTGTGCCACCATCACCACCCTCCATCTCCAGAATGTCTCCTCATTCCAAATGAAACCTGCCCCCGTTAGAGAATAACTCCACATCCCCCTTTCCTGCCAATCCTGAATCCCTTTCTCCTTCCATTCCTTCTTTCCCACCCTCCCACCCTTTCTGTTCTCCTTCCCATTTGGGGCTTCGCAGTGAGACCCCTGGCTCTTTCTGCTTGTACATCTGAATCATCATTAAGATCCCCGTTTGCTTCCTCATTTAGCTCTGTGGTTTCACTTACAACTGAATTAAACTTCTAGTTGTTCCCTTTACAGTCGCTCCTGCAGGCTGCCTAAAATATTCATCCTCAACTAGTGTTGTTACGTTTACCTGAGATCAATTTGAAAGTGAGGTTCTGTGGGGATGGTGAAGAAAAATAGTATCTTTATTTTTAAATTATTATTGTTAAAAATTAAAAAGTGAGTCTCGATTGAGAGGACTCTTTTTGATAGACTCTTTTCAGGCAGAAGTTGTGTGCCAGTTTTCCCACCCTGGGAAGAGTGAATGGTGCCTTTTCTCAGTGCTTTCTAGCTCTGGTTCACTGGACTGAAATTTGGATTCTCTTGCTATTCTCACCAAGCAACAATATTTTCACACCATTTCTGATATTGAGCTTGGACTTTAAAAAGTTTTCGCTTCTACTAAACTTTCTTCTCAACTAGTCAAAACTTTTCAAAGCAATAAACTCAGTAGTTCGGAGTTTTTAAGGGGAGTCATATGAAGAGGTTCATCCCAAGCCTACACTGACCATAGATTCCAATCTAATTCAAACAAGGTGGGTTCACAAAAGAACAGGATTTGCAGGCATGCAAGCCTGAGGTCTACACAGATCCAGTTGCTTCCTACCTGCTTGAATCTTAAGCAAATTATTCTCTAAGATGTGCTCACTTATATAAAATAGATAAGAAACTTCACAGAGTTATGTTGAGTAGTAAGAGAAATAATGTATATACACATCTGATATGTAATAGTGGTTTTTGATAAATGTTGCTTCTCTTTCCTTAGGCTATTATTTTAGGATTCATAATCCTAAATAATTTTTTTTCAGTTTCTATTTAAATAGACATTCAAATAATACTATGGTTAACTTAAATATTATACGATCTGTATGGCACCCCGTATGTTGGAAATAAACTTGGTTTTGAAGAGATTAAGATTCTTAAATATGAGCACTTAATTCCTTTTCTGTATGTGTATCTCCTGAACTGTCACTGATGATAAAGTATAAACCGAATTTCTCTGATTTTTCCTGAAAGTATTGACTGTCAATTCATGTTAATCATTTTTCAAACTAAAATATTTTATTATGAAAGCATCAACAGCCACCAGCTCATGATAATCAGTGTCCACTGCAGTAGGAAGTTGACATCCCATGAAGGGCAGGATTTCCCACTCTTTAAAGTTAAACTTGGTTCAAACCCGGCTTCTAGGCTTAACAGATATGTTACCATACATAAGTTAGTAAACATATTTTATTCTTAGTATTACTCATCTCTGGAGTGGGAATTAAAAATTGTTTCTAACTTACAGGGTTGGTGTGAGGATCAGATAATGTATTTAACAAGTGCTTGGGGATAGTAAGCATATGATAAATGCCAGTGTTATTACATAATAACATTTCAATTATTTTCAAGTAATGTTTCAATTAAGTAATATTATATAGTAATATTTCAATTATTTTCATTTCCTGGTCTAAGCCACAAAATGTGAATATGTTGAAAAGGCACAGTGTTTATTAATAATTCTTAGATCAGTGTGCTGAGAGTAAATGACTCTCTACGGACACCTCTGTGCATCCAGTCTCATCTAATAAACATCTGTCTTTCAAGCTCCAAGCCTTCACCTCTCCCCACATAAGTTCCACATAAGCAGCGGAAAGATGGAGGGCGCTTTCTAGTTCACGTTAAACCATTCAACCAACTGATCAAAAACTCCAACCCAACAACTCTTAAATACCTTTGTCCAAGGCAAAGGAATACAATGGAATTTTTCTTCTCATTCTTTACACACTTCTTCGCTTTCCCTATTTTAACTTTTTTCCTTGTGCAAAGCCATTCTTCACGTTACGAGGTTCAGAGAAAAGCAAAGAAAAGAATATGAACAATAGGAATCGATTTAAACAATTCCTTCTGTCCTAAATCCTCTAAGCTAAAGCGGTTCTCTGGACCTTTTGCATATTTCAGTATAACAATGACAAATATTGAAAGAATGATGAATGGAACTGTTATGAAATTATTACTAGGAAAAAATACTTGGAGAAAAGGAGGGAATTAGGTTTGACTTCTTCAAGTATCTTTTTGATTCCTCAAAAACTGTTCTAAATTGTAGGGAGGAAGCAAATTTATTTTATTGAACAAAGTTCAAATAAATGTAGAACCTGCATATTCAAGCTGAATTGCGGCTTGATGGAGGGGAAAGAGGACTAAGCATATTAGGAGACTGAGTTTTATCCTAATCCCTTATGTAAACTTGACTAAGGTCAGTTAACCACTCTAGGTCCTTTTCCTCATTGGAAATATGAAATATTAGGAGCTTCTGGAAAGTTCTAAGTCTGGCTTTGCCACTTAATGTTATAGTATGATCTTGAGCAATTTCTTCAGCTTCTCTAAACTGGAGTTTCCTCATCGCTAGAGAGGGGATCATAATGGTCCCTTACAGGACGTGTTGGGTTTCAATGACATAATTCATACAAAAGGCTTAACCCAGTGTCTGGCACGTGGTGGGTTCTTTGTGAGGGTAGCTGAGTTATGTTGTCGCTGTCTGTATGCCCTGGAGCAGTTCAAGGCCCCTTACACGATCCGTTAAAGCACTTTCTCAGGAAGGCAGTGTTGGGAAGGGAAATAATATTGTTCTAGGCAGGACATGGGTGATCAGGTCCTGGGCCTGGCTCTCTTGCTATGTGTGTGAATTGGGTAAGCCACTTTGCCCATCTGGGCTCCTATTCCAATTTATAATGTAATTTGCATCATAATTTTTCTTTTTTATGTTTTGTAGAGGTATGGTATGATGGTGGAAAATCTGCTCTTAAGACTTACTGCCTTTCATATCTATGATGTAATTGATGCTGGTCTCAAGTCAGACCTACAATGCCTGATGTGCCTGTGATCAGGGGAAAATGGGCAACATTCTACAATGATCGCCTTAAAGATGCTGCTTCCAGAAATGCATTGCAGCAAGCAGTAAAGATTATAGGAAGTTCATTGACATGTGCTCTGAGATCTTTGAATACTCCAGAGCAAGGGGAGCAATGATAGGAATAATATAATTTGATTATCGAAAGTAAAACAAAGAGACCAAAAGCTCTTACATTTTGTTCTTGATGCTAAAGCATGATGAATTCTAACTGCTAGATTAGCTATAGTTTGTCATAAACTGGTGTTAGAAAATGCCAGTCAACAAATTTGTCCTTTATAGTACAAATCAAAATGAAGGGGTATAGATGAGAACCATCCTTTTTATGGTCAATGGGAGAGAGGTCTCATAGGAGCGTTATGTGACAGAGAGGAGAAAGGCAGTGAAATCCACAGACACCACAGAAGTCAGAGAACAGCCTCTGGGTGAGCAAAGGCAAGCCAGGGATCATGGAGCCTCTCTGAATTTCCCTGCTTCAGAATGATTCACCCTTTTCCCCTCAAATGTTCTCTTTTCTCTCTATCCCAGTTTCATCACTTTGTCGATGAAGCAGCTTTCTCACCAGTTAGCTTGACTTGGGCTGGCTGTCCCTGCACACCTCTACCCATTCACTTTCAGTTGGTTTGAGTTTCCAAGCCTCTCATGGAACCTGTCCTGTCCTGTTCTCATCCTGCACTTTAAGGCCCTCCATAACCCGACCTTCTGATCCACTCAGCTGCAATTTCTAGGACTGCCCCACCATATCCTCCTCTTCACGCTCCCTGGTGTCTCCCACTCACCCCACTCGCTGGCTCACATAAGCCACAGTGTCCCCTCTTCTTTAGATCTGACACAATCACAGCTGTTCTCTCTTCTTCTATCATGAGATATAAAGTCTGAGATGGATTCTGAAGTTCCTTTCTAAACCACACATGCTATCGAGGAAGAATGTTAAACAAGGGGAAAAGCATTGACTTCAAAGTCAGACAGATGTGAGGCCAAAGGCAGGCTCTGCTACCTACTGGAGCTGTGACCAAACATGTGACGTCTTCACATGTAAAACAGGGAAACAGAGTCCCGGTGGGTTTAACATAATGGCGTGTGGAAAGCAGATGGCTGGTGCATGGGTAAGCATGGGTTCCCTTTTCTCTTTGCCCTACCTCATCTCCACCTCTTCAATTTCCAGCTGGTCATGGTGTCAGGAATAACCTCACCTGTCCCTTCTCTGTCTCATTCCTACACACCCCTCAGACCTATGACACTTCAGGGATGAGGCCATGCCATGGCGCTTACTTTCCCAGCAGCAACGTTTGCCAGCTGGACTTGGTGTTTTATGACATTCTCTGCTTGTTTCAGATCTCTTTGACTAGGCAGTGAGCTCTTAAGTATCGTTAGCATTTCCCCAACCTGGTGGCCTCTAGAGTGGTCAGCAGACCCAGTCCAGTCTGACCTTGGGAGTCACTGCCTCCAGCAATGTCACCCCAGAGGAATGCCAGAAGGGGCTGAGAGACCAGAGCAAATGCCAGTGTGTCTTTGACGTGTGGCAGCATCTTATGTGTTTGGTAAGTGGAGCCTCAGTCTTGGGTTTGTCCGTCCTCCACATCCACCTGCACAGAAAAGCTGTCAACTTCCCCAAATGCGCAGGCAGACGTGTGAGAAGGTAGGCATCGGGGGCAGAGCTTGGGTAGATAAGTGCCCATGAGTAGGAATTCCATTCCGCTCACAGCAACTCTTATAGAGAAGAAAACCCTGCCCGTTGTTCATCCCTTGAAAATGGACCTGAATTCCTTCACTGTAGCTAGTCTCTCTTTCCTTACAAATCTAGAGCTGGAAATAAACACCCATATAGGATGAACTATATATTCATTTTGCTCCAATGAGAAAACCTAAAATTGGAGAAATGGAACATGATTTTACTACCATCAACAAAAGCCAAAATACGACTGGGAATATGACTTTTCAGCCTATAAAAGACCCCCTCCAGTCCCATCAAACTGCAAAGGAGGTCGGGCACAGGGGCTCATGTCTATAATCCCAGCACTTTGGGAGGCCGAGGTGGGTGGATCATGAGGTCAGGAGTTTGAGACCAGCCTGGCCAACATGGTAAACCCCGTCTCTACTAAAAATACAAAAATGAGCTGAGCGTGGTGGCGGGCGACTATAATCCCAGCTACTCAGGAGGCTGAGGCAGAAGAATCATTTGAACCTGGGAGGCGCAGGTTGCAGTGAGCCAAGATTGCACCACTGCGGCCGGGCGCGGTGGCTCACGTCTGTAATCCCAGCACTTTGGGAGGCTGAGGCGGGCGGATCACGAGGTCAGGAGATCGAGACCATCCTGGCTAACACGGTGAAACCCCGTCTCTACTAAAAATACAAAAAATTAGCTGGGCGTAGTGGCGGGCGCCTGTAGTCCCAGCTACTCGGGAGGCTGAGGCAGGAGAATGGCGTGAACCCGGGAGGCGGAGCTGGCAGTGAGCCGAGATCGCGCCACTGCACTCCAGCCTGGGCGACAGAGCGAGACTCCGTTTCAAAAAAATAAAAATAAAATAAAAAGATTGCACCATTGCACTCCAGCGTAGGTGACAGGGCGAGGCTCCATCTCAAAAAAAAAAAAAAAAAAAAAAAAAAAAATGCAAAGGAGGATGGGATTTGAGGTGTTATGCAAAGGACCGTCCACAGGCAGGAATGTGCCGCATAAGGACTCTTGACATTTTCTCTTCAGCTGCACAGAATTGGAGCTGATATGATGTCTTTATGTGCTATATACAAAAGAATTCTACCCAAGTTTCTCACCAAGAGGTGTAAATTATTCATGAAAAATGAAAATGTACTAGATTACAACACTTACATAACTGAGCCTTTTCTTAGAGAATCTGCAGATGCATTTATTAATTAAACTTCAGGGTAGGCCTGCAAAGCAGCTGCTGCTGAGGCAGGAAAATAAAAAGTCTATTGTCTACTTATTTTCTAATTTCTTGAAGAGAAAAATTAATGTGCATCTATATTGTTCTCATAGATCCAAGACCACCTAAGATAGACAGAGTATCCCCCAACCTCCTCCTACCCTTAATATATATATATATATATATTTTTAGCATACTAAGTAAGTCTGGATTGTGCTATCCTTAGCCATGCATACAGTGGAATTCAGCCTCAAACTGCCAAGGAGCTTTAACGAATAGTGTTAACTGAATGCAAATGCTGCAATTTTTATAGTTTTTTTTTTTTTACACAAAGAAATTGTGCAGGTTTCAATCTCAATCCTTCCACTCTCTCTCTCTACTCTCTCTCTCTCTCCTGCCTTCTCTACAAAATGTTTGATATGGCAATTCTCCCTCATCTGAAGTAACCACATCCATTCTCCAACCTGAATCCCCCCTCTACAGTTAGAATGTAAGCAAAAAGTTAGAGGTGGCTAAACGACTTAGGCAGCATAAGGCAGAGAGAGATGTCTCGGCCCTGATTACTGTTTACAAGGGCTGGATTCTGACAGTTGCTGTCTCTGCTTTTTTGGAGAACAACATACGTGGGGCCCAGCTGCTTTCTGTAATCTGTTCCCAGGCACAAGCAAACTGCGAGAAAGGAGTATTTCACAGTTTGATCAGCCATCCATAGAGGCTGGCCACTTTACCATGTATTTCAGGAGAGAGAGAGGACAGGATCCTACTCCTCCCACACTGGGGCCTTGCTGAACCAAGATTTTTCTTGTGAAACAAAATGCAGGCCCCAAAATGGGTCAAGTGGTGAATAGTGGGGAATGTTTAATGCCTCCTACATTTGTCTGAATATAGTCCAGACAGATGGCATTGAATAATAGATGTTTTATAAAACTCTGAGATGAGAGATGAAATAAAACACGATCTTACCTTTCTAGACTTCTTGGTTAGTATAGGTTAATTTATATATCCAAGAACCCATATACAAATAACTTTAAAGTTATGTTCATGTTTATAGGTGAGAAACAAGCTTTTCTCTTCCCTCTTCAATACTTTATAGCTGGCCAGATAAAACATAATATATGTCTGGTTACATGTTATCTTTCTGATAAGATATCATTGAAATTGATGATCATATATAATAAAACTATGTCAGGTAAGTCTAGAAAATGAGATTTTCTAATTTATCAAATATAAATAGAGGGCTGTATGTATATGACATATTATCAACTAATTTCCAATAAATTCTTCCTAAGGCCAACTTTGTAAGGCCTTCCTAAGGCCAATTAAGTACATTAAGTTTAATGTACTTAATCTTTGGAGGAGAGTTCAGAAGATGTGGTAAGACCTTTATGACATATTATCAACTAATTTCCAATAAATTCTTCCTAAGGCCAACTCTCTGTTGAATGTACTTAATCTTTGGAGGAGAGTTCAGAAGATGTGGTAAGACTTTGAGGTCATAATATTAAACATGAATGATCATTTTTGGAGATGTGATTAAGTGTTGGTTAACATATTGCCCAGAATATAATCTGATTTCGTTAGCTTCTAAGGCACTTCTTGTGATGCTCCGTAAAAAGATTCCCAATATTAATATGTAAGAATCTCTTTCCCTAGCAGGGACTCACGGGCCAGAATGAATTAGATGGATAATCTGTTCACTGTCCATAGAGCTCTGATTTGGAGACATGGACAATATGCATTGACTCTACACCTGAGGGGACTCTTTCCTTTAAGCAGAAGCCTGTGGTTGGAGGTAGGGTGAGCTTTTGTGGCTCTGAGTCTCATTTAGGTAGGAAATGGGAAGGCCCATGTGAAAGGTGAGCACATTGCATGTGTCCAAACAGCGAGGCCACACAACTGCTGTGCTGGCAGGGACTGAGTTTCACATCAGCCTCAATCTCTCTTTCTACCATGTGACATTTATTTAGACAGGTTTTGCCATAGTACAAAATCATTTTTATGTTTCTCTTTTGCTAAAAGTAACCTCCCTTTGTAATGGGCAAAGGCAAGACAAAGTAGGCCACTTGCCAGCTGCCATTGTCCCAGTTTAGGCTCTTGTTAAAACCTCTTAATGGCCTCTACAGACTCTCCCGCCTCGAATCCATCTGCTCACTCTTCCTAGAGTACTGTTTCCATCACTATTCTGCTTGAAAATCCTTCAGTGGCCAAGTCAGGGCCGAACCCTTTAACTTGGCATCAAGGTACCACACAATCAATCAGAATCAAACCTACGCTGCAGCCGCTCCCACAAACGGATGCTCTGATCAATCTGAATGGGAGTTATTCTCCAGCTGAACTTGATACTTCCCCAGCTTTCTTTGTAGACTTGCATTTGTCTTTCTTTCTATTTAATGATGGTGCCTTAAGGAATGTGCAAAGTCCTTGTAGAATTCAGAGGACAGGGAAAGTACTTCTTGCTGGGGGAGGAGGAGAGAGATGTTCAGGGAAAGATTCGGAGTATAAATTGTATTTTAATTGTGCCTTTAAGAATGTGATTAAGTAAATTAAATGATCTGTTTATAAATGAAGAAACTTAAAGTATATTTATTTGAAAATTATTTTCTCTCC
Source organism: Homo sapiens (assembly GCF_000001405.40). NCBI lineage: Eukaryota > Metazoa > Chordata > Mammalia > Primates > Hominidae > Homo > Homo sapiens. The sequence continues at coordinate 97,371,184 of NC_000013.11, read as the reverse complement.
CTTTGAAATAGAATGTAACTTTGAAATAAAAAATACTAAACAAATTACAACTTAGAATATTATAATAATTCAAGTTCAGGAATTTTACTCTGCACTCTCATTTTATTAAAATTTATTTTCATATGAAAAAGCAGGTAATCCATTACTAAGCTTTACCTCTTCTAATGTACACTCTAAGATTAAATTTGTTTCAATATAGGCATCTTTGACAGATTTACATATTCTGGTCCTTGGTCAATGGACTCAGATTGACTAATTTACATGCTACCTATCATTTCCCCCCCAACCAATTTTTTTTGTTAACAAGCTATTTGTGAGATGATTAGTAGAGGTTAGGAACAAAGTCTATGACAAAAGAAACCCATGAACCTGTTTCCCTAAGACAAAGGACTAACTTTTTCTTAGGTTATCTTACTTCTATAAAAATTATTGATAATTTTCACTGGTTATTTTATTACACTGAAATAATAAGGTCCATTATATGGTTTCTTTCTTTCTTTCTTTCTTTTTTTTTTTTGACGGAGTTTCCCTCTTGTTGGCCAGGCTGGAGTACAATTGCGCGATCTCAGCTCACTGCAACCTCTGCCTCCTGGGTTCAAGCAATTCTCCTGCCTCACCCTCTCGAGTAGCTGGGATTACAGGCATGCGCCACCATGCCTGGCTAATTTTGTATTTTTAGTAGAGACAGGGTTTCTCCACATTGGTCAGGTTGGTCTCGAACTCCCAACCTCAGGTGATCTGCCCACCTCGGCCTTCCAAAGTGCTGGGATTACAGACATGAGCCACTGCGCCTGGCCCATTATATGGTTTCTAAAGATGACCTGGCTACTTTACATAACTAGCTCAAAGCTCTGTTCAAATCCAGCTCATCTCTCCAGTGTAAGATTCATCTTAGCTTGAGCTGCTAAGGCAGTATACCATCATGGTTAAAGCAAGTCTTCTGGAGCCAAGTTTCAACTCCAGCAAGACCATTTAGAAGCTGTCTGACTTTGGCTGAGGTAGCTAACTTTTGTTTCAGTTTTACCATCTATCAAATGGGATGATGATCATTGTACCCATGTCATAAAACTATTGTTAAGAATTGAGTGTCTACATCTATACGTAACTATCCTGTCTTACATAGTATATAATAGAATATATGATGATATGTAATATATTACATGAGAGAGACCATTTAGAATCATACCTGGCACATAATAAGAGGTTTATAATAATAATATTATTACTATTAGGTATAATTTGTCTATTAAGGCCCAAATACCTTAACTGAAACAGAAAATAGTGCTTAGTAAATCTGTTTGTTGTATTTTTGTTTCCTTATCTGCTCCCAAAGCTAAATAATCAAAAAACATTTTATATTTCCCAAACATATTTGGATTCTGTCTTTATTTAATCTCAAACCACCAGTCTAAATTCAGTGAAAACTTTTATTGGTGGCACCTTGATTCAGCCTGAGGATAGAGTGGCTTGTTCAGCTTGGCTCCCCGTGGGGTAATGTGTAAATAGCACTAGACCTAAGAAGCTGTCATGGGATGTTTTCATCTATCCTCTTTCTTCAATCAATGACTTGTATCTAATTACAAATGCCTGTGAGATTTTAAATATTTGAACTGACAGTCTGAATTGATCAAATTAACAAAAAATCTGTCAAAATCCCACTATATTTTGTGTTAAAGACAGAAAAGAAGGCAGGGTGCTTATCGGTCATCGAACTCTGGAATCATTAGTTTCACTTTCATTCTGTTTGTGTTTATCTTTGTAATCTCATGCTTTGGGCCTAAAATAATAGTCACTGAACCTTTGGTTCACTGAATCTCAGAGCTGAGAGGGACTCCAGGGGCATCTAGTTCTACTCCTCCTTTCACAAATGAGGAAACTGAGATTCATTATGTTTAAATGACTTACATAATCCACGTGGGTATGATTCTATTTGAGTTTAAAGAGTGAAATCTTAACAAGATGATAACTTGTTATTTCAGTCATTACCAAGCCCTGGGTTTCCTATGACTGGATGCTAAAATAATTGCCAAGGTCTTTTGCTGATGCTTTGCTCTTTGAAACTTATTGAAAATACATAAAGAATATCATATCTGGAAATTTGTGTTCACTATTATTTATTTTTCCATGGTTTTTATCTGCAAGCAGACCTGCATCAAGAGCTGCTAAAGGATTTCTCTTCTTCATCATTTAAGTGCAATCCAGCAGCAACTATTACATCTGATAAACTGCAAAACACTGAATATAGGATTCTTGAAGCTACTGTCAGGTACTCCTTTAATTACATTTCTTTGGATTAAATTGAAATCAGAGTTCAGCTATGCTTGCAATTAAAGAAGTTGAAACCTCAACTTATTTCCTTTTCCACTCGCACCCTTCCTGAAAGTGATATATTTTAGCTTCTGAATATTCCATGCTTCCAACCTCTGCCTCCCTACACACACACATACACAGACACGAACACACACACACACACACACACACACAAACTTGAATATACCTATGGAATCTCTCTCTCAAAGTTTTTTTTCTACTAAATGGAGCCAAAGAATCACTAGGCTTGAACAATATATATGACACATGGTCAAATATTTATTATGCTAAAATAATTTATCCTACAACTCCAAACTATTTCTTTATCTTGGCTTCTTTTCCTTTCTTAAAAAAGATCTCTAAGTGCCCAAAAGGCTAAACTTATCATATAGAATTTCACTGTAACAAATACTGCTATATTATACTTCAAACTTGTATTTTATTTTATTTTATTTTATTTTAAGACAGGGTGTCACTCTGTCACCCAGGCTAGAGTGCAGTGGCATGATCATGGCTCACTGCAGCCTCGACCTCCCCAGGCTCAGGCGATCCTCCCACCTCAGCCTCCCAAGTAGCTGGGACTACAGTGTATGGCACCCCGTGCCTGGCTAATTTTTTTCATATTTTTGTAGAGACCAGATTTTACCATGTTGCTCAGGCTGGTCTCCAACTCCTGGGCTCAAGTGATGCTCCTCCCTCGGCTTCCCAAAATGCTGGGATTACAAGCATGAGGCACTGCACTCAGTCCAAACTTGTTTTCTTATAAAAGGACTTTGTAATAAAAATTGGGTCAAAAATCACATAAACATAGTTCAAGGAGGCAGGACTTCAGACTTGAAAGAAACAGGTATCCAGCTTCCCTATTAAGAATGAGTGATTGAGAAGAGCTTTGGACCTAATAATGGAAAGATGCAAACAGTCTCACTCCCTTCTCCCATCCCACATTAAATAATAATCATCATCATCATCTTCCCAGCTAAGGAACTAATCCTTGCCTGTTCTTTGTTCTGTTTGTTTCGAAGCTGGGTTGGTTTTCCTTAGAGGACCGGTTGGCATTTTAGAGGTGGGAGTGAATTGCTGAAGAATCGTCCTCAGTTGATTGACACCTGCCTCTGCACTGCTGTTCGGCCTCCCCTCCCTCCCCCACTCTCTGCTCTCTCCTGCTCTGTCACAATGCTGAGGCCACAGTCAGCACTGTCACGGGGTTTAACTTTTATTCCTGCATTCCTGTCCACTCACGCCTCTCTTTGTAGGGATGAAATCTGCAGAGCTGGAATCGTGGATTCACTTGAATGTGGAAAGCAGCATGACTCAGCCCTCCCAGCCTGCAGAATGCGGGTTGGGACTGCCGTGATCCCCCAACACGATTTCCCCTAATTTCTTTTATCCCTTGTCATCTTTTATTAGCAGAGCTGATTTTATTTTTAAAAACCCATGAAACTAAAAACCAAACCAAAATTGTTCTTCTGTGAAGGGAGGGCATGCGCAATGAAGTATTCTTCCAGGCGAGGTGAGAGTTTCTGCTCACTCACCCTCACGCTGTCTCCTTGTGGCTAGGAGCACATGTTTGCAAGTTGGGAGGCTAGGGTCACGGATACAATCAGCTTGTGACCACAGAGTAGGAAATAGCAGCTGGCTGTCACTACGAAATAGTACATCCATGGTCTCACTGGCACATGCATTAAACCAACAGAGTTAAATGCTCCTCATCAGTTATATCCAGCCTTTGTGAGTTCAGCGGCACCCATGACTCTTCATTCCGGATGGTTTGGCTCTTAGGCCAGTATTGGAGCAGATTGTAAGGTGGGAACCAAGTGAGTTTGGCAGAACCTAAGACTGAGGTCAAATGATCATAAGAATTATTCAGACCTCAAATATGACACTTAGGCCTCAAATATGACTCTTTCTAAGAGGAGATTTTTTTCCTCCACACAGATGATAGGGTCTGAATGAACCGAATTAAAATATAGCCAGTTTTGAAGCACCCATGGGTGCGCGTCTACAATTTTTATGTGGCCATTCACAAACCACTGGATAGGTAATGCTGTACTAAAAGGAATTTAAGCCTGTCAGGTTAATTACACAATATTAGGTACGAAAACAAACAGTGCAACACAAAACATAGCTACATCATTATTTGCAGTAAATGTTAACTCTAAATAAGTGCAACCTGTCTGTAAATGCTTGCTATAAACTAATTAAAAAAATAAAATTTGATGGATAAACATGAAAAAAAAATTCTCACCGAGAATTTTTTTTTTAAATATCAGCACTCATTTAGAGTTTGGGATTTGTGAAAGAAAGCTTTAAAAGGAGCAAACCTGATTGGCTGTGGCTGTTGCTGCGAAGGGGACACTTGTTGCAGGAGTTGTTGCTGCAGAGACAGTGGCGGACGTAGCGCTGTGCATCATGGGTACTTTCAGGAGGGGAACCATGGGAGCAATGAACAGGAGGGTGTAGCATTATGGTAATAGAAGTGGTATTTTGGCATGGTGAATATCAGAGCAGCAAGCCATCATGGGTTAAACCAGCAGATGGCATGCAATCACAATGCAAAGCAAGGAAGCATGGGAGAGAAATAAAAAAGGGAAAATAGCTTATTACAAGTACAATTAAAGGAAGTTTTAAAACATAATCAGTGATTCCCAGAAAGGCCAAAGCAGATTACTTTGGTTGATGTATTTATAAACATTTTATTTCTAACAATAGATCCATTCCCAATTCAGTGTATACAGTGTATGCAATAATGGTTGTTTCTAAAATTGTGAAAGGTGATGTCCAGTGAAGTAAGAATATGTGATCATCACTTTTAATCATAAACTCTGAGACATCCAAGTCTCCATATGGAGACCTAATTTGGGATAGGATGTTCTTTGGAATTATGGTTAAATTGAATTTTTTTTTTCAATTTAGGACTGCTTATATGAAATGCAACTGCTGTGGGTTGTGGTTTATTTGAATCAATAAATGATGGAGCAAACATCATAGCCTTGATGCAAATTCTAATACAGTTACTCTGAAATAGCCAGGCAAAATTTGCAATGTTTCTTTTTCTTGACTCTAAATAGATCTAATCCATATGTCCTAAAGACAGACGTTTGTACCAAGGCATTCATGTGTGTGAGGACAACTATCTGCTATTAAAATTGAACGGCTAAGGGAATGCTGAGGTGCAGAAAAATCATCCCAAATAAATCAGCACTTAAAATTAGAAAAGATAATTAAGTTAGGAAGCTCAGACATGCGGTTTCAAAATACATCCATTTATAATTTGTAAAAAATGAATACTTCTGGGAAACTCTGATCGCTCTAACACACAGCAAAGAGGAGATAAAGGCACACCACTATGAAACTTTCAAACATTGATGAAATTAGCCTGCCTCGCTGATAGAGTAAGCTCTGTTCCTTACGCTATACCATATAAACTATAAAGAGAAACAAAACACAAATCATTAAAAAGCAGACTCGTACTTGTGGCTTTATGTTTTTGTAGTGATTGTTCTAGCACAAGAGGTCACATTAAAACCGTCATTTTCTTAAATATACAAGTACATTTTTAAAAACCTATATGTTAACTCTAAAGCCAAATAAGCCTTCAAATCTACTATTTCCTATAGCATTTCTACCATCTCTGAAATAAATTTCAAGCAAGTGAAGGTATTGTACATCATATAAAAGACAAATAAAAAAGGTTGAAACCTACCAATACTGGTAGCGGGTGTCATGCACAAAACTGACCCTGATGTCATGCAATGGTGGGTGGAAAAAGTGAATAAAGGGAAAGAAACAGGTTAGCGGTTTAGAGTTAACATTCAAAGTGAGATTGAAGCACAACCAGAAATAAGTAGGGTTAGTTAACACAGTCTTTTAGGGCCATTCACATTGTCAGTACAGACACAAATATATCTGACTTATTTTAAGCCAGTATTATTCCAAGCTCACTCCTTAGACCACTGTTCACACTTTCTATTCATATGCATCGACATGATTCTAATAAGAATGACATGTGATAATGCCGTGGTGTCCTTCCTCTAAGACCTCAAAGTATTTTACAGACATTATCAAGTTAATCCTCCAAGGTAGGAAGTAGGTATTTTACAGATGAAAAATCTGAGGCATAGTAACTCCTCCAAGGCCATGCATGGTGTGGGTCAAGGGGAAGGCTAGAAATAGAATTCTCTTCGTAAATCCAGGTCAACTTTTATATTCACTAGAATACACTGAACTTACTGCATTAAACGTTTACTTGTTTGTTTGACTGTAAATGTTTTGTGTCACCAACGGTATGAAAATAACAGTGTTTAAGATTTAAGATATTCTCCAAATCAGAAGCTTGCAGGGCAGGATGGGTGAATTTTAGATTGCTGCTTGAAAGCCCAATAACCTAAGAAGACTGAGGTTCTTACAGGGAATGACCTGTATGAGTACGTGGTCTTCTCTCTGTTGTAAGATTCATTATGATAAAGGAGTAGTGCCTGGCAATAAAGCTTAAACACTGTAGAGCAAAATAGTGCAGAGTTGGGGCTGAGTTAGGACCAGGGCTAAGGAATTTGGTCATGACTACTACAAAGTGATCCCTGAGGGGGATTTCTGGCAAAACTCCTAGGAAATCTCAAGTTGGCATCTGAGTGGGGAGGTAGGAGGTGGGAGGGGCAATTTCAACCCTTTCTTAGAAATAGCTGTCTTACTTGTGGTGGTCATAATAACATACACGCATCATGACTCTGACCATGAATATTATATTCAGGCATGTTGTGGAGAACTGAAAGAAAGCTGTATTGAAAGCTTTGAGGAATTATCTGCTACTGGTTCAGTTCCATGAAAAACAAGGTAATACATGGATTTAGATCACTGAAGACTGGGTGTCATGTAGGTGCCTGAGAAGTAGTTTCTCGTAAATGTAGGAGTGCCCTCTTAGAGTTTCAGAACTGACTTCTGAGATATTAGTTGGAGAATTTGAGATGTGTAGGTCTTTATTCTCTCTGTGGAGCTGTTCACGCTGGAGGGCGACTTTTTGCCTGAACTACATTTCGATCAAGCTAACATGACCTAGTCAGGAGGGGGCTATTTAACTGGGCTACTGCCAGATTCTTCAACAAATGTGTGCCAATACATCCAACTTAAACCTTTCTCCAGCCCTATTCTCTCATCTTCACAATCAAACTTCTGGAAATCTACCTACACATAAATGTTTACTTCCCTATCCCTACTGAGTCTTCATTCCTCTTCAATTTGGCTTTCATTTGACCTTTGCACTTAAATTGTGAATGCCAATCCACAGAAAAATCCCATATTGCTGCAGCCAGCAGGAACTCTCCTGTCCTCATCTCACTGTTCCTAATTCTCAGCAGCATTCAGCACTCCGCCCTTCCCTCCATCGGAAGCCACTTTCTTCCCTTAGATTTTTGATCACACACACACACACACACACACACACACACACACACACACACACAGTTTTTCTTTCTGGCAACTCCCTTTGTCTACTTTGCTGAACGATCTTCCTTCCCTCACCCTCTCTATGCTGGAGTTCCTCAGGACTCAGTCTTGGGTCCTTTTCATCTACGCTACATTTCCTGTGGTGTATCATTCACTTCATGGGTTTGGATTCCAGGAGCTTCCATGTTTGTGTATCCCACGCAGATCTCTTCTCAGAGTTCCAGGTCCTTTCCTCTAACTGCCCTCCTCACCTCTCTGCTTGGATGTCTCATAAGTGTCTCAAATGTAACAGGGACAAACTTTGATCTTTCTCACAGAAACTTTCTACACCTCGGTCTATGGCCATACTACCCTGAAGGCGCCAGATCTTGTCTGATCTCGGAAGCTAAGCAGGGTTGGGCCTGGTTAGTACTTGGATGGGAGAAACTTTCTACACCTCAGAAGATGCCTGATGGGCATCACCATCTAACTAGAACTCTAGACCGAACTGAAAGTTATGCCTCACACCCCTTCCCCTTGTGAACTTCCTGGGTCCAGCTGACCAATCAGCCAAAGCAATCCTGCTTCTAGCATGCAGCTTGCATTCATCTGTTCATCCATCACTACTGCCACATCTGAAGTCCTGGTCACTATTATCTCTAGGCTGGCTATGTGATAACATCCTAAGTGGTCTTCCTGCTTCCATTCTCGTCCCTCCTTAGTTCATTCTCCAGCTTCTGGCAGAGTAGATCTTTCCAAATGCAGGCCTGGCCACTCCTCTGCTGGAAACCATTCAGTGGTTTCTCATTGCTTTTAGGATAAAGGTCCCGTGTGGTCTAGTCTCTGACTACCTCCCCAGGCCATCTTACACCTCCCTGGCACCATGCTCCAGACAGATTAATTTTTCTTTTCTTTGAACTGAACACATTACACATTTGCCCTATTTTTGAACTTCCCACAAGCTGTCCCCTTGGCCTAGAATAATCTTCACCCCACTCTTTTCATCTTCCAGATCTCAGGGTATATGTCACTTCTTTAGAAAATGCTCAATTGTTATTTTACCTACCTCCCCATGCCATCAAGTCAGTTTCTATTTTTAATCTCACTGAACTCTACTTTTTCATTCATAGTACAGGTTGAGCATTCCAGGTCTGAAAATCCAAATCCAAAATGCTCTAAAATCCAAAACTTTTTGAGTGCTGACATACCCCTCAAAGAAAATCCTTCTTGGAGCATTTCAGATTTCAGATTTTCAAATATGGGATGCTCAACTGTTAATGTAATCCAAATATTCCAAAATCTGAAAAAAAAATCCAAAATCTGAAATATTTCTGGTCCCAAGCATTTTGGATCAAGGGGCACTCAACTTGTACTCATAAAAAAATGGCTGGGCACAGTGGCTCACGCCTGTAATCCCAGCACTTTGGGAGGCTGAGGTGGGTGGATCACAAGGTCAAGGAGATCAAGACCAGTCTGGCCAAGATGGTAAAATCCTGTCTCTACGAAAAATACAAAAAAAATTAGCCAGGTGTGATGGCAGACGCTTGTAACCCCAGCTACTTGGAAGGCTGAGGCAAGAGAACCTCTTGAACCCGGGAGGCGGAGGTTGCAGTGAGCCAAGATCATGCCACTGCACTCCAGCCTGGGTGACAGAGCGAGACTCTGTCTCAAAAAAAAAAAAAAAAAAAAAAAAAAAAATTACGCCTATAAAAATCCGCTCTTATTTTTCTTTCATTCCAGTGTGGAGGGGGGTGTCTTGGAGAGCTTTGCTGTGCCATGCATGTGAATATCATTGGGATTGCAAATAATCCACAGCTCCTGTAGCCACACTGGGCTAGGATCAGTCATGTTACTTTGGCTTCAGTCCTGGATGTGGCTGAAATCCTTAACCAAATTAATTCCATGAGCCTCTCTCTCTAAGTGGCCTAATAGTGATGTGATATTGGAAATGCATAACTTATGCATGTGTGGCTCCCTTAATGCCAGATTCTGGTCCTGATCTTCTTAGCAAGCCCCATCTCTGCCTTTGTACAACACTCCCATCCTCTACTCTCTGCATATACCCTGTATGTACTTCATGTTATAGCTACAATGGACAATTTTCTATTCTTCAAGTACACTCTTCCCATGTCCCAACTGGGATGCTTTTCCCCCACTGATAAAATCTTGCTTCTCTTCAAACTCCTAGGCAAATTTCTCCTACTTCAGAAAGTCTTGTTTCTCCATATCCTTCGTAACCACCACCTGGTGCACATGCTGAAGGCAGAATTCATTGTCTCCTCTCCTTCACTCTCGAATAGCTTTGCCCAGACCCTCAGGTACTCCTTCATCCTCTGTATAATATTTGGTTTTCACCTCTTTATGAACTCTTTTGTATTCTCATTACTGGCTCTGGAACCCAGAACATACCACGGGTTCAAGGTATGTTTTAATGAATTGAATGGAATAAATTTTGTTGTGCTTATGCAGATACAGATGCCACTAAACACTGATCAATCTTTCACCAAGTCATGTGATAATCTGATGTAACATTTACACGTTTCTCATAATTAGGCTGTATCTGGGCACTGTCCCCTGTTCTACTTATTCTGTACTTCCAGTATAATGAAATAAATCAAGGAAGGCTTCTGTGGGTTGCCTTTGTTCTGATCAGCTGAAGCACTTCACTAGGCACCAATTCTATGAACAAAGACTTCTCAAATGTTTTCTGCTTCAGTTGCACAAATATTTCAGCTGTCGTATCTGTGAGCCAGAATTATCTGGGTAGTTCCACTTTGCGGTGTAGACACAGCCTCAGTTTTTCCATCTGCAAAATGCAAATAACCGTGCCTGCCACTAACAGAACTGCAACATCTTGAAGAATAATGAGATAATGTCTATAAGAACACTTACAGTAACTTAGAATAAACCTGTCAGAGAAATGCCAAGAATTATTATGCTGCTATTTTTGTAAGTGTGTGTGGTTTTGCCACTTTCCTAACATAGAAAAGAAAAAGTCTAACTACTTGGTTAAAATAATCCCAATGAAAAAAGAAAAAAAAAGAAAACTCCCACCCATGGCAAATGTGCTAGGCCATCAAGCAGGGCAATAATTATCTTAGCATAGTTTGGGAGAAGACTCTCATATTTTGCATAAAATTTTATATTAATATCTTTGCAACCTGGAGGCAGAATTCCTAAAATCCAAATTCACATTGTGTCAATGGGAGAATTTTAGTATCATATCAAAAGCTTTAACTATGAATGGTTAAAACAAAAATGCTATTTTTGTTTCATATTTATGTTTACGTAAAACATTTATAGAAAAATCAAAATCTGTTCATTTAAAAGTAATGGGTCCTCTATGTACCAAGTTATAATAATTATTTTTGAACATCTTCACTTGATTTGCAGAGGTTTCAAACCAACAATGATGAACAATGATTGATTATTACCATTATCATTTTAGAAATAAAGTTGAAAATGGGTTTATAAGAAAGAAAATCAGAAGCAAAAACTTAAGCTAAAATGAACAATAAAATTCCTGGTATGGGTTTAAGCGGGAGAAAGATTATTTTAATTTCCTTTTAATAAAATTATTTTCTCTTTCCTCATTTAAGAGAAATGTGAAAATTCTTAGCAGTTGAAATACCATTTCAGAACACTAGATCCACATGCTTGTTCACTCTGATATTCATGTCATGTAAGAAATGGAAACCCTTCTAGTCACTGTATTGGTGCGCTAGGACCCACTTTTTGGCTTCCAAAGCCCACTGTATTGAGGGTTGCCAGACACACTTAAGCTGTTCTTAAAGAATCCACCAGAGGGCGGAAGTACACAACCACAGCAGCCAATGTAGCCGTATGGGTCCTTCATGAGATACATTTCATCAACAAAAATCAGGTCGTTGCGTAAGGGATGTTGTTTATCCTTGCTTTGGAAATGTTTATCCTTGCTTTAAAATGTTTAAAAGGTGAAACATTTTAAAGTGATGATTCTTTCAGTGATTTAACAAATCAGTCATTGTTGGGTTTGAGAGTTAAACATGTGCTGGAGGGCTTCAGATTCTTTTGGCAGGCTTAGCACCAGAGCTTCATAGGTATTCCCAGGACATGGTAATGGCAGTAACATCCATTCTTCAGAAACAGGCTTCTCCTTTTACGTTTTTCCCCTCAGTATATTCTTCCTTAATTTTTTTTTTTTTATCTTAAAATATCTAGTGGCCAAGAGGTCTACAATGACACACTTTGTAGAAACCACACAGGACATTAACGTAAGTTTACCTTCTAGTAATTATTTTACAAATGTGTTATTTCAATTAGATTACATATTAAGACACTGCTATGCTGTAACAGCACTGGGATGTCACTAATTAAGGCTGTAATAGGGCAAAAGTGAACTCCTAATAAATACTGAATTAGAGATTTCTTCTACAAGTCTGTGAGTTTAAGACAGGTTCAAAACTAAAATAAGAAAAAAACACTGAAAACCACTTTGCTCACATAATTTATATGTTAACTAAAATATGTATTGTTCACAGGTTACTAATCCATTTCAAAGTGTAGATTTTATACAAAGAATATCACAGAAATATTTTACCTCCCTCTGATGTTAACTCTGATAAGCTATGGGATTTAAGGAAATGGATAATAAGCTCGAAAAGTTCAAACTAATGGATTTGAATCAAAAAACTCTTTTTGTTAGAATTGTTATTCATTTATATTTACTTTCATTTCACTATCGTGGGCTGAAAAATGTTGACTTTCAAAGAACTCAATGGATGGTCTTCCCACCAGGACTTAAGTTACCCCTTGCTTCTAACATTGACTAAAAGGTGAAAAACATGGTCAATTATGGTGACTATCTTTGCGTATGGTGTGCGTGTGTGTGTCTGTGGTTAGAGATGTCGGTGCAAATGGGGGAGGGATGACATGATTTATACTTTTGTTTTTTTACTTTTATCTGACTTTTTGGGGTCAGTTATTTAAAAATTCACTTTTATCTGCTTTTTTCTTTTTTCAGGAGAACTCTGTGGAATGTGTATATATAGGCGGGCCCAGGTGGTAGAATGTGATGTAAATGGGTTTGGTCACAGGGAAACTCAGTTCTTTTTCTCATTAGTTGTGGCACCTTGGAAAGTCACTTCTCATTTAGGGGGCCTCAGTTTTCTCATCTGTAAAACAATCAGCTGGATGAGGAGATCACTAAGAGTCCTTTAAACTCTAAGATTCTATGACTATTACAATGGATCTTTTAGTGGAATCATAGTTAATGCACATCGTACGTAATAGTATCAGGCATTGGCTTAGACACTGAGGATAAGAGCTCTATATACTTGTGAACTTGGTGAAAGTTGAGAAGGATGGAGAAAGAGATAGAATGAATATAAAAATATGAGTAGAGAATTGCTTTAATTTGAATAGCCTCATTGTTTTAGTGCTCTGAATAGAAATAGAAAAAAATGGTTAGTATTTACTGGAATTGCTATTTTTAGGTCATTCAGAGTTAAGGACAAATTTCAATTGTCACACATAAAAGGTCTTATTTACATAAACAATTTTACAGGGCTTGTGCAAATACAAGAAACCAAAAGCCCTAACTGCTGTTTCTCATGGGTTAAATCTGTCTCTTCAATCTATCAAATATTTGGCTTTAGAATCCTAACAGTCTTTAGCTATCATTCAAAGTAAGGTAAATACATTTAGATAGCTAGGACAACGATGAATTTCAAACTGTATTATACCTTCAAAAGCAAACTAGATGCCACCAAACAGCTTAGAGAAATGAGAAGAAAGCACATGACCAGAAGGGCACAGGACGTAGGGCAGTAAGGGCACATACCTGTTGGAATGAACGCGGCGTGTTGCTGCAACTGTGCGCTGGTGAGAGCCTGCTGGTAGTGCAAGACGCTGGGGTTAAAGACCGCGCTGGTACCATTGCTTTTTTCAAGTGCTTGTCTCTTTGGTAAAGGATGAAGAGCACCAGGGGGAAAGGCCTAGAAATGAAGAATTCGATAAGATATGTCTAACTTAAAGCAAACACACCTTCCATGTTCACAGAGATCATCAATTGCAACATTCTTTTTAAAAATGACAGCTAAGGAGATGCCTCTGCCATGCACCTTAATTTAAACAGCGGCAATGTCGAATGAGTGAGAATTTGTTATTGAGAGCGAAAGCATGATTTCTGTAACCCAAAACGGTAGCATCTCAACTAAGGAAAAGAAAAACTATCAAGCAACAACAACAAAAAAAATGGCTTCAGCTTTTAAAATGAGTTAAACTATTCTAAGGGGGGACGAAGCATTGGTGTTATTATTAATACCTATTCTTTTCTTTAACTAAATGGCAATTTCTTGAATTTAAAGGTTAATACGAATTATAATGAACATTTTCTGAGTCAAATAATTTAAATTTGCTTCACTCTTTTGGAAAAGGTATTAAAATTTGTTAGGATTAATTTATTTCACAGATTACATATGAGAATGAGATGGCTAAACACCTTATTGGATTTTTTCCATAAATTAATAATAATGATTGTTTGCAACCAGTATTTTACAAGTAATACAAATCTCAGATGGTTCTCTGAAAAGCTACATGCAAAGCGAAAGGTGAAAGGTCAAAGTACCAGGTCTACAGTTGCTTCGAGAGGTCGCTTCATTGCTTTGGCAGTCGACTGAGTCTTTTAATAACAGGCAGCGAGCACATGATGGCAGTGGGCCAATGGGATTCAAGCGAATTAACATACAGGTAAACAGCAAGCAGAGGTGCATCATGGGAACGGCATTGCATTGTGGATAGGTGAGAAGGAAAAAAATATTCTGAATGCAATATACAACGTACAAAACACTAGGCATGCACAACAACAAAAATGTTCTCTAAAGAAATGAATATTACACCTTAAATTAGTATTGAAGCAAAAATGCATCTACTATACCTTAGTTAAAAGCATATAAGAGAGTAAAATATAGATGTTTGAAATTCAGGAAAGTTAATTAAAACAGCAGCTTGCATACACACCATAAGCATTTTTTATATTGCTTCAGAAAAAAAAATGCAAAATTTGTAAGGGCCATAGGATCGAAGAACTTCTGATAAGTTAGTTTTCAAATATGAAATAATGAGTCCATCGAGTAAGGATATGACCCAAGTTGAAATTTTTCATAAAAATAATTTAAAATTCATAGCTGGCCTAACAAAATGAAGTGGCGAACTGAGACAAAAAATTCAGGCAAAAAAATATTCAAACACAAGATTATTTAGGCGAAACTGTTGGGTTTGGATCTTTATTTTTTGTCTGAATCATGTGGATAATTGTCTCAATTCTTGTCTTCACTCTGCTAGTGCGAGTCTTGTAATGTGGACTAAAGTTCCAAATTTAGTGCCTTGAATTTAAATAGTGAGTTTCCAGAATTCCCCACTTGTATTCCATCATCTTGTTTCTAACAACCAACTTATCATCCATTCTGTTTTCTACTACATTTGAAATGTTCATTTCATTTATCTCAAAAAACTTACCGGATTATACTAAGAAAATAACCTTTAAAAGGTATGTAGTGTCCCCAGCTATCAAAATAATTTCTATTTAGTAATTCTATTTGTACTTTTAGCTACAATCAGTGAGCAACCCCATTAATGAAAAGTGGAACTCTTGGAAAGAACAAATACAACAGCTAAAAATAGCAAACAGCTAAAAATAATAGCAAAGAACTGCTTGAAAGATTAGAAGTAAAATACTATCTTTAACTTTGAACCATAATTTTGGGAAGACAGTTTCATTTAAACAACTGAAATAAAAACAAATATGGATTGATTTAGACCACAATGAAAAATTTTCCTATTCTTTGTTAATTGTTGTAAAAAAAAAACTAAAAATTCTATGATGGAATTCTTTGCAAATAAAATAATTCAAAGGAATTGCTCCAATGCAAATAAAAAATGAAATACCCTTTTCTATGCTTAGCACAATAGGTAAGTCCCTAAGGTTTCTCTAATAAATACAAATATTATATTCTAAAGTTCTGAAATAGAACTTTGTCATTTGACATGAGACAGTACTAAACCTTTAAAATGGGAAACAGTTAATGACATTTTCCTGGATAAATAAAGGATGTTTATTATTGTTTTATAATTCAGGATAAAAAGTATGGAGATAATAGGGGATAAGGGGAGAGCTATGGAGGGGAAGAGACTAGAAATCAAGTAGAAAGGACTACAGGCAGAGAAGAGATTTAGAACGGCCAATGGAGAAGAAAATGTTTGGGAAGGTAGTTTTGATCGGAGTCATCGAATAACATGAAATCAATGTTGTGAAAGTACAATTGTGAACGTTAAAAACAATGAGCTGACAAAACATCTGTGTACTGGATATTCTTTCCTTGCATGTAACTTTGACATCATGTAACTTCCATAATGCCATTTTTGTTTCGAATCTTCCATCCTTGCACAGCTTTGCATTGTTAAGTAGTGCAGGGTTTTCTTTTGTTTTGTTTTTTGAGCTTCAATTAATCTGCATCAGCTAAAGAAGGTTACAAAGCCTATTCTCATAGAGCACATTGAGAACATGAACTGGATCGTTAAACTCAAAATCATTTTGGCCTTAACTTTCTGGACTCAATTTTTCCCCTTCCCATTTGCAGTCCTAAGTATTTACAGAATGAATCCACTAATGGGTTGATCTTTTCTGACATGTTAACTAGATGAGCGATTATGTCTCTAAAGGCTGATATTCATGAACAAAATTTTGACTTAACAAAGAATCATTTAATGAAATCTCCAAGTACAATGAAAAATAATAAATATTTCCCTTTAGGATTGTCACCTGGAAGGTTAATATTCTTCTTCTTCCTGTCTTAGTGTGATGAAACTTAATTTCCATAGAATTTAGAATAATCTAGGAATGTAAAAAAACTGAGATCTCTAGAGTGAGCAGGACAGTGACGTGTATCTCTTTCTACCACTCTGTGGTGGGAGTTTTCTTTATTAGAGGCAGATCTCTCCTTTTAAAGTAAACACTGAGGTCTTGGAGGGCGGGGTGTGCATATTAACATGTTGTTCATCTCGCATTGTGAAGCAGGTATGTGTAGAATGTATTTTAAAAATCCATGTGGATGAATAATCATGTTATAATGTAGCATTTTCATATACAGATGCTCAGTTTTTGGTGATTTTGACTGCTGCATATGTTTACCTACATTGAAAGATCTTCAGGCTTAGAACAGATCTCACAGGTCACCAAGCCTAGTGTATCCTAAGATCCTCCTTAAGCACCAAGACAGGTAATTGAGCCCTCACTATGTATCAGCCACTTGGAAATCCATCTGACTGGCCTCACCAACATTCTGAGGCTTTGCTTCTCTGGGCCTCTCCAGCTTGGTGTGCATGAGTGATGAGTCAGAAGAGGTCCTATGGGCAGCTAGGCTTTTTTTTTTTTTTTTTGGATTGAGGACCAATTCACCTGCAAATCAAGGTAATCGAACCAAGTGCCTACATCAGACATGATAGGCAAAGACCAGATCTGAGGGGTCAGAAAACACTGACAACAATGATCAGAGCTACCACTTTAAAGTAGGAAAGAAGGTAGACAAGCAGGATGCCAATCAAAGTTCCTGTACAGACTTTCCTGAACAATCGAAACGTATCTAGCTGACGGCAGCTTGTCTTGTTTCCTTTTGCAAAATGGTTCTTTCCTTGTGTCATTCCATTTTGATGTATGTGAGCAAAGATTGCTTGTATGAAGATCAGACACCTTTTGTGTTAACACTACCAAAGAAAAGTTCTGTCTGTCTTATTCTCATGTTTAAAAAATTCTGGTGATGGTGATGGTTATGTTTTAAGAAGTACTTAAAAGAATAAGACTCCAAAGGAAATAAATGTCTTTTATTCTGGAGTCAAAGCTTTCCATTCCTTTTAAGGATCTAATGAATCAAAATAAGCAGGAAATCTCCAGACAATAATAAAAATTTCACCCTGGAAATGCTTGGGGTTTCTATATGGAAGTCAGGCGAATGGAATATTAATATCTTCTAACTCTATTCATCACTCCTGTTTGTCCTTTTAAATAAGGAAATAAAGTAATAGTTTTTCTTCTGTGTACTGAGTAATTTTGCTATTAGAGTAGCAATACTTTGACTTTATCCAACAGCACCTAGGCTGGTTTCAAATGAGCCTCTCACTTCAACTAAAAACACATGACAGATTCAGTAATTTTCATGTCATTGTCAGAAAGAACCTGGCTTTTGTTCTGAAACTACATTCCTTTGGGTTGTCTTTGACAATGCTGCAAGATCCTCTGACTTATCAGAACTCCAAATTTGGGCACAGTGTAACAATCCAAGAAACTATGGTAACTAACACTGTTGGCATCCACTGCAATAATCTTTATGCAGCTTGATGAATGTAACCATGAATGTAATGTGAAAATGTGTAGAAGGGTACACAGAAGAGTACAGCTTTGACTTGAAGAAATGCAGCAGGGAAATGACCTGTTTGTGTAAATGGCCATTTTCCCTCTTATCCCCATCAGCCCAGGTCATCTACCACTGATATATACTAGGTGTATTGTTCCTTTAATGACTGAAGTATATATTGGTTGCAGATGTTAAAACTGGTCCATTGAGGAAACAGGCAGATGAAATCAGGGCTCAGCCCTAAGGTCACTATTAGTACTTTGATATGTTGTGTTAATAAGTACAGGCATAGGTTGTTTTATTGCACTTTGTTGTATGGTACTTTGCAGATACTTCAGTTTTTTAAAATTGAAGGTTTGTGGCAACCCTATGTTGAGTCTATCAGAGTCATTTTTCCAACAGCATGTGCTAACTTTGTGTCTTTGTCACATTTTGGTAATTCTCACAATATTTTAAAATTTATTGTTATTATATCTCTCATGATGATTTGTGATCAGTGATGTTTGATGTACTAT
The DNA here is from genome assembly GCF_000001405.40 of Homo sapiens. Taxonomy (NCBI): domain Eukaryota; kingdom Metazoa; phylum Chordata; class Mammalia; order Primates; family Hominidae; genus Homo; species Homo sapiens. Next base: position 97,352,553 of record NC_000013.11, on the reverse strand, counting down.
TTTAATTGTTTTGGGGCACCATGAACCATGCCACAAACTTAATCGATAAACGTCATGCCTGGTCTGACTGCTGCACTCACTGGCTATCACCCCTCTCTCTCCTTCCTCAGGCCTCCCTATTCCCTGAGACAAAATTATATTGAAATTAGGCCAATTAATAACTTTAAATGGCCTCTAAGTGTTCAAGTGAAAGAAAGAGTCACAGATTATTACTTAAAATCAAAAGCTAGAAATGATTAAGCTTAGTGAGGAAGGCATGTCGAAAGCCAAGATAGGCTAAAAGCTAGGCTTCCTGTGCCAAGGTTATCCATGTTGTGACTGCAAAGGGAAAGTTCTTGAAGGAAATTAAAAGTGCTACTCCAGTGAACATACAAATGATAAGAAAGCAAAACAGCCTTATTGCCAGTGTGGGAAAAATTTTATTGGGCTGGACAGATCTAACCAGCCACAGCATTCCCTTAAGCCAATGCCTACCTTATTTATTTATTTATTATTTATTTATTTATTTATTTATTTATATTTTTATTTTTCTGAGACAGTCTCACTCTGTGACCCAGGCTAGAGTGCAGTGGCATGACCTCAGTTTACTGCAACCTCTGCCTTCCAAGGTTCAAGCGATTCTCATGCCTCAGCTCTTCGAGTAGCTGGAATTATAGCGTGCACCACCATGCCCAGCTAATTTTTGTATTTTTAGTAGAGACGGGGTTTCACCATGTTGGCCAGGCTGGTCTCAAACTCCTGGCTTCCAGTGATCCACCCACCTCTGCCCCGCAAAGTGCTGGGATTATAGGCATGAGCTACCACGCTGGCCGAAAACCTAATTTAGAGCAAGGTCCTGACTCTCCTCAATTCTATGAAGGCTGAAAGGAGACAGGAAGCTACAAAAGAAAAGTTGGAAGCTAGCAGAGATTGGTTCACAAGGTTGAAGAAAAGAAGCCATCTCCATAACATAAAAGAGCATGGTGAGCAGCAAGGGCTGATGGAGAAGCAGCAGCAAGTTATTCAGAAGATCTAGCTAAGATCACTGATGAAGGTGGCCACAGTAAACAACAGATGTCAACGTAGACAAGCCAGATATTGGAAGATGTCAACTAGGACTTTCAGAGCTACAGAGGAGGACTAGCTTCAAACCTTCAAAGTACAGCAGCTGACTCTTGCTAGAAGCTAATGCAGCTGGTGAATTTAAATTGAAGCCAATGCTCATTTACCATTCTGAAAATTCTAGGGCCCTTATGAATTATGCTAAATCTACTCTGCCTATGCTCTAGAAATGAAACAACAAAGCCTGGATGACAGTATATGTATTTACAACATGGTTTACTGAATGTTTTAAGCCCACAGTTGAGACCTACTGCTCAGAAAAAAAGATTTGTTTCAAAATATTACTGCTCATTGACAATGCACCTGATCACCCAAGGGCTCCAGTGGAGATGTACAAGGAGATTAATGTTGTTTTCATGCATGCTAACACAACAGCTGTTCTGCAGCCCATGGATCAAGGAGTTATTTCAACTATCAAGTCTTATTAATCGAGAAATACATTTTGTAAGGCTGTAGCTGCCACAGATAGTGATTCCTCTGATGAAGCTGGGCAAAGTAAATTGAAAACCTGTAAAGGATTCACCATTCTAGATGCCATTAAGAATATTCATGATTCATGGAAGATCAAAATATCAACATGAACAGGAGTTTGGAAGAAGTTAATTCCAATCCTCATGGATGACTTTGAGGGGTTCAAGACTTAAATGGAAAAAGTAAGTAACTCCAGATGTAATGGAAATAGCAAGAGAACTAGAATTCTTAATAGAAGTCGAGCCTGAAGATGTGACTGAATTGCTGCAATTTCATGATAAAACTTTAATGGTTGAGGAGTCGCTTTATGGAGCAGCAAAGAAAGTAGTTTCTTGAGATGGGTTCTACTCTTGGCTAAGATGCTCTGAACATTGTTGAAATGATACCAAAGGATTTAGCAAACTATATAAACTTAGTTGATAAAGTAGCAGCAGGGTTTTAGAGGACTGTCTCCCATTTTGAAAGAAGTTCTACTCTGAGCAAAATGCTATCAAATAACATTGCAGGCTACAGAGAAATCTTTCATAAAAGGAAGAGTCAATCAATGTGGCAATGTTCATTGTGTTTTAAGAAATTGTATTTTTAAGAAATTACCACAGCCATCACAACTTTCACCAGTCACCACCCTAATCAGTCACCAGCCATCAACATCGAGGCAAGACCTTCCACCAGCAAAAAGATACGACTCACTAAAAGCTCTGACTATTGGTTAGCATCTTTTAAGCAACATTTTAAAATTAAGGTGTGTATATATTCTTCAGACATAATGTTCTTGCACATTTAATAGACCACAGTGTAGTGTAAACATAACTTTTATATGCACTGGGAAACCAAAAAATTCATGTGATTTGTTCTATTGTGATACTCGCTTCATTGCAGTGGTCTGGAACTGAACTTTTACTTGAAGGACTAATATTTCCATTATCAGGGCCTCATTCCATACCTCAGTGACCAAGGATAGCCACTGGGACCCAGGCTGAGTCAATCACAGCATCCTGTCACTGACCACAGGGACAGCCACCAAAATGACCTTTAACTTCTTCCCCTGCCCCAATACCTAATTAGAGCTGGTATAAAAGACACCATTCTCTCTCTTGTCAAAAGATGTAAGAATACATCCCTATAGAGGTCCAAAGCCTTGGTCCTGGGTCTTGTAGAGAAGCTGACCTTAGAGAATGGTGTGGCCATAGTAAGAGAAGCAGGCAGGGGAAAGAAGAGAGTGACCTGTTGGTTCTGAAGTTTCTGAACCCAGGCGTTCCTGAGTCCATCTCTACTAAAAATATAAAATTAGCTAGACATGGTGGCATGCACCTGTGGTCCCAGCTCCTCGGGAGGCTGGCGCATAAGAATCACTTGAACCTGGGAGGCGGAGGCTCCAGTGAGCCAAGATCGCACCACTGCACTCCAACCTGGGTGACTGACAGAGCAAGACTCTGTCTCAAAAAACAAATAAATAAACAAATTTTGTGGAAAAATGTGTTCTTAGTGCCCATCAATCAACACACCAATTAGGATAAGTTGGAGCTGGCCTAAAATAATGATTACAATGAAAAAAAAATTTGCTTCCTATGGGATGAGATCCTCACCAGGTTGATAGTAGAATGGATGTCGCATTGGCAAAATGTGTAAAAGATCTCATTTGTGCTCTGAAAGAATTCCTTTTTTATCAGCCTTAAGTGATCAGTTTACTCTCCTCCTCCCATTCCCAATTATAATGAGTTTCGGAAACTACTCTTTTACTAGAAGAAAAAAAGGGAGAATTTCTCTATTTTATTGACCCTCTTGTGTGGATACATACATCTCCACATATATAGGAATTCACACTCAGCAAAATAAAAAAATATTAGGTCCAATAACATATGAATGAGAAGGACGAGAGGAAAGGACACTAAAGGGACAAGAAAAGGACTCAGAGATTAAACAAAAACAAAAACAGTGATTTAGATGACGAGGCCAGTGCTCAAGGTGTATGGAAATAAGCAGCTCAAATTGGAAAGGTCTCTAGAACCACACACTCCGCACCTGGTGGTGATTACCTCAGGGCAGATGGTGCCTTTCTCGCTGTATCCCTATCACTGATCACAGGTCCATGCCTTAATAAACATTTGCGCAAACAATGTTGAGTAATTGTGAACTTGTTTGTGTGACAGCTACCCTTCCATTTTAATCAGTAATCAGTGTATGAGGTGATGGCTGAGGTGATGGCTGCTAACTAGAACAAAGTGTTTTCAAACTGTACTTTTCATCTCTGCAGTCATAGCTCTCCTTCTTGAGGGAGGACTGGCCACTGAGTCCTTCATGCCCTCTGGACCCGATTAACTATTTCTATCATGTCACTGAGGAGCATGTTATTGCTCTCAGTTACTAACTCCAAACTCCTTGAGGGCAAGGAAACCTGACTGATTTATTTATTCTACCCAGCAAGTGCCTGATGCATGGTCTCATAAAATTTTTTGAAAGAATGAATGCATAGTGCCTATCACATATTAACATAGACTTCTGATAAGCCAGAGAGCTCACATGAAAACAAATTAATTAGAAACTTCTGCAACCTAATGCAGAAGTTCTCAAGCTTTGCGATGCATTGGAATCACCTGGGAGCTTTTAAAAACTGCCACTGTCGCCAGGTATGGTAGCTCGCACCTGTAATCCCAACACATTGGGAGGTAAAGGTGTGAGAATTGCTTGATCCCAGGAGTTTTGAGACTAGCCTGGACAACATGGTGAGACCCTGTCTCTACAAAAAAAATTAGAACTTAGATGGGCATGTTCCCAGCTACTCAGGAGGCTGAGGTGGGAGGATCACTTGAGCCCAGGAGTTTAAAGCTACAGTGACCCATGATCATTCCACTGCACTCCAGCCTGGGTGACAGAGACCTTGTCTTAAAAAAAAAAAAAAAAAAAAAATCCCACTGCCCAGACCACACCAGACCAACTAAATAAGAAAATAAGAAACTTCAGGGAAAGGGACAGATGTCAGGTCAGACCCTTCAGGTTGTTCCAAAATGTAGCCAAGTTTGATAAGCAATGTCTAGGCAGGTGCTTCTCAAATGTTAATGTGCATACAAAACACCTGGGAGATGTTTTACAACTTAAATTCTGATTCCCTGAGGTCTGGGGTGAGGCTGAGGATTCTGGAGGCTCCACAGGCTTCTAGGTGATCCTAATAATGGTGCATCTGGTCTCTAAGGGACAGTTAGGCTCTCCGAGATTCTGAGCAGGCTCCCAGGCGATGATAATGATGATGTACTGCTGGTCTCTAATGACAGTAGGGTGACTCAGGGAAGCAAGCCTAGGTCACAGGTCTTTTTTTCTTTCTGCACCAGCCAGGATGGCTCCACTTTCATCTGTTTCATGCATTGCTATTCTGCATAAAACCTCATTGAGATGGGGAATCTGACCAGCATTGCCCTTGTAATAAGTGAAAGAAGAGGAGAAAATGGGAGTAGCGAAAAGCCAAATCACTCTCTGGGCTTCTCTTAGGCCACAGATGTCCTCCGTGGCTGCTCCAAGGAGCTGGGTGCCTCCTCGTGCTCAGGTGCAGAAATGCACCTTTCTTTCCCCTCTCCGAAGCGGTGCCCACCTTCATGTTCATTACAAGGCCCCTGAGCCTCTCTTAAAAAGACCCTAAGTGAGCACACTCAATCTCCGCCACCCTAGGAGGGGGAACGGAGCTCAGGGACCCCAGGACTTTCCCTGCACCTGAGGGATTTACTTATTGTGCTGAAGGGGGGCAGGAGGGGAAAACAAAACAAAACAAAAAGGGGGAAAACAACAGCAAAACTTAGGCAGCGGAGCAGCAGGAATAGCAGCCTTCCATGTTTCCCGAGTGTTTGGAAGAACATCCAAGTCCCAGCCCGGAGCGGCCTCCGCAGAGGCGCCGGGGTGCAGGGGCGGCGGGCGGCCGCACTTACCATGACTGTGGCCGCGGCCGCGGCTGCCTGGGCGGCCACCGCAGCTTGGTTGGCTTGGTGCTGCGCAGCTTTGATTTTGGCCTGCAAGTGTGCAGGAGGGTGAAAATATTTGCATTTCTCCCTCATGCAACGCCCCTTTATGTAATCCATACAAACGGTTACGGTGTTGTCACTTGTGTCGATCATGGTGCTGTCTGCGGGGTGTGCAAAGCGGCAGTCGGTCTCTCCCCGGGCACAGTTTCCTCGCTGGAACTCCCTGCATACCTAAGACAGGGAAGAAGAGCCGCGCTGCAGAGGCAAGCCTGAGCCCAGGCGCCCCTGCGGCCCCGGCCACCGCGGGAGGAGCGGAGGCTGCCTCGCTTTCAATGGTGGCTCATGTACCACTGACAAGAAAAGATTGATTATGCGGAGCCCAGGTAACCACAATCTCTGACACAGTCATTTGAGTTTTGTTTTACCGCCTTTTCTAGGGTGAAAATCTATATTGAGAAAATAATACGAAATCTGCAGTTCAGCTAAAATAACAAAGGAAAAGCAACAAGGCCTCCATTGTCCCTGGGTAGCATATTATGCAGCTGTCTATCGATCTGTCTGTCTGTCTATCCATCCATCCATATATCTATCATCTATCTATTTATCCATGCATCCATTCCTTCATCTATCATCTACCATCAATCAATCTATCCAATCATCTATCCACCTGTTCATTCATCCATCATCTATTATCTATCATCTATCAATCTATCCCTCTATTATCTATTATCCATCTATCTATCCATCCACCCATCCATCTATCCATCCATCCATCCATCCATCCATCCATCTATTATCTGTTAATCTATCATTATTTTTAATGGTAAAAACTGCAATTACTTTTGCACCAACCTAATATTATCTATCATCTATCTACCTACCTACCATCTATCTATCCGTCCATCCAGCCAGCCATTCATTCATCCATCTATCATCTATCCATCCAGCCATCCATCATCTATCATCTACTGATCTATCTAAAATCTATCAATTAATTAATCATCTATCTAATCTAGTTACCTACCTATCTATATACCTGCTTACCTACCTATAATCTATCTATTTAATCTGTCAATCACCTATAATCTATCTACCTCTCTCTATATCTTCAATCACCTACTTGTATGACAATTCTGACAATGCTATAGGTTTTTTTTTGTGTGTGTGGAGGGATAATTTCACCTATATCAAGCTACCAGGTCATAGCTGTACAAAAAGAATCAGAGAAAATGACGACAAACTTGTTCCTCCTCTCTCTAAGGGGGTGGGGTGGGGTGGGGTGGGGGGAATCTGAACACTCCTGTTTCCCACTCCTTCTCTCCTGCTCTACAAAGATAACATAATCATAAATCAGAAGAACAATATCTAAGACACCAAAATTTTCATTTTTAAGGTCACTATACTATTTTTGACAGCACAGAAAAGAAAAAAAAGACAAAAGGAGAGAAATACGGCAAGAGATATAGAGAAAGAAAAATGGAGGGAAATAGTTTATTTTAAAAATTCTTTAATGCTAAATTATCCTGAAATCTCAAGTAACTAGGATTCTCTATCCCCTGAGAATTCTGGTGGATCAAGATTTTACTGTATGAAAAAATATTTCTTTAGAATTTGAAGAGTATTCTTAATTATGCCCTGCATATAGATAACATAAAATAGCATAAATAACATATGCATGTTGCTTATATAATTCTTCTCTGCTCATAAATATTAGCAGGAAATAATTATGAGTAGAATCGTAAGTTATTTATTTTTAGGCTCCAATTCCAAAGTGGATATGTAAATGATCATCACGCTGATCATTAGTGATGTTATATGAAGGGCCCCTGACATGAAATTCAAGTATTGTGGAAGTCAGACATACTTAGGAAATACTGTTTCACTGACCAGTGACCAGGCCAGCTTGAAGGTAGATAGCATAAATCACCAGATTGTTAATTGTTTCCTCCTACTTTGGATATTAGCCAACATTCTAACTTTAGTTCATAAAATGCGCAAAATAAATCACTAAGATGTTCCCACGGATTCTGAGCAAGCCTTCCTCCATCAATGGAATGACTTCTGTCTGATAGCATCATAGGTGTGGACCAGCCATCAGGCTCCTACCAAGGTGCTTTGTGTGCAGCTGACTTCATTCCTGGTTTGAAATGAACCAAAAGCCGCTCTGCTAAAATCATTGTGATTCATTTTTACATGTCTTTGTCTACCAGCCCTGTTGAGAAGGACAATTTGTTCCCAATTCCACTGATTTAATTTGTTTTCTAAAGTACAGTCACATACTGAACACAAAAGCTCCGTGGGTCCAGCAGGTGGAGCCCAAAACACTTTTCCAGTCCTGTGAAAGGTCTATTCAGTAATTGACAAGGGTAGGCTGGATCTTTTCAAAATAGTAACAATTAGAGTTTCCATTCTCTTCATCTGGGCATCCAGATTGAAACTAAGTGAAAAAATAAATATCTTCTAAAATATTTGCAGTTTGAAATTCTGAGTTTTAAAACTTGCACAGGTTATTAGGCAGCCACATTTTATTGCCTTCAAGGTTTATTGGGTTAATATTTAAACAAATGCACATTGAAAGAACATTCTCTAATAATCCCACTAACAGAAAGCACTGTGTACGTCCTAACCAGATGCATCACCTAACACCTTTAATCAGTAATGGAATTAAAGGAGCTCTCTGAAAAATCTATGAGAATCTTTATACACCCTTATGAAATGCTGTAGTGAATATCATAGGGATATAGCAGTAAGATACATAGATGAGTTCTACAGCTCTGATTAAAGAGAAATTTTACCCAACAAAGTACAGGAGGTTTGGTTTGATTCATAACTTAAGAACGATGTTTTTTATATATAGGAACTTGTTTTCTTGAATGTTATAGAACAATTGAAGTTAAAGAAAATATCTCAATTAATAACTAAATTTACGGGCTGGGCGCGGTGGCTCACGCCTGTAATCCCAGCACTTTGGGAGGCCGAGGCTGGCGGATCACCTGAGGTTGGGAGTTCGAGACCAGCCTGACCAACATGGAGAAACCCTGTCTCTACTAAAAATACAAAATTGGCCAGGCGTGGTGGCGCATGCCTATAATCCCAGCTACTTGGGAGGCTGAGGCAGGAGAATCACTTGAACCCGGGCAGAGGAGGTTGTGGTGAGCCAAGATTGCACCATTGCACTCCAGCCTGGGCAACAAGAGCGAAACTACGTCTCAAAACCAAACCAAACAAAACAAAAAACTAAATTTACTCATCCTCCAATTTCCCCTGTTTAGCAACAACACAATCAGAACTAATATGCCAGAACACACTAGAGCAGCCATGCTTGTTCTTGAGACATTGAAATATGATCATACCAATTGGTAAATAGTTGTAGTCCCACTTACTCCCACCAGTGTCCCTGAGTGTCCTCGGCTGCCCTGGTTGCTGGGCTCCTGATCCACCAGTTTCCAGAACTTTCCAGGGTCTTGCAAGGATTACACCTTGACATGAGGAGGCCTTCAGGACCTGGAGCCATCTCTATGGGCTGCATCATGATTGAGTCACTGTTCCATTGATTGTTTAATATTTTTCCCTTAAACGCATATTCCATGCAGCTGATTTTTGTGTTAAAACTAGTCTTTTCCATAGACTAATTTCCTTTATACTTGGCCTTAACTTCAAACCACAGAGTTATGAATACATGGGTTTTAGGTGAGTTTGTGTGTGTGTGTTTACATGGCTGTTTTGCAAGACTGAATTAATATCTTACAAGCAATCACTTACACAGAAGTATATTTCTACCACAAATGCATGTCAAAACACAAGTAGAATTGAAGTACCTCCAGTTTGTCAGTCCTGAGAAGTTTCTGAGTTGCAGTTGAGCCCGGGACAGTGACCGGTGGACTTCCGGGAACAATAACAGGCGTGGTGGGCAGAATTTCCGTTGGGACCAACCCAACTCCAGGGGTTACAGGTGCTAGGTAAGGAGCAAAGCTAATAGCCGTATTTGTCCCTATCGCGGGACCTACAGGGAAAGTGGGCTGTTAAAGGAAGACAACACAGGAGAAAGAGTTATTTAGAATAAAACTTTAAAAAATTACCAGCAAATGTCATTTGAGCAAAATGTATTCATCATATACTCTGTGTTAATTGTATAGCTCAATGCTGACCTATAATAAAAATGACATCCATGTAGACCCTCTCTTCCCCAAACCATACAGAAATATGAGAGAACATCATAAAAAACCTCTAGTTACAGGAACTAGATTAAGCTTTTGTCCCTATGAAAGTGTTCTCAACAAAAGAAAATAATTTCAACTCTAATTACTCAACATTCCAAACTATTAAATGTTATAACACTAAGGTAGTAAAAGCTATAGAATACTGACTAATAATCTTTGATTTATTCTACATGTTTCTCAAAGGGAGAGGAGTCACAAAACCCTTTGATTACAGCCTGATTTTCAAGTTGGCCAAGTCTATGCATTCTCAAACAGTGGGGTTACTTGGAATTTTATTTTGTCCAGACTCACCAGTATGTTTCCGTATTCCATCACTAGCATGTATATTCCCAAAATTCAAATGTAGTTTTCAAATAAACCTACGATTTTTTGCTGTAGTTCAACTACATCTAGATCCAGTCAGTCTTCCCTTCCTGAAAGGTTTTCTGGAAGAGCTTTTTAATCAAACAATATTGTGATTGGCCATTAAAAGTTGGTTTGGTTTCCTAGGTCACAAAATCAACACAGCAGTGACAAGAGCATACAGAATCTTATTAAATTTGTTCTCTGTCCCTATATTCCTCATCTAGGAATAAGAAGAAATATGCTAGTGGGTTGAGGTGATGATTATTTTTAAAAGCTCCACCTAATAATATGTAAATAATTCTGCCTTTTAGAAAGTAAATAATGTACATTTAAGAGAACAAACCTTGTTAAGTAATTTAAAATTCTAAAGATTTTTCTTAGAATAAATTGTACACCAAATTGGACCTGAATGCTTCTTTTCATTTGTTTGGTTGGTTGTTAATTATAGATGATTTTTAACCTATTTGATTTCAATTTGCAATTACATATTAATGCAGTCTTTTAACACTGAACTTAACTGTTGCTTGTCACACTTTTAACATTGAACTATGCTGTGTCATGCTTGTTCTCTGTTTCTACATTGTGGGTGACATTCTTCTTGTCTATTTATGACCCTGGATGGATTATTTAACATATGGGAAAAATGACAACCTATGTTTAATAAACATACTTTTTCTTTATAGCAGTAACAGAAAAATATCTCTTATGAAAAGTCATTATAGAAAAGAGTAAATTATTGATAGTTTGTGCAGGCAGTTATCAGACAGGCAGGAAAGCCTATTTTCAAAGTGGCTAGAAGGGGTGGTTCTAATGGTCTTAGAGGGGTCCTGGCTCAGTACTCCCACAAGATGCTGTTAGATCTCTATGGCTCAGACGTAAAATCCACTTTGGGAGAAAGTTGCAATATGAGGTCTGAATGTGGGAAATAGATGGCAGTTAGAATTTTTTTCTTCCTCTACTGTCAACAAATGTTTATATGTGTATGTTACTCACTGAGTCATAATTATAGAAAGTTATGATTTTCAGTAACTGTAGCTTTTATAATTTAGTACTACTGGAGAAAAAGCCAAGTGATTTAAATGGTTTACGGACTATGTAATGTTAGGATTTTTAAAAAGAATCAATTCTGAAAGGTCATAAATCACAGCACATCAGTGATTCAGTGGACTAGCTCTGTCAGAAATGCCTGGGGGAGATTTTACAAATAGTGATTAAATTCTGACCCAGTAGATCTAGGCTGAGACCTTGATACTTGAATTTTAGAAATTTTACTAAATGATCTGATGCATGGCCAAATTTGGGGAGCATTGTCATATGTGAGGAGTAAAAATAGTATTAAAAAACTTGCACTAAATGTGTAATTTAACCCAGAGACTATCAACGTAAACATTTAGATAAAAGAGCCCTCCCCCATACTGCCATTTTTATTTTCTCTGGAAGCAAATTCTCAACCCTCCCAGCCCACAGATCATTTGATGCTAGATCATTTGAAGCTAGGGTTAGTGTGGTACCATAAATACGGGTTGTACTTTGCTTTGTCGATAGGATTGAGAACCTCAAAACTCATTTCCCAAAACCATTTTGGATATCGACAAATCTATTCCAATTAGGTAACTTTTGTCTTCAAAAATATATGTCACTTGTTCATCTGATTTCATAGTCTAAAATCAATGTCCCAGTATGTTTTATTGATGATGGCAATAACACAGTTCACAGAGAAATAGTAATATTTTAAAGTAAAACCATAGATTTTAGACTCAGAGAGGCCTGAATTCAAACCTAGCACTCTGACACTTACTACTCATTAACCTGGGGAGGAAATTAACCTCCCTGGGCTTTAATTTTCTTATCTGCAATGAGTAAGTGAAACTACTTAGCTGAAAGGGTTGGGCAGAACAAGGCGCTATTGCACTCCCATTTCCCATGGTCAGAACTCAGTAAAAAGCAGCTCTCATTAATACTGTAAAAATCAATGTCCATCAAGGTTTTTTTGGCCTCAAATTATCTAACAGTTCTGCAACAGGGATGTAATGAGCATAGCAGTATAGTAAGGGTATAAAAGTGAGTAAAAATATAGCAACAAATTTCCCTTTCCTTTTGAAATGTGGACTGAAAAAAATATTTTCTGTCACGTGAAACTGAAAGTTGCAAGTTCATAGGCCTTACGAAGACAGACGCAGTTGGATATGTTCCTTTTTGATGTAGCATGTTTTTCATTGAAGTTGATTAGTTAAAAAATACAGTTACGGTGATTTGCAGAGAGGCTCACTCCGTGTTAATATTATTGTGGATAATAATGCTTTACATCTGTGAAAGGTTCTGGTAGTTCTCAAGGCATTCTCACACTTGTCTTCTTTAATCTTCTCAAATCCATGAGAAGCAAGTGCGGCAGCAAGAATTGCTCAGCCTTCCAGGTGAAAACAATTTAGAGGAGAGCCACTAAATGGATAACCCAAGGTCAATGCTGCAAGGCAAAGTCAAGGCAGAACACCCGGGACTCCTGGCTCCTAGTCTGAGGCCATGTCCACTCTTCTGCGATTACTAGATTTTGTTGGTTATTTCTTAAAACAAAAGAGGAAAAACAACGCCCCCCCCGCCCACACACAAATCAGTTGCCCGTATGTTTCTGGAGAGAATGCAGAGAGCGTTTGGTGGAGAGTTGCACAGGAACACGACCCACAGCCAGCCTGGGCCTTCTACAGACAGGAGGTGTGAGGTGTGGGGCCTGCTGCCTTGGAAAAGTGGTTCTCAGATCCTGAATTCAAATTAAACTCCCGAGGTAGAATCTCGGCCAACAACGGATCCCGGTGTCTGAGTTTGGTTCTCAGCTGGCGGCTGAGAAAAGAGAAGGGCAGCACCTTCCAATGATTCTGTTCCTGGAAGCGCACCAACTACAGCTTGGGAGAATTAGCCCTACAGTTTCTGCAGAAGTGCTGTTGCCAGGCTGTCTGAGACAGGATCCATTTGGTCCACGTCATCTCTCAGCTCAAAGCCACAGCTAAAAAGGCCAGAGGACAAGATTCGCGGGAAGCCTTCTTGAAGAAAATCGCTTCTGAAATGCTGGTCTTGCGATTTCCTGCCCCTGTTCTCTACTCCACCTTCCCGTGTTCCTCTCCGCAGTCTTCCATGCCCTGCTTTCCCTCCCAGGACATCAGGTCCAGGTTCAAAGATGACAAACACACCCACACACACTCACACACACAACACACTCATATACACAACACATACTCATACACATTCACAACACACTCCCATACACTCACACACACAACACACTCATATACACAATACATACTCATACACATTCACAGCACACTCCCATACACTCAACACACGTACACTCACACACAACACACTCATATACACACTAGCACACATATATACACTCACTACACACCTGCATGCACACATATACACACTTGCACATATACACTAACTACACATTCATACTTACGTACTCAACACACTCTCACGCAAACATGCACATTCTTTGCTATTTTGTAGCAGCAAGGGGGCTTAGCCAAGGGTAATGGCCAAGTGGCCCGAGGTATTTCATGGCTCAAAAGTGCAGTCAGTAGGCGAGAATGCCGTCGTCCCACTCGTTTAGAATGCGTCTGCTTTAAAGGGTACGTGCCTGGCACTCACGCTAAAAGGCTGACACACGGCGTCTCCTAAGCCTCCTCCCTCTACTGCCAGAAGCAGCTCCGGAGGGCACAAGACTCATGCAAGACTTGTCCCTCGTGGTTCTTCCACCTCCATCCTCCTAAAGGTCGCTCACACTTGCTTCTTTATCTTGAGTGCACATATGAAGGCGGTGCGCGCTCTGGGAAGGGAAGGAGGGAAGAATTCCTGTCCTATTCTATCAGGAATTGGGGAGAGAAAAGCTGCTAGGAGGAATAAATGAAGGGGACTTTTCAAACACTGTGAATTTGAGACAGAAGGGTTGTCAGGGGAGAGAAAGGCTTGAATTTTCATTCCCTTAATAAATATTTATTGGTGCAGACATGGTGCCAGAACACTGTGTACATTGATTGAACTGAAGCCCTAATGAGAAAGAAGAAAACAAACAAAATTACAGTTCATTTGTATGGATAAGCAAAGAAGGAGGAGGGCTCGCTGGTAGAGAATGCTGGGGGTTGCATGTGGGTTACAGGGGTGGACCTGGAGTCCTTATGAATGAGGTGAGTTAATGTGTGAAAAGCACTAAGACATGGACAGGCCAGCAGAGGCAGAGGCTGGGACACACACGAGCTGTGTGTGTTCACCCAGCAATGTAGGCAGGGTCGTGACCAGATCACAGAAGCCATAGGTCATGATCAAGGTCAGAGTTTCGGCTTTGTCCCAGTAAGATGGAAAAGCATGGAGGGGCACATAAGGGAGTGACAGGATGCTATTTATGTTTTAAAAAGATTCCTCTGGTTGTTGTCTGTGGGATATAATGGAGTAAAGCAAGAGTGGATATTGATAGATTAGGAAGTAAATGCTTTTATGATATTTTGATAAAAGGTTGATGGTGGCTTAGATGAGGGAGCTGAGAAACAGGGGAGTGGATGGGGTTCAGGGCAGATATGACAGGACTTGCTGTTGAACTGGATGTCAGTGAGCCACCTATACTCTACTAGGTCACTGATTCATTTCTGAGACTGAATTAATTTGTTTCTAGAGTTGATAATTTTTAAACATGTCACAATTTTTATTCTAATACTTCCAGTGATTTCAGGAAAGAGTCTGCTAGGTTTTGGTTTTCGATTGCCAGTTGATAGTACCATTTATTAAAATGGGAAGAATTTGATTTTGAACGGGTCAAGTTCCTTTAAGAAATTTAAAGGTGAGGCCAGTAGAAAGGTGGATATGTGAGCCTGGGGCTCAGAGGAGAGGTTGGGCTGGATGCATACTTTTGGGGGTCCTCAGTCTATAGATGATTGACAGACACAGGAATGGATGAGACCACAAGGGAGAGGACAGATGGAAAGAAATATCCAGCTCTTGGAACCTCAACATATGGAAGAGGAAAATGGTGGGCAAAGGAGACGGAGGAAGGAGTGTTTAACAAAGGAGAGATTCATCACATGACTTGAGCACCGCTGAGAGGTAGAAGAAATTGTCTTAGTCCATTCTGGCTGCTTATAATAAAATATCATAAGCTGGGTGGCTTACAAACAACTGAATTGAATTTCTCACAGTTTTGGAAGCTGGAACCCCCCAAATCAAGGTGCCCGCAGATTTGATGTCTGATGAGGACCAGCTCCCTGGTTCATAGACAGTGCCTTCTTGCTGTGTCCGCACATGGCAGGAGGGTGAGGGGTCTCTCCCATGTCTTTTCTTATAAGGGCACTGATTCCATTCATGAGGGCTCCACCCTCAGGATCTAGTCGCCTCCCCATAGGCCCTTAGAGGTTAGGACTCAACGTGAATTTTGGTGGGACACAAACATTCAGACCACAGCAACAATAAAGGCAAAAAGTGACCGTTGGTTTGGTAATATGGAGGACACTGGTGAGAGACTGCAGGGGAATGGGTTCAGGAGTGGACAGAAGAAGGAGGGAATGAAGAAATATCCACAGTACTGTAAAGAAGTTTAGTTTATGAGACCTAAAATGGAATGATACTTGACTCTCTTTATCAATTGACTTGTCTTATGCAGTTTTTGCATCTATTAGTTTCCGGTAACTGCTGTAAACAGCTATAAATTACTATAAACCCATTGGCTTAGAATAACACACATTTATCCCTTTATAGTCCTGGAGGCCAGAAGTTCCAAATCGGTTTCACTGGGCCAAAATCAAGGTGTTGGTAGGACTGCCCTCCCTCCAGAGGCTCTAGGGGAGAATCCATTTCTTGACTCTTCCATCTTCTGGTGGTTGCTGGCATTCCTCTGCTGTGGCCACATCAATCCAATCTGCCTCTGTGGTCACACTGCCTTGCTCCTCTTCTGTCAGTGCTAACTCTCCCTCTCTCTTATATGAGCGTCTCTTATAAGGACGCTTGCAACTGCATTCAATCCAGGAGGGTCTCCCCATCTCAAGATTCTTAATTTAATCCCATCTGTCAAGCCCCTGATTCCTTATAAGGTGACATTTATAGGTTCCAGGTACCTCCGAGAGCCATTATTCAGCCACGTATACTCTACTAGGTCACTAATTCATTTCTGAGACTGAATTAATTTGTTTGTAGAGTTGGTAATTTTTAAACATGTCACAGTTTTTATTCTAATACTTCCAGTGATTTAAAAACCTCTATTAAAATATTTAAGTGTAATATTCATTTTTCATAGAGAAATGGTGATTATGAGCTTCTAATTAATATTTGAGACAATAATAACCATAACTTTCAAAAAAAGTTCAACTAATAGTTAACAGCAGGGATGGGATTCTCTCGTTAACACGGCCACCAGTGAGTACCAGGGTCAGTCTTTATTAATTCTAAATAGATAGGATGTGTATGAGTCAAATAAGTGAGACACATAATGTGGTGGTATTATGTTGACTTTGCTGGCTCTAAATTTATTGCTATAGACATTATTTAATATGTATAACTAAATTATTTTAGCATTTAGGTAATTTAATAAAATAGTTTATATGTGAGCATCAATAAAGAGAGAACCATAAATTATACATGTGTGTAGTTTAAACAGAACCACTTAAATGCCTATTTTGGGGATTAAATATATTCAGAACTCTATCTGCGTCTAGTCCTTAATCTGGGCGAATTCTTACTCACCCTTTACAAGAGGCTTATTTGAGACTTCCTCCAGGCAGGCTTTCCTTGTCCAGTCTCGTCATTTCCTGTGCTTGAATCTTACTTTGCCCTTTTCTTGTGTCTGTCTATCCCCAAAACACTGTATCTTATTTATCTTGGAGCCCTCTGCACCTGGCATTTCTTTTACTCTGGGCAGAGCTGGTTCCTGGCTACTCTGTACAGAAGCCTGGAGACAAGCAGAATGGCTGACAACCTGCCGGAATTCTCTACTCTCCTTTGGGCAGGCCCTGCCCTCCACACCCCATCTCACAGGGAACACAACAAGAAAATCAAATTTGCTGGTAGCCATCCCTCCTAATTTAGTAGGTTTCAGTCATGCAGACTTTTCCTACAATAAAGGGATTTTTATACAAAAGCCTTTTGTGCACATACTTTTTAGAAACAAACACATTTCACTCACTGCCTTTCTTTAAAAAAAAAAAAAAGAGCTTGTTTCTGACAAATAATTCACAAATGTAAATGAAACCTACTAAAATTAAATGCACTCCTTTTCCCCAAGGATATCATTCCTAAAACAATTTCCAGACCTTTAAGGAAGTACTTTCAGACAGGGTGAAATCAGGGAAAAAAATCTTGTGCAATACATATTTATATGCTAAGTCCCTCCGGCATTTGGTCTTGTGACAATGGTCAGAACTGTCACAGCTTTTGCAGGCCTCTGAAAGGCAGGTTGAGACCTAAGTCACTCAGGTAGGGTCTTCCTTGGTGTTGCTGCATTTGACATCCTTCTTTGGGGGCTGTTACTAGGATCTTCCTGGAACACACTGCAGAAAGCGCTCTGCTAACATGTCTGAGTTAAGTCCCAGCTCCAAGATTTATTAGCTGCATGACATTGCGGAAAATCATTGAACTTCTCTGGTTTCTCAATTTCCTCATCCTTTAAATGGTGCCATAGAACTACATGGCTCAAAATATTTTTAGGCATCACAAACTCATTGATACATAGATTATTAATTCACACTGTAAATGAACATGTTAAAACTATTTCCGTTCTAAGATGGCTGAGATAGAGAGTTACTGGTGAAAAGAGTTGGAGTGATACAGATTTCCCAGATATTGATTAGAAATTGTCTTTGCCTCCTATTTCCACAAATATTTTTCTATTAATTTTTTTAAAAGCCTATTTTCCTTCATCTATTGAGCTTTAAAGCTATTTGCTTTAATTGTAACCAAAGTGACAAAGTGGAGAGAGGCCACCCTAGGTCAACGTGGCATCATCCATACCAACACTGTAACCATCCAACTCATCACTGAATAAAGATGTACTCACCACTGGATGAAGTGGTGTTCCTGGAAACATAAATTGCATCTGCTGGGCAAGCATTGCTGCTGCAGTTTTTTGCTGAATCAAATTGTTCCTTCCATTAATTTCTAGTTGAGTTTTTAAGTGTGTCGGAGGGTGAAGATACTTGCAGTTCTCTCTCGAACAACGGCCCTGTAAAAACAAGTGTTGGTTTTAGGACTATTTTAAGTAGCTTGCAACTCCAAAGTCAACCACTGAACAATCACTTCTTATGCACAAAAGCAAGGATCCTGTGTGTGTGTGTGTGTGTGTGTGTGTGGGTGTGCGCGCGCATGCTCATGTGTTTGTTGGGGAAAAGTGAATCAAACATTACATGATTATCAAGGTTGCTAATCTTAAGAACATGTTAAGTAGAGAAGCTTCCTGAGGATTTTTCCCTCCCTCCCTCCCTCTCTCTCTTTCTCTCTTTCTCTTTCTTTCCCTCCCTCCCTCCCTCCCTTCCTTCCTTCCTTCTTTCTTTCTTTTCTTTCTTTCTTTCCTTTCTTCCTTTCAGATTCTAAACCCTGACAAAAGATTCCAAAGAAGTGTGACTGCTGAGAGAAAGGAAAGGTCCTTCCCCTACACAGTATGGAAGGTAATCAGAAGGGCATATCTATTGTGGGCTATCAGAAGGAGTCTTTGAACTTGCTATACAGTTGTCTGTACATGCTAGAGTGATGTCCAAATATGAATAATTATGTAACAAATTTGTGGAGTAGAGAGTAATAAGAATTTTAAATGTGTGTTCCAGATTAGCTGAAGACATTCTTTCTTTCAGCTTATGGATGAAGAGGCAATAGTGTGCAGGGGTGGACATTTCTTGGTGATATACACATAGATGAAATTCTCAGGCTTGAGCTCAGATAATCATCTGCAAGTGATTACTTTGCTACACAAAAGCTGTCACTCTATATACCTGCCTTGCCCTCATGACAGGAGTTCCTCCCATGACAGGAGTATCAAATCTGATGTCATGATGTGACATAGTGAAGAGTGTTTATGGCTAAAGTAATATTTGGAAGCCAAAGCTGGTAAAACAAAGGAAAATAATAATTAGGTGACAGGGTACATAAAACCAGTCTGGAAGGGTAATTGCATATGGCGGTGTTTATACTTCATCCCCAAGTTTTCAAAACTACCAATTGAAAGAATTACATTGATGTGTGAATTATACAATTTCTGGAGAAAGAAGAGCAAACTGTGAACCAGTTTGAGTATCATACTTCCCTAAAGAATTAGTCCATTTGCAGCCAAGAAAAGAGAGTATTGATTTGTTTACCAGATATAAAAATAATTTTAAAAAGCAAGCTTGGGGGATCTGGGGAAATGAATTTGTTTATAGTCATCCTAATTCTAAACATCTGGAGTTCTCACTCTGCTTCCCACTAATTTCATCCGCACTTTTGGCAGCTCAGACTTCCTCTCTGGAGTTTGAATCTTCCCCCACCACCATGGAGAAGGGCAGACATGGGCCCTGTGTTCAGTCCCGGGCATCTGTGCTAATCAACAAATGCTGTCCTGAGGATCTACTGTTAGCAGCGTTAATAGTTGCGTCACCCTCTTTGGGGAGGATAACCAGGCAGGTGCCAAGGACACCAAAGGGAATAGGTCCTTGTTTGCTGTTAATAAGAGTCTATAACAATGGGTAATGCCAACATGTCTCCTTAGTCTCAAGTTCATATTGTTGATGTTTCATTCAGCTTCCTATGTATACATGGACATTCCAGGGAAAATATTGGAAAGTCTATTGTAAAGACAGAGGTGAAGTGGACACTAATCTAAATCAAAGTAGTATACGAATCTCTCTTTTCTCTCTTCATCTGCTTCTCTTGCAAACTGAATCTTTTTAAAATTTTTAATCCTAAATCTCTTTGCTTTATGACTTGCCAGGGTCCCTCCAGCCCTGTCAACTTGCTTCAGGCATCTCTTACTTTACTTCCTTTTCTTCCTTGACAATTGCTTGTCTCTTTGTTTGTTAAAATCAAATCTCCAAGAGAGCATTCAGATTGAGCCAGCTCCTACAAAGTTCATGTGTGCAAAGTCTTTGAATTGGCTGCCTTTATATCAGGTGGCCAAATACAATTCTATCATTTGTGATGTGAGGTATCCATGAGGATCAAAACATAGCCACAGCCCATCAGCTGGGGTGGAGGAGGGTTATACAGAATGCATTTCTTGTTTAGAGGATAAGCCACCCCAGGTTTCTCTAACCTCATTCCAAACTCTCTTTAGCCACAAACACTGCTCTTGGAAGCTGACACCCAGAAAGGCTCATGTATTCAAGGTGCACAGATGGGTCTAATGGAGAGACTTGGGAAAGCAGAATTCCAGAAAATGAGGATGGAATTAATGAAATGTCCACATTTCTACCAGTATGGCTGTTATATTGTATTCACTCATATACTTGTCAATTTGATCACTAGTTTTTTAATGTAATGCTTTGTGGCTGCACACACACATTTCAATTTGGCTGGAAAAATACAATTTTCTTATAAATGCTCTTATCTCTTGATAAAACTGGGACTCATAGGGAACCATATAAGCTATTTCAGCTAATAGAAAGTATTTTACAACATTGAATTAGTAGTTTATCAATGAAACCTTCTTTTTTGTGAGAATTGCTGTAATTTCCTAGTGTCCTTACTTACATACTTGGAGTAAAGAATGTTATTGATCACCTACATGCCAAGCAATTTATATATGGTCATCTCATTTTCTCCTTATAACAGCAGTAATGATCCCTATTTTTACAAAATAGCAGATGGGCTCAGAAGATAAAGAAACTTTCCCAAGGCCATATATAACTGGTAAGTGGTAGAACTAGATTTTAAATCCAGACCTACCTGACCCAATTACATCACGCTGCCAAGCTATTCATTAGCAATAGTTAAAATCCAGGGAGGATAAAAATCTATGATGATCTTTCGTATAATAATGGGATGCATAACAAAATTTTAAATATAATAAGATATGTATATATAGGGATTTGGGAATGGGAAACAATTATTTGCATGGACCTATCCGTTGGTAGGAGGATGGAGGAGTAATCAAGCTCACAGATTCTGGTCTCATAACTTGGCTCGACCTTTTCTTAGCTGCATGACTTTGAGCAATTACTTGACTTTTTTCTTCATCCGTTCAATGAAATAATTATTGTATCTTCTTCTCAGGACTGTTGTGTGATTAAATGAGTTAACACATGCATAAGGCTTAGAAAAATGCCTAGCACATAGTAAGCACTGAGTAAATGTTATTATCAAAAGAAAGATAAATGTTTCTATATGATATTTCATTTTCAGTAAGTACAGAATCATACATTTAGTAGTATTTTGACTGGCTCTTTGATTCTTCCACAGAATAAACTTTCACACCAAACATGTTAAAAGCTACTTAATTGTACTTATTCAAATATTTTATGTTTAAAATTATTTTCAACTCTACAGGGTATTTGTGTAAGTGTCCACATTTTAAGAGACAACCCTGAACCCTAGTACAATCTAGTATTAATATTTTGAAGAATTATGCACCACGGATGTCTGAGGCACACTAATTCAAACCCTCGGAGACTCTACGTAACAGAATTTTAGTAATGGATCCTATAGGATTGTAAAATCCTAATGGATAAGCTATTGTCAAAATAAAACAAGCTATTTGACACAGTGAACAATTTGTAAGGAAGTTTTTGTTAAGGCATAAGATTTGCCAGGATATGCATCAGTGTACAAAAGCTGTTGGTTATCAAAGCAACTTGTCATAGCCAAATGGTACAGGGCAGTGTGCAGAAGCGTAAAGCGTCTTTGTGTATCATTGTGAAACAAAACAGAGGTGTCAAAAATAGTGTCTTCTGATTTTATTCCAAGAAATAAAGACAAAAATGTCTGGGAAAAATCTTCCTTGTGGCAGCTAGGATTTGTTTTTTGCTTTGTTTTGTTTTAACTCTTCCTCCCTTTTAGTTCTTGGTAACACACTATTTCTGGAGAGATAAGGGAGGGAGGGTCCAGTGCCTAGTGGCAGGGACTGGTGCAGCTTCTGTGGGGTGGAGACGGAGATGGGGATGGAGAGCGCCATTGCAGAGTGCTTGTGAAGAGCCTCCCAGGAACTGGGAGCTAGGAGCCTCAGCTAGGGCCAGTAAGGTGGGCTCACACCAGGGACCAGCTCATGGGTCACATAAGCCCTCAGGGCCTTTGCTCATCCCACGTGGGACATGCCAGGTATGGAACCAGCAGGTGGTCATATACTTCCAGGCTACGATCTCATTCATTCTTTCATTCAACAAATATTTCTTGAGATTCTACTATGTGCCAGGCATTGTGCTTAGTGCTAGTTAAACAAAGGTGAGGAAAATCAAGACATGGTGTCTCCCTTCATGAAGCCTGCAGTCTTGTGGGGAAGACAGATGTTAACAAAACATGTCTTGTTACAAGTTGTGATACATATTCTAGAGAAGAATGCTGAGAAGGAATGGTGGGAGAGGGTCAGAATTGAGACCAGGGGTCAGAGGAGATCTCTGGAGAAGTGACATTTAAACTGAGACCTGAAAAATGAGTAGGAACTTGGCAAGGGAGTGTGTGGTGGTCAAAGTGTGTGTGTGTGTGTGTGTGTTGCATGTGTATGCATGTATGTTGTATGTATTATATGTATTGTGTGTTTCCTGTTGTGTGTGTGCTGTGTGTGTAGTATGTATGGTGTATGTGTTGTATGTTGTGTATGTTGTATGTGTGCTGCATGTGTGTGTATTGTGTGTGTTGTGTATGTTGTATGTGTGCTGCATGTGTGTGTATTGTGTGTGTGTTGTGTGTCTAGTGTGTGTGTGTGTTGTGGGTGTTGAATGTTCTTTAGAGGAGCAGCGTGTGCCAGGAGAATGTCCCATCTAGGGGCAGGCACGCAGCTCTCTAAGGCCAGTGCAGAGAAGGGGTGTGGGGAGGAGCATGAGGAGTGAGAAGAGGTGAAGCAGGAAGAAGCCACACAATGGGAGACGAGCCAAGGGGTATGAAGTTCCTGCTGTTGAAAGTTTTTAAGCAGGAGAATAACAAGATCAGATTTATGCTTTATGCTACATTTAAATCGCACCCTGATTATTATATTTCATATTTCTAATTTTATTATAGTTTATATTGTTTGGAGACCACCTCTTTAAAAACAATAACAGAATTCTGATGGAGTCGACATTGGATTTGTGCAGTTTCTACTTCCAAGAATAATCTGTACTCCAGGAATATTTAGATTAGGGATGATGGCTAGAATCAAGTTCGAACCTCAAGCTGAATTAATTTTATTAAAATCAGCAACCATGAAAGATTCTAATACAGAATACTCATGTTGATTCTCGACAGGAGGAAGGAAGATGCTAAATAACTGTAATATGTACTTGACAGAACAACAGATTGGTGCTATTGGAATTACATAGCCATTAAATTACATGGCATGGGATAGAATAAATGCAACTTTGGCTAAGAAAAGACTTCAGAATCAGGCTGCTGTGAGAAAGAAAAAGCATAATTGAAGGATGAGATTTCCTAATGGCTTATTTTAAAACAAGTAATTTTTGGAATCTTTTTCTAGTATGCTCCTAATTGAAAAAAAATCAATTAAAATATGGGCACAAAAAAGAAAACATAGAAGACTATTAAAGACTCTCCCATTAACAATAGTTTTTGCCCATAGGAATAGCTGTCAGACAACTGCATCCCATTAGTTTTTCATGGGAAAAGCAATGGATTTCTACGATCTACAATTCAGTTAACAGGCCCCCGCCATTTGTATTCCGCTGGAATAATTTGAACTGTGTCTTTACATGGGCTGAGTCATTGACCGGCAGACTCCAGCAACACTTTTCTTGGGGAAAACGATTCTAGCGAAGGGCTGGAATCCCAACCTGATTTTCTGAATTTTGCCTCTTTCAGTGCCACCTTGGCAGCACTTGCTGCTGTAGGTGCATGATGATATTTTCAAGCAAGCAGGCCAGGCCGCGGAACGGCAAGTGCTGGCCCTAAGGTTTAAGGGCAGATGGCATGTGCTTTAGACGCAGCCTTCAGGGACACTTTGAGTCCTGGAGCCTGCTTTAGACCCCAAAGCTGGCCAGGGAAAATCATGGAAGAGCCTCTGAAATTCCTCGCATTCCACATGGCTGAGGCCAGCTTGGTGAAATCCCGAGGTCAAGACAAAGGCTCTTGCTCTGGAGTTACATTTCAGAAGCCTGTTTTGTCTTGCAACCTCTCCTGGAGAAGCAGTGTAAAAAAAAAAAAAAAAAAAAAAGGGTTAAGGAAACCGTCTCAGAACTGGACTAATTGGATTTAAAATGCAGCGCTGCTGTTCTTGGGCACCTTGGGCAAGTGGGACCTTGTGGCTTCCAGCTGCCATATCTGTGAAATGGGGCTAAGAATAGTTTCTGCCTCACGGACTTTCAATAAGGATTAAGAGTTAATGCATATAAAGTGTTTTAACAGTTCCTGGCACATAGTAGGCATTCCCTAAGCTTCATCATCATCATAATCATCATCATCATCACTATTACTATTGACACTTTCTTTTCATAGTAGGTAAAAATATATGGTATTGAAAACAACTTCTCTAATACCTGCTCCATTTCCTTATCACTGTGCTCCTCTCTGGCCTGTCTACCAATCTCTTTAAACCTTTGCTATTCTCATTCTGTCAGTGCCAACTTTGGTCATTTATCTCTTCAAACAGCCTCAGATCTGTTTTTCTTTGATATCTCCCCTGCTGAAACTTGCCAGGGCTAATCAACATGGCATGACTTATCTAGAGTGTAAAGCAGCTATGTATTGTGGTTGGAAAATCCCAAAATTCTGGCTGTGGCTTCATTCCAAAATGGTTATATGAACTTTTTTTTTTTTTTTTTTTTTTTACAAATAACGTATAATAGTCTGTGCCTGTGCCTCAATTTTCTCATCTGTCAAATAGGGGTGATCCTGTTCCTATATCTCAACTCCTTCTGACAGTTGTTAGAGCAGGAGTTGCTCAGGAAGAAACGTAAATTGTTATCTATATTTTTTCCAGATCTATTTTCTCCTTGAATGCTCCTAATCTAGTAAAAGGGGAAAGCCACATGAAACAACAGTTACAGTAAAAAGTGACACCAGGGATGTATGTTGGCAATGGTCCAGGTATGTTCTGAGAATTATGAGACGTCTACGTGATGAGGTTTGAGGAGATTCAGCAGAAGTGGTGAATTAAGTCAAAATCAATTAAGTCTAGGAGGATTTATTAAGTACCCACAGTGTACACAGCTTGGAAGTGAAAATTTCGATCAAACAGACCTCTGTTTTCGTCCTTGTGCCACGTAAGTTGTTCAGCAGTTATTTACTAAGTGACTAAGCTGACTGGGTGTATCAGATGTTCCCAGCCTCAGTTTCCCCATAGTTTCAAAAGCTCTCAAGGTCTTTGAAAGTGGGGAAGCAATAAAGGCTGTGGTTAGAGTGGGTGAGCCGATTCTTATTAGTCCATTTATACAGGTCTCAGTCACATAGGCCAAGGCTGAGTCTAACATTTGGCCTGAACCTCCTCTTCTTCCTCCCAGTACATTTCCAGAAGGATATGGGCAAGTAAAAGTGTAGGGGAATAAAATGGTTATTTACATCAAGGCTTAATTTATGACATTAACTATGAGACTGAAATAGCTCTACTCTAAGGCAAGTGACAGATTAGGCTTTTGGGCTTCTTTTGAATTTAAATAAGCTAATTGAACCACATGAGCTCCTTGTATTATTAGTTCCAACTACCTAATATAGCAAATAAAATGCAATCACATAACGGCTTCAGAATTAGAAAGTAACTTTAGATTCAGGGGATCATTATAAACAAATGATAACCAGAATGTCTATCAACATGAATAATTACCAGTATCATCAAGATTATGCATAAGCCTCTAATAAGCTCTTTCTGTTTATTATTTGGTTCAACATATATTACAATTTATCCTTAACAGTCTAGATATGCAAATAATTTTTGGTGAATACCACAACATTTTGTACTTATTAATGACAGATAAAAATGGTGTATTTACATTTCTTCTCTGGTGTGTTCTTTTTCTCTGTTGCTTCCATTATATGGAAGAAATGCCTAGAATGATATAAGGAATATTTGGCAGTGTAGCCTGGTGGATAAATGAGGGAAAAACACAAATAGTGGTAGACAGTCACTACTACCTCCAATTTTACCCACCACCACCAATTGCTACGGGTTTAGGAGAGGATAAAGAAAAGTGGGAATGAAGTTACATAGGTAAGTGGACCAAATCAGTTTGCATTTTCTTTCCAAAAACCCATACAAATAGGTGTAGAGCATCATTCCACTGCATCACCTGGACTATGGGGCAGAGCTCTTCTCTAATGATAGTGCTTTTACCTTTCTTCAAGGGAGTTGCAAATCTGAGTGTTCTCATCTCTGGATTTGCATTTAGGATAGCTTGCTATCACCTGAGGGCTGGGAAAAACCTTCAGGCCACCACAGGTGCTTTGGGAGTAGATTTGTGACTCATTCCTTATTAGGCCAATGCAACTGCCCTCTTCTTTCAAGCACCACTGGCACTGGCCCCTGACATTAATTTTGTGACTATTTTAAATAAACAAAGCATAACAACTAGTAAATGAGGAAGAAAGGCAAAGTAGGTGAATTGTTTGTAGTTTGCCATTTCATAGCATGTTTAAGCCTTTTAAAAATTTTTTATTTTTATTTTTGAAACAGGGTCTCACTCTGTCACCCAGGCTGGAGTGCAGTGGCACAATCATAGCTCACTGCAGTCTCGACCTCCTGGGCTCAAGCAATTCTCCTACGTCAGCCTCCCAAGTAGCTGGGACTACAGGTGCTTACCACCATGCCAGTCTAATTTTTTTATTTTTGTAGAGTCTGGTTCGCACTGTGTTGCCCAGGCTGGTCTCAAACTCCTTGGTTCAAGCAATCCTCCCACTTTGCCCTCCCAAAGTGCGGGGATTACAGGCGTGAGCCACTGCACCCAGTCTTTAAAAAAATTTTAAATGCATTTTGGTTGGCTGGGCAGTTCCAATTTCTCATACTACTTGTGTCTTGTGATGGGGAGAGCTGTTTGTTGGCTTGATGAAGGGAGAAACCCCTCTTACCGATAAGGATTGTTAATTCTCTTAATTTTATTCATTAACTGAAAATGTGCCAGTTAAGAGAAATCAGTGAGACTAAAAATAGCCCATCAGTTCTTTAGAGATTCAGGGAAACAAATTTCCAGGCACCAGATGCTTCATTTGGAAATTATTTTATTTAATGAGAATATCAATGTCTTCTGAGTCACGGGGGTAGTTTGGTTAGTGTGGACCATAATCATATATCAACCTTACATGAAACCAGTTGTGATGTTAATATTGAGTGTCAACTTGATTGGATTGAAGGATGCAAAGTATTGTTCCTAGGTGTGTCTGAGAGAGTGTTGCCAAACATTAACATTTGAGTCAGTGGACTGGGAGAGGCAGACCCACCCTCAATCTGGGTGGGCACCATCTAATCGGCTGCCAGCAAGGCTAGAAAAAAGCAGGCAGAAGGATGTGGAATGAACAACCTGCTGAGTCTTCTGGCCTTCATGTTTCTCCCATGCAGGATGCTTCCTTCCCTCGAACATCGGACTCCAAGTTCTTTGGTTTTTGGACTCTTAGACTTACACCAGTGGTTTGCCAGGGGCTCTCGGACCTTTGGCCACAGACTGAAGGCTGCACTGTTGGTTTCCCTACTTTTGAGGTTTTGGGACTTGGACTGGCTTCCTAGCTCCTCAGCTGGTAGACAGCTTAGTGCAGGACTTCACCTTGTGATCGTGTGAGTCGATTCTCCCAATAAACTCCCCTTCATATATACATCTATCCTATTAGTTCTGTTTTTTAGAGAACACTGACAAATATACCAATCTAGTGGCTGTTTGACTTCATAGAGTCTAGATTTTTTGATACCACATTCATTAATGTCTGCAGCCCCATGGGTGAATAGAAATCCCATGAAACATTTTTATCTGAGCCTTGGAATTTCTCCTGCTAGGGAGGGCAGGCCTTTTCTGTCTACTTCCCGAACTTCTCCTCAAACCCCAACCGTACAGGAAACCTCATACGACGGGTGCATGTTATCCAGTGATCTTCCTTCCTTCCTTCAACAAATATGTATTGAACCCCTTCCATGTGCCAAGCCCTGTGATATTAAAATGACAATTAAAATAGAGTGATCAATGCCATGATAGGCGGTGTGAATGCATTGCAGGGAGCTCTCCTTAGTTTAGAGGTCAGGGATGACTCCAGAGGATGGGACATTTAACATTTAAGCTAAGATATTTATCAGATTATCTAGTTGAGAGTGGGGAGGAAGGTGGGAGTTAGAGTTGGCCATTTGGAGCGAGGAGGTGGGGATGGTTAATGGGTACAAGAAAAACAGAAAGAATGAATAAGACCTACTATTTGACAGCATAATAGGGTGACTATAGTCAACAATAACTTAATGGTATATTTTTAAATAACTTAAAGAATATAATTGGATTGTTTGTAACTCAAAGGATAAATGCTTGAGAGAAGGGGTACCCCATTCTCCATGATGTGCTTATTTCACATTGCATGTCTGTATCAACACATCTCATGCACCCCATAAGTATATACACCTACTATGTACCCACAAAATTTTTTTTTTAATTAGAGCTAGCCATTTAGAGAATTAAAAGAAGCCAGAGTAATTGACAACCACTCTATGGGGGTTTACTTCCTGAAGCCTTATAAACACCATCACATGACATCTGTATCCCACAGTTTCCATGGGGAACTGGTTCCAGGACCTCCCACAGATACCAAAATTCAGGATGCTCAAGTCCCTGATATACAACGGCCTAGTATTTGCATATAACCTATACACATCTTCCTATATACTTTAAATCATCTCTAGATTACTTATAACACCTAATACAAAGTGAATGCTAATGTAAATAGCTGTTATACTTTACTGTTTAGGGAATAATGCCAAGACAAAAGTCTGACCATGTTCAGTACAGACGCAATTTTTAACTAGTATTTTCAATCCATAGTTGGTTGAATCCACGAATACTGAGGGCCAACTGAATGTTTAGTAAATGTTGGGTTCTATTTTTATTATCATCAGTCCTTAGCAATTCCAGAAGCTAGTCAATTTTTGAAATAAGTGAAATCTGTCCAAAGATACAAAACCTTATTATGCATCTTCTGTTACAGCCTTTTTCAAACTGATTGCAATACTATATGGTGAATCACCTACCCCCACAGAAGGCTGCCTGGAATTTGGACACATGTATTAAAGGCCGACATTTTGTGGGTGTGTTCCTGCACAGCTGTGCCATTTTACTTAAACACTGGAAATGACTTCCATCTCAGGTAGAAAACAGACACTGTCCCAAGCCTGTTTAGTGTCAAGTGTTTTCCCTGCTTCTCTGGCCACTCCAGTGCCTCCTCCAGAGTCCCAGCATCTTCCCCTCCTGGACCCCAGCAATCAAAGAGTTAAGCCCACACAGCAGGGGGTTTCTGAGACTAGCTGTGGTGCACACTGATTGGCTGCTGCCCATCTGGGAGGTTACTTATGGTAAAATATTTTGAATATCACATCTTATTATAAATATACTATGACAAGGCCAGAGTGCCTTGGTTGCTGGTGTCGGAGTTGGGAATGCTTCCGGGAAGAAGTGGGAGAAGGGTTGTGTGCCTATGGAGACAGGAATAGGGAAGGGGTGGGCTGGAGGGGAAGGAAGACTAGGTTAAGAAACACTGGAAGAAGATGGGAAAAATAGAGCATCCTATTAAGAGTTCCTTCGTTTTCAGCAACACAGGAAAAGAACATTCCTCTTAGGCGGTTTTGGATTTCAGATGCTTCTTGCCTTACCATAGACTCAAGTTCTGATAAACCCATGGTTAATGGAAAATAGTATATGTTGAAAATGCATTTTCAACTTATGACATATTCAATTTACAATGGGTTTTTCTGATGTAACCCCATCATGAGTCCAGGAGTGTGCTGAATGCATATTGCTTTTGAACTGTTCTAAAGTCAAAAATCGTAAATTGAACCATTATAAGCCAGGGACTTTCTGTACTTGATGTCTCAGGAAAGACCTGCATTGCAGTCCTGGACTGCAGCAGGGGGAAGCTGCACTTTTTTCAGAAAAAACAGCCTGGGAAGATGGAGGGCATGGCAGCTTGCACCATGGCGTGGGCATTTATGCACCGGCTGGGGAAGGCTATGCAGAGCAGAGGTACAGGGAAGAGGTGTGGGCTTTATCCTGCACCTCCTGAGGGTGGAAGCGGTGTGCCTCCTCCTTTACTCATCTGACAGTTTTGGAGCATCTGCTCTATGCCAGAAACTGGGAAGGAATTGCACACAGGACTGTAAGCTGTGGCCCTGCCCTCGATAAAAATAGCAGAGACTTATATAACGTTGTACATATCATCTACCAGGCAGTTTCTAAGTGCTTCTTAGAGATCATACCCATTTAGTCTTCACTACAAGCTCTTAGCAGAGGTAATGTTAATAATCCCATTTTATGGGATGAAACAGAGGCACAGAGAGGGGGAGATAACTTTCCATGGGCATACAGCTAGTAAGTAAGTGGCAGATCTGTGCAGTCAGTCAAGCTGGCTGGCCTGGGACTCTGTGCCGTCAGCACTACCCAGAGCTGCTTTTAAGAAACTCACGATGGAACTTCTATATCACACCTTAAAAAGCATTCTTCACACCCTGTCTTATTAGACCTTCACAATATTCTTGTTTTCTGTTACCCCAATTTAAAGGTAAGGAAATGAGGCTCAGAGAGATTTAAGGTAATTTCCAGGTCATGTTGTTAAAGTCAACCAGGGCTAAATACTGCTCTTCCCTCACCAAAACACGTGCCTTCTCCATCGCCTGCTGTGGTCCATGGGAGACACTATGGGGTTACAGATTTTTGGCTCAATATGTGAGATTTGTTTAAAACAGAATGAGTGACTTTGCATGATAATGCACTCGATGGAGGTGACAGTGGATAGTAGAAAACAGACACTGTCCCAAGCCTGTTAAATGTCAAGTGTTTTCCCTGCTTCTCTGGCCACTCCAGTGCCTCTTCCACAGTCCCAGCATCTTCCCCTCCTGGACCCCAGCAATCAAAGAGTTAAACCCACACAGCAGGGGGTTTCCGGGACTAGCTGTGGTGCACTCTGATTGGCTGCTGCCCATCTGGGAGGTACTTATGGTAAAATATTTTGAATATCACATCTTATTATAAATATACTGTGACAAGGCCAGAGTGCCCTGGTTGACCATGTTGAATTGTGTCTCCCTGCATGTGGAAGTCCTAACCCACAGAATCTCAGCATGGGATCCTAGTTGGAAGTAGGGTCTTGACAGATGTAATCAAGTTACAGGGAGGACATTAGGGTGGACTCTAATCCAGTATGACTGGTGTCCTTATAAAAAGAGAAAATTTAGTCACAGAGATCCATGCATAGAGGGAAGACGATGTGAAAGAGACACAGGGAAAATATGGCTATCTTTTTGTTTTTAAGACAGAGTCTTATCCTGTCGCCCAGGCTGGAGTGCAGTGGTGCGATCTCGGCTCACTGCAACCTCCGCCTCCCGGGTTCAAGCGATTCTCCTGCCTCAGTCTCCCAAGTAACTGGGATTACAGGCACCCACCACCATGCCCGGCTAATTTTTTGTATTTTTAATAGAGATGGGGTTTTACCATGTTGGCCAGGCTGGTCTCGAACTCTTAATCTCAGGTGATCCACCCACCTCGGCCTCCCAAAGTGCTGGGATTATAGGCATGAGCCACCCTGCGTGGCCGAAGATGGCCATCTTTAAGCCAAGGAATGGCTGAGGCTATCAGAGCTGTGAGAGAGGTCTAAAATAGACCCTTCCAGGCTGGGAGCAGTGGCTCACGCCTGTAATTCCAGCACTTTGGGAGCCTGAGGTGGGTGGATCATGAGGTCCGGAGATCAAGACCATCCTGGCTAACATGGTGAAACCCCGGCTCTACTAAAAATACAAAAAATTAGCCGGGCATGGTGACACACACCTGTAGTCCCAGCTACTCGGGAGGCTGAGGCAGAATCTCTTGAACCCGGGAGGCGGAGGTTGCAGTGAGCCGAGATCGCACCATTGCACTGCAGCCTGGGTGACAGAGTGAGAGACTGTCTCAAAAAAAAAAAAAAAAGACCCTTCCAGAGAATCTTCTGAGGGAGCATAGCCTTTGACCCTTGGATTTTGGACCTCTGGCCTCCACAACTGTAAGAATATAAATTTCTGTTGCTCTAAGCCATCCAGTTTATGATACTGGTTATAGCAGCCTTGGGAAGCGAGCACAGCCACCTCTAACAAATGTTAGATAATGTATTTTGTCTTGAGATTGGCGGTTACACCAGCAAAATACTACAGTCTCCTCCAACACTAAGAGTTGTTTCTGTGAATGTGTATTCAATTTTTTTCATGATCTTAGGTAATGAGATCTCCCTATTTGCTCAAAAATAAACTATAACAACCCCCAAATCCCTAACAAGTACGATGATTTTCTACCAGTGAAACTAGTCAGCTTAAATGCCATCCGATTTTTCCCACGGAAGATTTAATAGAAGAGATTTATTTTAGTAAAAGACAAAATGTTTCACTAAAGAACTCATTAGTAATGCATAAAGGGCTACTGGGTCTCTGAAGATCCATTTTCAAAGAGAAATGTTGGGATAATTTTTGTATTCTGATTACAGAGAATGACTTGATAAAAATCATCCTTGATATTAAAATTGCATGGAGGGGAAAGAAAATCATTCAGTCTAGCAGGATGGAAGTCAAAGAAAATGGGTGAATGTGGCCAGCAATTAATTTGGAGTTGCTTTTACAAGCTAGATAGATGTGCATTGGCAGAGTCTCACCCGTGACACGGGTGGGGTCATCTTCGCTGGCACTTTGACATACAGAGGGACAGTGGTAGGGAGGAGGACAGGGGAGAGGCCTGCTCTATTCAGCTGGAGTCTTCTATCACCCTCACGACCACCCTGCCTATTCATTCCTTCTCATCAGGCCCAGCCTTTAGTGCCCTTGGTCATTGCCAGAGCTCCCGCCTGGCCAGCACTCCCCCAGTGAGACCCAAGTCCCCAGAATCAATCCTCAAGTGACACTGAATCTTTGCACCAGCTGATGCTGACTCATGGCCCTAGCTTTGACTAGACAGCTGCTCTGTTTCAAGCCCTAACACCCGCCGGGTGTCCCACGTCTTATGCTACAGGGTCCCGCAGGCTTCTCTTTTTGCCTCCAAGTTCAAGGTCTGAGAACCTGCCTCCCTCCAGGCTCCTTACCAGAGTGAAGCTCTGCCTTTTGCCTTTGCCTCCAGAAAACCCTGCCTGTAGGCTGGGGTCCTGTGTCCCCTGCTGTGCAGCTGTTGCTCACTCACCCTTTCTGAGGGTCCCCATCCAGGGTTTTTCTTCACTGTGGTCCACCCTCAGTAGATACCTGCTAATTTTTCTCAGAATTCCTGCTGCTGCATGTTTCTCCAGTACGTACCTAGAGAGGGCGGAGACCTTGAGACAACACACCCAGGCTCACAGCATTGAAATCTCCATCTCTGTGTCCCAGTGGGCAGAACTAACTTCAGACCCTGGGGTCTCTTCTGGTCAAATTCAGCCCAACTTAGTGAGCTATGACATTACTTCCTCTTTCTCTTAGGACCTGCCTGTAAACTGTGGAAGAAGTCTTTTCCCTCAGCAAACCCCAGCTGTTCTTCATCTGTCACTGCTGGCTGGATACTTAAGCTCTGGGTAGTCCAGAAACTGCTAGTCAAATGTATTTACAAACTGAATTGATGCATTATTATGAAGTCCAATTTTTTATTTTTTAAAAAGGAATTACATAGATGGTAATAATACTTGGTAACAGCTTTTGAATGCAGTCAAATACCATTGTTATTATTTTTACTCATTAGATGCATGCTAGACACCGTGCTGTTTCACATGCAAAATCTCAGACAAACATTTGAGAGGGGGAGGTGCTCTTAATATCCCTATTTGACAGACAGAGAACTGAGGCCTGAGGAGATGAATGATCTTGTCCTAGGGTGTGCAAGTAGCAAGATACAGAACCAGGATTTGAACCCAGGCAGTGTGACTCCAAAGCCACTGCTCTTAATCACTATACTTCTTCCACACATTCATATGGTTATAAAAACTAATTATGTTTGCCGAATTCTCACAATGTGCCAAGCATGCCTCTAAGTGCTTTACAGGAATGATCTCCTTAGTGTTCACAATATGCCTTTCAGGTAGGTCTTATTTTTATGCCCATTTTGCAGATGTGGAAACCAAGGCACAGAGAGGTTAGATAACTTGTCTAAAGTGACACAGCTAGTAAGAGGAAGATCCAGACTTGAACCTACTCAGCCTGGCTCCAGAACCACCACACTCTCTGAATACAAATTATTGATTCCTACTTTATGTCTGGTACTGTGCTAGGCCCAAGGGGCTACAAAGATGAAAAGCAAACTGTTCTTATCTTTGAGAAACTCTACATACATAAATCTGCAATGCATATACACATGAATGGAAGGGAAGAAAGCATGGTAATAAGTAATATTTAAGTATAATATTAGCCAGAAGGATCTATGTAATGTTTCATAAATCATACAGTTTTCAAAATCCCATTAAAGTGATCGAGTATATTTTATAAATATGGTTGGCTTTTAATACTTCAAACTAATAATTGAAGTGAATAACCAAAGTAGGCCACTGCCATCATATCTCCGTCTATTAGGGCAAGACAAGGCACCACTAACAGCCTCTGGGACTGCCCTGTTACAGGGAGATCACAAGCTTTCAGAATCTGCAAATGAGGCACCTGGATTTCAGACAGCCAAAAGGATTATGCATACATAAAACTATCATTTAAGAGTTCTGCATGCATACTTTAGGCACATATCAATGCTTTGCTTATGGCAAAAGACTAAAGCCCCAGATGAGGGAATTTTCCCTAGGAACAGTAGGGTGGGAGAACTGTCCACCTCCTTCAGATGACCCCAATATGAAACACGTGCCTGTCCTGAGCATGTCATACTTTGACACTCTGTGGGGTCCACTGGGAGGGTACGCAGTTCTGAGCTATTTTTACAGGATTGATATTTTGTTCATTTTATCCACCCAGTTTTACCTGGTTGCCTCTGTGATCCACAGACAGTTCAGCAGCGAAAAGCATATGATCCCCGGCCCTGGAACAGAGTGACACTTATAGGACCACACGGGACTGAAGCCCAATTGATGCATCATCCATCACAAAGCTTGGCATCTCCCACATTGAGTTACCCAGCCCTAGATACATACCCACCCTGTCTCCTGCATCCCCTGCCACCTTCCGTTCCCACTGGCATTGTCAGGCTGGTCCAGGCCATCAGATGTGTGACAGTGCTGCCAACAGATGCCTTCTCTACTTCCTATACCCTCTGCTGCACTATCCCCTTCATTCACTCCACAGGCATATGTTGCAAGTCTACCTTGGGCCAGGCAGTGTTCCAGGGACATGGGATATCAACAACAAAACTCACAAATGGCCCTGTCCACACAGAACTTAGCTTCTAGTTAGGGGAGACAGACAATAAGCAATAAAGATGATACACAAGTTACACAGCAGAACGTGCTGAGGGCTTTGGGGAAGAACAAGTGGGTAAGTAGGATGGGGAGTGCTGGTGGGTTGGGTGGCCCTTTTTAGTTACATAGGCAGGGCCATTACCACTAAGAAAGTAATTCAGCAGCAAAGACTTTGTGGAGGTGGGGAGTTGTCCTGCCTGTATCCAGATGAAGCATATCCCAGGCAGAGAGAACAGCCAGCACTAAGGGCTCGGGAGGACGCATGCCTGGTGCATCTGAGGGTCAGCCAAGAGGCTGGAGAATCTGGACTCCATGAGCCAGGGCCAAGCTGGAAAGGAGTTCTGAGAAACAACCATGGTTTGACCAGGTAGGGTCTTGCAGGCCATTGTAAGAACTTGTTTTCTTCTTTGAAGGAAATGGGAATTTTGAGGGGAGGAGTGATGTGATCTCACTGGTGTTTTAGAAGGATGGCTCTGGCTACTGTGTGAGAATGGACCGAAGGGGCCAGAGGTGGCATCAGGAGACCAGTTAGGCTGTGGTGGTCACCCAGGGGAAGAAGACGGTGGCTCAGACCAGGCTGCTGGCAGTGGAGGAAGGTGGAGCCAATAGGATTTCCTGACACACTGAATGTGAAGTGGAAAAGGGACCAGTCAGGATGATTCTAAGGTTTTGGGCCTGAGCCCCTGGAAGGGGATTTTTGTCATCAGTCGAGGTGCAGAAAGCACGGCTCAAGCAAATGTGGGGGAAATAGCAGGAGTGGTGTTTGAGATGCCTATAAGACATTGAAAGAGAGGTGCCAAGCAGGCTGTTGGGTCCAGGAATCTAGAGTCCAGGAGAGAGGTGTGGTCTGGAAGTCATTGGCGTATGAAAGAAATTGAGAACAAACCCTTGGTTATGGCCATGAGTGTATCTCTCTCCTCCACTGAACCCTCAGAGAACCCCCATTCTTTCCTGAATCGCATCCAACTGCCTCACCCACGAGCAAGGCCTTCCACATCCTCACCCACGAGTAAGGCCTTCCACATCCTCACCCACGAGCAAGGCCTTCCACATCCTCACCCATGAGCAAGGCCTTCCACATTGCCAGAGAGTGAGCTTCCTTTCCAGTCCAAGCCCTGCTTTCTTTTCATGCTGAGGTCAGTTGGAGTTGGGAAAATCCAAAGACTTATGCCTTCCTTCCTCGTCTATGAGTTTGCTCAAGCTGTTTCCATTCCTCTATTTTGGTCCCCTGACCTTCCCTCACATGAATGACTCTCTGACCACTTCCAAGCTTCCTTGAGAAAGCATCTTTCCCCTTCTCTGCATGTCTGTAACAATCTGCACCTCTGGGGCAGCACTTAACCCCTAATGCCTGCTATTAACCATTATCAATATCAGTATTGATGTCAGATCCCATCTTGGGCCTATCTTGTAAGTTTCTCATGAGCAGAAGCTCTTTCCTGCCATTGGGAATAGCCAGTAATGTAGAGCCCGGTGCCTGGAAGAGAGCAAGTGCTCAGTGCTTGCTTAACAAATGAATTTTTGGAAGACACAGATTTCAAAAGCCAAGACTCTTGTAAACCTTGTGGGATGAGATCTGGAGTGAACAAATATACCTTGATAATTATTTTAACTGCTTTAGAAGCTATTTGTTTTCATTTTAGGATCCTTAAATAACAGAAATACATGTGATAATTTAATCAAAGTATACATAGGAGGCTTTTTTTCCAGTAAGACAAAAAATACTATTTTAAATATAGATATGGTGTGTCCCCTAAAATGAAAATGTCAATAAATATATGACTGTCTGCTTTATCAATAAGCAAACTTCTACAAATTAATACAAATTATTTATATATATGAAAATACATTTCATTTTAATAAGAGTATATTACTATATGCCCAATGTTTTCAACCCTGATTCTTATAAATCCCTGAATTTCATATCATTCTATTTTACATATTGAGTGAGCTAAGGCCAGAGTTGAACAGCTTGACCTAAGTTGAATAGTTTATCAGTGGTCACAGAGCTAGGAGGTGGGAAAGCCAGGATTCTCACTTAGCTCTCTCAAAAGCCAAGGGCAAATTTACTCAAACTCTGTTTATCCAACCTCCTCCCTCCTACTTGGAAGATCTTGAACATTAGAGTTGTTGACCTCAGTGCCTGAGCTGCGGATTATCTCAAAGAAGAAAAAATAGCATGGCAAGAGTCTCCCAAGAGTCATGTTCTTGGACAGCATTGACTACCAGTTTTCAATCATTCATCCATTCATTGCATGATTGAGTGATAAATAAGTGTTCATTTATTCGGTGCATATTTAATGTATGGTACTCTGTGTAGCACTGATCTCAGCACTAGAGACAAGACAATGAGCACAACAGGCAAAAGTCCCTGCCTTCATAGAGCTTACATTTTAATGGGTGAATGCAGACACTCAACAAGATCAATAAATACAACATGTAGTGAATATGATGATGGTGATAAGTGCTAGAGAGAAAAACAGAACTGAGAGAGACAGGAAGTGTGTGTGCAGAAAACTTTACAAGTTTTCATAGGATGAACAAAGAAGATCTCAAAGGGAGGATGCCATTTGAGGTGTTAAGGGGGCAGGCAGCAGGTCTGATAGCTTCTGGGGAGAGGAGTGAGGAAATGCAATGGTCCTGAGGCAGGAGCATGCCTAGAATATTCTGGGAATAGCAACCAGGTCAGTGTGGCTAGAGCAGAGTGAGTGAGGGTAAGAGCAGTAACTTAAGATTGGAGAGGTGGGGAGAGTGAGGTGACCAGATGGTGACCCTTACTGGTCATCATAAGGTCTTTGGCTTTTACTCTGATTGAGATGCAAAATCAATGGAGGGTTAATGCACTAGAACATATTACTGAGAGGTTTCCATGTTCTTCACATATTTTTTAAATGTATTAGCAACTTTAATAAATTATGAGAAAGTGCATTATGTCAAACTCCCAATTGCTAAATACTGCTGATCTCATACAGATCTCCATTTAGGACTGCCCTTGTGATCACAGAGCAGGTCAGAGCCTGGGAGAGCATAAAGGGCTTACATGTAAGAAGCCCAGGTGTAGTGGGCCACACTATTTCCAGTGTGCCTGCCTCAGACCTTGAAAGAATGTGTGTGGCTATCCCTGAAGCCTACAGCTCAGCCTTAAAATCCAGACAGCTGGGAATAGATCAGCCATCTCTGCTACCAGCTTTTGGAGCAGTGCTGCAGGGAGAAAGCTATCCATCAACAGCTGTTTAGGCAGCAGGCTGAAAATGCTCCTCCAAGAAGGGCACCAAGAGGAGAGACAGTCTCTCCAGCAGAGCAGGGAAAAGTCCTGGTCAAACTTCTGCCAACCCCATTTAATCTCACAATGTCAAGTCATCCTCAAATTCCATTTCCCTCTTCTGTTCAATAAGATCTTTTTTAAAAAATTTGATGGGATGTCCCACAAATAAAACATTGGCTGATTAGAATTCAAGTTCCTTCTGTGCAGCAGTGGGTCCTATGTGTTGTGAGAAGACAAGAGTGCAGTTAGATGCATGGAAAAGAAAAGCAGGGAAAACCATTGAAAATTGCTTCAGAATAAGCAAATTGATAGCTTAGATTCTATTTTGAGGATTTAGAGTTAACACCTTGGACCTGCCTTTATCCTGACAAAGGCAAAGATTCAAAGAGCCGTTGGACCTTTAGAATTTAGGGAGCACCACTAGGAGCCTCCACTTTCCAATTCATGGTCCTGAGGTCTAGAGGAATTGACTTCTTTTTGGCCTATCTATTTGCAATTTCTCCCAAGAATTTCTAGAATTTATTTTCCTCTGTGCTTCTCAGTGTTTCCCTCTGTAGACGATTGCTACCCCAATGGATGCAAGTTGTCACCAGGGGAACATGGTTGCATGTAGCACCAAATACTGCTTGTAGACTGAATAAATACTGTCTTACAAGTAAGTACATGTATGATAGTTTCCAAAGTTATAAACTCTACTGTGAGGAATAAAATGCAGATTCAGACATATAATTTTTAATTGAATTCACAGTAATTTTTGTAAAGTGTGTTCCCAATGAACAGGTAGTGAAAACATACTTAGTAATATAGATGCACAGAGAAAATTTTTCAATGCCAAAAGAGGAATTTTAATTCTTTGAAAACATATGAGTAGTAAATGATAAGTAATAAAATGAATCTAAGTTGTGGGCTACTTAGAATTCTAACTCAATGGCTGTGGTTAGAGCAAACTATGGGTTATGAAGACCAATGAGGAGAAGAGACATTCTAGGGTTTCCTGGTCTTTGAGAGCTACCATTATAGACTCGTTTCTTGGAGATATTTCCTATTCTTCATGATCCAGGAATTTTGCAATGATAATAATCCTGAAATCATTAAAGCTTCAGTGTGAAGTAATTTGTTAATTACCTACCTCCAGTAAAAGAGGATGTTAGAATAGAGAGAAAATAACAGACTTCATGAGAAACAAGTGCAAAAACATGAAATAAGGAAAAGTACTCAAAAAGGAAGGTGAAATGGAAGAAATGCTGCAAGTAGAAGAGAAACTTCTCTGTTTTAATCATGAGAGGATATTGGATTTTATCAAATACTTTTTATGTAACAACTGAGATGATGTTTTCCGTCCCCTTATTCCATTAACAGAATGTATTCCATTGATTGATTTTCATGCACTCGGAAGCACTTTGCCAAAGGCTGGAGCAACTGTTGACATGTGCAGCTATACTTTTCTTATATGAATCTGTTTTTCAAGTTATTGTCTATGCTGGATCGTTTCCAGAATGTTCTCACATGCCATGGGGATTTGAAGTTTTAAAACTTTACAATGTTTGAACTCAACACTAAGAGCTAGTTTTTAGTCATCAGTTGGTTTCATTCAAGTTAACACCAAGAGTAGAAGCTCTTTTCCTTCATTCAAAGAAAAAATAAGATCAAGAATAACACAAAAAAGGACTATCTGTAATGGAATGTGGGGCAGGTTATACAAAAGGAGGAATATTGGTGTTTGGACATTCACTTAAAGAGATTTAACCGAAGAGGAGGCTTAGGAGGCTGCTAAGGAGAGAGGACTGTTGGACGTTAACCCACCTGTAGCCCCTTAACGGTATTTCCTCACATGTTTAATTCAGGCAGCTTCCATGACCTCAAAGCAAACAAGGAGGACTTCTGCATGAGCACCACACATCTACACATGGTTTTTTTTTAAAAAAAAAAGAAAAAAAATCCCCTCTAAAAATCCAACGCTATCTCAAGAAATTGATTTTTCTAAGGAATA
Source organism: Homo sapiens (assembly GCF_000001405.40). NCBI lineage: Eukaryota > Metazoa > Chordata > Mammalia > Primates > Hominidae > Homo > Homo sapiens. The sequence goes on along the minus strand of NC_000013.11, from coordinate 97,311,597 downwards.
CAATTTCAGTTTGCTATTTTTGTATTTATGAAATCTCTTTTCTTTTAATTAAAAAATGTAATCCCATAAAGCATAGCTAGAATGAAAAGCTTAAGTGTGTGAGCTGGCTTGTTTGCTTAAATTTAATTGTAAACATCATTAAACATTGGGAAACATGGTGAGAGGGGATTCACGCTTAAAAGCATCACTCTACCATAATTACCACCATGTTTGAAGACTCATTTTTGACAGTTTCATATTTTTATATAGTTAGAACCTTGGTGAACAAATAATTTTATCTCCTGATTGTTCTTATGGAGCCGATCACGCACCTTGCTTCTCTGTGCTGCTGGAGAACCTCACTGTTTACAATGCCGGCATTGTGTTTGCTTGAATGAGTGCACCACAATTAACTCTACCTCCCATTCTGGCTCTTTACAGTTCTGCACTTTCATAAATAATTTTGTGAAAAGCATTTTCACACACATAGTCATTCCTCCCCCTCTTTTTTATTTCCTCAGTGTAACTGGAATTATTAGATTAAGGAGTATGGATTTTTGCATGGCTTTTAATGTGTCTTGAATCTGCCTATTCTCAAACGTAATCTTATCTGAGCACTCAGCATATCTACATGTTTCTCTCAAGACCTAATCATATTACATTGATTTTTATCAGACAATGAGCACATGTTTTTCTTTTTACCTTAACTGCCAGGAAACTCAGAGCTAAAGTTCTATCTAATAAAGAGTTCATCTCAGGTGACCGGTAATATGTTTCTCTTTTCCTTTGGGTTGATTTTCTACTTAGTTGTTCTTTAAAAAAAAAAAAAAAAAAAAGATGCTGAATTTCAAAAGTTCTTTCAAATTCCTTTTAGAAACAGGAGGGCTATAGGCCGGGCTCAGTGGTTCACTCCTGTAATCCCAGCACTTTGGGAGGCTGAGGCAGGTGGATCACAAGGTCAGGAGATGGAGGCCATCCTGGCTAACACGCTGAAACCCTGTCTCTACTAAAAATACAAAAAATTAGCCAGGCATGGTGGCGGGTGCCTGTAGTCCCAGCTACTCAGGAGGCTGAGGCAGGAGAATGGCGTGAACCTGGGATGGGGAGCTTGCAGTGAGCCGAGATCGCGCCACTGCACTCCAGCCTGGGCAACAGAGTGAGACTCCGTCTCAAAAAAAAGAAAAAAAAGAAAAAAAAAAAGAAATAGGAGGGCTACAAATCTCACTCACATACACACAGACATATATACAAACATGTATTTATTATATCTAACATAAAACTTCACATAATTAGCATTGTATCATGAAAATGTTCTTGGCACTGGAATCTCTAAGATGATCCAGGACAATCCCCTCTTTTTATGGTACAGACCCTGAAGCTAGAGAGAGAACGTGACTTGTCTGGGATCACACGACTCTTTGGAGTCAGAGCCGGAACTAACCCTAACCCAGGCCTTTGCAAGCCCAATCAGAACCCTGAAGGCAGCATGAGAAGCTGGTTATTTGCTGAGCCTTACACCTTGACATTTCTGCCAGGGGCTAAGTCCTCTGCCCGACAGTCCTCTGTCCTTACCACCCTCCTAGGCCTCCACTTTGGTTAAATCTCTTCAAATGAATGTTCAAACACCAATATTCCGCCTTTTGCATAGCCTGCCCCATACTCCATTACAGATAGTCCTTCTCTGTGCTATTCTCGATCTTATTTTTTCTTTGAATGAAGGGAAAGAACTTCTACTCTTGGTGTTAACTTGAATGAAACCAACTAATGAACAAGAGCTAGCTCTTATTGTTGGGTTGAAACACTGTACAATTTTAAAATTTCAAATCCCCATGGCATGAGCCATGCTCAAGCATCTCTCGCTATGATATTTTTCATCTCTCTTTCTTCCCTGAATTTCCCATTGCTACCATCCTCTGAGAGGCCCACATTATTTCATTCCCAGCTGTTGGTTTGCTTGGGCTGCCATAACCAAGTACTACAAGCTGGGTGGCTCAAACAACAGAACCTTATTCCCTCACAGTTCTAGGGGCAGAAGTCCAAGATCAAGGTGTGTGCTGGGTTGGTTCCTTCTGAGGGCCCTGAGGAAAAGATCCGTCCCAGCACCCTCTTGTTGACTGTGGATGGCCATCTTCTTCCTGTCTCTTCACACTGTCTTCCATCTATGCTTATCTCCGTGTCCAAATTTCTACTTGCAATAAGGACACCAGTCATATTGGATTAAGACACCCTGATGACCTCATTTTAAATTGACCACCCCTGTAAAGGGCCTGTCTCCAAGTAAGTTACAGTCAACAACAGTGGTTTGAACTTCAAGGTATGAATTTTGGGGGAGATGTGATGCAACTGCCCTTGAATGCAAAGGTCATTTTGACATTTTTCATTTCCGTGCTCAAAGTCTTCCATTGTCCCCACTTACCAAATAAAGTCCAAATTCCTCACTTGGGCGTGCAAGCTCCCCACAGCCCTGTTCCTATGTGTTGTTGTTATTTATCTCCCTACATACCCCATGGTTTTTTATGCTGCAGTCCAACCATGCTACTCTCAGATTCCAAACACACCCACACTTTTCTGCCTCTGCGCCTATGCTCATGGGCTCTTTCTGCACAGACTGCCCTCTTACTTCACCCCCACAGGCCCATCTCTGATGCCCTTTCTCCATGATGACTCCTCAGTCCCGCTCAGAAACGTCTCCTCCTTCCCAGGGCTTCTTTTGCTTATCTTGCTAGAAATGAAGGGTTATGACCATTGTCATAGTCACAGTCACTTGTGTGTTCCCTGATGCTAGACTGTACCTTCCTTAAGAGCAGGAACTTACTCATCCTTGCATGCCTCTCAGTGCCTTTTCTTTCTCAACTCCCCCAAAGTGAAGGCTTGTATCTTTTGTGAACAAATCAGAGGAAAAAGAAATATTCTGTTATACAGATCGATCATCATAAAACTTCAGGGGCCTCTAAAGCAGCTCTTGTCATAATAGTGGGCAGGCCACACATGATGTAGGTTAGTAGATAGTGGAATAAATAAAATAAGCATTAGGTGTAAGATTTAAGATTGTTGGTGTGTGGGTATGAGCAGTGTTAAATGGGCCATCATCATTTTTACTAGGAAATTCCCTTTGTCCTCATCATTTTCCCCTTCCAACAGAAAATTCCATGAAGCTCATTTCTAAAGAAAAGTAAATACCCAGATGGCCAGAGGGATGACCTTTCTCTAACAGAGGGGATGGATTTGTTATCCAGCCAAATGTTTGAAATTCTTCCACCAGCATGCATAATTGAGAGAGATGTGTTAATTACCCTTACATGACAGCTGGTAGGACTTCCTAGACAAACTCTGAGAGGAGTATTGATCTGGAATCATTGTAAGTCACTGTACTGTGGTGATATAAAGGTAAAGCCCTCGCAACAGTTTTGAATGAGCAGGTCAATGTGTGGGGCCTCTGTGAACTGGGGCCTGCAGGCATGTGGCAGCCAGCCAGTGTTCGTCCAGCAACAAAAGGACCAGTGTGGTTCTTTGCATGACATTTTAATGAGTGATACAAGGAAAATCCCAAAGATGTAATCCCTTTTATTATAATAGCTCTATGGCTCAAAATGGGTTGTTATCAAAGAGAAACACAATTCCAGAAAGTGAGGATAAGATTTTTGTTTTTATCCCCTGTATCTGTGAACAGCATTCTCATCATTGACTGTTATTTAAGGGAACTGAGTGCACAGCGTTTGACTCAGCACTGTGGACATTTTGAAGAGGGAGCAGAAAATACGATCCGTGCCCTCGAGGAGTCACTATCTTGGCACTTGGGTGGAAAATAATTTAATTCTCTAAAGTCTTTTCCAGGTCCAAGATTTTATGATTCAATGAAGAAGAAAGAGATCATTTTATCTTTAAACAGCAAAAATGTCATGAATATCCTTTTGTCTAAAAAGCAATTCATATTTACTAATATAATTTGTCATACTGCTGCTACATTAAATTTTTCAGTGTTTATATCACAAATCTGCACAAGGGAGCTTTTGAATTTATTTTTCCCTTCCTGTTGTGGACTAAATATTTTTTCTTTTACCTGGAATCACATGAAATATGGGATTACTTGACTTTTCTGAAATCCAATATAACGGTATGTCGGCTTCCAAAGTAACCACTTTGTTGTTCATTCATACATTTCTGGAAAAACTATCTGGTTTTGGTGGAGTCTAGGGAAAATACGCTCCAGGTTTTTTTTTTTCCATAAAATGTGTAGAAGAAAAATATACATCTCTTTTAAGCAACTGGAACCAATTTAAGGCTTTGGCACACACAGTGGAAAAATCAATGGAAGTTCAAAGTTGAAAGGCAAAGTTGGCCTCTACAAGTATCACTAAACTTGTGTCCACCAAGAAAAATAAGGAGAGGATTTCTGACAACCAACTAGGATGGCAGGTCAAATAATCAATCATCAACCAATCAATCAACATGGTTTTATTGAAGACGTTTTTATTTATGTTGGATGCTGGGAGATGGAACCCACGAGATTTAGACTTTCTTTCTCTCCTTCAGAAAAGTTTTCAATTTAACCAGGGAGATAACAGGAACATGCCTTGAACAATAAGGAATAAGATGCTATATTGATAAAAATCAAAAGTCTACAGGGCTGGGCATGCAGGAGACTTCATGAACACTGAGTGATCCAACCAAGGCAGAGCCTCCACACATTCCTGAAATCCTTTTGAGAATCCATCCAAATTTTCTTCCCAACTAGACAAGAACTTATAGTCCTTGAGCCTTGTTCTTGTTGCCTGGCAACAACACCAGACTCTACTGAGCCCCAGGAGACCAATGTCCAAAGGCTGTCTACTTCCCATGCAGGTTTCCTCCACATGAAAAATGAGCTCATAAGTAGGACACCTATTCTCCTCATCTCTTTCTGGTGCTGGGAAGCCCTTCAAGTTTTTCTGGAAGTATTTGCTTCTTTGTTCCTTGCTTAGATGGAGAAAGTGAAATGAGGACCACCAAGGGGTAAGTTTCCCATTTATGTCCCAGGCAGTCACACTGGTGGTCCAGTCCCAGCCTCTCCATCATGTCTACAAATCATTGCAATATAATGTAAGAGGTGTCATTTATGTCACAGTCCTGGCAAGGAGTGACCACCATGAGTTTGCTCTCAGAGGGTAATGGAAGGCTCTAGAAATATGTGCCTTGAAGAAGAGGAAAGAAGATGGGAAGGTTTGAAGAAAGTGAGAAAAAGTGAGAGTGCTCAACCGTGTCAAATACTGCTGAGAGGTCAAATAAAATGAAGGGCTGCAAAAATGATCAATGAATGTGGCAATTAAACAGTTAATGGTGGTTTCATCCAGGGCAGTTGGTGGAGTATTGAGAGCAACAACCAGGTTGCCCTGCAGTGAGCAAGGGTTAAGAGGTGGTGGTGAGGAAGACTGGACAATTCTGTCATCTGAAATCTCCTATTAAGTTAGGTTCTTCTGGTTAGGGACACTGGGGAAAGAGGAGAGGAAGTGATTTTTAATGTCATAGAAAATGTTTTCATTTCTCCACCTTTCCCCTGTGTGAAGAGAGAAAGGGAACATGTGCAGACTAGCAGTGGAAGCTGCTCAGTGAGGGCACAAAAAATGCCAGGACACCTCCGGGCTCAGGGCAGAGAAAGGCCCACCGGAATCTGTTGGAATTAACACATTTGTTCTGTTCCCTTTTTTATCCCTTCTCTTCCCCTTCCTCCCTGTTCCGCTCCTCTTAGAAATAATTATTGCTTGGGTAGCTCTCTGTCAAATATCTTGAACTTTTCATGAAGAAACTCATCATGAGACTCTGACAAAAAATATAAAAATCCTGGGATTTTTGGTTTGTTTGTTTGTTTGTTTTGAGACGGGGTCTCCCTCTGTTGCCCAGGCTGGAGTGCAGTGGTGTGCGCACGGCTTACTGCAGCCTCAACCTCCCAAGCTCAAGTAATGGATCCTCCTACCTCAGCTTCCCGAGTCACTGGAACTACAAGTGCGTGCCACCACATCCAGCTAATTTTTTGTATTTTTTGTACAGGTGGAGTTTCACCATGTTGCCCAGGCTGGTCTCAAACTCCTGGGCTCAAGTGATCAGCCTGCCTTAGCCTCCCAAAGTGCTGTGATTACCAGCATGAATCACCATACCCAGCTGATTTGGGATTTTGAAGTCATGATTTAGGCTTTTAAACAGTTAATCTAAAATTACATCAATCTAATATTGGCTGAGTATTGGGGATAGATATGTTTTCTGATTTGCTCATATCATCTGATACATGTGTACCTCTTAGATTTCACTATTATTTCCAAGTAGTAGATTGTAAATAGAAATTCTCCTGTTATAGCAATTTCTTAATTATGCATAGGGGTAGTAGAAAGAAAATTTGAAAATAAGAGTAATTCATCTAAAAATATATGTTAGCCATTGTTTTTCAACTAAACCTAAGAATTTAACCAGAACTCCTGATAAGAAGTCAAGTCAAGATGCTAACTGGAATTTTACCTTTTTACAATATCTGTGAAGGTGGTAATTAGCACTTACTTGATCCAGGGTGGGCTGGTAATTAAAAGAAGGAAGAATATGGGCAGAAAGCCCAACAGAACACAGAAGACTGATTTTCAACCTTTATTTTTTTTAAGCAGCAGATTTCCAATGAAGCCTCATGTAGAAGGTCAATATAAAAATCAGATCTTAAGGTATAAAGGTTAAACAGAGCTTCTCTAAATTAGGCAGAGCTGGTATCCCTCCAACTTTCTCCCCTCAGGGACTGTTGTGGAAGTAACACTATAGAACTTATTATTTTAATTCTATGCAATAATGCATTTTGTTTATGTAATAATGTATTTGTAACAATGCATTTATATATGTAATAATATATATGTAATAATGCATTTAATAGTTTGCAAAGCTCTGTCATTTCATCACATCACTTGATTTTTATAACAATTCTATGAGCTAAGCAGACTAGATATTACTATTATTATTGCCACTTTGCAAATGACTTGCATAAGATCATCTGGCTTATAAATGACAGATCTGGGATCCAAAATCAAGTCTTTAAAGATCTTATACTATGATCCACTATGAAATCCTTCACTTGTCAGATCATTGCATTCTTGTTCAGAGTTAGAGTATATGAGATATTCTGGATAGCATGCCAAAGGATAATAGCAATTATCATTAAATTAAAAATAAAAAAGCAAATAAATGAGTTTTTACATTTGACCCCATATGTAAGAAGGTAAGTAAATATTTTTGATATAAAATTAAACTCATATGAATAGTCAGTGTAGGCAATAATCAAATAAACACTTTCCCTGCTAAGCCTCACCAAGTCAATCCCTACAAACTTTAGGTAAATACAATATGTGACAAAGACTTTTCTCCTTGAATAACATAAAACAGTGTTTTCTAATACAGCTTTCCAACTGAATTAATCAGAGATTTTAAAATGCAAATTCCTGTCCCCTCTATTGAAAATATAAACCAATAGCCATGGGTTGGAGCCTTTCTTCAGGTGTGGGATTAGGTTTGGAAAACACTGGTATCAAGTCATACGATGGACTCTGCCTCCCCAGTTACTTCCTGAAAGTGGGCTAGAAGTTTTGGGAGAGGGCTTGTCAGGCCACAACAGTGTCACTTATTCAGTTATAGCCTTAAATTATATCCAGTGACCAAAAGAGTCGGTGTATATCCAATTATGCCTAATTTATACCCTGGGACATGCTGGTTCTGGCTCAATGTAAAATCCTGGTAGAATTTCAATTTAACAAACTTGACAGGACATCAAAAATTGCTATGTTGTCTCCAAAGCTCATTAAATGAAAGCCTACACTTTCTTCTAAGGTTCAGAGATAGTCTACATTATTATTATTTTTCTATTTGTTTATGTGAGGCATATATTCAGCAAATACTTTATTGGAAAACAATAACCCGTCAGACGGAGCCCCTGAGAAAATGGGGCATTCTGCCACCGGAGCAGGAAGGCCTGAGAGAGGAAACACTTCAGTGTCCTTCATGGCTGCAGCATTTAATGGAATGTAATATATTCTTAATAAATTTGAAACGATCCAAAATATCACTGGTGCAGCCTGCATGGTTGAGAGAGCCGGCAGCTAGCTGGCTGGGGTGGGCCTGGATTCCGACCTCTATGCCTTCTCCATTTTGATTGTCTCTGACCCTGGCACCTTCTTATTTACTTCTATGGTGCTAATGGTCCCTTCTCCATGATTTTGCTGGTCCTGTGGTTAATCCTCGCTTCTGCTTATGGGCACCCCCACCCATTGCCCAGCCCTGAGGACCCTCCTGACTCCACCTGAATTTCCTTGGGGGCTGGTATTTGCCTTGTGACTTCTGCCATCCAAATCTGCATTGCCAGCTCCTGTCCCCAGATACTTAAGAAATTTCTACCCCAAAAGACTTTTGCCACCTCCCCGAGGAACTCATGATCCCAAAGCCTGCCCACATGTCCTTCACTGGGACACGATTTCCCTGTTTCTGGGAAAGGTTTCGTGATTCCTCCTCATGCCCAAGGTTGAAGCTTGAAGCCACATATGAAGAGTGCAGAGAGGTACAAAATGCTCCGAATTGGAAATCACATAGGGCCCAGTTCGAATCCCTGCTCTGCCACTTGGGCACTGTAGAGTCATTTCACATCTCTGAACCTATCTCCTCAACCACAAAATGGAGAAAATAAGAACTTTTTCATGACATGATTGTAGGGATTGGTGGCACAGCCGCTGGAACACGCTTGGCTGCAGGGCACTCAGTCAGTGCCCCTCCCTCCCTTCTTCACTGTCCTTTTCACTCTCTGCCTGCCAGCCTTTCCTGTCAACAGCCTCACCCTTCCTTTCTATTCTATTCACAGAGCCAACAGAGTCTGGGCCCCAGCTGAAGTACAGACTCCACTACAGCCTCCTAGAAGTTTCTCTGTCCTCACTAGTAACGTATTTACACCCATTGTGTTTGGATTGAAATTATCAGGATCAAACTCAACTCTGCCACATACCAGTCATAGGAAAAATAAAATTCTCTAAGGTTCATCTGTCACATCCACAAAATGGGCCCAATATCATAGGGTTAGTTGTGAGGATTAAGGGAAAGAACACTTTTAAAGAAATTGGCATTGTGCTGGGCACATATTACCACTCTAGATTACCAGATTACGTCCATTCTCTCCTATCATTTTCCTACTCAGAGAGCTCCAAGGCTTTCCCCTCCCAACCACACCCCACAGCTAAAATACCTTTAGAAAAAAGGACAAACTACTTTCAACATTCAGGTCCCCCATAATACAGAGGTAACGCTCTGTAAAAAGCATTACCCACTATGCCTTTCTAATTGAAAGGGATTCTCTTCCTCTCATCTGACTGATCAAAATAATGAGCCACTTCTAGAGAAAAGGTCTTTAGAAAGCATTTGAGAATTGTTTATGGCTTGGGTCAGAGAGTAAAAGAAGGGGAACTAGCTTAGGAAGATAGTTTTGTTTCAGCTTTCCAGAGGAGAGGGCCTTCACGGGGCAGAAGCAAGGGGAGATAGTTGCAGGACCAGGGAGAAACACACCTCCAAGTATGTGCTGAGGAATTGCTGCAGAAATCTCAAGGACTTTTAAAGAACATGATCTCTGAGAAAACACTGGAATATGGTCACCTCATGAAGAGCTGAGCAAGTATCCAACCGGAAGAAATCTGAGAGGAGTAGAGCTTACTGCTCTGAGACTATGTAGGTCAAGGACCAGGAAGACATGTCTGCCCTATGTCCTAGTGACCATAAGTCACCCAGAGCAACTGATGCTCACGAAACAGGAAGGTTGTAGGACTCTTGGTCAGCATTTGCTGTTGACGAACTAATATAGGCTGGTGGTGTTTTCTGTTAACTAAACCCCGCATCTAAACTGGTTTGTTAAATTGGGCCAGTGGAGCTGGACTGACTTGTGGGGTTTCTTTCCCCCGGGGCTGGCGGAGAACTCAATGCCAAGTGAAGCATGATACAGCACTTCCTGCAAGTAACTCAATTCTCTTGGACCACAGCACCTCAGACACCAGGGTGACCTCAACCTAAAAGCATATGGAATGACATCCTGCCACCAACCCGCTGTCCTCCCTTCCTCCTTGTCCCTTGATGGACCACACTTAGCTCCCTTCCATCACATTGCTCCTGCTTCTCCTCCTGCCTGAAATGCTCCAAGACACGGTGAGGTCATTAGAAACCAGGCAGATCTAGATCTATCTAGAAAATAGTTCTGAACATACATCCCACCTCTTCTGCTTCCCAGTCTGGGGATCCTGAGGCATTAATATAAGCTCTCTGCTTCATTTTCTCTCTCTGTAATATCAGGGTACCTATTTTAATAATGTGTTGTAGGGATAAATGGAGTAACGCAGGCAAAATGCCTGGCACAGTGCACAGCCTGTAGCAGGCAGTCAATAAGTGTTCACTCCATTCCCACCGTACATGTTAATGTCTTTATGTCTAGACAAATATCACATATGCCTGGAGGTACAATTCCAGTCTCATCTCATTAAGGAATCTCCAGTTATCATCTCCCATTCTGAAGTCCTACTTAGCTTAATAGCTTTACCACTAACTCAGGCACATCAACTGCCCTTGTTATTCATCTGTTCTGACACAGATGTCTTGTTTGGCTAATTCAACAGATGTTTCCAAAGGGGACAGCTGGTGTCAATGACAATTCCGTCTCATCACTCCAACTTCCTACTGTATCTATCTATCATAGTTATAGATGCCCAATATATTTGTGTGAGTAAAGGAGTGAGTGAAAAAAATCCGAGTGCAAGGGTAAAAGGCCAGTTACAGGTATAATTCCTACCAGATTATAATTTGGTTGACTTCTTTACAAATTTATAATCCAGTAGGGATTGAGCACCCAAATTTTTGAAGCAGATCAATGGTGGTTAGCATGGAAGAGAGTATAGTGGAGTAAAGATGTTGAAGGTGAAAAAGAAGATGAAGAGAAAGGCAATGTTGCAAGAGAGGTCAGTTCGGAGGTTAAGTGGGCTTCATGGAGGTATTACGGACTCTGAGTTAGACAGAAGGTTGACAAGCATTACCGCCTGAGCTCCGCCTCCTGTCAGATCAGCAGAGCCATTAGATTCTCACAGGAGTGGGAACCCTATTGTGAACTGCGCATGTGGGGAGTCTAGGTTACATAATCCTTATGAGACTCTAATGCCTGATGATCTGAGGTGGAACAATTTCATCCCCAAACTATCCCCCACCGACCTTCTATGAAATCGGTCTCTGATGCCAAAAACGTTGGGGATGCTGCTGCCCTATATGGTGAAGAAGATAGTTAGCTGTCCACCAAAACTTATTCTCTGTTACTTTCACTGTCATTGAGCTATGGTTGGGTACATGGTCATCTTGCCAGGGCCTGCATTTCCAACCCTCCTTGCTGTAAGAGATGGCTGTTGGACAAAGTTTTCACCAGTAGGTTGTGAGTGGAAGTGATGTGTACAGTCCCTAAGGTGGGACCCTTAAGGTAGTGAATAGTCCTCTCCCGCATTTTCTCCTTTCCTTTACGGCTGGTTGGGACCTGGCTGTATCAGTGACCCAGCCTTGACTATGCAATTCTAAGGCCCTAGAGCCTGAAAAATGGCAGAACTACCACAATATGGAAGGAATATGGGCCTTGAATGATGGAAGAACACCCCCAACATCCTGTGATGAGACAAGAGTAAGCTTTTTGCTCACTGGTTTAGGCCATATGGTTAAAAGCCATATGATTGTTGGGTCTCTTATTACAGCTTAGCTGCTACAACCTGATTAACACATTACATATGTACCTATGGAATATATCTCTTAGAATGTTTTTTAAGTAAAAAAGATAATGGCATAAAAATAGTACAGCAAGCTTTTTTGTTCCTACTAAGTAATACGTTTTGAAGATTTTTTCAAGTCATGTGTTTGTAATCTTGGATATAGATGATAGATAGATAGATAGATAGATAGATAGATAGATAGATATAGTAATTCTACCTTATTTCTAAATATACAGTATTTCACAGTATCAATGAATCATAGTTCATGTAACCAAGTGTTAATGATACTGACATGAACATCCATGTACATGCCTCTGTTCAAATGCACAAGTATTTCTCTAGAATAAATATCTAGAAATGGAATGGTTGAGTTGAACCATTGTGAATCTTTCAGAATTTAATATATATTTACAAATTGTGCTCCAAAAAGCCTACATCAATCGATTCCATAAATTTATTTATTTGCTTGGTGTCTGTCTCCTCTCTCTCTCCCTGGAATATAAGCTCCCTGATGGCAGGAACCTTGTGTTGCCTTTACACACTATCATGCACTATGATAGTGCATAGTTCCCTAAAACACTGTCAATGTTAGAAAACTTTAAATTTCATTCAGCTAATAGGAAAAACAGAGAAGAAATTAACACAGAAAGAATGTTAAAAAAAACTAGAAAAGTGAAAGTAGCTGGAATCTAGTACTAACAAAAACCATCAATGCCCATGCTTTGTGAAATTCTGAGTCATGTGGATTCTTCAGACCAGCACAATAATTTTCAGTCCTAATCCTGCAATTCCTAACATCCCATTGCTTTCTTTCTGACTTCTTCCCAAACCAGCCAAGTACACTACAAGCTATTCTCTTCACTATGATCATTATACTATGAGATTACAGCTTGCCTACACTTATCAGGTGACCATGTGACCTCAGGTGATCCTGAGAATGAGCTGTAATGCATCAGTGAGTTTGACTGCACTGTCTTCATAGCAGAAGGCCCACTGCAGCTGCAAGGGACAAGCAATCCTTAATGCCGTGTATTCCTCTAGTACTTTTCCGGCACAAACAGAAGAATAAAACTTCCCCATCATTCCCTACTTTAATAGGTACGTGTGAAATATTCATTCACCAATGCATGCTTTTGTGCTAAGTCCTTAAACAGAAACTTATTGGTGATTTATTGACAGAAAAGAATATCTGGAATATAAACAGGTCTGAGATAACTAGAGAATGATTGTGGGAGGAGAAAGAAAAGGTGAGACAGACATTATGTAAAGGGAAAAACAGCATGGGTTAACTTGGGTCCAGTCCCAGATCTTCCCAGCTATTGTGTGATTTTGCAAAAGATACTGAATCTTGTTAAGTCTCAGATTTTCTATCTTTTAGAGAAGACATACTCATTCAGTGCCTCCCATGTTCCAGCCTGCATTCTAGGTGCTTGGGATACAGCAGAAGGCAAAACAAGGTTCCTGCTATGAGGGAGCTTATATTCCAGGGAGAGAAGGAAGACAGACACCAAGCAAATAGACAGATTTATTCATGTATTCAAGAAATAGTTACTGCCTTCCTACTTTGTGCCAAAGATGGCTCCAGAAGTTTTATTTTGTTTTTAACAAATTGCCTTCCAGGACTGTTTTAAGAATTTTTTTATTTATTTATTTTTATTTATTTATATTATTATTTTATTATACTTCAAGTTTTAGGGTACATGTGCACAATGTGCAGGTTAGTTACATACGTATACATGTGCCATGCTGGTGTGCTGCACCCATTAACTATATCTAATATACTGAAGAGGTCCGAGAAAGTTCACAATGTGTAGTATACACTCAGTAAATGGCAGCTATTATTATCATTTTCTTCTATGTGTCTGTTTTCCCTCTCCTTTCGAGAAATATTTTGTTTATTTTCTATATGTGCTTGCTTATGTGTTTATTGACCTATTTATTTATTCATTGCTGCTCTAGCTATAGTTTAGCATTTTGTCTTTTCGTCTTATTTCTGGCAGCCTTTGCTTGTTTAGAATGACAGGCAGAGCCACAGTTAAAACTTCGTCTGCAACTGCATTCAGACCTCTTGAAACTGGGAGGCAAACCATAGAAAAAGAATGGATATCCAGACTCCTTCATCAACTCTTCCTCAACATGCAGCAAGGCCTTTAAGCAGCATCTTAGTCTCTATTGTTGCAGAGTGGTCTGATGGGTCGTCTTGGCTGGGGATACTTTTTTGGCAGATAATGATCTAGCAGGGAAACATGGAAGCAGGAGACATGAAGGGACAGGGAGGGGATGGCTGAGAGAATAGGCAGCTTCATGGAGTTAGAGAAAGCAGAGTCAGAGATGGCCATGGTACCCACTCTTACCCATTCCCACCCCAATTCTCCCAGTCAAGTCTGATGAGATGTTTTTTCTGACCTCCGCAACCCCTGGACTGGGGTTAAGCCCACAAGGTGTTTCCAGAGCTCATGCCATAGATCTTACCATACTCCAGGACACATGGAGACCCTTCCTGGTACTTATCATACTGTACGGCAGTTGGCTGATACTCATCTTGATGCCTCTCCTGACTATCAGCAATTTGAAGGCAGTAGTGTTGTCTTCACTGCTGAACCCTCTATGTCAAAGACAGAACCTCATGTATGTTAGGCCCTCAATAAATGCCCATGACATAAATGAATGAAGGCAGAGATGGAGGAAGAAAGCAGAAAAGTTAACAGAACAAAGGCATTGAGGTAAGGCATAAGTAGAAAATGAATGTGCAGAAGGAGTGGAAAAGCAACTTTGACCTTCAAATAGTAACTCTCTTTCAATGGTACCACATGGACAAAAAGGCCAGACAGAAACTCAGATCAGGACAGGGCCACAGACAAGAGCCTTGACTGGGATGCCCTTTCCTATCTGAGAAAATGAAATTGGACTTTTGTCCTCTAAAATCCACATCTGTCTCTTCATCTAGTTGATGTTCAACCATTTAGATAGGACTATTATTTAAATGGCAATGAGTCAGCTTGATCACACCTTGTCTATAGAACTTTCTTCAGCTCCATGAAGTCAGACTTAATGTTTGGGGCCAAAGATCTAGAAATCTTCTGTTGGTCTAGCCTCCCTCATTTTCTAGTATGTATGTCAAAATCTTCAAATAGACTATCTCAACTGGTAATAGTATTTTTCTCTTTTAAGCACCTTTTTGCAACTAGCTCAAATTTAAATGGTAAAGAAAAATCGACAGCATCCTCTTTACTATCTATTAAACCGTACTTCTATTAATGATGATTCACTGAAGGGCCATGAATAGCTACACTGAAAAATTCTGTAGCATATTAATGTGCTGAGCATCATACCACACTTAGCTCCTGATATAATTTTAAGTTCCCTCTGGGGGGAAAAACAGTTTCTCTGGATTCTTTTTATAAAAAAAGCACCTTGATAAAGCTTTCAGATACTCAAAGACATGAATCTTGTTCTGTTCCCTTGTGTATATCTGATTTAAAGGTTAATAAGTAATTAGGAAGAACACTCATCCAAAAATTACCAATTAATATGCCATCATTTTCATTAAAAATGCTATTAATTATATTGTTGTACAAATGTCTTGGACTGGCTAATAAAAAGTTACCTAAAGCAGTTCTAAATCTTTCAGAGAGAAAGAGAAATGAATCAAAATCAATCACTTTGTAACATTATGATTTGGGTTGGAGAAATCAAACAAAGGAGAGGAAATGAGTGTCTCAATTATTTAGCGTGGATAGAATCTGACAGAGTTCCATGGTTTATTTTATGTACTGAGTCATTATTACTAAGAAAACCTAATAAGATATCTTGGCAGATATTTAATGTGGAAGTTTGACAAATAACAGTTCTTTGGTTCTTATGATATAAAGCAGCTCTTTATAGATGAGATCATACTTTTAAACTATCCAGATATATTTTGTTGGTTTCCTAGGAGACTGTAAATGCAAAGTTATGACCTAAGTATGTTATGTATTTAAACTTTGTTCTATACCTTAAATGCTGGTATTAGTCACTTATTCAAAATTCACAGGATTTCAATGTTGAAGAGTTCATGATTAAACTTGTACCATCACTCCAAGAACTCTACTAGATTTAAATGTATGTTAACAGTTTTATGAGTCCCCAAACTGTTACTGTGCTCTCATCGTCCTATCCTGTCATCTCCTGCATGGATCAAACATCTATTTCTATTGTGATCATTATGGCTAAGCTTGCCAGCTGGGTAGGGTTTGATAAAGATTACTACGGTGCACGTTGCAGCTCAACACCCTTTTGATATGTAACAAACTATAATGGGGATACTTGTCATGAATGAAATGAACCAAGTATGGTGTTAAGAACTACATCAACCCAGGCACAAACAAATGATTTTCCAACACATCATAGATACATAATGGTTGCTAGGCAACCAAATATTTCAACGCTGGCACAGGGGAAAACTTCTATTGCTAAGCTGGGATTGGCCACTTTAGCAATTAGTTCTGCTTGGGACTGTCTGTTAGTATCTTTGGTATAGAAAAAAAAAAACTTTAAAAGACAGTCTGAAGACTAATCCCAGGTGTGCACCTATTTGAGCAGCTCTTGAGATGGAAACTTTTATCCCTCAAGGTATGTTTGTATCTTCTTCCTCATATTGAACAAAGATGTGTCTTCCCACAGATCTCATTCATTGGCCCTGTTCTTTACACAGAGCAAGTTACTTCCTCTTCATTGTGCTAACTCTGAACATTTGTAGAGGGCTATCATGTCTTCTCCGAATCTTTCTTTCTCCAGGGTGAACACATCCAGTTCATTCATTTCCATTTTTTCACATACTGCTTACTTTCCCCTCACAATGATACCATAACATTTCAAACTGGCAATAACTGGGTGGTTAATAACTGGGCAGTTGTTGTTTTGTTTATAGTTATAGTTAATGACTTATAGGCTTCTGCATAGTTGGACACTGCAATTAGAATTGTCACAAGAATAAAAAGCCAAAGGGTGTAGGGCAGGTGCTTGATCTTTTTTTATCCTGACTTGGGAAATGTAATCTATGAGTTAACATAGTCTTTGTGCCTTATTTGAACATTTTATGACAAATGGAAACTTTAAGTAAGACCTTCAGGGATAGTTACTAGATTTATACAGTGTAATAACTGTTTCAGAGTAGGTGATATAACTATTTCAAGTAATGTTTTCTAAATTTGGCCATGCAGCTACAGCATTGGAGAGCTTCTAAAGATACAGAACACTGGGATCCATACCCAGACCTACTGACCAGATGCCTCCATAAGTCCCCGAAGGAATATCATTTGGCAGCCACTGATATAGGGTAAATAACATGAAGGTCTGTCTTCCCAGTTAGCTAAATTCTACCTAGCCCGTAATGCTCTCTGCTATGACATTTTTTGGTTGTTCTTGCAGCTAACACTTCCATATTCTTAAAAAGTCTCTTCTGCTAATAACCGGTACACATGGTTTAGTATTTAATTGTAAATTCTGCATGGCTATCTGTCTCCTAGTTAGTTTATAAAATCCCTAAGAACAAGAACTGAGTGTTACATTTCCATGTGTCTTGCAGGGAGTATGGCACAATATTGAACAGAGTCATTCATTAATTGGTGAGGGGTTTTGGAAACAGTAGGAGAAAAAAGAAAATAAAGGAAGGTAGATACAGAAGCGTAAGCTAGAAATAATATAAATATCAGAGAAATATAAGATTTCAAGATTAATTCAAATTAAAAATGAAATTCAATGAAATGAAGCTTACACGAGATGAAAAAGATATAATAAAGTTGAAAATAAAAGAATGAAACAAGATATATCAGGAAAGCATGAAGAAAAAAAAAGCAGGAGTGGTACATTCATGTTAAAGAATAAATTGAAGAAAATTGGGGACTCGGGGGAAAGGATGGGAAGGGGTAAGGGATACAACACTACAAAGTGGGTTCCGTGTATACTGCTCGGGTGATGGGTGCACCAAAATCTCACAAATCACCAGTAAAGAACTTACTCATGTAACCAAATACCACCTGTTCCCCAAAAACCTATGGAAAGAAAAAATTTTAAACAAAAACAAAAATAAAGAATATATTGAAAAAAAGGTTAATTGCATATTGATACACAAGAGCCATAAAAAAGGTACGAGACTCAGGAAATACTAAGCTCAGAACAACACAGTATCATTCTATGAAATGCAAAAATTGTTAGAAATACAAGGAAACATGTGAGGAGTATTAAAATTTCTTGCATCACCATAATTCTCTGGCAGGTCAAGGGGACAAAAATAAATAATTACAGGCACAAAGCACTTGAATTATTTAATGTTTGGATAAATATCTGCACGCTGATATAACCTTGTACCTTAAGAACAGGAAATGCATCTTCTCAAGTGTCATGTACCAGGTACAAACATTGATCATCATCTGCACCAAAAAAATACTTTAGTGCATTTCTAAGGTAAAAACTGTACCTTTTTATTTTAATAATAAAATACTACCACAAACTATTACTAGAATTTCAAAGGAAAAAGAAAAACCAAATTACTTGGATATTTTAGAAGTGGTTGCATAAATAATGACTGAGGCAGTCAAGCAAACTAGAAAATAACAAAAGTGAGAATATTATTTAACAAAAATCTATAAGATACAGCCAAAACTATTTTTTGTAGCAGATTTACAGTCCTAAATACTTCAACGAAAAAAGAATTATGAGAACAGAACTAAATATTCTACTCAGAATTTATGGGCAAAAAGACAAAACAATTAAAAAGAAAGCTGGAGAAAGGAAATAATAAACACAGAAGTAAAAATAATAATAATGATGATGAGATAAAATAATTTGTCCTTTGTAGAACTGGTAGCTAAGATCAAGAACAGGTTCTTCAAATAAAACAGACACACCTCTGGCAAATTTAATTTAAAAAATAAAAGGAAAACAAATAATTTATAAATTATCTATGTAGTCATATTTAGGGAGAAGACTGATAGAGTAAAATAATTTTAAGTGATAAAATTGAAAATCTTGGTGAAATAAATAATTCCCTGAGAAAAATGTAAATCAAGATGAACTTAATGGAAGAAATCCTACAGGAAAATAAAGAAGAAATTGTACTATGTATCAAGAAGTACAGTTACTTCAAGTGAAGATTTTAGAAGTTTTGGAAGGACCTGGGGCTCACCGAGAGAGGAATTTGGATATCGACAACACTTTCTACAATTTAATTAAAGAAGTGGGCTTAAACTTCATGTAAAAATGAGCTAGATTTTTATTTAGAATTGAAATTGGAAATAAAAAATAATTCTAAAAAACAAATGATCAAATAGAACTTTCTGTTTAAAATGGCAAAGAAAAAGTTAAGGAGACTGGAGCCAATCTCAAGACGAACCAAGATAAATCTATTAGTGACGGGAGCTTCAATTACACAGGATATGTTTAGTAGGATTTTCTACAGAAGCAGTCCAAGGGAAGTCTGCTCAGATGATAAACCGAGTTCTCCCCAAGCTTTGGGTTTACACCCAGCTCCTGAGTGACTATGGCAAGAATGGCCTTAGAGAACATGAAGGGTAAAATTACCAGCAGTGCAAATGGGGCCAGGAGAGATGCCTTCGTAAGAGGAAAGGGTCGTTCCCTCTTCGAGCAATCACTTTTTTTTTTTTTTTTTTTTTTGAGATGGAGTCTGGCTCTGTTGCCCAGGCTGGAGTGCAGTGGCGCGATCTCGGCTCACTTCAAGCTCCGCGTCCCGGGTTCACGCCGTTCTCCTGCCTCAGCCTCACGAGTAGCTGGGACTACAGGCGCCCGCCATCACACCCGGCTAGTTTTTTTGTATTTTTTAGTAGAGATGGGGTTTCACCGTGTCCAGGATGGTCTCGATTTCCTGACCTCCTTATCCGCCCACCTCGGCCTCCCGAAGTGCTGGGATTACAGGCGTGAGCCACCGCACCCAGCCCACTTTTTTTTTTTTTTTTTGAGACGGAGACGGAGTCTCGCTCTGTTGCCCAGGCTGGAGTGCAATGGCATGATCTCAGCTCACTGCAACCTCCGCCTCCCAGGTTCAAGCGATTCTCCTGCCTCAGCCTCCTGAGTAGCTGGGATTACAGGTGCATGCCACCATGCCCAGCTAATTTTTGTATTTTTAGCAGAGAAGGGTTTTCACCATGTTGGCTGGGCTGGCCTCGAACTCCTGACCTCAAGTGATCCGCCCACCTCGGCTTCCCAAATTGCTGGGATTATAGGCGTGAGCCACCGCGCCCGACCCAAGCAATCACTCTTGATGCCACAAAGGTAAAGAGCAAATGGAGATGGGATGTGTATTACTTGATCTTTTTAATAACCTGTCGTGACACATCAGCTTTTCTAATATTAATAATTCTACCTGAGGTGGGCGGATCACGAGGTCAGGGGATTGAGACCATCCTGGCTAACACGGTGAAACCCGGTCTCTACTAAAAATACAAAAAATTAGCTGAGTGTGGTGGCACATGCCTGTAGTCCCAACTACTCGGGAGGCTGAGGCAGGAGAATCGCTTGAACCCGGGAGGCAGAGGGTACAGTGAGCCAAGACTGCACCACTGCACTCCAGCCTGGGCAACAGAGTGAGACTCTGTCTCAAAATAATAATAATAATAATAATTCTACCTCAAAACATATTGTAAATCCACACATCTACCTACCTCTGCCCCCTCCACCCCAGCCGGGTGGCATTGCTAGTAATGTGAGTGATGCAGAGGCTTTTTTTAACCAACCACCTGGCCCTTCCTCCTCCTACCATCCCTCCTCCAGGCTGACTGGCCTTCCCATAAGACAGATCAGAGCCTGTCATCCCTGTACTCAAATCTTAGTGCTGAGCATAACATTCAAACACCTACACAGTTTCTGTCTTACTCATGATGTCAGGCCTCTTGTTTCCAGGAATTGGCAAAACGCATTCATCTCCAGCCAGGCTTAGAGCTTTTTCCCCTGCATCTGGGAAGCCTTCCTCTCTTCTCCTTCAGGCCTCAGCTCAGAAAGCAACTCCTTGGAGAACACATCACAAGCCACCCTTTCTGCAAAAGTCTTCCCCCATCACAATGTTTTCTATCAGAGTACCTTGCTCCATTTCCTTTCTAGTAATTCTCATAGTAGGTAAATAAATAATTGTTGGGTGGGAAAGGAGGGCTGTTTCTTTCTTTTTTTTTTTTTTTTTTTGAGACGGAGTCTCGCTCTGTCGCCCAGGCCAGACTGCGGACTGCAGTGGCGCAATCTCGGCTCACTGCAAGCTCCGCTTCCCGGGTTCACGCCGTTCTCCTGCCTCAGCCTCCCGAGTAGCTGGGACTACAGGCGCCCGCCACCGCGCCCGGCTAATTTTTTGTATTTTTAGTAGAGACGGGGTTTCACCTTGTTAGCCAGGATGGTCTTGATCTCCTGACCTCATGATCCACCCGCCTCGACCTCCCAAAGTGCTGGGATTACAGGCGTGAGCCACCGCGCCCGGCCAAGGAGGGCTGTTTCTGCTGATTTTTTTTTGTCACTTCCCACTAGAATGAAAATCCCACGAGGTCAAGAAATTTGTCTCCTTTCTAACATGCTGTATTTCCAGCGGTGTGCCCACTGCCTGTCATACTGGGGCATTCCAAATTTCATAAATAAATCACACTTTTCAGAAATTGTGATTATTTTATTAGTTTGTTTACTTTTGCTAAAGAGTAAACCGAGGTACAATAAAAATTTAATGGGCTTATTTGAGCAAATAGTGATTCAAGAATTGGGTGGCTCCAAACCAGAACTGGTTTGGGAACTCCATGAGGGATTGCAATGGGGAGACTTTTATAGGAGAAACATGGAAGTAATGCAGAGAAAATATTTGACTGATTGCAGTTATACAGTTACCTTATTTCATCTATCCTGTTGGAAATTCCCTAGTTACATAATTACACATTTGTTTGTTACTTCTGATTAGTTGGAGTTTAAGTTGTATTCTTCTTTAATATAGGCATTTACAAGAAATTGCTCAAGTTAAGTTTTGCTTATGTTTGCAAATCAAGCTAGGTTCAGGTCACATCTGAGGTCTTGCTGGCTATGTCTGCTTATAGTTTCTTCAGGCCTGGTCTCCATTTTAATTTACTTTACCACTGTGTTGGAATACTGTTGATTACCCCATTGGGCTGCAAGGTCCACGAAAGCAAGGTCCTCGCCTCTCCTTTGGTCACCAAACATAGTGCTTGGCACTAAATAGTGGCTCAATGATTATTTGTAAAATAAATAAATGAATAAAGAGATTTAAAGTTCCCTAGAAAGTGAAATGTCTTTCTCCTTGACTTTACATACCACTCAGAAGATTCTGGACCTACTAGAATTCTTCATTAAGAATTTTGTTTTCCTGGTATTTTCCAGCTATCCCAACTTCTGTTAACAACCGAAAGTTAGCAGGAATGGGGGAAAGGCCATATGATTTAAATGCCTCCAATGAGGGCTGCTACTGATTAATTTTAGATCCCAAGCATCTGGGTCAATGCCTAGTTTCATGGCAGGTATGCAAATGATTATTTTAGTGTCATTATTAATGATTTTACTAAGAGCTGGGAGCACTTGAAATGTTCCTCCAAATGAGATTTGAGATGTAGACCAGATGGTCATTTTTTAAGAGCATCTATATATTCTATTCTACTTTTCAACACATAAGTTTTTATATTAAGATTGATTACTAATGTACCTAAGCACCCACATCAGTATTCAGTAAAAAATTAGACGCATTATGTATTTTTTAAGAATAAGAAATGCTCCATTGAGATGATAATAATCTAAATGAAATATAATCATCCCTGAAGTTGAATCTAGCCATTCTGTTTTGCTTTAACTAGGTTAAGGCCTCTAAGTCATTTTCTTTTTCTCCTTCCCCTGGCAATATATCATGTTCTACAGAGCTTAATATTGTGTGGGTACAACCTCAGGCATAAGAAAATGGTCTCATCAGTCTTAGCCCCAAAATGCTGTTTGGTCAGGCAGGATGGCTTAGGTAAGTTTGATCACAAATAAATATGTCAATATCTACTCATTCCCTGAATCCCAAAGGTCAGTGCTCAGGGGAGGATTTGTCCTAGGAGTATCAGTTTTATTCTTCTTGGTCATGATGGTGCTGAGAAAGACTAATATACACTGGACTATAATCTTTGAGCCAGAGGAAATTGAATCAAACCAAGTGGAAAGAATGTGCTATTTAGTATTAGCAGGGTCAGTTAATGGAAAAATTGTGAAATGGGTGAAGTTCATCATTGATCTAACTCCTGCAGAACAAACCTGGTCTCCCCAGTCCCAGGGGCATGCCCGCTGGCCTTTGTTTAGACCTTGGCATTTTCCGCTGGCTTCTCTCAGTTTCTTGGGGACTTGATTATGTGCACTGAAACAAAGCCATTCTAGGTTTTGAGGTTTCTGGTTGGGCTCTTTCCTTCCCCACCCTCAAATGGATATTAGCTTATTTGATGGATCAAGCTGTCCTCATTTGCTAACAGAAAATGGCTTAAGGAATTTCTTGGGTCCTCTCAGGTAACATGTGGATTTCACAGTGACTTTCTTATGACAAAACTCTTCCAGTGTGTATGACTCAAATGAGTGAGTTTGCTGGTGTGGATTTCAGTCCAAGTAGTATGGACAGATAGATCCCTGCCTTTGAATTTTATGAAGCAGTAATATATAATAAAAAAGAGAGAGAAACTGACAGAGTTGCCCGTTTATTTTTTCTTTTTGCCAAGTAAAGGCATTATGGAAAAAGAACAAGACTCACCTACTAAGACAATCATTTTATAAAAGAAATAAACATAGGCCGGGCATGGTGGCTCATGGCTGTAATCCCAGCACTTTGGGAGGCCGAAGCAGGTGGATTGTTTGAGGTCAGGAGTTCGAGACCAACCTGGCCAACATCGTGAAACCCCATCTCTACTAAAAAAAAAAAAAACAAAACAAAACAAAAAAAAAACAGAAAATTAGCCGGGCCTGGTGGCAGGCACCTGTAATCCCAGCTACTCAGGAGGCTGAGGCAGGAGAATCGCTTGAACGCAGGAGAATCACTTGAACCCAGGAGGCGGAGGTTGCAGTGAGCCGAGATCATGCCACTGCACTCCAGCCTGGGCAACAAGAGTGAAATTCTGTCTCAAAAAAAAAAAAAAAAAAAAAGAAAAGAAAAGAAAAGAAAAAATAGAAAGAAATAAACATAATAATCAGAAGAATAAGAAGAAAACAATCTTGGAATAAAAAACAACGTTTTGTAGAAAATTACAGCTAGATCGGGGGAATAAGTTCTAGTGTTCTATATCACCATAGGATGACTGTACTTAACAATAATATATAAATTATAGTTTCAAATGGCTGGAATATTGAATGTCCCAACACAAAGAAATGATAAATGTTTGATGGATATGCTAATTGCCCTGATCTGATCACTATATATTATATGCATCGAAACATCACTAGGTACCCCACAATATATGTCAGTTTAAACAAACAGCCTTTAAATTGAATGAATTTACTTTAATGAGAAAAACGTATTTCAGTGTCTTTATTTCACAGCATACTAGTGAAGATTTTATCAAACACCAGCATCAGTCTAGGGCCAAGTTTTTGGGAACGATGAAGTTTCCCAACAAGCCGATCCATGAATTTTAATAGCTCTAGCTGACACCTGTGAGCAAGTCTCCATGTGACCTGCTTTTAGGACAGCTATACACGAGTGAGCCTGCCACACCTTTCGAGTTGTAAACCAAAGAGCCTTCTTTGTACAAAGCCTGTAGCACTGATGTTTTTCTGTTTGTACATTAATGGGAAAAACTGAGTAATAGTCAGCCAGAAAAGCGATTTGAATTTTATTGGAACAGTTAGAATCTAAAAATTTAGGATATAAGGATACATTTCTTCACTAGCAAGTATGGGTGTACAGCCAGTAGCTGCCAGGCACAGGGATACAACAACGCGGTCCCTGCCTCCCAGCCTTACATTCAGTGGAGGAAACAGAAAGTGGAGAGACACAGTAGATAGACAGCGTCACGTAAAGATAATTCCAGGGGTGCTTTTGTGAGCAAACGTGGCATTTAAGCAAAGACCAGACTAACATGAAGAACTGAGGCTTGCAGTTCCCTGGAAGAAGAACATTCCAGGTGGAGGGAACAGCCAGTGCCAAGGCCCTGAAGAATAAACAGGCCAATGTGGCTGGAGCACAGTGTGGGGGGCTGGGGAGCAGGTGGCTGATCTGTGGGGCCAGAAATGCAACAGGTGCCACATCACATAGGTCCTTAAGGGACTTTGAATTTCATAAATGAAATGGAAACTACTGGAAGATTTTGAGCAAGAGACTGACATGCTGTGACTTATGTTTTAAAAGGATCGCTGAGTGCTAGAGTACAGAAATGAGAGCTAGTAGGCTACTATAATAGTCCATGTGAGACACGATGGTGGTTTGGACTGGGGTGGTCATGATAGAAGTGATGAAAAGTGCTCTAGTTTAGGATCTGTTTTGAAGACTGAGAGAACAGGACTTATAATGGATTGGATATGGCAGCAACGACAAGAGGAGAATGAAGGCAGGTTTCAAGGTGTTTGATCTGATCCACCCAAGGAATTGTACCATCTACTGAGAATGGGTCCAATGAGAACAGTAGGTTGAATGGGGAATTAAAAAGTTGTTAGTGGACACATTAAATTTGAGATGTCATTAAATAAATATCCAAGTAGATATGTCAGGTAAGCAGTTGAATACATAAGACTAGAGTTAAGGAGAGAAATCAGGGCTGAGATAGAAATTAAGAAATATTTAGCATCTAGAAATGTTTATGGTCGTTGGATTGGATAAAGACATGTGGCAGGCCAAGTGTTCTGGTGGCTGCTCCAGCAAGCACAAAGGCTTTAAGGCAAGAACGTGTTTGGTGAGTTCTAAGAAGAGTCAGGTGCCACCATGGATGTGTAGAGAAGATGTTCAAGGACTAAGTCTGGAGAGAGTCCAGTATTTAGAGGTCAGAAGGAAAAAGATTCAGGAAGGGAGACAGAAGAGTGGCCAATGAGGTGAGGTGAAAACCAGATGAGAGTGAATCACCAAATCAGTGTGAATACAGTCTTCCAAGGATGATTAAGAGCAGTTGATAAATTCACTGTGCCCTCAATGATCTCTATTGATGGAAGAAACAATGTATGCTGTTATATTCCCAGTGTTTAGGAGCACGTGATCAATATGTATTTGTTTATTTCAGAGGTTAAATATGGCAGTCTACTGGCTGAATCCATCCTGAAGATGTGTTTTATTTGGACTCCAAGGTTTAAAAAGATTTTAATTGATCGCCAAGATTCAGAAATTGGGAAACATCACATCAAAATTTGAATTTCTGTTTCTGTTGAACAATTAATTATTCAGATTATCACAAGGCAGGCAACAGCTGTCTATTGCTGAGTGGCAGCTGCTGTCGTTAAAGGGGTCATGAGCTCCTCAGTTAATTTTCTGCTGTCTCCAGCAATTCCTGCGTCTCTCCAACACAGAGAGCTGAGTCATTTGTTCATATCACCTTCCTTTTTATTTGCCCCCTTTTGTTTAGTTAAGAGAGAACGAATGAATGAATGAGTGAGCTAAAGAACATTTGCTTGTGAGACACTGGGATCCCAGAGAGGTGAAACGATATAAAGTTACATGTGACAAAGCCAGGGCTCAGATGCAGATTCCCAGGCCAGGGCTTTTTATTTTAAATCTTTGCTTCCTATTGTGTCATTTTTTAAAATCCTAAAATATAAATAAAAGTTTGACTGAAAGAAGTGTACTGACAAAATGCTGACTATTTTCATTTTTAGAAAGAATAGAATATTACACAAATCCTGTAACATGATAAATATTTCTTTCTTTCTCCTTACACCTTAATAATAAATGGTTTCATAAGAACTGATACACCGACTAACAAAAGTTAGCATCACTGCCCAAAGCAAAATGAGTAAAAACAAACCTAACTATTAAAAACTACAATTAAAATAAACATTGATATTGTACTCCATTCATTTATAGGTGAAAATAAGTGTTGCTATTTTTCTCCATGAATTATTTTTACATGTTTTAACCAAAGAATGTTGTAATCATGGAACGCCAGTTTGTCATCATTCCTTCTTCGATTCAGTACCAAAGACTTTCTGGAGTTTTGCAAGCCTCCTCTCTCTTGCCAAATCCGATCATTAGAATTGACTTAGACTACAGTGTTGAATTTCTGATGTTTTCTAGGTGTATATATTATATTAATGGGTTGAATTGTGTTCCCCCAAAATATATGTTGAAGTCCTAACCCCCAGTTCCTCAGAATGTGACTTTATTTAGAAATAGGGTAGTTGCAGATGTAATTTAAGATGAGGTCATACCAAAGAAGGGCAGGGCCTTAACCCAAAATAACTGATGTCCTTATAAGAAGGAGAAATTTGACGACAGACTCAAACACCAGGAAGATGATGTGAAGGGAGACACACAGCAAGATGGCCATCTGAAGAGGCAGGTAGAGATTGGAGTGATGCTGCCATGAGCCAAGGAACACACAGCGCTACCAAAAGCCGAAAGAGGCAAGAACTGGTTTCCACCCCTCTCCCCCAACTTCCCCAACCCCAGGGGCTTCAGAGGGAGCGTGGCCCTTAAAGGTATTATACTTCCCTACAATCTGAAAAACAACAACAAAAAAGAAAGGACCAAGAGCACTTTGATTTTGGACTTCTGACCTCCAGATCTGAGAAAGAACACATTTCAGGTGTTTTAAACCACACGGTTTGTGGTACTTTGTTGTGACAGCCCTAGGAAACTGAAACAGAGATGATCCTGTCTAACTCTAAATTGTAAACTGGGCTAGAATGTAGGCATCTTGCTGGAGGATGCTGTCTCCAGGAAAGGGGCTTTCTCTCTCCAGATAAAGGGCTTTCTCTATGGTGCATATGTGCCATCCCTAAGTGAGACATTTGGAGGTGCCTGATGCCCTGAAAATCCTCACTCCTTTGCTCACTGAAGGCACTGAAACTGATTCCACTTGCTCTTAGGGAGTCACGGTTCTGCTTTTATCCTGAAAGCTGCATGTTTCTCCTTCCTTAGCACAGAATATCTTGGGTATTGGGAGGAATTTGGTGCTACTCTTGACTCTGGGAAAATTTGTAAAGTAACCCAAAGATTTTTTTAATGATCCTCAGGCCTTCTTAAATGTTTCAGACTTCTCTTAAGATGAAGATTTCTTAACTTGCAATGTATAGATAATTTTTAGAAGCAAACATGAAACCCTGCAGATTGTTTGAAATAGTCTGTGAGTATGGATACTTTCCTGGGTAAAGATTTCTTAGTTTTGATTAATTCTTAAAGGTATTATACTTCCTTACAACCTGAAAAACAACAACAAAAAAGAAAGGACCAAGAGTTTGGGCCATAGTGGTCAGGTTTTGTGCCCAGGGAACAAGGCACCCAGGGGTGGGGGTGGATTGTAGTAGGAAGGCAAGAGTTTGGATTTAGAGATGTGGCACTGGAGGTGACAATGGGCCATTCAGATGGGGATGTTCAGTAGGTAGTTGCAGCCATGGTGGTGGCAAGCAAGGGCACACACCCAGATTTGGAATTCATTGGCACAGAGGTGGGAAATGAATGCATGAAAGCAGATAAGCTTTCAGAGCTGATGACTGAACCTGAACTAGGAAAGGCTGATCCTAAGTCTTGGAGAGCATCCACACTGAGGGAGCAAGGGGAGGAAGAGGTGGCATTAGAGGGAAAGTAGGAAGGGCGGTGAGCGTGGTGAAAGAACTAGGAAAACAACACAGGCAAAAAGTAGCAGGAGAGAATCCTCCTCGAATGACCAAATCTGCAAAATGAAACGGAGATGTTAAAGGAAATGGTGAACGACATAAAAGGAAGGTTTTGGTCTGGAGATCACTGATGGAGCAGCACTAGGTTCAACTGGAAAAGTTGTAAGGGTTTCTTTGTTCATGTCTGCATTCTCTGGGGATGACTGCACTTCTGCTCTGTGCCAGATGCCACGCTAGGTGCTGGGGCACAATAAGTAAGACACAATCCCATCTTTCAGATGGGATTTCTGGGCTCTCACTGGGCATGGATTTCCAGGAGTAAACTATGACATGAAGTCTGAATAGTGTCCAGAGAGGGTGCACAGGGGAAGTGGTTGATATACCCAGAACAGCTGAAGCCAAATGAAAGAGAGATGGGCTTGCTTTCAGGAAGTACAACTGGTGGGTCCAAGAATCTTTAAGCATGAACCTGCCTGTACTCCGTTGCATTATAAAACTGACTTAAGCATTTCAAAATCACATGGGCACACACACACACCAACAATGCCTTGGACAAAAACCATTTTTGTTACAGAGATTTAGTAGGTGATGGTATAATATTTATATACAGACAAAAACAGAAACAAATACAACATATGCCTTACTTTCTCTTGTAGTGTCTCTGTCTTTTAAAGATTGAAATTTCTGCTATCTAAACAGGTTTACTCCTGGGAGCTTCTATTTTACAATGGTTTTTTATTTATTTATTTTTTTCTTGAGATGAAGTCTTGCTGTGTCCCCCAGGCTGGAGTACAGTGGTGCAATCATGGCTCACTACAACCTCAACCTCCTGGGCCAAATCAATCCTCCTGCCTCAGCCTCCCAAGTAGCTGGAATCAAAAGTGCATGCCACCAGAACTGGCTAATTTTTAAAATTTATCTGTAGAGATGGGGTCTCACTATGTTGCCCAGGCTGGTCTTGATCTCCCAAGGCTGGAGGAATCCTCTTGCCTTTGCCTCCCAAAGTGCTGGGACTACAGGTGTGAGCCACTGCACTTGGCCTAGAATGTTTTTTTTTTTTGGACCTCAACATGCTAATCTTGTTACATATGAATATTATTAAGCTATTAAGAATTTTGAAATTAACCACATCAGTGATTTATTCAGTAAGAGCAGTTACGAGAAGGGAATGGATAGTGCTGGCTGGGAGCCACACTTACCTGGAGTGAGGCCCCTTCTCCACCATTCATGAGTTTGGTAGTCACAAGTGAGTTACTTAAATTTTTGAACCTGTATCCACATCTATAAGGGTGACTTAATCATGTTTACCTGACAGAGTTATTGGAATAGATAATGCACGAAAAGTACCTGGCATATAGTAGGCTCTATGTTACTACAATGATTACTATTGATAATAAACAATTTGTCTGAGATTATATTTGCAAATCAGGCCAAAATTAATAACTTAGAAAATACTCAAACAATTTCTGCAAAGAATTCACTGCTATTAAGGAGCCCAGCAGCAATTTAAGAACATGAACTTAAGGTCTTGGCAAATTACATACTGCCATCAGCTACATTACAGACAGCATCCCATAGGTAAATGAGCAACTTACACTTGACATCTTTGAAATTTAGACAGACAAGGAGGGTAGAAAAAAAGTAGTTTCTGCATCATATGCTGCTTGAATTACCCTGAAGAGGAAATCAAATTATTTACTTGAAAATTTGTCAATGTTGTATTATACTTCCAGAGTCTTGAAATTCCTACACAGAACTCCCTGATTTTGAAATCTACTGAGATACTGACACCAGGGCAATAGCACATGTCTGTACAGGTTGTCCACTGCACAACTCCAGGGGGTGTCAATCACATGGACTGTGATGAGAAAGGCACCCCTAGAGTGCAGTGCACCCCTGTACAATCAAATCCAGCAGCCCTATCTGAGAGGCTTGAAAACTTTCCTGATGAACATGGAGAACATGCAATTCAACAAATATTTATTGAGCATCTGTTATGTATGAGACACTGTTCTAGGTTCTAGGAATACAAGAGTGATCACAACAGACATAGTCCCTATCCACATAGAGCTTATGTTCTAGCAGAGTGGAGGAGGGAGACAGATAATCAACCAATAAACAAGTAAGCATCTCTCATATCAAATGCTCGTGTTAGGGGGAGCAGTAAAGCCAGGTGAGAAGGAAATGGGATCCCAGCAATGGCAGCATTACTATTTGAAATAAGTTGGCAGAAAGGGTTCATTCACAAGCTGACATTTTTAATCAGAAACCTTAAGGAAACCAGGAAACATGCTCTTTGTGTGGCTGAGGCAAGAGTATTCCAAACAGAGGAAAGAGCAAGTGCAGATGCCCTAAGGCAAAGCCTGCTTGGCATATTCAGGGGAGAGCAAAGATGCGTGGCTGGAGTGGGTTGGAGGGAGTGGTGGCGATAGAAATGAAGTCAGGTGGCGGGAGGGGGAAGCAGATCTCACAGGGCCTAGGCAGCCTTTGCAGTGTTGCTCTTTACTCTGAGTGTGGTGAGAAGCCACTGGAAGATCCTGAACAGAGCAGTGACATCATCTGATGCAGGTGTTAAAAAGGATCTCGCTGTACTTGAAATGAATTTTTATTACAAAAGATTATGTCTAAATTTCTAAAAATTGTCTAAACAATTTTCCCCCATACTCTGAGTGTTTTCAACCAAAATTAGCAATACTATTTTTAAAATTGTGTCCCTTTTTAAAGCTGAGTGTGAATTCAAATGTTTAAGCAAATAAATACTTCCCGAAAGTGGTAAATACTGACACTTTTAGTCTTAATAAGCATTAAAGTTAATTTATGCACCCCCTTCTTGATGTTCAATTTGCCAAATGGTTCAGATTAATTCCTATCAATCACAGGAAAAAGAATCTGGAAACAAAAATCTCAAACATTTTAGCTGTGAGGGAAAGCGTTTCATGGATCGTAAAAGCATCAGAGACACGGTTAATGTGGTCAAGGCCTCTGCTCCAAGGGAAATGATTGCTCATAAAACAGTTTGCATTTTGTCAAGTTAACCTAACTCGTGGAACACAGCATTCTGGAATGTGACCTGGCCTTCCAGAAAAATCATTAAACAATGTCTACTGTTCATAATAATACTGAAACTTCCAAAAAAATCACAGCCACTTGTATGTTCAGTGTTTTACATAAAATGCAACGAGGTATGTGAATAATGCACAAATTTCACAGTAAGAACTGTACTATATTTTCCAAAATGTCTTCTACAAATGCATTTATATATGTATAATTCTCATGCCAAAGAACTCAGCAAATCACTTTCCACCAACAAATTTAGTACATACTTACGGAAAAGTTTACTCATATTTGTAAATAACATATAACAACAATAAAAAAAGACTCAGATTGACTTGTCCCCATACTGATAGGCCAACATAGATTCCTTTCGCAGTTATAAATAAATTGTCCACAGTGTTTGCACAAAATATCTTGTAATAAATAACAAAAATATTGTGTCCCCCAAATCTTTTTTCTTGTCATGACTAATTTGTATAATTGAGGTACTATCATTCACACAGTTAATTCTTGAAAGTTTGGACTTGTTAAGAATTGGGCACAAGATCTTGCCTTTAAAGTTGGTCATCAAAATCAGTGACTATCCTGGGATACTTTATTATGAAGGGAAAGAAACTAATATTGCCAGGTCCTAACTTGTTCGGTCCTGGACTAACTATGTGGGATGCCACAGGTCAGGCAGTCTTTGAAGTAACCTTATGAAGTAGGAATTATATCGATTTTATATAAGAGAAAACTGAAGCCAACGAGGTAAAATAACTCGTCCCAAGTAATGAAGCTTGCCTAGGTCCCAGCCAGGCTTAGTCAAGCCCTGGTCCTTCTGATTTCAAAGCCCTTGCTGCTTCTCTGTATTGCACACTGGTTCTCTCTGTTGCACACTGAGCAACATTGTCTTTTTAAAATCTATTATGAAATAAAGTTAAACAGCTTCATAATTATCATTGTCATTATTTTTCTTTTTAGCTACTATTTTTTGGTCTGTCCTGTGGAAACAGCTTGCAATCCTCACAAGAACCTCGTAATGTGAATATGCCAGCGTGTTGCTACAGACCGTGCTTACTTCAGCCAATTTCTCTGCTGAATATCCTCCTTTTACTGATGAGGAAACCAAGTCAAGAAGTCATAAATGACACACCCAAGGCTGGGAAGTGGTTGAGCAGGTATTTAGACTCAGGTCTATTTTACTCCTGTGCCTGTGGGCCGTTTTCACATTCTTTTCAGTTGGACAGTTTTAAAAATGTGTAATGTTGCACTCAAATTAAATAACCTGAAATTTTGCAATTCTGAAAGGGAACTGATAACTTGAGGCACTATGTAACTATGCTTCAACACCTCAAAAAGGCTCCAGCAGGCACTTCTGAAAATGATTTTTAAAGCCCTTTTTTACTTGAATGCTGTTCAACATTCTCACAACTTGGCTTATGTTTTTATGCTGAACAAATGATTCATGACCCTTTATTCTGGGGGCTGGATTACTTGAATCCAAAGTGATGTGATGAATAACAAGGATCTAGGCGTTGTTGCCCAGTTGATAGTCACAAAATACTTGGCCTTAATAAGTCAGGAATTATTTTCCCCATATTTCTCGAATTACATTAAAGAATATAAGGTTTTTAAAAATCTGGCAAAAATTGTGATGTTTAATATTAAATACCCAATTGGAGAAGGTTTGGATTAATAAGATGGAAAAATTGGGGATGACCTGAAAAATTAATTTATCATCACTGACCTGTTTTCATATCTTGAAGCTTTTATGATCTAGTTTTAAATCTACACTGCTTTTTTTTTTTTTTTTTTTTTTTTTTGAGACAGTCTCACTCTATCACCCAGGCTGGAGTGCAGTGGGGCAATCTTGGCTCACTGCAACCTCTGCCTCCTGGGTTCAAGTGATTCTCCTGCCTCAGCCTCTCAAGTAGCTGGATTACAGGCATGCACCACCATGCCCTGCTAATTTTTTGTATTTTTAATAGAGATAGGGTTTCACCATGCTGGCCAGGCTGGTCTCAAACCCCTGATCTCGTGATCCGCCCACTTCAGCCTCCCAGAGTGCTGGGATTACAGGTGTGAGCCACCATGCCCGGCCTACACTGCTTTTTCATAGTGAATGTTTCTATTGCTGATAATCGTAGAGGCAAATACAGACTTGTTTTACTTTTTTGACTAAGGCAAAATAAATACTAACATATAACCATGCTTGTACTGTTATAGTTTATATGAATTGTGATTTATCCATCTATTCATTTCCATTTTAGGCAAAACAATTCATCATTTTAAAGTCTAGTCTAATAAACCTTTTATGATAAAAAGGAATAAAATAGGAGTAGGTATTGATGTAGATTACAGATCTAATTTGTCAAAATTTTACCCTTAAAAGACTTTTGTTGGGTCAGAAATACATTTTCCTGCTTTGAGTGTATTGACAAAATTTCCCTTTAAGATATATTAAAACTTAAATATAAGTTTGAAGTCTTACAAAATTATAAATTTTGACTTATGTCTTATGAGACATAATTTTTTACTTAAGACAAAATTATCCCAAAGGACAACTCAGTCTCTTTAACACCCAAGAATAGGCTAGGGTCACTATTTTGTAAACTAACAGCTCTATAATTTCTCAAGTCATATGTCAAGAGCATTGATAAACAATTTTCTTAACTGTTTGGTAACCTTGCTGAAGTCTTGCAGAGATGTAAACACTGAGCTCTTTTAACCTATGTGCCTTACTTATTGCTCCTGAAAACAATATTATTATGCCTGTAGGAACGCCCTAGACAATCTCAGATTCATAATGTTAGGGCTGAATACACCCCCCAGCATTAGCGGTTAACTCATGCCACTTCTAGATCTTTCATTAAATTCTCTCCATCCTCCTAACTCCACCCAACTCAGTATATGACTCAGATGCCTTGAATCTCCAAAAACATTTCTTGAAACAGTCTGTTGGAAACCAGCTTTCTTCTATGGACTCCATAGAAATGTTTTTGCTGTCTGTTCCTCCCACAAGGCATGTGTCCCCTTCTTGCATTGTAGATACTTGCTGATATGCTGAATTGTCCCTGCCAGACAGTAAGCTCATCAAAGGTGCCATCTGAATCACTTTAGTTTCTTTTGTCATATAACTCACATGAAGTAGATTCTCAAGTATTGAGTATTGAGCGTGTACTTAATAATTTCTGTTAGCCATGACACATTTTCAGAAAAGCGTTTTAGGAAGTACTCGGTCAAAGGAAAAAAAAAAAAGCCATAAGAATAGAAAACTCTTCAAGAGCTAAGCCAGAATAACTGGCACTTAAAAGTGACACATTCAATTTCTTCACCTTTATATAACCTCCAGAAGATCAAATGTTGATAAAATATTTATCTTCAGTTGTCACAAGCCAGACTTTGATTTAAAACTCTTGGGTACATGAATGTCATGCCAGACCAGAAATACATCATCATGTATTTTTAATTTAAACATGGGTATGTAAAAAATTTATATATGCCTGATATGAAAAAATTTGAGTGAAAAATCTCCCAACAGTCACCACAAACAAGAAAATAGAATCTAAAAGCAATTTTTAAACTTCTGTAAAAATGCAATGAAAAGCCTTCTGTTTGCAATTCCAATGTGGTATTGAAATGACACATAAAACGCATTCTCTTACCTTTAGGGAATCAAAGCAGGCAATTACTCTTCCATTTTCAACCTGACAACTTTTGGGGGGATGAGCAAATTTGCATTCTTCATCAGAGCGTGAGCATGTTCCTCTTTGAAACTGTCTGCAGACTTCTAATGTCAGCCATTTTGTATCTCTGACTGGGGCAACGTTCAAAGCCATGGTGATAAAGTAATTTGGGCTGTTTGTTTCTGTTAAATGATGAAATCAATCCAAGTTCTAATGATTCCAAAACTACTGTTGTGAAAACTCCCACATGTAAGTCTGAAGGTGAGTGATAAATTGCTTAGTGAAGTCCAATCCAAGGAACAGGATGATGAGAGAGTGTATGGACAGGCAATCACTCATCAATCAATATGTCCCACTTAAAGATGGTAGGCCGCAATAAAAGCATGCTCAGTGTCATCTCTGGCTTTCAACGTCCGAGTCTCTTGACTGTTTTGCAGATACAGCTGTTATTAATAAAGTGACTTCAATATCATGGCACTCCTTGGGAGAATATTTAATGCTGACGCTCACAGCTATTGACGATGTTGGAAAATAAGACACTCAGATGTTCATATTTTAGCAGGATGTTTTTCTTTCCCCTTTTTAAATTCTGAAATTAAGCAATTGGCAAAGTCAGACAACTGAGGTATCTTCATCCACTCATAAGGTCAGGGTAAAGTGTACTTGACAGAAGAGTGGGATGTGAATACAAAGAAAGCTCCCAAGCTGCAGTTTTCCAGCAAAAGTGACTTCACACAGGCACTTTTAAATGATAAACCTGCAAAACAGAAATGAAATATTAACCTTTACACAAACTCAATGGAATCACCACTTCAACGAACTATTGAACTCTTATCTAGAATTTGCAAAAGCACAGTTTAGAGCTTTGAGCTTTGAGTATAGTGAGAAAAGTTATGCATTAAATAAAAAAAAGAATATGCAACGGAAACCGTATTGCAGAATTGTCTAGGCAGCAGTCCAAAAGTTAGGAATGACTCAAACAGATGAGTGTGGCAGACACAATAATTAGGCCTTCTGAAACAATCCCATCTAATGTGCTTAATCGCCAAAACAGTGTATTAGGACTGTGGCTTCCAATTAATTTCACATTTAGGCCATTGATTTTATTGTTGGGAATGCTATAAACAATTATTTGGGATGTGTCCCTCCTATGTAATAAAGATATTGTCATTTTGAATGAAGTGTGGGCTCTTTCTTCTTTATGTTCTTCCTAGTTTACAGAGATGTGGACTTGGAGATGGGTAGGTAGGATCCTCTTGATATTTTTTCTCAGGTATCTTAATACTTCCTCTCCACCATGACTTACCTAATGTTTATCTTCCTATTTACACTGCAACATTCACAGGGCAAAGACTATTCTTTGTAGTTTTCATTTCTGTATTCCCAGTGCCTTAGTCTACGGCGTATATTAGACCCTCAAGAAATATTTATTGACCAATTTAACTGATGACTAAGTGCAGGAATGTAAATTAGTTTTAGTTGAGTTCAGTTTAGTTTTTAACTGAGTCATAATCTAAAAACGCTCTGTAGTATGGAATGCTGGAGTTAAAACACATGGCTACAACAAAAATATAGTCAGTAAGTTCAGATGTCTAAAATAAGCACCTTCAGTTTCTTTTAACTTTTTCAAGGGTTATGAAATCATTAAACATTAAATTCCAGTTACTGGGACAAGCATGAATAAAGGACTAAAGTCCAGAAGTTGATTATTTTCATAAATAGGATATGCCACAAATGACCTTACATACCTGCTGAGCCTTGATGTCTTTCTAAAAAATTTATACCTAAGAAGAACTTAATGAAGACTGGAAGTAGATTATTTTAAATTGGCAGGTAACAAATAAGTTCAGAGAGCAATAATTTTTTTTTTTTTGAAATGGAGTCTTTCTCTGTCACCCACACTGGACCCTGTCACCCAGGCTAGAGTGCAGTAGCATGAACTCGGCTCACTGCAACCTCTGCCTCCTGGGTTCAAGCAGTTCTTGTGCCTCAGCCTCCTGAGTAGCTGAGACTACAGGTGTCTGACACCACGCCTGGCTAATTTTTGTATTTTTAGTAGAGACAGGGTTTCATGGTTTCACCATGTTGACCAGGCTGGTTTCGAACTCTTGACCTCAGGTGATCTGCCCACCTCAACCTTCCAAAGTGCTGGGATTACAGGCGTGAGCCACCGTGCCCGGCCCAATAATTTTTAAGTGGTTCACAAGTGTTCCCTTAAAAAGTATGACCCCAAATCAATTAAGTTTATTTAACTCTGGGTAAATCAAGCCAGACGAGCTTCCTTGCATTAGGGCTTTTTAAGTTTTTTAATTTTTTTTCTTTTTTTTGAGACGGAGTTTCACTCTTGTTGCCCAGGCTGGAGTGCAGTGGTGTGATCTTGGGTCACTGCAACCTCTGCCTCCTGAGTTCAAGTGATTCTCCTGCCTCAGCTTCCCGAGTAGCTGGGATTACTGGTGCCCACCACCATGCCCAGATAATTTTTGTATTTTTAGTAGAGGTGGGGTTTCACCATCTTGGCCAGGCTGTTTTCAAACTCCTCACCTCAGGTGATCCACCCATCTTGGCCTCCCAAAATGTTGAGACAACAGACGTGAGCCACCGCGTCCGGCCTGCAATAGGGCTTTTCTTGGCTGCTGTGTCTGATGGGTCCCTTATAAGGGAGAAGCCTCAATGGTGTCTCAAGCTTATCTGATGATGGAACATTTATTTAAGCAGGACATCTCTTGGGACTGGTGGGAATTGCTACTTCATCCCAATAATTCTTTTACATTTTAATAAAAGTGTTTGCATGAGTTATAATTGCATGCACATTTAAGGAAGTTGGCAATCTTGAAAGCTATGACACATAGCAAACTTCAATTATAAAATATTTGAGGGGTCCAGGCAGGCTCCTGCATGTCTGTTTGGCAACGCTGCATTCACAGAAGCTAATATCAGCTAGCCTAAGCTAGGGAGCTTAAGAAGATGAGTTTAATAACCAAATTTAATATGGGTTGGGTTTCATAGACCAGCCTGGACTTGTATCTTTATTACCTCAACCTGCACCTCTAGCTCCCATGGAGAACAAAGGATGAGGAAAGCAAAGGACAAGGACATATTTCTGCCTGCATCAAGGGAGATGAGGCACCAATGACAAGGATATTTCAAATGATGGGCTGAACACACTTAGTGTTTGAAAAATATTACGTAGAGTCCCCAAGTCCTCAGTACCAGGACCCAAGGTAGATGCTCAACCTCAAAGGCAGCAGAGTCTCTCCCAAGGGCTCCCATGGAGGAAAAGAAAGAGGTAAACATAGGTACTGTTGCATAGATGGCAAGAATAATTACTCAGATGTTCCTAAAAGTTCTCCAGGAGCTATGCTTCCAATGCAGTTCAGTGAATGCTGTACATTTTTATTCATACTTATAGGTAAGAAGCCTTTTTCATTCCCCCTGGAAGAAATATATATTTTTTCCCCCTGGGAGAATTTCCATTTCAACTTACTATGAAAATCCCACCAGAATTCAGATGATCAGACTCTACCAAGATACACTTGCTTAAAATTAAGTATTTATTTGAATTGACAAAAACTGTATAGGATTATTATATACAAATGATATTTTGAAATACGTATGCATTGTAGAATAGCTAAATTGAGCTAATTAACATATGCATACTTAGCATTTTTTAGTTGTGAGAACACTTAGAACCTCTAAGTGAGATCACACCCTATTTGTCTTTAAGATAAACTTGCTTTTAAAAGCAGGGATGGCCTGCCTTACACCTTATACAAAAATTAACTCAAGATGGATTAAAGACTTAAATTTAAAACCCAAACCATAAAAAACCCTAGAAGAAAACCTAGGCAATACCATTCAGGACATAGGCATGCAGAAAGACTTCATGACCAAAAGCAATTGCAACAAAAGCCAAAATTGATAAATGGGATCTAATTAAACTAAAGAGCTTCTGCACAGCGAAAGAAACTATCATTAGAGTGAACGGGCAACCTACAGAATGGGAGAAAATTTTTGCAACCCACCCATTTGACAAAGGTCTAATATCCAGAATTTACAAGGAACTTAAACAAATTTACAAGAAAAAAACAAACAATCCCATCAAAAACTGATATGAACATACAAAGGATATGAAAAGGGCAATGGATATGAACAGACACTTCTCAAAAGAAGACATTTACGCAGCCAACAAACATGAAAAAAAACTCAACATCACTGATCATCAGAGAAATGCAAATCAAAACCACAATGAGATACCATCTCATGCCAGTCAGAATGGTGATTATTAAAAAGTCAGGAAACAATAGATGCTGGCGAGGCTGTGGAGAAATAGGAATGCTTTTATACTGTTGGTGGGAATGTAAATTAGTTCAACCATTGTGGAAGACAGTATGGTGATTCCTCAAGGATCTAGAACCAGAAACACCATTTGACCCAAAAATCTCATTACTGGGTATATATACCCAAAGGAATATAAATCATTCTACTGTAAAGACACATGCACACCTATGTTTATTGCAGCACTATTTACAATAGCAAAGACATGAAATCAACCCAAATGCCCATCAATAATAGGCTGGATAAAGAAAATGTGGTACATATACAACATGGAATACTATGCAGCGGAATGAGATCATGTCCTTTGCAGGGACATGGATAAAGCTGGAAGCTATCATCCTCATTAAACTAACACAGGAACAGAAAACCAAATACGGCATGTTCTCACTCATAAGTAGAAGTTAAACACTGAGAACACATGGACACAGAGAGGGGAACATCACATACGAGAGCCTGCTGGGGGTTTACGGGGTGAGGGGAGGGAACTTAGAGGACAGGTCAATAGGTGCAGCAAACCACCGTGGCACACGTATACCTATGTGACACACCTGCACATTCTGCACATGTATCCTGTTTTTTTTTGTTTTGTTTTTTGTTTGTTTTTTTTTAGAAATAAATAAATAAATAAATCTTAAAAAGTGGAGTAGGCTGGGTGCAGTGGCTCACGCCTGTCATCCTAGCACTTTGGGAGGCCAAGATGGGCAGATCACTTGAGGCCAGGAGTTTGATACCAGCCTGGCCAACATGGCGAAACCCTGTCTCTACTAAAAATACAAAAATTAGCCTGGCACACGCCTGTAATCCCAGCTACTTGGGAGGCTGAGGCATGAGAATTGCTTGAACCTAGGAGGTGGAGATTGCAGTGAGCTCGCGCCACTGCACTCCAGCCTGGGCAACACAGAGAGCCTCTGTCTCAAAAAAAAAAAACAAAAAAAAAAAAACAAAAAAGAGCAGGTGTACCCAAGCTTTCTGATGGCCAGAGTCACTTGTACAGCAAAGATGTTTCAGAAGGAAAGAGGTGTGCATTATATCACAGGTACAACATACTGTTATCATAGCCTCTCATGAATCCACTCTTTCTCCCAGCTTGTTCTCTGTTCCTTTCCAAAAAGCTATACGGCTACTGTTAGCATAGGCACCTGTACCAAGGAGTGGGTACAGGCAGGCAGATGTGGGGAAAAGGGAGAGAGCCACTTGAGCTAGGTTAGATGGTTCTACCAAAGATAAGAGCAATGGAGGGTAAGGATGGGCTAGACCACATTTCAGCATGGCCATCAAGAGACGGGACTGAGAGATATGCCAACATATAGATGTAATAGAATATTGGACTTACTAGCCTGCCAGTTGCTGAGAGGAAGGGGCATGTGTTAGACTGTGCTGTTCAAGGCAGAAATCACCAGCAACATATCAATCAAGCACCTGAATTGTGGCTAGTGAAACTGAGAAACTAAATTTTAAATTTTTATTTATTCTTAATGAATTTAAATTTTAAAAACTCACCCTTGATTCAGTCATTGGAAAACTTTTTAGTGTGATTAGACCAAGTTGAGTATATAAATTTACTTTTTTAATTTTAAATTTTATGAAACCTACATACAGATGGAGTACTGCCAATGAAAATTTAGCATCCAAATTCAGATGTGCTCCAAGTAGAAAATACACACTGAATTCAAAAATACATGCCTTGTAAGAAAAAAAAGAATGTGAAAATATCTTATTAAGATTGTTTCATAGTTATTACATACTGAATTAATATTTTTAATATATTGGGTTAAATATTAAAATTGATCTCACCTGCTTCCTTTTCCCACTCAAAAATTCATAATTGTCTAAGTAGCTCACATTCTATTGCTACTGACGGTGCTGTCTCAAGGGCTTTTGCATTTCTTCTATTAGTCAACAGAACTTCCAGGGTGATAGAAAGTCCTAAGAACTAGCTTCCAGCCTTCACTTTGCCAAGGTATCTCGTCACATAACCTTGGGCAAGTCAATTTCTTTGAGACCCACCTTCTTCATCTAAATGTCGATAATAGTTCCTGCCTGTATGTACATGGTTGCTGCCATGAAAGACAGATTATAGTGGAAATATAAAAGTATTCTGTGATTTTTAAAAGTTACTATACCAATCTGTATTAACAAAATCTACTTTCAGGCTTCCTCTCTCTCTACGATAGTTCCATATGATGACCAGGATTAGACCTGGTGTAGATCTGCTCCAGCCACAGAGTCTGAGAGCAGGGAGGTGCCTAGAGATCAATGGTCTGACTGCATAGCAGTACCTGGACCTCTTATCTGGAGAAGGCTTCACTTCTCACACCGCCTTTATTTTGCAACCAAAGGGAGCCTCAGAGAGGTTTTTCCAAGTGTCACTACAAAAACCTTAAGCCCGCTTTCTTCCTCCAGCTGCTGTTCACCCAAAAGTGAAGGGAACACCTCTGGGGCCAACAGTCACCCTGGGTGGGAAGCAGGGTTGGAATACTCTGGTAGCACCAATGGGAGCCTGCTTCCCTGAGGGCACGGTGGAAATGCAGCTGCTTTTCCATTCACAGTGCCCTGGATGAGCAGGGAGGAAGGGGTGGCATTTCAAGTTCATCTGCCCAGAGGTGCCCCTGTTAATAATGTCTGGAGAGGGCACCTCCAGACGTTCCACAATTTTGGAAATTAGGAAAATTTCCATCAAGATTCCATGTATAACGGCATTGCCCCATTATATGCAGGGCACCCTTAGCCTTTCCCAGAAGTTTCTAGGCTGCACTGGGAACAGGGTCTCTGCCCACATTATTTTCCAGTTTTGTGTAAGTCTCTCTCACTGGTGTGTTTTAGCTTCCATTTCTTTCACTTCTTTTGACTTTTTTGGTTGTATTTCCAATGTCCCAAACAATCCTACCCTAATTAGCTCCTTCCAGTGCAGAACCTAGGCAATGTTTGGGAGTAGTTGCCCCCGATTATTTCTCTGGCAGGCCCTC
Organism: Homo sapiens; assembly: GCF_000001405.40. NCBI lineage: Eukaryota > Metazoa > Chordata > Mammalia > Primates > Hominidae > Homo > Homo sapiens. The sequence goes on along the minus strand of NC_000013.11, from coordinate 97,269,087 downwards.
TCCTTTTTCTCCTCAGGCATTTAGAAACTTCCTGCCTTTCTAAGCCACCTCCTGGAAAAGGATATGAGCTTGCCAGGAAGGTTCAGCTGAGCCACCCTCCGGCAGGCCCTCCTCACGGGCCTGCATCCGGAACAGCGCCCCCTCCTTCGTCCTTTCCCTTTTGACACCCTCTCCTACAGCCCATCTTTAATACTGCCTGGTCATTATTTTTAAATAGGTATCATTATTCCTTAATTCACAAGAACTGTAAATACTGATTTCTCCATCTGCCTCCCCACAGTGTAAACTCCTACAGGGTTTGCCTCAGGTATCTGATAGACTTTGCCTATTATTTTTGAATCCCCAGAGTTCAGTTCAGTGCCTGGTATGCAGAATATACTGGACAAATGTTTGTTGAATGAGCTCCTGATCCTCCTCCAAGGAATATTTGCATTTTAATAAGAACCAAAGTCTAAGCTAAAGGACTAATGCTCTGAATGGGGAATTCCAGTATTATCTGTAGGAAAATTCCAGCAGATGCCACTGGCTTACCCTGCGGCTGCCAGGTAGGTTGAGGCTGGGAGCTGCCCCAGGGATGCACACCGTGAGCCTCAATGCCCAGATCTTTAGTCCAGCGGTTTTTAAAGTGTTGTGCCTGGGCCAGCAGCAGCAGCATCCGCTGGGATCTTGTTAGGAATGCACACTCTCGGCCCGGCGCAGTGGCTCACACCTGTAATCCCAGCGTTTGGGAGGCCGAGGCAGATGGATCATTTGAAGTCAGGAGTTCCAGACCAGCCTGGAAAGCATGGTGAAACCCCATGTCTACAAAAAATAGAAAAAAATTTAGCCGGGCGTGCATGGTGGCGCACGCCTGTAATCCCAGCTATTCAGGAGGCTGAGACATGAGAATCACTTGAACCCAGGAGGCAGAGGTTGCAGTGAGCCAAGATCGTGCCACTGCACTCTAGCCTGGATGACAAGAGCGACGCTGTCTCAAAAGAAAGAAAGGAAGGAAGGAAGGAAGGAAGGAAGGAAAGAAAAAAGAAAAGCACACTCTTAGGCCCCACCACCAAGGTCCTGGATCAGATACCCTGACAACGAGGACGAGCAATCTGTGTTTTAACAAGCCATCCAGGGGGCGGCTGATGCAGGCTCAAGCTTGAAAACCCCTGTCGGAAGCATTCCTTGCCTTCTGTGTGCCAGGCATCCTGCTGCTTGCTGAAAAGAACAAAGATGTCCACCTGGAGTTACCTGCAGGCTTTTGAGTTCACTGATTTCCCTAGAAACAATTGTAAGAGTGCTGGCCGGGCTGCCCCCAGCGGCTGTTTCTGATCAATAAAAACAAAACAACAAAACAGCCAGACTCACAGAAAACACCTGAGAGATTTGTTTCAGCTAAGACTTCCTTCTGTGAGAATTAGGAAAGACAATGACCCATAGCCTTCTAGAGGGGGTGGGTGCGGCCTTGTTTTACGGACACTTGCCTGAGAGAGGACCACTTTAAAGGGACTAGTGGCCTGATGACCAGCAGCTCAGCCATCAGAAGGAGCTGCTTTGTAGTGCCCCATCCTCTCCAGAAGGCGTGTGATTTAAGGAATATCCAGGTTCACTGCTTGACTCATCTTTAAAGAAAAGGCAAGACTGAAGTTCGAGAAGAAAGAAACGAGGTTCTGTAGTATTTCCTGAAATGCCAAAGGATGTGCCGTTCAACTGTACAAAATAATCCCAAGCTATTTTTAGGGTCTTTACTTACATGACACTTCATTTTTCAAAATGTATTTAAGAACTCTTCTAAGTGTTAGATTTTCAGAAAGCATTCACTTTTGACTGTATAAAAGAACTTGCCGCTCACATTCTTTTGCAGCTGCTAAGTTATGCAGGGTGAGTCTGGAAAGCCTGGCTTTTCACTCTGCAAGGAGGCGACCTCCCTCCATTCCACGCCTCTCAGACAAGCTGGGGCTGTGGACCCCAGGTGTCTCCTCCGTGCCATTGCTTTCTAGATAGTTTGTACATTTTTTAAGGGAAAAACATCAGTCATGTCCAATGTTGAGACTGAGATTGATCAAAATTTCAGACCACCTTAAGGGAAATAATTCTGCAGCACACAGTTCCTCCAGTTTACTTTCGGGTCATCTATGATATTTTAGCTGCCTGCCAGACATCGGCCTCCTAGGGAGCTGATTAAAGGATCTTTGCAAAACAAGCCTATTTCTGAGTCAGACAGTCAAGAACTCATTATCCATTAAGTAATTTATAGGATGCCTTTAATTCTTTTTATATAAATCTAATTACAAGAAAGAAACCTTGTCTCCTTGACTCTCCTATTTCTAATTTTCGGAATCTCTGAGTTTCCTATTTTTAATTTTTAAATTCTTAAAATATATATTTTTAAAAAATAATGTTTCCTTCCTGTGAGTGGCTCAATGTTGGAGCGTCCCCACTCTATTTCTGGAGACTAATTTAAAATAGCTCTCAATGTGCTCTCTCTGTTGATCGATGACTTGGCCGCATCCTAAGCCTATCAGATGCAGACGCCTGGGCGGAGAGGGCCCTGGAGGAGCTGCCAGCTGAAGGACTGGGGCTGAGAGCCACTTGATCTCCAGAAGGAGGGTGTAAGACTGCCCTGTAATCACAGCCTCGGAGAAGAGGCTCCTAACTGGGGCCTGCCCATAGGAAGCTCAGTGAACCAAGGGAAACACAGATGTGAATGAGATGCAAATGCAAGTGAATAGAGAACTCGATTGACTTCGCAAAGAAAAACATTGAGGCAGGTAGCAAAAGAGATTTCTTTTAATGGTTTTTCTTTTAGATACCTTTAAATTGGTTTTGTTTTAATTAATTAATTAATTTATTTATTTATTTTTCGTGAGATGAAGTCTTGCTCTGTTGCCTAGGCTGGAGTGCAGTGGCACAATCTCGGCTCACTGCAACCTCCGCCTCCCAGGTTCAAGTGATTCTCCTGCCTCGGCCCCCCAAGTAGTTGGGATTACAGGCACCTGCCACCAAGCCTGGCTAATTTTCATATTTTTAGTAGAGAAGGGGCTTCACCATGTTGGCCAGGCTGGTCTCAAACTTCTGACCTCAAGTCATCCACCCACCTCGGCCTCCCAAAGTGCTGGGATTACAAGGGTGAGCCACCGTGCCCGGCCTAATTTATTGAAAATATAAATAAAATGGTGCCTTGAATGTTCTGCTTGGTTGAAGGACAAGACCAGCTTTTCTAACCTGGACTCTACTCTCTCTGCCTCTGAATAGCTGTGTGATGTCACCTGCTCTATCTGAGCTTCATTTTCCTTGTTTTTCTTCAAAGGGATAGTAACACTTAAGCCATAAATACATGCACTGCAACCAAAATATATTTAGTAGTATACTATCAATAATCTCTATGTGGTACCTAATCTGTATCAACATTAGTTCTTGAGACATCCACATGCATGTACACACACACGCACACACAAAAATGACAGGTGGAAATAACTTTTTTACTAAAAGTTATTTTCTCCAAAGTCAACGAAGTATAAGTAAAAGAAAGTAGAAAGGCTCTTTCTCTGAAGGTAGGTACAAGCTATGAAGTCCTGCCTAGCATGTGAGTTGGACACGCCCTTGATAGACTGTCTTCTAAAACTAACTCCAAACTTTCATTCTTTCTAACTAGAGAAAGAACCGTGTCTGACAATGATATCTTCATTTTACATGGTATTTTGTCCTCTGGAACATACTTTCAGATATATTAATATAAGGGAAATAAAACATAGGGTTACCCAAGGCCATTCAATGACTCAGATAAGCCAACCTTTGTTTTATGATAAAAATAACAAAAGGAGAAATTTCCAACTTTTTTTTCATGTATCTTATGTCTTAAAGTACAAGTGAAAAAGTCATAAAATCCAGGGCTCATTTTAACATGCAAAAATTTCCAATCTCTTTTCATTGCCATTTCCAGGAATGGGTAGAGAAAGAAATCACATCCTCAATTCAAAGAGTGAAAATTTCTAAATATATTCTTGAAACTACAGCCAGATGTAATCTATTCAACACGTATTTGTATTCAAATTATGTTTTTCACTGCATCTGTGTTTTCTATCCAAATATTTATAATTCAGTTAGGAGATGCTCTTATTAGAAATAAAAGCAATTGTATTAGAGACCATTGAAAACTGCATTGCACTTACCGGTTTCCTGGATGTCCAGGAACCAATGGCTGTAGCCAGACAGAACAATGATCGATCTGTCAGCTGAAATCTAGCCCTGAATTCCCAGAGAACTCTTTGTTAGAACTTCCATTTCCTTCCCCGGCCATAGCCTTGGGTGGACAGAACCACTTTCAGCTGACCTTTGTCTTTTTCTCTCTCTCCAGTGACCAGCCTAATGGCCATTTCATTGGCCTGTACACCTACCTATAAATACTAATAACCCCTTTTTTGACAAAATGTTTGTAACACAACTTTTATTATCACCAAATGAAAATCATAGTGTAACCAACAGACACACTTTAAAAACAAAATCAATATATTGCCATAACTATAAATACTGTAATTTACATATCAACAGAAAGCTACTTTATACAATAAATAATATGTATTTTAAAATTTTGATGCTAAGGCACAAGCATATTAGAAGACAGAATGAAGTGTCAGAAGCTGTCACCTGTTTGTTTGCAGCACTGTAATGAATGTAACGGGTACAAATGTAGACTGACACAGGTTTGATAAAAGGCATGGCTTATCAAATTGCTGAATAATTTCTGATGAAGTTCCTAACAAGTTAAATAATAATCTTCTCTGCCGGGCACAGTGGCTCAAGCCTGTAATCCCAGCACTTTGGGAGGCCGAGGCGGGTGGATCACAAGGTTAGGAGATGGAGACCATCCTGGCTAACACGGTGAAACTCCATCTCTACTAAAAATACAAAAAATTAGCTGGGCGTGGTGGCGGGAACCTGTAGTCCCAGCTACTCGGGAGGCTGAGGCAGGAGAATGGCATGAGGTCCCGAGCCCCAGCTACTCGGGAGGCAGAGGTTGCAGTGAGTCGAGATTGCATCAGTGCACTCCCGCCTGGGTGACAGAGCGAGACTCCATCTCAAAAAAAAAAAAAAAGAAAAAGAATAATCTTCTCTCAGTTTACACAGTTGTTGCATTCTTGAAAAATTCGATTATACTACAACTGTCTAATAATTAAAAAAATAAAAGTAAGGCTGGGCACAGTGCCTCACACCTGTAATCCGAGCACTTTCGGAGGCCGAGGCGGGCAGATCACCTGAGGTCAGGAGTTCGAGACCATCTTGGCCAACATGATGAAATCCCGTCTCTACTAAAAATACAAAAATTAACTGGGTGTGGTAGTGCACACCTGTAATCCCAGCTACTTGGGAGGCTGAGGCAGAAGAATCACTTGAACCCAGGAGGCAGAGCTTGCAGTGAGCAGAGATAGCACCACCGCACTCCAGCCTGGGTGACAGAGTAAGACTCCGTCTCAATAAATAACAACAGAGGTACAGGCTGGTTCCTCGCTCCAAGGGAGTCACGTCCATTGCAAGACATCAAAATCCTGTACTCCTGTCCATTAAATTCCAGAGATGCCCCCCAGGCATTTGGACAATTTTTTTAAAAATGGTCCTTTAAGTTTCCACCATGTCCCTCAGGGTAGTGTGGTCCTCATTATGAATAGTGACATAGGGGCTTTGTCTGCCTAAGTATCACTAAGTAGGCCCAGGTGTAACACATCAGCATAGTTAGTATAGTAGACAGTGGGGAACACTGGCAGGATCTTGACAAGATTCCCAGCTGGAGGAAGCTCTTTCTGGAAGCACCACCTAGGATACATTAGAATTGAAAAGGTTGGCAGGGGAGGGGAAATTGGTTAAAGGTTACAGCCATGGTAGAGCAGAAAGGTCAAAAATTACACTGCAGTGGTGAGAACAAAACGGAGGTGTTACTGCTGAGGTCAATTCATTAGAAGCAAATTCATCTTTGGGGATTGGGAATGAGGCGTGTAGGAAATAGATGGATCAAAACGGACTTCAAGGTCGAGCGTGGCAGCTCAAGCCTGTAATCCCAGCACTTTGGGAGGCCGAGGCGAGTGGATCACCCGACCTCAGGAGTTCAAGACCAGCCTGGGCAACGTGGTGAAACTACTCTACCAAAAAAATAAAATAAAATAAATTTTAAAAGAAGCAAAAATTAGCTTGGCGTGGTGATGCATGCCTGTAATCCCAGCTACTTGGGAGGCGGAAGCAGGAGAATTGCTTGAACCCAGGAGGCAGAGGTTGCAGTGAGCTGAGATCGTGCCACTGCACTCCAGTCTGGGGACAGAGCGAGATTCTGTCTCAAAAAAAATTATTAAAAAAAAAAGCGAGGGAGGACTTCAAAATGTGGGTCCTGTGTGTGCAGAAGGACATCAAAGCTCTGCCCAGGAGAAAGCAGAAGGCAGCTAGAAACGGGTATAGAAGTGATGGGCATGGATCCAGAGTTGGAGTTCATGGCCATGGAAATGACTGCTAAAACCATGGAATGGCAAAAATAAGAGAGGGAGAAGGGATTTATTTGTATACATCTAGGACAGAAAACAGGAAGGCTTGGACTGGATCAAGAACAGTTTCTTTAGTGATTTGGAGGTGAAAGAAGGAAGAGGAGTAAGGCAAACCACAGAAAAAGAAAGCGACAAAAGATCCTTCCAATAATGCAACAGTGAGGGAGAAAGGTTCAGAGTTTCAAGAGGAGGGAGTAGCGAAAAGCGTCCACTGCCACTGCCACGGAGAGATCAAGGCATGTGGACAATTTGTGGTGGCTAGGTGTCACGAAGGGGAAGTCCCTGCTGGCTTTCAAGGGGGTGGTTTCTGTGACATGACGCTGTTGGAGCTGGGGAAGGAGGCACTCAGTGCCTGGAGAATTTGGAGCACTTGCTGCTGCAAGAACAGTGTGGCGGCAAGGCAGGGATTGCACTCTCTGCTCTGAAGTCAGAGATGCTTTGGTGCCTGCGGGATCCTGAGCAGCTACCCTTTTGGAACCTCAGGTTTGTAAAGAGAGTTTTAAGGGTGCACTCTCTGAAGCCCCTGGGAGGGTGGGAGACCACCTGCTTCTCCCCTGACCCTTCCCACGTTTCTTTCATTTTAATGGAAGGAGAAAAACAGGACAAGAGCTTGGGGAGATGGCAAGGTAGAGGTATGGGCCAGCGTGCGGCCACTGGCCTCAAGAAGGGGGAAGGACAGGGTGGCTGGCTGTCATGGAGGCCCAGCCTCAGCGAGGAAACGAGACACTCATTTCACACTCACAGGACCCACAGAAGGTGGGAAGTGAGGGATGCAGCCTGGCTAGACAGCAGGAAATGAAACCAGGGCAGCTTCAGTCCTGCAGCCTTTATCGTCTCAGTCAAATCAGAGCTGTTTTACCTGCTGCAAAAGTGGTGCTGGGGCCTTCCAGCCAGTGCCTGAAGTGTGGGAAATCTTTGGTGGGCAGTTACAGAAGATGGCAGGGAAAGAGAAAGGCAGGGAATCTCAAGTGGCCCAGGAGGCACAACTTCAGCGAAAGAGCGTTAATTTATTCTGAGATGAATGGTTATGCTGTCTCCATCTACCCTTGGCCAGTGGAAAGCAGAGGCAGAAAAAGGGTGCTGCCAAATTTCAAAGGTCAAGGTCTTGGAGATGGGACAATTTAAAAGAACAAAAAGGCCTGAGGTATGAGGCTAGTACACATGGAGGTGACGGCAGTTGAGGAGGTGGATAAAAGGGCTGTTCTCTCCTGGGTGGAAATTTTATCTGTGATCTTGCAATTTGTTTCTGAGTGTATCGTTAAATTTCTTGATGTGTGTGCATGTGTGTGAGTGTGAACATGCCAAGTGGCAGCAGTGAATGATGTCAGAAGTGGGCATCGCTGATACTCCCCACCAAGAGGGTTTGTATCCATCATGGGCTCAGCACATCATAATCACATGTGCTGTGCACAGGAGGGAAGAGCCGGGGGCTTCCTTTCTATCGGAATGAATAGCTGCAGAGAAGGTGCAGTAAGAATGCACACAGGTATCAAGGAGAAGAAAAAGGCAGGTGCTGGACAGTGTTGGAGGAAGCAGTGTGGGGAGCCAACTGATAGATTACTGGGATGGGGTTAGCATCTTCATTGGCAAGACAACACCCTCGAAGAGCTCAGAACAAACACTTACTGAGAAGTGTTTGAGATAATGTTTTTAAAGGGAAAGAAAATAAAGATGAGAGTGATCCAAGGGTTTATGCCTGGTGGCCTGTGCTAATTTAAAAAAAAAATAAGGAGGTTAGCATATCTGTGGATGGGGAAGGTGGAGAGGAGAAGGAATGGCTGGAACACAGGCAGTTTGGCTGCAAAATCCACCAGGCCTCTGTTTAACCACTCTCTTGTGTGGTTTTATGGCTTCAAATGCACTCTTTTGTACAGTTTTATGGCTTTAAAACCCACTAGACAGTGACATTTGTGTTCTTTCTTTCTCCCCTCCTCCCTCTCTCCGATACCCTACATCTGATCCAATGGCAGATGCCTCTGGATCCACATTCCTAACGGCGCCAGAGTCTGACCACTTCTCACCAGCTGCACTTGGCCCCTGCCTTGGAGCCAGCATTCTCTCTCACAACATGAGTGCAAAGCCTCCTCACCAGTCTACTGATGCCTCTACCCTTGCCGCACTGCAGCCACATCTCAATAAATCATCCTGAGGGACTCTTTGAAAATGTAATCAGATCATGTCACATTTCTGCCCAGGAACCTCCAATGGCTCCCCACCTCACAGAGCGGGACTGTCAAGAGTCTTCTGACGGCCTACACTGACCTCGGTGACTGGCCCCATACTTTCTGACTCCCCCCAACCATCCTGGCCTTTGACTGCTCCTTCAGTAGCCAGGGACATCCTGCCTTAGAGCTTTGACCTCGCTGTTCCCTCTGCTGGGAATACTTTTGTCCCAGATAGTCACATAGCTTGGAGGTCAGCCTATGGGGCAGTCTTTCCTGATGTAATATTGCATCAGTCTTACCTCCTTACTCTGACTCACCGTGCTTTATTTCCCTCCAAAGTCCTTATCATTATTTAACACTCACATGCATACTTGTTTATCTGTGCATTTTCTCTCTCAACCAGACTGTAATGTCTGTAAGGGGATGGTCTGTCTGTATCCTTAACATCTAGGGCAACATTTAACTTTAGAACACAGTGAGCAGTGAATAGATATTTGCTGAGTGAGCAAGTGAATGAATGAGCAAATAAATGAATGAATACGCCACAGAGCTTACAGTCTGTGCCCGCCTTCATGGTTTGCTCTGTTCCATCTTCTCGATGGGATTTGAAATCTTTCTCAACCGCTGTTGTTGCTATTATTTCAGCACGCTAGGACTCCAGTTTCTTAGCTTTAAAACAGAGAGGCCCCAACAATTTCTAGAGCCACTTCTGTCCTTAAAGTTCTGTGATTGTACAGTGATTGGCAAGGCTGATTTAAGGAGAAGTGTATTTTTAGGAACTCTTCTGGAAATCTTACCAGCTCGGCTGAGTTTGGCCTAGATTTGTCAGCAGGCCTTTTGAGCCGTGGGATCTAAAAGGAGCATCTGAATCGGGGGAAGGGGGACATGCATGGAGCCCATTTTCTTCCTGCTCCCAAGTCCAGAACCAAGGAGGGAGCACAAAAGGGGATTCAGGGAGGGTGAAAAGGTGGCAGGTTCTGCCTGTAGCACTCAGCGCCTTGAGGAGTCGGTGCAGGGGTGAAGAGGACTGGGGAGGTAGATTTGGAATGCTTATGCCCCGGACTGTGAAAAGGACAAAAGCTGGGGGACTTGGTGCCCCAGAGGTTTTATTCTTCTTCTTTACATGTTCTCTTCTCCTAGCACAGAATATATAGAGAATGCCACTGTGCACCAAGACTTCACCAGCACACCCAAGCCCAGTCTTCATGATGTGGTGGTGGGAGATACTGCGGTCCTGGACCTAGAAAAGGGTCTCTAACTTGAATGGGGGCAGTGCTGGGTCCTGAAGGCCATCAGCAGAAAAGATTGCTCAGAGTCTGAGAAGATGTGAACATGATTCTCATTAAGGCTAAGCTCCAAGAGGCCCCATTCCTTGGCTCTGGTATTCTCTCACAAGGAAAGACTGCATTTTTGAGTCACATGAACCTTCAGCATTGCATACTCTGGGGGTTAACATATCTCGAAGTCAGGCCAGAGAGAGCAGGCCTTCCTCTGGCCTGGGGGGTTAACATATGTCTGAACTCAGGTCACAGAGAGCAGGCCTTCCTCTGGCCTGAGCCCTTGAGGCAGTGGCCACAGGTCTCCTTCCTAAGATCTGTGATCTGGCTATTGATCCTATGCCGGAGATAATCTACCAGAAAGAGCCATCCAGTTGTCCAAACTCTTTCCACATCCAGCCCCATCCCACTATTTTTGCAGAAACCAATTATTCTAGCACAGAACCTGATATGGGATATGTGGCTTGGAGGATCCAAGGGTTCAGAAGACCTCAGAAGGACACAGAATGCTAGTCACTTACTTGAACACTGTGGGAAAGATAGCAGCAGGATCTCACACACAGGTGATGGGGTTTTATTAATATTTAACAAAATATAATTTCCACTATTTGACTTCAGCAGAAAAAGCAGAACCCAGTAATCTAGGAACAGGAAGAGGGTAATTTATTAAAACAAGATTTTGTTTTGTTGTTATTACTTTCATCCTAGAAGTAAAAAAGAAAGAAAGAAAGAAAGTACTGCCATACTTCTAAAAATCGCCATCGATGAGCAATGACTCAAACCACAAGTATGAAGTAGCCTACAGAAATGAATGAGTCAACAATTCCTCTTATCTTTCAGGAAATTAAGCTAACTGCTAGGTATTGAAATCAACAACAAATATTTACTGTGTTTAAAGCCTCCAGTTCAGAGGAATTAAAAAAAAAAAACCCTGGCAACAAAGCATATCTTCTGTAAAAATGTGACACCACGAGTTATTAGGTAATGTTATTGCTAAATGCATCAGGCAGGACTCATGAAATCCTGCATCCTACCGCCCCTTCCTTTACTTGGGAACAGATCCTTCTGTTTCCTCTCCTCCCAGACGGGGGGCGCTCCTCAGAGGCTCGTCACTATTGGGCTCTGCTTCCCTGCCGTCACCAGTTGTCATCATTTCTAAGCAAGGTCACCCTGTGCTGTGTCTCCATGGTAACAACAGGCCACCACTTTGAGGAGTGCAACAGAGAAATGGGGAGAAAGGCGAAATCACAGTCACTGATCTGCCCTTGGGCGCGAGCAACTTCTGAGATGCACACGTGGTTCTTCACATTTTATGGAAGGGGAAGCTGAGGAATGGGCCAGTGCCCCCCTAAATCCTGTGAATGGAGGAGTGAAATGTAAAATCTGAGGAGCACACCCTGCACAGGCGCCTGTGCTCATGATTTACATGGAGCTCCCTGGGCCATTCCAACAAGAACCCAGGGTGACTGAAACAAACGAGGTAGAGGGTGTGTGCTTTGGCATCATAAAGATGAACCAAGAAATCTTGAGACATCGACTTTGGTGTACTAAACACTGTCCTGTTAGCTGTATCTTTTGGGTATTTTCTCAGTTATGCAATTCTTATTTACATGGAAGTAGTTTTGCTCTCCCAGGTCCACTGGCCTGTGGACTCCATGCAGTTCCGTCATTCCCTTCTGCCAATTGCATTTCTTTCAAAAACATATCCATTTCCCTGTAAGTGTTTTTTAAGAGGCATACTGCTGAGTAGGAAAATTAATAACCTGGCCTAACCTGTGATACCACCCTCAAGACAAGCTCTCAAGTTACTTGTTCATTATTTTCCAAAACGATTTTATCATCTGAGTTCCTACGTGCAGGCTTCAATTGCTCTTCTCCTGCTCCTTGTTCCTTAAACTGGTCTGACCTCCTTCTCTAAGAGAACCAATGACTTTGAATCAAACCCAACCTGACAAGATAAAATGAGGAAGAAAAAAAAAAAAAAGGTAGGGTCTGAATAATACCTTTTACTGGTATGCAGATTATCACAGGGTTACCTATTCATGCTCTCTGCATATTCCAATCACCAAAAGGCATGCATGAAAAAGCAAATTGGCCATGCAGTAATGCTTTCCGATTTAAAGTATTATTTTGCCAATACAGTCTCTTTTTAACTAACGATGAAATAAATGCAAAACAATTTTTATGATTACAATGAAACCCTCTGTATGTGCAGATGTGAATGATGTTCTGCTTACTGAAATGTGTCTTGTTGGTGGTAATCAAAATGACTTACTTAGCATTTAACGAAAGTGTGCCTCTAAATGAGAAATGATTGCTTACTTGAATCCACACTGCTAAGAATCAAAAGAAACAGCTTATACAACCCTATACCCTCGGGCAAGCCAATGAACTCAAAACTTCAGTTTCCTCCTCTCTACCAGGTTGTCCTGAGATTCTATCTACATACTGTCTATGGAAGATTTGGAGGACTTAAAACAGAACACTCGTATAAGGCATTATCATTCCTGGAGGTCTTACCAAGCCATGGTAAGAAGATTGCAACATTACTCATGGAAATTTTGGTTAAGGCCACTCTGATAACCTGCAGCATTTGGCGGAGATATTCCTGTCTGCTTCACTTTTTCCAGTACGAATGACTCATCAGCAGCAAATATTTATTACGTCTGACTATGAGTTCTTTACTATGCTGGTTGCTATAACCAATTTCCCAGCAAGCCTACTAACAGGCATTCCAAGGTTCCACCCAGCTTCACAAATAGTAGTTCCAATATTTAAAAAAAAAAATTGATTAAAAAAAATCCATGTCCCAAGCTGGCAGTTTTTTTTTTTACTTAAAGTCAATAAATTTTTATTCAAGGAATTTCACATGTCATGATTCTTTCCACTGCCCATCAAGGTCACCTTAGTTTCTCTAAAGAACTGGAGTCAAAATTTATCTTCAAAAGATTTATCTGTTAGTCCTTTTTAATTGAACTGATGTTTAATCCAACTGTTCTGTCAGCCTTGCAATAATTTTTTTTATTTTGTCTTCTTTTATCTCCTTTTAAATATGGATATACTGATAAAAGTTCAAAATTCTCCACCAAGAATCTTTCAGATCTAATTTCTTCAACCAATTTGCTTCAGAGTCATTTGTAGAGTAGGTGAATCTGCCTAGTTCTCAATTTGACACTCTCTCTAAACATGAATAAGTTCAAACCATATCCATTCCTAAACGATCATGCTCACAGTTATCTATCTTAGCTGATGCTTTTGGCTTCCCCAGTGGTTTTCTTTAGAAAGGGAAGCACTTTAGTTACCAAGAGTGAGTGGATGTGCAAGTCAGTAGGTAGATTATGGATGCTTCACGGATAATTGGCTCAGCCCTCCCCTTCCTGTGTTATATCTAAACACAGCACATGAGGTCCTAAACAGTTTCTTGAATAAAAGATCAACCAGCTTTCCTATTTGCAAAGTGGGAAAATGTAAAAAGTGAAGGCTCTCTGAAATACATTTGGCTGCCATCTACGGGTAGCCTCATTGCCTAATTGTTTATTTGAAAATGGGTAAGTCTGGGAGTTAGAAGGATTGAGTGTTAGTTCCTGCACAGTCACATGCTAGCTGGGAGATTTAGAGTAAGTCACAATTCCTGTCCAGTCCTCAGTCTACCCAATCCTAAAAGACGACTCTGGACCAAGCTGCAGTCTTCATACTCAGACGTGAGTGGCTACGTGGCCCAAGGAAAACATAGTGCAGTCTAGGAAAGCATTCATTTTACTTAAAAACTTGATGAGGGTTAAACAGAAAAGTCAAATAATTGAAGTGGTATGCAATTTAAAATGTGTTTTTTATATTAGAGCAAAGATATACAATAGAGTAGAAGGAAAGATTTAGAAGACTTTTTTAGATAATTAAGCAGATTTCTTCTGTCAGTTCTTCTAACTCTGCTCTGCTCTAAGGGTGCTTCAGTGGAAAAACTTGAGATAGTGAACAGCAGGGTCTCCAAGGTGCTTTCTACCTTGGACATGCCAAGAATCATGTTTCCTGCCTCGCAGTTGGAGGGATCCTTAGGGAGCTGCTTGTGACTCATTGGGGTTTGGTTTGTTAACCCTGCAGCAGAAGCACAGGTTCATTAAGGTTGATGATTTCATCTGAATCACTCACCCTTGTTGGAGAAGAAAATAATACTTCTCCACATCTAAATGCCTGAAATGGTCATGATGTATGCTCTGGCTTTAGTGTCACCTTTGCGGCTGGAAATACTGATTTATTTGCTTGAAATCAGGGCCACCCAAGAGTACCTGGGCTGTTCCTGCTGCTGAAAAGTAGCATCTATTGGGTTTCAGTCGTGTTTGCTCATATTTGACAAGACTCAATCTTGCCTTGAGAAATCCATCACATTGACCGTTTTTGTTAAAAATTTATGCTATAGCTGAAAATACTACAGTAATTAAAAAGCAAATTTGGAAGTTTAGAGGGTCTCATATCCCTACGATCCCTATGATCCCATATAAAAGAGAGGCGGGGGGAACAGTGGAGGGGTGGGTAGGTTTAGGGTCAAAAGAAGTCAACGCAGAAGTTAAAATCAGATGTTTAGATTTCTAAAAATTTCTGAATAGAGGCAAATGCCTTTCAGTGGACATTTTAGAGACAGAGGAAGTTAATAACACTGGATTTTGTTTAAATTGAAACTTTCACAGTCAAAATTTTCATGAGCTATTTTCAGAATATTGATAAATACTTTTCAATCATAATGCATCAAAATCCCTTATCATGCTTCAAAAATTGAAAATAATTATATTTTAGATTTTTATGTGTAAGTTATAGTTTATTTTTCAAAGAGAAAGAAATATTAACATTTCACATTTGGAAACTATTCAGTGTTATAACATTTTAATCTAAATATCTAAATGCTTCTTACTCAGCAGCATTTAATAGTTAAAATTTTACATATTTTAAAAATTTGCATTGGGCTGGGCATGGTGGCTTATGCCTGTAATCCCAGCACTTTGGAAGGCCGAGGGAGGCAGATCACCTGAGGTCAGTTCAAGACAAGCCTGGCCACCATGGCGAAACCCTGTCTCTACTAAATATACAAAAATTAGTTGGGCATGGTGGTGCGTGACTGTAATCCCAGCTATTTGGAAGGCTGAGGCAGGAGAATCGCTTGAACCCAGGAGGCGGAGGTTGCAGTGAGCGAAGATCATGCCACTGTACTGGGCAACAGAGTGAGACTCTGTCTCAAAAACAAATAAATAAAAATTGTATTGAAAATTCCTAAAAAAAAAAATTCAGCACATTCCTGGAATGTAAATGCCCAAAGAACATTACACAATATAACATTGTATTGTAATAAGTATTAATAAGAACTTATTAATACGTATTAATAAATTAATACGTATTAATAAATACAATGTTACTGTCTCAAATGAGAAGTTTTGTGTATTGCTATTTTACAAAGAGAATTAACTAAAGAATTTTTTATATGAGTGATAAAACTAGTAAATTTGAAACATGTTTAATTTTCCTGCATTCTTCCCAACTTTCCTCATCTGAGAAACCTTGATAAGAATACAAGAAACTGGAGAGGGCTTTGGTAATGAATGAAAAGGATCCACAAGTGATATTTGTTTTTACTCACCTGCCACAGGTGTGTCTATCTCAAAGGATCAAATTTTAACTCAGGAGCGTATAATTAGAATATAATAAGAACTTAATAAGTATATACATTTTCACTTGATATCATCTATTCAAGCCATGAACATTTGGGGCACAATTATATGAGCAGAACTATGCATCCCTAATAAGGCTAGGATGAGATTCTGTAGGGTTGGGACTATACTTTTTCATTTCTTTGCTTCAAGCACAGAGTTTAATAAATATTTGTTCAGTAGATAAATGGATATATGGATGGATAGATGAAACAAAGCAAACCAAGTTGGTTATCTTTATTTTAAATGTATATATCAATTTGTATTTTCTATGCCAGCAGGAAACTGATGTGTAATTAGTCTTAAATGTACTATCCTGAACTTTGTTTTTAATATCATAAAACTGATATTTATGAGATGCTTGAGTGTCTCAGATTTCAGTTAGCAAGATGAAAAATCTGCTGCTGGTTGCTATAATTAGTTTAAAATTCCCAGTGGGAAACTCATATTCACAACAAGATGTAAAATAGAGAGAGACCTCTGTCACTAACCATTTATTTTTGAGAATTTTCAGAAAAGAAGCTGTTCGAAATTTTCAAAAAGTCAAGAAATGGTGCAGCCAATGCATTAACATGTAACAGTAATATATGGCATAGCTACTGGAAAAGAGGAGAAAATGTTATCATTATCTTCAGATGATATGATTATATAGCCAGAAAATTCAAGAGAATTAAATTTAGTTCTCACAAGGAAAAAGTGAGTTCAGTTAAGTTGCCAGAAATGAGATAACTAAATAAAATTAAATGGAACCAATAATTTTCTTGTTTTCTAGCAATAATCAAGTAGAATATATAATAGAAAAATATTTCATTTATAATAACTTTATAAAAATAAGACAGCTTGAAATAATGCTAACTGAAAATGTATTGGACAAGCAAAAAAATTAACAAAATTTACTTAGAGATGTAAAATAATATTTGAATATAATTGAAAGATATTTGTAGATTCTTGTCATCTAAAAATATTAGTTCTTACTAAATTAATTTGTAGATTTAATCCTATTTTAATAAAACCTCAAAGGGATTTTTTATTGTTGGGGAGGCTGTATGGGTATGGGGAAGAACCTGAAAAATGATTGTGGCATATCTCTGGAAGCAACAGCAGATGAGGACAGAACATAAATTCCTGAAAAGAATCACAATTTATGGGATTGGCTTTGGTATATCTGGATACATGTACTATTAATCTAAAACAATTAAAACAATTTGTTATTATGGAAAGAATAGACAGAAAAATCAATGAAATTTACTAATAATTTCTTGAAAGAGATCCCAGTATATATAAGAATTGAGGATACGGCCGGGCGCGGTGGCTCACGCCTGTAATCCCAGCACTTTGGGAGGCCGAGGCGGGTGGATCATGAGGTCAGGAGATCGAGACCATCCTGGCTAACAAGGTGAAACCCCGTCTCTACTAAAAATACAAAAAATTAGCCGGGCGCGGTGGCGGGCGCCTGTAGTCCCAGCTACTCGGGAGGCTGAGGCAGGAGAATGGCGTGAACCCGGGAAGCGGAGCTTGCAGTGAGCCGAGATTGCGCCACTGCAGTCCGCAGTCCGGCCTGGGCGACGGAGCGAGACTCCGTCTCAAAAAAAAAAAAAAAAAAAAAAAAAAAGAATTGAGGATACAAGATAATAAATATCACACATGGAGAAAGGATGCCTTATTCTTCAGTAAGTATTGTTTGAAAAGTTAAGGAAAATAAAGAATAAATTTATTTATAAACTCAACTTGCTCTATTCACCAATCGATTCACCAATTGATCTAATTAAAAATATAATCCACAAAGGGAAAAAGAATCTTTCATGGATAATAGACATACAAGTCCTTCTAACAATACAAAACAATGCAAAGAAGAATAACAACAACAAAAATAAATCTTTAAACACTTCAGTGCGTGTTTACTAATAGCTTCTGACTTTTTTGTGCAACATCCACTTGAGCACAAGTAGCTATCTGACTTTACCTATTAATCTCCAGCAAAAAGAAAACTTAAAGCAGGGTTAAGAAAGTGTATCAGCTATGTCTTTTTCTTTAGTTTTTAATTTTTGTGGGTACATAGTAGGTGTATCTATTTATGGGGTACATGAGATACTTTGATACAGGCATGCAATGTGTAATAATCACATCAGGGTAAATTGGGTAGCCATCACCTCAAGCATTTATCCTTTCTCCATGTTACAAACATTCGAATTATACCCCTTTAGTTATTTTTAACTCTATAATAAATTGTTGACTGTAGTAACCCTGTTGTGCTATCACATACTAGATCTCACGCATTCTACATTACCATATTTTTGTACCTATTAACCATTCCCTCAGCCACATGCCTTGAAGTCTCCATGCTCCTAGTAGTTTTACAGAAAACTCCTAAGTTCTGCCCAGTAGCTGCACCAAATCCAAAACTGACCGTACAAGAGTTCTTCTTCCTGGGCAGTGGAAATAGCAATGGCAAGGAGGCTTGGCTGAGTTGTATATTTGGCATCCAGGTTAAGAAAAGAAAAAGTTGGCTGGAGAGAAGTAACCCCTTACAATAAGAAACTCAGCAAAGATGACATACTTGTGCTGTATATACCATGGCTAAAACTCCCTCCATACTATCTTGAAGCTGCTGTACCACTGAGCTAAATCAAATTTCCATCAAGGAGCCTTCTACTTAGTGTTGGAGGAGAGGATTGTAATGATATCAGGCAGGAAGTGAGGCTGTCTAAAATGATTTCTCAGCTCTGTCTTAAATAAAAACAAGCCAAGCCTGGACAGACTTCTTTTCTTTCAAGATCATTGAATGAATAAAAAGCAAACAAATGAATAGCTCAACATGCAACAAAAATCCAAAATGACTGATGGAAAGATTCTGCATACTAAAAGGAGGGTCAGAAAGGGAGCTCAAGGTTTATCATTAAAAAAAAAATTGAAGAGAGCATTTTGGTTTATGTTTTTAATGAAGTTCAAGAACTTCATTCTTGAGTAAGCTCAATGCCTGTTAAAGAACTTATACAACAGAACAGTAAAGATGGGGAAAAGGCAGACTGAGCTGAAAAGGGACCAAGAGACAGCCCGAAATAAAAGTGGCAGTTGGTTGACATAAGAAAGGAATGAGAGGAAACCAACATCTCAACAGCAGAATTAAAACCTGAATTTGATGCAGTAAAGTGCACTGTCAGCAAATAAAATAGAACCAATGAGCTGGAGAATATACCTGAAACTTTTTTTTACACAATATAGAGAAACATGGAAAAGAGATTAAACTGCTCAGAGAACTATTGGCAGATATGGAAGTCAGAAAACAAAGATTCAACCTAAGAATTATTGGTGTTCCTGGAGAGAAAAAAGAAATAAAGAACAAATGAAATAGAAGCAATAATTAAAAGCTGTAGCTTAGAGAATCTTGGAAAGTTCCAAAAAAAGCTGAGAAAGAAGAACCAACCAGACTTCCGTGTCCTGGGCTAAGCCAGCAAAAAGCTTTGCCAAGCTGGAACCTCGTAGCAATCACAAAGACAAAGGAAGATTTCTAAAGTTACTTAGCCTCCTGCCCAAAAAAGTTAACTACAAACAAATCAATTGGCTTCCAACTTCTCTTTTGCAGCATAAAACAGCAAAAGCCAATAGAAATATGTCTATAGAACTTTGAGGGGGGAAACCTAATACTCAAAACAGTACACCCAATTGCATTTTATTTCCAACATGAAAATGAAAAACCTTCTCAGATATGCAAAGGGTAAAGAAAATTCAGCGGCTCCTAAAGCTCGCACTTCTAGGGATATATCCTAAAGGAAAAAATTAGGCATGGGATTAAATATTTATGTATCAGCATGTTAATCACAGCACAATTTATGAAAATAAGCAATTAGAACCAATGTAAATGTTAAGCAACAGGAAATGCTAAAATAAATAATGATATCTTCATTTCATCAGACATTAAGCAGCTCTTAAAAACCATGTGTTCTAGCAATGGAGACTGTCAGGCTCCAGTGTTTACCAGAAGATATTAAATGTTATATATTTTTCCTTGAGGAAGCAAGTATTTTATCATCAGAAAATAAAATAAAACTAAAAACATTCTAAGACAAAAATTCTAAAAATGCCCCCTGGGCTTTTATGCTTGCGAACATGTCATTTCCATCTTCAAAACTGAACAATAGGTCAAATGTCACCACCATCTAGGGACAATCATTCACAAACAGTGGAAACACTTTCCAGACTGAACATCTTAAAATGCAAGCAAGTTGAGAAATAGGGAATTCACATTATCTCACTAAGTCTGGACACATTTTTGTTATAATGAACCTTGCCCATTACGACGATATAGTAGGCATATCATATATCACAGTCTGCTGTCCAAATTGTGTAGCAGAAATTATGTGTTTTTAAAAACTAAGTATCAAGGTAAAATATAGTTTAATATATAAACAACTTGACATTAATTTGAATAATTTCAACTCACAATGAGTGGGGTTGGGGGTGGCCACTTTTAAGAAAAGAGATTAAATAAAAGAATGGAGTGACAATGGCTTGCAAATTGTAGCTTTCTAATAATAGTAAAATTTGCATAACATTTTCCATAGACTTGGCATAAAAATGTTAAATTATAACTGCTCATTATTGCTTCTAATAATAAAACATAACTAATAGAAAATTAACCATTAAGGCACCACATATGACAGTTTGAACATTACATTTAGGATTTTGTCCCACCTTTTCTTTATCTGATTTTATAGGATTTTAGAAGAAAGAGAGGATTCTAAAAAAAAAGTTATCTTGATTTTATTATTCTTTACAGTAATCATAAACACAAGATTTCTTTCTTTTTGTGCTTTAAATGGTTAGAGATATTACGCTAGGGCTTTGTCCCTTTGGAGACCCATAGCACATGTTTTGGGAATGGTTGGCTCAGGTCTGGGGTGAAATATGAGACTGTGGTATCAGGGACTTATAATCACTGTCTCCTGCTTTAACCAACTAAGCTATTCACCCATGTACAAGAGCCTCAACCATGACTATGAAATATTATGGGGCCCCGGGTGCGGTGGCTCACGCCAGTAATCCCAGCACTTTGTGGGGCTGAAGCAGCAGATACCTGAGGTCGAGAGTTCAAGACCAGCCTGGCCAACATGGTGAAACCCCATCTCTACTAAAAATACAAAATACAAAAATACAAAAATTAACTGGTTGTGGTGGCACACGCCTGTAGTCCCAGCTACTTGGGAGGCTGAGGCAGGAGAATCGCTTGAACCCAGGAGGTGGAGGCGAGATCGCACCACTGCACCCCAGCCTGGGTTACAGAGAAAGACTCCATCTTAAAATATATATATGTATGTGTGTATATGTGTGTGTATACACACACATACGTATATATAATGAAAAGTGAATTGCTATGCAAATAATAAATAATTACATGCTAAATCCAGATAATAAATATGGAAAGGAGTATTTGCCAAGAAATATCATTTCTAATGTAGCATTAAAACACTAAACCAGAACAAGGTTTTCTGATGAAAAGTTTAGAACATGTGATGAAGGGTTTGTCGTATACGCTTTGAGACTGAAAAGGTAATTGGGGAGAAAGTGTTGAGTAGTAAATGTTTTCTAGATTTGGGTAAACCTATATTTTGGGGTAAAATTCACAGGTAGAGCAATTAATTGGCTGCAGATTCAAATATTAACTGCTTATGAAGCTATTTGAAGTAAAATGATGAATGAACTAGAATGTGATTTAAAATATGGAATAAATGATATTGCTAATTAACCATTCTGCTTTCTTTTAGCTGTTTAATGAACGCACTAAAGAAAATATTAGAGTTCTAAACAATTTTTTTATAAGTAACACCACTGCCTCAATAACCATGACATTTTACATTGGAATATTCTAATGCTCCAAGTTATATCATTAACTTCAATCAATAAACAAGAGAAACAGGTATGAGAGAAATGAAGCCAACCCTAAGAGCACAAAGAAGACCTATGTCGGGGTTCATGTTTAGCCATCTCCTGTCCTAGAACTTACAGCATATCTCTTCTCCTATCTCACTTTTAAGGGGAATCAAAGGGTAACTTGGAATTTTAAAAATCAGGGTGGCATACCATTTTAAAGGAAAAAAACCCAGTGCCCTGTTGGTTTTTATATTATTACCATAAAGCCAGGCTTCAAGTGCTTTTTCTTCCAAATATTCTTGAAAATAAGGAAACAAATAAAACATATTGCAGTTTTTAATCAATCAACTTTGTAAAGAAACATACTAGACAATCTCGAAGCTCTCTTCATGTGTTAGTTAAAATTTTTAATACAATTATTATCTTTAATATTATCAGCTGGCATTTACATAGAATTGTGTATGGTGAATAAAGTGTTTCTAGCATGCATTATCTCATTAAATTTCAGAGATAGACAATAGGTACTCAAAGAATTGGTTTCGAGACTGTCAGCCTGCACAATAAGAAAGAATTTCAATTACTAGTTTCATTATTTAGGCTACTCAACACTTTCTTCCCAAGATTACCTTTATCAATCTCACTGTGACCCCATAAGTGATTCAGATTCATGATTGCCTTTGTGCTATTTACAGAACAGCAATAAGTATATTAAGAAAATCTACTGGCTTGGCGATAAAGCTGACTGTAACCAGCTCATAAAGCCGATATCCATGTCCTTCAGCAGGAAGGAAAAAGCCCGTCTGGAGGAGCCTGTCTTGTAGCGTGGTTTGGTACAATGCATCTTTTTTTCTTTACAGGGTCAAAAATTCAGCAAGAGAAATTAATAAAATGCCTCTTCGGGGTGGGGTGGAAGGGGATCTCTCTGCCACAAATCCCGCTGCCTCCTCCTACCCAAAGACAGAGACTGAGAATTTTAGAAACAGAAGTTTATTCGCAGTAGTTAACTAAAAGCAGACTTCTCTCTGGATTAGAAGTTCAATTTACACACATATAAAATGTCAGGACGATATTCAGATTTCTTACACGCACTGCTGACTTTATTGTATACGTTAACAGTCTTTATCCTCATGTAAAATTTTCACTTTTTTAGGTTTTAAATAATTTTCTAACATAAGGAGTAGTCATTCACATTTTCTTTTTGAAATAAAAAGGCAAAGTGGTTTGCAATAAATGTTTGAAGTTCAATAGGGATTCACCCACATAAATAGGTGTGTGTGTGTGTGTGTGTGTGTGTGTGTGTGTGAAATAACAGTAGCCAACAGTTATTAACGGCTTTCAAAAATGCTAAAGTTCTTAAATTTATATTAGTCAATCCAAAAAACTTCACTACAAGAGTCCTGTTTATAAGTTGGGACAAGTGGTATGCATTCAAATTCTGAATTCCAAACAGAAATTTCAGCCAACTTTGGAGGCTAGTTCCAATTTAAGTTCCACAATGAACAAACAGTCCCTTTCTAAACCTCACATTTCTTATCTATAAAATGTAGTAATACCATATATCTCTTAGGTAGCTGGGAGCATTAAATTAGGGAGAAAAACATTCTGAAAGTAAATCAAAGTGCCTGAAACATAGTAGGTGCTTTAAAGGCACTAGTTCCCTTCCTTTGTCCTACTCATCATCTGTTACTTAACTTCAAAATAATGGAAAATTGTGCTGCTGCATGGACTTGGCTCTGAATTTCAGATTTGTTTCAGTGGAAGGAACTAAGTATTTTCTTTCAAAAAGTGCAATAATAATTACAAGCAAAATTAAAATGAAATATTAAAATACCATTTCGATGGACTCAATCCAATGTAACAGCCCTTCCTCCTGCCTAAATATCAAATTCAGGAGAAAGAAGAGTTGTTAAATAATTTTATTCCTCCAACTTAGTAGAAATAAAAATGCATTGTACATGGCTACCTTTAGTAAATTCAATTTCTTTACTTAGGGTCTAAATCAATTAAGATAGTGAAATGCCTACCACCCTTGCAGAAAGAACCTTCAACTTCAGGATTGTGGTGACATCTAGAAACATTGTTACCAGCAACATAAAAGTTATTACGCTTTCGTAGGGAGAAGACGGGGGATGACTTTTGTGAGAATCCTAGCTTTGTAACCACTTGGAATAGCCTATGATATGCCAAGGGTAGCAAATGAATAGTATCTGTTCCTCCCTTCCCCCTATCCTGTCCATGGCAGGTATCACTAAGTGATCCCAGCACTTTTTCCCTGGGAGCTTAGACTTGGCACCCAAAAACTTCTTCAAGCAAGTTTTGAGGCAGACAGCCACCACCAACTGATCAGAATTCCTTTGTGAGTTGAAACCATTTATAGACTGGGCTAAAGTTTACTTTTGAACTATTTATTAACAAAAGGGCAGAGAGGGTGTGCTTGTTGAAGAAATTAAGTCTTAACCTAATCCTAATGGGAATATTTACCCTACTTCTGAGACCAAACTTCTCAGGAGTTTTATTACTATTTATTTAGATAAAATACCTGTAATCTTACTTATAAATCATTCTTATCTCTTTATTAATAAGAACTTCTTAATGGTCATTATTAGATAAAATACTCTTGGCCAACTCAAATTGCTGTGTGTCATTATAATGAATAAAACTGTACATCTTTATGAATAGTCTATAATTCAAGCTCTTCAGTAATTAGATTAAAATGCAGTTTTATTATATTTCAATTTCATTTTCTATAGTAGTGGATAAATGTAAGCCCATCCCAGTGCAGACCTGGTGTATCTCTCACCCAGATAAGCCCCTGTTTTTATGGGCAGTGTAAAGATGTACCCAGAACTGATTTCTTCAAAACAAGCACCGTGAAACAAATGTCTGATTCTTTGACCAATGTGCACCAGCAGCAAAACAAACAGGCCATTATATTTGTGGCAAAGAATGAGATTACAAAGTCAATGAAGAACAAGGCACATTATCTAGTCGTTGGTCTACATTGTAAAACAAAGGCACAAAAGTGCTGTTCATACATGAAAAAAGTCAAAGTTTCATGGTTCTCAGTGAAGTTCAATGGTTAGGGGATTCATACTGACTATAAGTTGACTTGTCTCTATTTGTTTCCCGATTTCTCTTAGCAGATGACAGGCTTTCCTTGGCTTTTCTGATCTTGATCTATTCAGCAGTGTTAACGAGACACTGGCCTGGTTTCCTCTCTGCATCCGTCAATTTGTTGCTTTCAAAATTACAGCTTGTGTTTATTCAGGACAGCTACAAAAGTCATCGTGTTTGAAATGCATGAAAACTTAAATTCATTGAAAATATTTCACTAGCAGGTTTCTTAAAATTTTTATCGTTGGTGTGTGATAATATTTGAAATTAAATATGACTAAAGAATCACATTGGAATTTTACAAGCATGTCTATGACCTAATCCTGTAAGTTAGCCTTTAAACTGTGAGGACTTTGAAACCACCATTATTCGTTGTTACATGAGATGAATCTGTTTTTTATTTGGTCATTTTTAGCCAAAAGAGAGGGTAAAATACTGTCCTTACTATGATCAAGAACCAGAGTGTGTTTTTTTCCCCCTTGCCTTTCTGATACTGTGAAAGACAGAAGTGTAGGGAGAACATGTAGAAGCCCACAGAGAAGTTTCCCTCTACCTTTTTTCTCCTGCCACTTCTGATGAATGATAACAAAATAAGATCCATGCCGGAGGATAAAATTCTCAGTTACCCAGCCCTATCCAGGATGAGCAAAATAGTCCTCTTTCTCTGCATCCACATAATGCTATTTGCTGGCAAATTTAGCTCTTAATTCGTTTGTTGTTTTTTCCCCCTCCAAGGGTGGGGAGGAGAGAAGAAAAAGAGAAAAGAAAAAGAAACTGTTAAATGCTCAATTGTCTATTAGTTTTAGCTTATAGATGCAACTTGATATGCCTTAGAAGCAACTAATTAGAAGGAACATGCTAATTAGAAGACTGACGTGCTTCTCCACTTTCGTTGATTTCTGGCATATGGGGCATCCTCCAAGACCCAGTTCAAATCCCTTGTTGGAAAATCATGACCAGCCCTGTCCCCTACCCCTACTACCCCAGCCAGCCAGTCCTGTCCTCCCTGATCCTTGTGCCCCCTTTCCATTTATCCTCACCTCCTTGAGGCTGACCTTGCTGCTGCTGTACCTGGCCAGAATAGCAGCCAGGCTAATGCATCTTTGTAGCCCAACCCCTAGTACAGCATCCGACACATGCTGGCTACTCACTTAGGGTTTGTTGACTGACTAAATAAATAAGCCGTCAGGAGCAGTCCATAAGGCAATCTAAGAACCTTGATTTTTCATCCTCCAGGGTAAACTGAAAATGCATCTACCTAAACTGCAGTGGAACTTGATATGTTCAAGGGACATTGTCTTTTGTTCAACTCTCTCTCCCACATCCACTGTCCGTGCCTGCCACTGGCCACCGCTGCAGATAGTCACTTGGGCAGTGGGGGATATATGGGAGGGGTTGGCTGGGTTGGTGACACTCTGAGCTCATGCCCAAGCTTTGGGGCTTCAGGCTGATAGAGGGCAAGAAGGAGACGCCTGCACAGGAGCGCATGCGCTCAGTGGAGGGGAGGGACTGCCGCGTGCGGAGCCCTGCTCAGTCGGCTTTCATTTTCCTTCCACCAGCACCAATTTCAGAGGATGATGTCATTGGACAACGACTCCATAATACATGCCAGTTATAGTAGCATCCCCACAGATCCAAGCTTAACTGTTCTCAAACTGTCAATCAAGCAACGTACAGGAGGGGGGAAAAAAAAAAAAAGGAACAAGTAAGTCCTGCTTATTCCAAGCTCTTTTAATGTTTCTTAGGTACCCTCATCCCCAACCCCGGGGGGCTCCCGGGACCCAGGAAGTCCTCATTCTGCTATGTCAACTGCAATGTATGCTCCTCTTCTAGACCCTACATTTCTCGGGGACTGGGGATGTTTCTGTGTTCCACATGGGGCCGAGGACAAGTCTCAGACACCACTCTGTGCCCTGCAAAATCACAAGTTCAGGGTCAGGATTATATTTTGGGTAGAAGACGGCAGGTAACAGGATTGTTGATGCCTCTACTGTCTAGCTGAGGGGACTGAATGTAAAACCCCTCTGAGCAGATCCAGGGACATCATCTCAGTTGGCCTGACCTGCACCAGGGAGTCAACAGGATCCTGGTAACAAGGTGACCCTGCAAGGCACAGGCTGTGTCTCAGTTGCCTAATGCAGCCCAAGAAATGCGGGAGCCTTGGCTATGAAGAGAGCAACATATTTGAGCCACGTGCCCGCTCCCTCCTCTTTCCTAGATCTAAACACCCTAAAGCACAAAGAAGAACATTGCCTTTTGGGTTCCAAAGACACATTTTGTAATTGAAGTTTCTGGAGGTCTAGGAGTGTGTTGGGGGTGGGCAGTGGTGTCGTCAAAATCCTACCCATTTCACTGCAGCTAGCCCAGGGTTGAGGGAGACACCTTCTCCGAGTTGTGGGAACATGGGCCTAGCCTTTCCTTGTTGCTTCAGAAGGCATCGGAAGTGTCCTCAATCAGGCAATTTCCTCTCGGAGGAACCCCATGTGTGCACACAATAAGAGCTCATTTCCT
Organism: Homo sapiens; assembly: GCF_000001405.40. Classification (NCBI taxonomy): domain Eukaryota; kingdom Metazoa; phylum Chordata; class Mammalia; order Primates; family Hominidae; genus Homo; species Homo sapiens. The sequence continues at coordinate 97,241,953 of NC_000013.11, read as the reverse complement.
CCTATTGGCTTTTGTTTGAGTGGTTTCCTTTGATATGGGATGTATGCCACTCTCCTGCACAGTTATCTCAAACCAGGCATCCTTCTAAGCTCAACACAAGGCCCACTCCAATTGGAGTCAGACCCAACTCGCCTAACTCTGATGGCCCCTCCCTCCTTCCCACCTTAAATGAAGCAGCAAGTATCCAGGGCCCAAGTGAAATAGGGTTGGTCTCAGGGTTCTCCAATGGCTTTTGGGGTGCATGCCTGTGTTGCACACGTGCGTGTGTGCAATGTTTATGCATATGTGTGTCTTAACTGCTCAATTCCATTGCTACCAATCATGATTGTTTCACTTCATTACCTAGCATCAGGATACTAGGCACACAGTTGGATTTTAATCAGTGCTCTGAATGAAAGGACTAAGCCTTTTGAAAATGATTCACAATGGATTTGAAGATCTGTAGATATACTTTGATTTGGAAAATATTGAAAACCTTTCTCAACTGAAAGCTGAAACGGAGACTTAGATTTCAGAGTAGCATACATTTTTCTTTGCACTCCCTCCTCTGTTTTGAATTTTTTTCACGTTTCTGTTCTTATTTCTCCCTGTGTGCTGATCAAATGGACTCTGTACCACACTTCTTTCCTCTTGGTTGTGTGTGACCCAAATCTTATGACCCAGAGCTCCAGCAAACACCTAACTTGTGAAAGTATCTCTGCTGCTAATGGGTTCTCAGTGGGGAAAAAAAAGGACATGTGATATTGAGTCTTCCAACACAGGCAACTGGGTCAGCACATCCAGGAAGGAAGGGGACTTCAGTTCCAGGAAACACCTTGAACCAATCCTTACATATTCATGCTCTGAGCAACAAAGAGGCTAACCTTTCCTGAGGGACCAGAGGGCTAGAATGGAACGGCAGATATAATGGGAGTGTTTCCTGGACCCAGAGGAAATTCATTCATTCATTCAGTCAGTCAGTCATTCATTTCCAAAAGTTTTAAGCTCAGGAGTTTGGCCCCTGTGTGAGCCAGTTACCATCTGCTTGAACAACCTAAAAACAGCCCGAGTGAGGACAGAAGCAATTTTATCTGTGCCAAAACAGCTCAAGGCATGGCCTATCACGGAGCTCGTTCAAGTGCTTCATTTTCACACATGCACTACATGAAACTTTCCAAATGTAGCCCAGCCCTCCTGTTTTCAAAAGCAGCTACATTTCAATCATCCTAGAAATACTATGATTCCTTTAGTCTGGGTAACATGCTCCAGTGTTTTACCATCTCCTTCAAATGTAAACATTCCCAAAAGTCTTTTGTAGAATAAAAAGCCTTCTTGCATTTTGCTAAAAGAACAATGGGATCTTTGTGAGGGATATCAAGCCTTTAAGAATTTGCAGAAATAGTCATGTCAAAGCCCCTGCTCTTTCTAGAATTGCTTAGAGGGTCTATAGCATTCATTGGTGGTTATTCTCTAATAGCTTTATGTCCACCCCAGATAACTATATCTTATTTATTAATGTATATTTTGTGCAGTGTAGAAAGTACTTTCTCATGTAATTAAGTTACATGAGGTGATCTCATTTAATCCCAAGCATCGCCCAAAGAAGTGGGAATTATTACTCCCATTTTAAAGATAAGAAAACTGAGATTCAAATCGATGTCAAAATCTGCCTGAAGTTGTGCAGCTAGTCTGTGGCAGAGCCAGGATTTGGGTGCAGGATTTGAATGTTCTCCTAACCCCTGTGCCAGGAGGTCTGTGAATAATTTGTGTCAACATCACTGTGTAGTCTAGCAATAAATGTGGGTTCCTAGGCCCCACCTCAGACTCCCCGAGTCAGAATCATGGGAGGTGGGGCCTAGGATTCAGAAGTCTGGGGTGGGGCCCTGGAATCTGTCCTTCTAACAAGCTTCCCAAGAGTATGTGTATCTAACAAAATCAACCTTCAGAGTAACTTGGGAGAGCTTTTGAAATGGGTATGGAAAGAAAATACAACTTCTTCTCCTGGGGTTGGAGTTGGGTGGAGAGGTGAATATAGTCCAGAAATACAACCTTGTACCAGTGGCTACAAATCTTATTCTGGGTTTGTCTGTAGATGTGCTTGTCTTTTATTAAGTTTTCGAGTGGCCCTCAAGGGCAAAGAAATAGGTCAATCCATTTTGTCAGACGTGCTGTACATTTTGTGCAGCCACACATAACCAGAAGTATCTATCCTACAGCACTCAAGCAGCTAAAACTTATTTTAAGAGTTAGGACGCTCCAGAGAACTCACAGTTCACGTATCTCACACTTAGTTTCTCTCTGTCCACAGCCTTCATCAGCCAAACTTCTTTGAAGTTTAAATGAAAAAAGATCCCTGGTTGAAGGGATTGGAGCATAGCTGGCCTCTCTTTAGCACTAAAGCACAACTTCATAGAGATGCATATGTTCCCAGGGGGAAAATGCATTCATTTTTCATCACCATATAAACTTCTGGGTATATTTGTATAGATGATGGACTATGGATTTCTGTGAGTATGACTCATAGCTAATAATTATCTAGAGAAATGCCTGCCTCAATACTAAAACACTTCAGCCATTCACAAGTATTCCACAAACATTATTTATTGAGCATCTACTACTTATCAGACATTGGCTCAAGTTTAAAATGCATGGAGATTACTATAAGGAGACATTAAAAATATTCCATATGAGGTATCTATATTGGCAGGTTGTTATTTAGGAGAAGAGTTATCTAGGCACATGAATTAGCCTTTGCTGATACCCTGTAGTATGAAGGGAAAAGCTAAAGAAAATAATAAACAGTAGTACAAAAAATATTTGTATAGCACTTTAGAAAGAAGCAGCAGTCTCTGTATTGCAGTTATGCCTGTGGTAATACAGAGATCGTGTTTGATTAGCAGTGAGGCTGGATGTAGCATCTTGAGCCCTCTCCGAAACGGTTATTTTGAGTAGAGCAGAATTCATTTCAAGGCAAAGGCCTCTGGAAGCCTCCTTGGAGACGCCTTTAGACCTCACCTCACCACCTTCCTTCACATTTATCTAATGTTTTTCACCTTTCCTGGTAGAGCAGAATCATACTTAAGCCTATCAATTTTCAAAAACCATTTTTTCCCAGTGGCCTCAGCTCATGAATCCCCAGCAGGCAGCCTCCAATGAGCCAAAAGTTGCCCCAGGTGCCACCAGGCAGCCCAGCACACCTTGCCCTCCAACCTAAACTTGCTTACTTTATCCCTGCCTCTTCTCTGCTCACCGCCATCTCCCCTTTGGCTGTGCTACCTGTCTCCCACTCCCTACCTAATCGTTTTCACTTTCCACTTCCCTGGTGCCTTGCAGTTCAGCAGCCCACGCAGCACTCTTCCAAAAAGGGACTTTCCCAAAGGTCAGAGGCGTTGTCTTGGCTTCTGCACCTCATAGGACTGGGCCCGGTCTTCATCTTTATTGAACTTTCTTTAGGATCTGCCACCATTTCCCATTCTCACCTGGTTTCAGGAAGCCTTAATCTATGACACAGTGAATAGCATGATCCTTTGTCACAGATCCAAAGGCAATGAGAGAGGTTATGAGGCCCATACACCTGTTCCAAGGTGCCCTCACCTTGGATGAAATGCTCTTCACTTTGGATTTTTGTGCCAGTGGAAGTGTGCCTAGGAAATTCCCTTCAATGTAAGGCTTTCCCAAGCCTGTGTCATCTACCCAAGCCTGTGTCGTCTACCATTTTCTAGATTGCACTTGTTTTCTTTGCTATCTCAATTCCTCTATGATTTCAAACATCAGTCTTCTGTGGATGAATTCCAAATATACATTGGGCTCCACACGCTACAGAAGCCTAGACCCATACTTCTCAGAGGACATTCCGACTTCAAACTCTTAATGATCAGAGCCAATTTTATTGTCTTCCCCCATCCTCCTGTGTGTTTATGCCATTGGCATCACTGGTTTTTCTGTTTTCTAAGCTGATCGTGTCCAGGTCGGCTTTGACTCCCTCCCTTTCCCTTGGCCCCAGTCAATCCTGCCCATGCTCTTCGTAAGTTGCTCCTGGCCTCAGCACAGCACCTCATTCTCATTGCTGCTATCCCAGCCCATGCCTTCATGACCTGCCTGAGCGTCTGCAATTCTCAGGTCTAAACTCTGCTCACGGAATTATCTCTCTAAAGCATTGTCTGACCCCTCATTTACCTGCTTAAAAATATTTGGTGGCTCTCTGCTGCATTCTGAATAAAGTTTGAAATACATAGGGTGGCATTCAAAGTCATTCACAATTTAGTCCATGCCAAGTACACCCTAGACTGCACTTCATGCTCCAGAAAAACCTGCATGGGTGCTTTTCAGGTGCACACAATGTGATTTTATCTATCCTTCAAGGCCATGTCAGATGTTTTCTCCTCCAGGAAGCCTTCCCTGACTGCCTTACTTGGATGGCACTAATCTCACAGGCATCTTATACCTCCCTTGTGGCATAATACCTTCACCATGGTGATTTATTTACACATCTTACCTGTAACGGTAGAGTATAAATTCCATGAGGGGAAAGGAAATGGGAAAGACTTAAGAAATAATTTTCTCCTCATCCACTATCTTTCATACATTTCTTTTTCCTGCAAACTTTTCTATAGCCAATGAAAGCTTCATTAAGGAGAACACATTTGCCCTGGCAGAGCAGGTCCTTAAATTAACAATGCCATCAGCTCCTTCCCACTGACAAAGGGTCCCTCACCATGCATAAGGCAATTCTGGTCCATTGTTTTACCAAATCTTCACAAAAATCCTGAGAGGTGGGCACAAGAAACCAGAGGTCCAATGAATTTGGTAACTCGTGCTTCCTACGGGACCCCGGGATTCAAATCTGTGTTGATGACCCACAAACTGCATTCCTGCCATCCTTAGCCATCCTTATTTATTTTTTGAGATCTGCAATCCCTTGACTTAAACAGACTAACAGGCTAATCTAGGGCTACACCGCCAGAAAAGGGCAAAGGGCTTTGTCATCTGCTGTCCCCACACTCTTCCTTCCTTCCATTTGTCTTGATTGCCAAATAGAAAAAAAAAAGTCTCTTAAGCAAAGCTTTCATGCATTTGAATAAAATAAAAATAGGGAGAAACAAGGAGATGTTTTGTATATAATGACAAAGTAACTGTTATTATTACTGTCAGCATCATTATTAGTTAGCACTGATCATTTCCTTTCAAGTTTCTAATTTGGAGCATTAACTTCCGTCTGGTCCAGGGTAGAATGATAAGCTGGCTGTCATGACCCTTCATGGTTCTGATTATAGGCGGGAACAGAGACCACTGCTGGAAGCCCAGAAGGTTCCAGAAGAGAGAAATGAATAAAAAGCGGAGGTCCAAGTGGGAAAAGAATAAAAATATAGGACTACCTTCCCACGAACTTTATCTTATAATACAAAGTACAAGGTAGCCAGCTACATTTTTAAAACTTTATTAAAGACAAAAAAAAAAAAAAGACCACATATCCTGTATCCAGCCCACTGGATTTTCACAAAGTGAACACATCTGTACATCTCACACCCAGATGAAGAAATAAAATATTAGCAGAGCCCCAGGAGCACCCCCTCCAACCTTTCAGATACCACCCCCAACCCCAAGGGAAAGCATGCCCCTAGGACTACCTAGCTGGCTGTATTTTAAATTAACCCCTTCGTTCTGGCCAGGACAGCCTGTGCTCTTCTGAGAGAAACCTTTTCTTGCAGCAACTGTCACTTCAAAGCAGGGGGAAAATAAAGTGTGTGTGAGGGAGTAATTTTGTGTGTAGGAGAAAAGTGTTTCTAATTTTCAGTCCTGAAAATGTGAGGGGAAGAAAGAATACGTGAAAAAAAAGAGGGAAATAAGTCGGTAAATGCAGTCCTTGCTATGCCTCCACCATTAGGAGCTGGAAGGCTTCCAGCGACATGCCATTTTGAGCAAGGAAGCAAACACAATCGCCCTTCTCCACCCTCCCCAGCCTCCGCCAGGGCAGGTCAGCTCCAACGCCCATCACCGTCAAATTTGCGGATAGGCTGACGGTTATTATTTAACGGTAACATGTTCACTAGAAGGCTGACAGTGTATTGAACATATGGTTTTGATTTTTTTTTTTTTCTGTTTGTAACTAGGGAGCAAGATGGGGAGCGTCAGAAACCTAACTCCAGGATTTGCTGGGTTCTCCAAACTGTAGCGGGAACCTCACTCCCAGGCCGATGCCCCTCTAGCGTCTGCAGCTCTGGGCCCCAGGGAGGGAGGAAGGAGCCACAGAGGGTTCGGACAACAGCACTGACTGATGCCAGAGCAGGACTCCATTCTGTTAACCTGACAAAGCGCACAGGCTGCGCCGGCATGTTTTTCTTCCACTTTCTACACTAATTTATCAAACTGGAAGGAAGAGATCAGAACATCAAATAAAAATCCACAGCCACAGAGCAATTAACTCAAGACCTAACATGTACCTGGATAAGGGGACTCACAAGAATTCCGGTATCTACAAGGTTTTAAATGGCAATGTTTTCTAACTTTGTATCTTGGGTTATTGGTCGTCAATGTTTCCAAAAATAATCACTCCTCTCAGTTACATTTTCTGATCAATTATTGAATGAGGTCTGCGTTATACAACATAAATTTCACCGAGTGGGGAAAACTCATGCTCTTGAGTGGTCAGCTAGAAAGCTGGCAATTTTTGTTAAAAATGCAAATTTTTGGCCTGGCAAATCATGCTTGCTGGGTTTATAGGGCATTAATAAAACTAATACTAGTACAGAGGAAAAAAAAAGACAGAGTTTGTGATAGAGTAGGGGCCTGGGGATCTCTACGTTAAATATCAACTCAAGTCTGAAAGCTTCAGATCAAGCTCTGGGCCTTCTCTACATGAAAATGTGGTCACCTCATAGAGAAATGGTTCAACACCCCTCCTCACCCTTCCTTTGTTTGCTCTGCGTGTCCCTAAGAAGGCCTGGGCGGAACTGAGGGAGAAAATCCTTCCTGGTTTCTCCTTCTACGAGGAAGGAGGGCAGGTTAGTGCAGCCTGCTGTTGACTGGAGCTGGGATTAATTAGTTCCTCCAGTGACCTTGGCACCTACTGATGGCGAAGTGTGTCTCTAAGCTGCTGAGAGCCGCAGAGAAACTCGGGAGGACTGAGCGCTACTGCGAAAATGCTCGTTGAACCAAAACACATAGACGATGACGGAAGAAAACCAAAAACGTGTACCTTATCTCTAAACACTGCCCGAGTGTGTTATTCAAATGGTTGATGTGAAGAAATACCTCAATCTATCTCTGCATGTATGTTTATTTAAATCTCGATCCATCAGTCTATTGTCCTTGTGGGTAATTTTGCAAGCCAGTGTCCCGCACATTGCCAGGGATTTCTGGAGGGGGCTGTTACCTGTGGTTGGGACTGAAAACAATTTTAAAGCATCCCATCATGCAGTTGTGGAAGATCATCTGTCCCGCCACACTTTACCTTCATCTATTCACTACCCCCCGCCCCCGCACTGTGCTCAGGCCTGAACCAAGCTGAGAGAAGTTAAAGAGCCCCACCTCTTTCTCTTATCACAGCTGGTTCAAGGTTCAATTTGAGTCTACAATGGGTCAACACTGCCAGAGAAGCTCAGTGTCTTGGGTTGCATATATAAAGGTATTCTATCATGAATTAGGGAGGTGCCATACTGGTCCTGTCAGAGGAATTCTGACATCTTCAAGTACGTGAAGGGGCTCGCCTCCTAAAGAGACACTTGATTTGCTTAGGGTTACTCCAAAGGCCTGAACAAGGATGAAGAGTGCAGGTTACAGAGTCCCATTTCATTTCAGCATGAGGAAGAATTTTCTAACAAAATGTTATGGCTTGTATGCGCCATAGGGTCATGATTGTCCGGTCAATAAAGAAAGATACACAATAGCTGGAAACAGCTTGTCAGGGCTGGGGAAGAGGGTAGACAGGAATTGTGCTAATAATCCCTCAGATGCCTTCCCACTTGGGATTTCCTTCTAATTTCTACCTTATATTTGTATTTTTTGTCAGTTGGGTAGATCTCCAAGGAGTGGTGTGGTGGGGCCGTCAGAATCCTGTGTAATGTGAAAAAGTTCTTCCATTGACTCTAATGTGTCTTCCCACAGCAAACCACCATTCTGGTACTTGAGTACCCAGGAGAACAAAGAAGCAGCTAGAGTAGCACGCATTGTGGGAAGTAAGTAGTTAAAAGGACCAAAGCTCTCTGCTGGTCCCAGCAGCCCCAGAGGCAGCCAGTCCCTTTGATCCTGACTCTTAATTGCAGCCTACTTGCACCAGGGAACTTTAAAGAAAAAAAAAAAAACAGGGAAACTCTAGAGATAGAGCTTGTTTTGTTTCCTGAGGGGATGGTCTTTGTGGTGGCTGCCAGGAGGCTGATACTTGAGGCTTCAAATGATTGGTTTCCTAAAGGGGAAAATAAATAGTTCCTTCCACCAGCTAAGACTCAGGTGTGACTAGAACCCCAGAAATATGAGGTGTCTGTGTGTGCCATTTAGTAGGGGTGCCAGGTACAGACTTCGAAGAGAGAACAGGACATTAGAAAAGAGACCATGGGCTAGCGCAGGAGCAGGCAGAGCACTAGAAAAAGAGAGCCTGCTCAACACTTGGACACAGGAAGGGGAACATCACACAGCGGGGCCTGTTGTGGGGTGGGGGGAGGGGGGAGGGATAGCATTAGGAGATATACCTAATGTAAATGACGAGTTAATAGGTGCAGCACACCAACATGGCGCATGTATACATATGTAACAAACCTGCATGTTGTGCACATGTACCCTAGAACTTAAAGTATAATAAAAAGATATATATATATATATATATATATATATATATATATATATATATATATATGAAAAAGAGCCTGAAGCGAGAGCATCAAAGAAAACGGCACTGCACAGGAAGGGAAGTCAAAGAAAAAAGGGATCTCTAAGAATTCTCATAGAGAGCAACAAAATCACAACAGCACAAACATTTCACTTTGGAATAGGTCTTACAGTTGATAACGAGCTTTTACCTATGGTATCTATTTAAGGTGTCTAAATGTTGAGATCCATCAAGTTGTTTAAGTTCATTCAGTGTACGTGCGCACACACACACACACACACACACACACACACACACACACATAGCGTCAAGAGTAAGAAAAAGGCCGACAAATAATCACAGCAAATAGTGGAGATGATGCCCTAGCTATCCTTGGCAATATACCAAGTCCCTTTGTGAGGAGGGACTTCTGGCTAAAACTGAACTCATGCCTGCACAGTATGCCAGTAATTGCTTATGTCTATTTAACTATTTAGTGAGCTCCACTAACAGTACTTACAACTGTCGGGGAAGTTTTTCTAAAGCAAACCCTTTTTGCTGCAATCCCCAAGTAAGAACTGGTGGACAAGGGTTGCATGTTTCCATCCTACCATCTTGAGTTTTACCCCTTATTCTGTAACCTTGGCAAGTAACTTGGTCTCTCTAAGCTTCATTTTCTTCATGAAAAGGTTTAACTGAGTTGATATACAGGAAGCTATCAGCAGAGGAGGACTTTCCATATAGTAAGTGCTCAATAAATTCAATAAATGTTAGTTCTGTTTCATTCCTAAAAGGTTATTGGTAAATTAAAAATGCATAAAAATACCGGCCATCTGTGTGTGGACTAAATGAGCATCTGGGTAGGGAACACTTCCTCTAAATCAGTTTAGCTTGACTCCTGGTTCTAGGAAAGAGGGGGCCACATGTGGGACACACAGGAAAACAAGGCATCTGAAAGGAGGGAGGACAGACAGGGGCACGAGATGGATGACCTATAACAAGGTATGAGACTCAACAATCAGGCCTGGGCATTTCACTTAAGCTACTTCGTTAGACAGCTGTCTCTTCTCATAATGTCTTCGTTTCTATTACAAGACTTTAAAACTAGCATTTTTTAAATAAATGCGATGTTAATGGCATATAACCCTTCCTCTCTATCCTTCACATTCTTTGGAGATGAGGAGGAGAGAATGGCGCTATCTACATCTTAGGGAATGAATGTGTCAGAGCTCCTGGACCTAATTCACCAAGGATGTGAGGATGCAAGTAGGCACATCAGACTTCTGGGCTCCAGTTCTGACCACCATCCAGAAGAAAAGGAATCTAAGGCCGGTTTATAATGCATATATTCCTTAGGATAATAAAAAAAAAAACAACTCTGGAGCAGACAGATAAACACAACAGCCTTCCCTGGAGGCAGTAACCAAATCTCTTGGGGAACTTGTGAGAGTCTGTGTCCACTGAGAAGATAGACGTCTCGGGAATGGGGAGATAGCCAGAGACAGGCTGTGTGTAGTCACAGAACTGCTTGCAGCTGCTGAAGTCCCTGGCTTCATGCCTTCAGCCCCAGCCACATTGGTGCAAGGCTGGTGGGATATATCAGTTCAACCTCAGCTTCACTCTGAGGCTGAACAGCCTGGAAAGACCTGCTGTGTGGAGGAGGTAGGTCCCAGTCTCCAGACTGCCAGAAGATCCTCCAAGGAGCCATCCCAGACCCAGTGATCTGCTGCCACTCACATTGTGGCAGTGACACTTCCAAAGCAGCTATTGTATTCTGGAGCCTCCTGGATGAACATCAGCTTTATCACCTGGAGCCTGTTACAAATGTAGAATCTTGACCTCAGCCCAGCCCTACTGAATCAGAGTCTACATTTTTAATGAGATCCCCAGGTGATTCGCAGGCACATGAGAGTTTGAGAAGTGCTGTCTGGTTACTTATGGTAGGTGTCTGGTGTGACGGCATCAATCTATTTGCATACTTCAAGTACTTTCTCATCATGAAAGGCTATTTTCTTCAGAGAAGTCCTTATGGCTGGGTTCAATTGAGAACTGCTAGAATCAGAAATAAATGAATCCCCAGGGTCTTTGAGAACAGGATGACAAGTGTCAAGTGATATCTCCAATCACTCTGGAATTACTGTTCTAACCAGTAACATCCCCAAAATATATACATTTTGAGAGATGGATGCAGAAGTATTGATAATTATTGGTTTTTAAATACTCTCTCTGCTTATTAGTGAAGATCGACTTTTAAAAAGTCAACTGTATATACGAGAGATACAGCTACAAAGGTTCCCTTAACTATCTAATATTCTGTGGCTCTAAACAAGATTCTGAACCAATATTTGCCCCAAAAGGACCACAGCCAGAAACCCTTGCCAGAGAGGAAAAGCTATGTGCAGGAGAGTAGTTCAACCCAGGAGACTACACTGTTTTCTTATGGAATCCTGGAGATTAGGCTATGGTGCTTAATAGTATTGGTTGTTCATTTTTTAAAAACAATTTTGCTCCTTTGTGGGTATTTATTTTTCTGATTCTTTGCTAGCTCTTATTCTCTTTTGGGCCCTTGCCATGTTCCCCAAGATTCATCCTTTGTCATTGCCTATCTCTGTTCACGCTGCCTTCTTTCACGAGGTGTGAGCACCAATGGCTTCAACTACGGCTTCAACACAGGTGTGTCTGAGCTTGTATTTGTAGCCTGTTGTCCAGGCTGTTCTTCATTCCCACATTGTCAAATGTTTATGAGACATCTCCACTTAGATGTTTCATCATTAGCTAAAAACACCATTCTCAAGTCTAAAAACTCATCATCGCCCACCCTCCTTCAACCCTATTCCCATTTATTGGTCCCTTTTTCAGACCACTCCCATTTCTGTCAGGGTACCATTGATATCACTCCTCCTAGAATTTCTGCAATGGCGTGACCTCAGCTCACCGCAACCTCTGCCTCCTGGGTTCAAGGGATTACCTTGACTCAGCCTCCCGAGTAGCTGGGATCACAGGCATGTGCCACCACATCCGGCTAATTTTTCTATTTTTAGTACAGATGGGGTTTCACCATGTTGGTCAGGCTGCTCTCAAACTCCCAACCTCAGGTGATCCACCCACCTTGGCCTACCAAAGTGCTGGGATTACAGGCGTGAGCCACTGTGCCTGGCCCAGTTTCACTCTTCTAAGCTCTCACTGCGTTCTATTATTTTTCCTTCAAGATGCCTTTTGGATTTGCCCTTTCTCCTTCATTTGTCATGCTAATGCAACCCTTTTCCACTTTGTACCTGGAATATTGTGAAAGTTTTCTAGCCGGTGACATCACTAGTTACAAATGTTCTGACCTCTAACCCTATCTTACAAGTCCCAATTGAATCTTTATAAAGCATTAGATGTGATGTTATAGGTAATGAAATTAAACTCTTCCACAGGGCCCTTCAGCTCATTCATATCCTGACTCCACCCCCTCCATCTAACTTTATTCCCCACTGCACCCTAACACTTCATCTCCATCTCCAAGGTCAAGGTTCCTTCCTGGCCACTATACCACATCATGCTATTCCTCCTTCCTGAGATTTTGACCACTGGCCTCTCCAAACATTTTTGATCATACATTCTTATCAGAATGTTTTTTTTTAGATCAGAAACAACCACTAAGGATGGTTACTTTATAAATATTATTCTTGCATAACCCTGCTAATATGTTACACACATTATCAAACATCCATGAAAACTGACATTTTTAAAGGATGAGCTAAATAATATATAAGATGGAAGTTCACCTATTTCCTTGCCAAGTGAATAATCTTGCCCTTGGCCCGGGGTGTGGACATACCACATTAGAGACATGGATCCAGACCAAATACATCCATTCAGACCCAGAGGAGGCAGCTCTTCCTGTGGGAAGCCTTATCTCTTACTCCCACCCAAACTGAGCTCCACTTTCCTGAACTCTGAGAACACTGAAAATTATATGTAGTAAATCATTTAGACAATATATATTGCATCAATACTTTAAGTTTGATTAATTGAAGCTTGCATCTAGGATGCCAGAAATTTATAGATTTTTAGAATAATTCAATATCTTAATTAAAAATATTACTGTCTTCTCAAAATTGCTTGGGTTGGGCTCTACTCAATTACGCAACATCCATTAAAAGAAAACTCCAAGTCAGACTGAAGTTTAATTTCATTTATCTCATTAAATATCACGTGTGGATTCCCAGAGGTTTGAGGACTACTATTTCTACTTTTGTGGCCAATGAGACTTTTAGCACATTGCTTAACCTTACTCAATTTGAGTTTTCATTGAATCTGTAAAACAGAGGGCAAAATGTGACCATTAAAAGAGATAATAGGCCAGGAACAGTGGCTCACACCTGTAATCCCAGCACTCTGGGAGGCTGAGGCGGGTGGATTACCTGAGGTCAGGAGTTCGAGACTACCCTGGCCAATATGGTGAAACCCTGTCTCTACTAAAAATACAAAAATTAGCCAGGTGTGGTGACACACGCCTGTGATCCCAGCTACTTGGGAGGCTGAGGCAGGAGAATCGCTTGAACCTGGGAGGCAGAGGTTGGCAGTGAGCTGAGATAGTGCCACCGCACTCCAGCTTGGGCAACAGAGTGCGACTCTGTCTCAAAAAAAAAAAAAAAAAGATAATAAATATAAAAACTGAAATTATATATACATGTAAGATATATATATGTTACTATCACTAGTACACTCAGTATTTGCATATTATAATGTAAACTATATAAAGTACATCTGAGAGTTTTAAAATAATTAATCTCCTACCTCCACCTTGAGCTTTTTTTTCTGCAAATGAATTATTTTTATGTCCTCAATTTCATTCGTTCAGCTGAAAAACATAATGTCACCTACCTATACAGCTTGGGGGTCTTATGGGCCTGAGTTTAAATACTTGCTCAGCCAAGTATTAGCTGTGGGATCATGGCTGTCAGAGCTTTTCAGAGCTTCTCTTCTACTGGCCAGCTGGGGATAGTATTAACTTTGTGGGGCTCTCCTGCTCTTCTTAGGTTCAAATTATATGAGATATGTATGTAAAACAGCCAGTTTCTAACACATGCCCTTGAAATATTCATTTCCCCCCCAACTCCCTGTAACAGGCTTAGGAGAACTCAATGAGATGCTCTCATGGGAAAATTGAATGCTTTGAATTTTGGTCTCCTTGTAGACTTTGGTTTTTCCCAGATCTGCAGACCATTCATAATTACGCATGGATTTTCTGTTCTAGAAGCACCTTACTTCTGTGTGACCATTTGGGGTGCAGAGCCAGCACAGGTTTTGTGCTTGAATGCCTAGCAGTCAGAGCTGAAAAAGCAAAGCAAATCAACCTGTCTTCTTGCTCTTCCTTGGCATCTAGGCTACCAATGGTCCCAAAGTCTAGTCTAAATGCACACGCTGCCCATGAAGGCATTTGGGGACAAGCATGTGCACCCCCAGGGACAGTTCTAAGTTTTTCCTGTCCTTCAAAATTCAAGTCAATTAGCTGCTGGAAAAAAATCAATAACTCCAAGTTTTAAAAATCCAGTTTATAATGCATCTCCTCCAGCAGCTTTACCCAGCACATCCTTGCCAGAGTGCCCTAAGTTTAGACTCCCACTTTTTAACTTTCTATTTGAACTGCTAATTAAGATAATGCCTGTGAACGCCCTTTGTAAAGTGTAAGAAACTACACATATGTTAATTCTCCTTCTGAAGACATTTGAGTGCTTAACCATCCTTATCTCATTTGTAAATATCTTGTTTCCTTGCTATTGTGGATTGCAAACGGCCGCAGCATTTTCAGTGTTCTTGACTCCTCCCTTTTTCCTCTGAGGTCATGTACCACCCTGGAGCTCTTCTACAGCAACCAGCTTGCAGTCAATGCCCATAAACCTTGGACCTGCCCATCTGTCTGCCAAGACCCATGCCTGAAAAGAGTTCTATAAACATGGCTACATCCTCAGCCTCCTCTCTCAGCTCTCCCCCAGGCTGCGTCCCTGAACCTCGCAGCTTGTCTGTGCCCAGAGAATACACACTAACTGTGATGTTAGGGTAAAACCAACAAATAAACCCAAAACTTAGTGTTTCAAAAGGAAATATATTTTTTTTTTTTGATTTTTTTTTTGTTTTTTTTTTTTGTAACTCTGCTTTTAAGGAAAAAGGGGGAAAGCGAAATTCTGCAGAGTCAGGAAACAGGTTTCCTTGCTAGAGATAGAGACAGTGAGATAAAGGCATGGGGCTTCCCCCACACCCTGCAGCTCAGAAGTGTGGGACAGGAGTCTAAGACTTCCTGTTGTTGGCTGGTATTTACAGCTTTTTAGATGATATGTCCATTTTCCCCAGGCACTTTGGGGCCAAAACTCAGTATGCTGAGACTCAGAAATTGCTCTCAGTAGCTTCATATTTTGATTTTTTTTTGCACCATTCTTATCTATCTATTGCTCATCTGACATCTTTATATGTTATTTAAACAGTACTTATCTGGAGAAATATAACAGAGGTCAAGAAAGTACATACATACAGATACCTAAAACTCAAAAGTCCATCTCTTGTTCTCCCCCAATCACTAAAACTGCCCCAAGCCTAAAATTAATCTGATGGTTAACAATGCTAAATTAATATTAGCCAATAAAGTTATTCAAGTCTTTGAAACTTACAATTTTGCATCATTTATT
The DNA here is from genome assembly GCF_000001405.40 of Homo sapiens. NCBI lineage: Eukaryota > Metazoa > Chordata > Mammalia > Primates > Hominidae > Homo > Homo sapiens. The sequence goes on along the minus strand of NC_000013.11, from coordinate 97,226,503 downwards.
TTTGTACACACACACAAAGGCAGGTATTAGGTTACTGAGTTGGGTTTCTCACCAAATAGCAAAAGCCAGGGAAGCCCAGAGGTGTTTAATAAACACTTGTTGACTGATTGATGGAATATACTACCTAGTATAATTCAGACAATGCATTCTTTGTCAAAACACTAAGGTAAATTATTGAGTCCACTTTTATTACCAAGCGTTTCTGCTGTATTGAGGAGGGCAGGCCAGCCCAAAACTCGTCCATCAGCCTCAGAGCTCAGGTTTACAAAAGAAACCCTTAGGCCTTACCTTTCACACCTGTTTTTACTCTCAGCAGAGGAGGCCGGGACTGGTCTCCATAAACAACTGTGTAGTTGGAGCCGTGCAGTCGGAGGCCCAGGCCTGATGCAGACCCAGCCACGCAGCACCTTTGGCTCTTTACTACGAATATTATCACGGCTGCAACAAATAGTTTGTGCACATTTTTTAAAAGAAAAAAAAAACTGAGAAGAGTATAAAACTGGAGAAAAAAAAATAGTATGTTAACTAATTTACAAAGCCCGGTTAAGTCTTCCTGCCTCATTCTTCTGAGAGAAACCAAAGCATTAAAATATCAAGCTCTTTGCTCTCCCCAGCAGTGGACATCCATGCTCATCCAGTTGAGTCGACCCTTCCGGAAAGGATGCCTGGGCCCATGACACCTTTACTTCTCTTTGCAGCTATTTCCTGCCTTTCTTTGCTAGGCCTTTAGCTTGGGTCTTGAGCAGATTTCGTGAACAGGGCGAACTGTCCTCTCCTGTTCTGCCATGCCCCAGGGATCTGTGCTTGCCTGGCCTGACTCTTGACCTGCAGCTCTCTCTGGGCTTTCTTGCTTGTTGATTTTTATGCCCACACCTCCCTACCTTTTTATAACCCCCTTTATCTCCACTGCCCACCTGCCCCCTAGAGTTGCCAGGTTTCTCTGCTTGGCACAACCCAGCCAGCTCTGACATGTAGCTGTACCTGAAGATGGTAAAGGCCCCCAAAACTATGTTTTCAACAACCAACATGTCTTGTAGTTATCCACCTTTTCCCGAATCAGAATCCTTCACCCCTTGCAATGTTGCCAACCTATTTCTATGTTGATAATCTGTTTTGTCATTTTGGAAATGTAAACAAATCAGTATACCTTCCTTTTCATCTTTTTCTTGTTATCGGTAGGAAAGTACAGGAAAAAAGGAAGAGAAAATGCATGAGAGATTGAACCTACTTATTCTACTATAAGGAATTCTCTTAAGCTCAGCATCTAAATCCTCTTTTCCCAATTCTTGCTTGGAATCTTGAGTACCTGATCTTGAATTTCTATGGCACTCCCTGAGCGCGGGACTGGCTGGTAGCCATGTGATATTGATTTGTTTTCACCATAGCAACAGCAAATTGAAACAACTAGCAGAGAGAAGGCAGGCTGTTAACCAGTAAAGCTACCTAACCAGTATATTTCACAAGCATATTTTTCTCCTTCCCTCTTGTTTTTTCTCTTATTTACTCCACTTTCACAAATTTAACACAAAAGTCAAAGGAAAAACAGCATTAAATGTTTTGGGCACTACAAGGCCTGTGGCCAGAATAGTGTGCTTTGCAGAGCTTCTAGTATATTAGATTAGATCGATGGAAAAAATGCAAACAACAACGCTTTGATTTCCTTGGAAATTTCATTTGTTGAACTAAGAAAAAGTATCCCTAAAAAATTTACATGAGCACAAAGTAGAGTGAAGGGTTTTGTGTATATGACTATGTATCTTAATACTCTAAGGTGTTTGCCAACAGTTTCTTAATACCGAGGTTTTATCCCTTTGTACTTTAAATAGCTCAATGTGCCAAGAGACAAACAACTTTTTTTTTTTTTTTTTTTTTTTTGGTAAAAGGTCAAGGTCTCAAAATGCTAAATGATGAGGGAAAGTGTAGCAAGTATGATTCAATTCTATTAAAAGACAGAAAAATCAAGGTAGGCACTTGCTCAAAACTACGTGAGTAGTCAGAGAGGAGACACAAATTAGCTTTGGGAACTCCCGAGAACTCCAATGTGCTCCAGTCAAAATCTTTTTTAAAAGGTTCCTTTGTAAACATTACCCTTCCCCCGATCTCTGTGACCAAGGTTGCCACCTGTGACATGGATTTGCAGCCTGCAGTATTGTACTTCCCCTGCTTGGGGCCATCTGTGCTAGGACATGATGATTTTTCTATGAAAGCAGCTGTTCTCACCATCACAACCAGCCTTGAACTTGGTGGCACAACCTGGATCCTAAATAGTGGCTCTGGAGCAACTGGGAATAGGGCCCCGGGGACCATCCACCCAGGTGGCAGCGCTGGGCTGCACCAAGGGGGAGTCAGGCCAGAAAAAAAGCTTTGCCCTGCTCCCTGCTGCTTTTTGCCAGCCCAGCCAGAAGCCCTGCAGAAAACCTGTGCTGACCGGCCCGACATGTGGCAGGTACAAGAAGATGCCCTATTTATGAGGGGACAGGTTTACAATTTACAAAAGACAGGCGAAAATATAAAGACATAACTTAAGTCCTGCCAGTGGGGAGTTAGAATGTTCCTGGCCAGGACATAAAGAAATATTCCTCTCCACAAGCTCGAATAAAGGAACACACAGCAGAAATAGTTGGGGGATGACGTCAGAAGTTCTGGGCTAGTGTCCTGCACTTCTCCTTGAAAGTAAAAACAGTGGGTCTAGAAGAATCTACGTGGCATTGCCCTTATTTAAATGAGTAGTTCTACTGCTCCTTGCAAAACAAGTAGGATAGCTGAAGAAACTTCCTCTTATTTAAAGATTATAAGAATGTTCCCCCTGCCTTTTTTAAAAACCTTATTGTCCCCAAAACACACACATTACCCAATTAACAAATAGCTTTCCACTTAACCTTTGTCTTTTAAAGGGACAGTAATGTTTCTTGTAGAACATTCAAGGTGGTGGTGGTTAGGCAAGTCAGATTTTTTTCTTCGCTTCAGTGCTTGCTAACTATTCTAAAAATGTTACACATTTATTGTAAACACATGCTTCCGAGGCCTAACAAAAAAGCACAGTTTCCTCATGCCTGGCAGAAATTTAAAACGGAAAAGGGCAGAAAGAATTCTTTAGCAAATATATCCTTTCCTTCTCCTGGGCCAAGTGTGTTAAAAATAAATCTTCTCCATCATTTCTCACTGCTGCTTCTCAGCGAGAAAGTTGATATGGTTCGGCATAGTGAAAACACAGCTTTAAAAGCTAGCCTGCCCTCATTAAATTATTCTGCTGGCTGTGTGTTCTCATTAAAAATGCATAAAGATCAGATAATTGCAGTAAGCATTATTAACCCAGCTTTACTTTTGAATATAATGGTTCCACTTTTAAGCTGGAAACAAAGGCTCAGACATGCCAGGAAAAGAAATGTAAACATTGAACTACAGTATCGAAAACTTGCCAGAAAGCTACCTCTTGCTAGGTTGTTTAAAATGTGCTTTTGAAACTCAATTAAAGCTGTAGCATTGTAGAGCTAGGTAGGTCCCTAATTTTTAATAAATAGACACATACGTTTGGCCAAACATTCAACCGATGATTATTTACCATGAATTTTTTTTTAATCCTTAATTGCAAGTCTGTTTTCAAATAATAGGATCCATGTAAACTTTATCTATTTGGGAACTAGCTATGGCAATATAACAATTTTTCACAGCAAGAAAATAAGATTGCTCCAAAGAATTCAAATGGTTTTTAAAAAATAATATAATAAATGAATCGATTCTTTGCATAAAAACTCGATTTCTTGCCTCACCCCAAACAGGCGGCATAGATTCAAGCTTTGCCATTTCTTTTTCTCAAATCAAAATGTTACGTAAAACTCCAGGGTCCCCCGCAAGTATTACAATTGAATTAGTGGAATCCAGTTTCCCTGGCTCCCGTAAGCAGCACACATGGAATGCAGCATACTGCAGCAAACTCTTTAAACATTCAAAAAAGGGGGGCGATTCTCCTACCTTGTTTAGCTCTGCCTGTCCTTCCCATTTACAGTAACCCCAGGAACATCTGGCAGAACCAAGTGGCCGAGGCTTCTCCACCGCATCATGAGAAAGAAACTTCCATGTAAATAGTTCTCATTCCCTGTTTATTGTACTCTGAAAGCCGTCTGCCGTATCTGGAAAATTTTACCTTCAGATGATGAAGCAAAGACAGTCTAAACTCTGTTGCTGTAAGCTGCAGCCCTTCCTTCCGACAAATCCCTCCCAGCCGGGGCCAGCCAATCCCCAGCCAGCTCGTCAGCCCTACTCGTCTGAAACTGGCCCTAATAGGATGACTGACACAGTAACACAGCACTTGCAGTGTGTAAAAACAGTGCATCCATACTGATGAAAGAGGAATTTCCCTCTCAGAAGAAAGCAATCATAGCACCAAGACAAAGTGGCACATAATTGGCAGAGCAGAGAGAGGGGTAGCTCAAGAAAACACCCTTGAAGACAGCCAGCTCGAAGCCAGGAGCTTCACCGTGAACACTTGGGAAAATGTGAAACTCCGCAGATTCCAAAGAAATCCAGGTTGTACATGAAACTGAAGTCCTTGGACTATCTGACAAAGCATATGTATATGTTTTTTAAAGGAAAAATAATTCAACGTCTGCCATGGCAGTTAATACCTTACAAAACATTTACATATTTCCATTATTGAGGAAGAATGTGCTAGCCCAAGTGCGTATTCAAAATCAAAACATGCTTATAGCTCTGGCACACACAGGTTTCCTGTATAACATCTGTTATTGCAGTGGTTAATTACTGCGGCCCATTTATCTTTCGTCTAAGTTTTCAGACCACTTGGGACTTCGATTAGGGAATGCTGGACAATAAAATTGATATCTATACACTACCCTTTTCTACTCTTGGCAGGCACCCACGAGAGGATTAGGTGTGCTTTAACCATCTTAGATGCCATTTGATAAATACTGTGCATTGGCTCACATTATCGTTAATGAAGCAATGATTATAGGAAGATGTTTACTGTTGAATACAAGGGGTACATGATCCAAGGGCCCCCATGAGGTGCCATTCCACAAAAGATGTTCTAGGAGGTGCTGGAGTTTCCTGAGATAAAGCAGAAGAAGAGAAAGTTTAGGAAGGGTTATTTATTTATTTATTTATTTATTTATTTCCCAGTCTACAGCATTTCTGTATGCCTTGAAAACAAAAACTCAAAAACATATGGCATTGAGCAAACACAACAAGCATACATTTTCCTCCCCTAAATACCACATTTTGAGAAAAAAAAAGTATGATGATTACATGATGAGACCAAGACAGAACAAAGCCTTTATTCATCTGAAAGGTTGAACCCAATGCACGATTTTTATAAGCAACTGTTCAGCGCATCTGTAATGAAGCAACAGAATGCAATGGAATGCTTTCTTTTTATTTTGCCATTGCATCTTAAAAACATAATATTTCATATAATTTCTAGGCTACTTTCTTCAATAACTACCATGCTTTATTCCCCTCAGTTTTTATACTTACATTCTTTGTCTTCCCCATGTAATTCTATCACATATCCTAACTTGCAGGCTTTCATCTACTGTAATACTTCTGGAAATTTAAATTAGTTCTGTGGTCAAACAGATACAAACTACTTTTAATTATTAATATACTTAAACAGATTTGTGATTCTCCTCTTCCTCATCTCCCTCTGCTGTCTTTGAAACTATCATTCCATGAATCCCATTCCTGAAACTTCAGTTATCTTTGACACATTCCCCCATTCTCAACCAATGAAACTAAGCCTTGTTGATTTTCCCTCCCAGGTAGGCCAGAACTCTGACCTATTACCTGGAAAACACAAATGCTAACAAGGCAGTCTCTGGAACTCAGGCCTCCTCATCTTCAAGCTCCCTTGTTGCCAGACGGGTTTTTTAAAATCATGTAAAGTCATGTTCCTTTCACATTCAAACCTTTCTCTCTATAAAATCTGAATTATAGACTTTCAAGGGCCTTCATAATCTGGGCTCTCCCTTTCAACTCAACTTTTTCTCCACTGTTTTCCCAAGTGAACTTCCTGATGGAGTCATGCTTATTTCTGCCTTACTCAATCTTTAGACCTCAGCTTACCTTTCCCTTTATTCTGTCTTGTCTTCTGTGGCCACATTACCCTCTCTGATGTTCTCCTGTGAAAGCATTCTGTATTGTTTATTGTACCAGACGCTTTGAAACCCTTAACAATGTAGTCTTCTGTAGTTAGCTTGCCTGAGTTGATTTTTCCATCTCAGAAATCAAGGCTTGTGTCGTATATTAATTAAGATAATGCACACAAAATGTCTATGCAGTGACTGGCACATAATAAATGCTCACTAATGATAGCCATTCTTACTGGTATTTCTAAATGCATTGTTCATTGCAGTTAGCAAAATGCCATGCACAAACTTGCTGACTTCATGATTCCTATCTCAAGAATTGATATCATATTCATCCAACTGCATGAGCTAAAAACCTGGCAGTCATTCTTAAACCTCCTTCTTCAACCACCATTTGAAATCCATTATCAAAGTCTTTCAGGTTTAACACCTAAATATTTAGAAATGTTTCACTTTGCTTCATCTCTACCAGTGGCTTTGTCCAAGCTATCGGTATCTTTTATCATGATGATTTAAATAGCCCCTTAACTGGTCTCCTGAATATATTCTTGACCCCTTCAAACCTTTTTTCACACTTCAGTCAGAACAGGAATTAAAAAACAAAAGTCTAATTTTTCCACACTCCTTTGTGTAAAACCTTTGCTGTGGACTGAATTGTGTCCCCCTAACATTTATATGTGGAAGTCCTAGCCCTCAATAGGAAGGTATTTGGAGATGGGACTTTTGGGAGGCAATTTAGATGAGGTCGTGAGGGTGGAGTCTTCACGATGGGATTTGTGTTCTTCTGAGACACCAGAAAGAGGCCTGTTTCTCTCTCCCTTTACCATGTGAAGACACAGCAAGAAAGCAGCTCTCTGCAAGCCAGGAACAGAGACCTCACCAGAACCTGACCATGCTGGCACTCTGACGTTGGACTTTCAGCCTCCAGAACTATGAGAAAACAAACTTCTGTTGTATAAGCCACCCAGTCTATGGCAGCCTGAGTTGACTAAGACAACCTTTAACTCTCTTTAGATTGCTTTTAGGAAAAAGATAAAAGCCCTCAACATGGCCCATGAGGCTCTGTGCCATGTAGCCCCTGCCTGCTTCTCTAGCTTAGCCAGAGGCCGTCTGTTCAGGGAACCCTTCCCTGACCCACAGGATGAGTTCAGATCTACTTCTTGTTTTCTCTCATAGCCCTGTGAACTCCAGAGCAGTGCATCTCAAATGTTAATGTGCATGCAAATCTCCCAGGGGTCTTGTTAAAATGCAGATCCCATCTCCATAGTTCTTGGGTGGATACTGAAATTCTGCTTTTCTAACAAGCTCCCAGGTGACACTGATGGCTCTTGTCCACGGACTATTCTTTGAGCACCAAAATGTTTATGGATGTTGTTTGCTTCATAGCACTTATTACAGGGGATGGTTATACATTAATTTGGTTATTGTTATTTATTTACTTAAGGTCTACCTTCTGAGCCAGACTGTTGGCCTCAGAAGTCACAATTGACTCTCTAACATCTAATCTAGTATGTTCGTGGCACACGGTGGAGGCGCTCCGTAACACATGTATGTTAAATGAATTAATTGATGGGTACAATGTCCTACAGATCCAAGCTGGACTTAATCTTTTTTCTTTTTTCTCTTCTTCCTCTTCTTTCTCCTTTTCCTCCTCCTCCTTCTTCTTTCCTTATTTTTCTATATCTACATAAGTTCCTGGAAACTCTGGATAGAAGCTTAATTTTTCCTGAGGTCATGACATGCTAACTAGAAAGCAGAATGTTTGAGAAACTAAAGAACAAGTAGCAAGAAGATATCAACTATATTCAAGTAAAGGAGGTGGCCAGAGGAAAGAAAATACAAAACAGTACCTTCGAATTTGCCCAATAGAAATTGTCAGTTGTCTTGTACAGTTTGATAAATTCGAGATCTATCACTCCATCCTTTTCTTTTGACCTCTAGGCCCAGTTTTTTTTTTTTGTTTTGTTTTGTTTTGTTTTTGTTTTTTTTTGAGACAGAGTCTCGCTCTGTCGCCCAGGCTGGAGTGTAGTGGCGCGATCTTGGCTCACTGCAAACTCCGCCTCCCGGGTTCACGCCATTCTCCTGCTTCAGTCTCCCAAGTAGCTGGGACTACAGGCACCCGCCACCACGCCCAGCTAATTTTTTATATTTTTAGTAGAGATGGGATTTCACCGTGCTATCCAGGATGGTCTCAATCTCCTGACCTCATGATCCGACCTCCTCAGCCTCCCAAAGTGCTGGGATTACAGGCGTGAGCCACTGTGCCCAGCCGGCCCAATTCTTCACCTAAATGTACCAGAGATGACTCATTTTTACCTTGTCCCAAACTAAAATCATTTTTTATTTGATCATTTCCCATTTCAATAAGTGAAAGCATCATTTCTCTTACGTTTCCCACTTTGGTAAATGGAGCCACCATCTTTGATGCCTAACTCTTTATCATCACCAACAACCAAATGGTCCCACACCCTGTGAATTCCTGTCTCTGGAATCTATCCACTCCTCTCCATCTTTACTGTTGGGCCCCTAATTAAACCCCCCACCACCTTTTACCTGTTCCTTACCTCTCTGCCTCCAATTTTGCCCCTCACCTTTCACTCCATTTACCACACCTCAGCCAAAATCATCTTTTTAAAAATGTTTACATGCATAAACTCACTCCATGTCTCCTCATTATCTTCCAGAGAAGTCCCCTAACTAGTTCCCAACTATCTTCTTTCACCCTCCTCTTGAAGTCACTTCCTTCCTACCTTTACATCCAGTATTATTAAACTAACTTTAGTCCCTCAGGTGTGTCATGTCTTTTCTAATTTAGAGCCTGGATTCCTTCTTCATGAAAAATCTTCTATTCCTTTCACACCCATCTAACATCTTTCTATCCAGCAACACCCAATGTACACATCACCTCCTCCAGGAAGCCTTCTTTGACCACCATGACTCTCACGGCACCTTGACATTTTATTCATCGTAGCAATTGTCACAGTACATAGTAAACATGTCTTGCTTGTTTATGTACCTCGCTAGAATCTATGAGGGAATGAACCATGTCTTTCCTATTCATCAGTTTATCCCCAGTGCCTAGAACATGCATTGCATAATAGCAGACACTTTCTGAATAGTTGTTGAATGGTTAAATGGATAAACTTGGAAATGGCACTGGTAATAAGGTGATAAAGACAGTTACAGGGCTTAAGTAAAAAAATTGGTAGAGAAGCCATAGAGACATATATATTATGTATAATGTATAATTATTATATATAATATGTGTACTATATATTATATGCATACTGTATATGATATGTATATATCATATATTATATACAACACATATGTGTATATATGTATATATTACATATTATGTGTATATTATGTTATATGTATATTCTATATTCTATAATATGTATTACGTATATATTATGTATTATGTATACATTTTATATTATGTATATAATATGCATATTATACATTATATGTGTATTATATATTATACTCTATGTATGTGTAAATATACTACATATGTAATAATATATATCCATGCATGCACACACACACACAAGCACACATGCACGAATTTAAAGTTGGACCGGAGAAGGAAAAGAAGCAATGCATAAAAGCTGAAAGGCACAATGCAGTTATGAAGTAATCTCCTTTGCTGGGCATACCAAAGTTAGCAAGCTTATAGTCAAGGAGAAAATTAATGTTTGATGATGTTTAAAATCATGGTGATTTCCTGAGAAACAGAGTCTCCCTTTGAATAGAAAAGGATAGGTGTCTTAGGACAGATGGTAGTGTTTGGTTTACTGGAAGAGATGGCCTGGTCCCTAGAAAGGAAGAAAAAGTTGTTCATAGCAAGAGAGAGATGAGACAGAAAGGTAAGTTGCTGACGGGCCTGGTCTGTGATTATTCAATCTTAGGGCTTATTTCTCTCTCAACATAATGTTTCAAGCCTATCCCGCCTCTTTGTCCTTTAGTATGTACTGCTATTTTTTACTTTTTTTTCTAGTTATTTCATGTATAAACCAAATCATAAGCCCCCTGAGGGTACAGACCTTGCATTAAAGTACTTTTCGTCATCCACAATGCCGAACATGGAGTGGTGCTGAATTCATTTTGGTTGATTGATTTCTATTTAGGATTCTGGAGAAAATTTACATACTTTCGAAGAGATTAGTATTTTTTTTAACATGTTGGTTGAAAATGCAGCAGGGAATAGAAAATTGGTTTTATAATTTTCAGAAAAAAAAAGTTATGGTGTTTTTTCCTGAATTTATCGCAAGAAATGTCAACTGGTTTTTAATTTTTCTCCAGTAGGTCTAGAGGCAGAAGATGGGAAAATTAGGACTAACATTTTCTGGGTTAAGGAAAATAGGAGGAAGCAAATTGCATAAAGCATGTAAATGAAATCATGTGTGAGACTCCCTTAGCATAGAACATGGTACATAGCAGTGCTCAATGTCTGTTAGCCACTATTTTTACTGCTACTATTATCATTATCAACATCATCATAGCCCTTAGGGCTTAGAATCCTAGTGAGAGTGATTTCTGTATGCCAAAAAAGTGATAACTAAAGTAGAGATTTCCAAACTTCCTTGCTTCATGACACTCTTGGTATTCCATAATTTTTTTCACTGTGTCCCTAGGCCAAAAATAATACCTAATTGTTCCATTTATTAAATAGCTATATCCAAATACCTTAGTAAGTGCTTATGTTTTAACAAGTAAGGAGTTATATGAAAAGTTAATGCAAAATATTTGAAAAAAAACATTTTTCTTACATGCTTAACTCGAATTAGTTTTTAATGGATTGTAGCATGCCTATCTCAAAGCTTGAAATCAGTTTGCAACCACAACTCTCATTTCCTGTTCCACATTGCTTCTTGCATGGTACTTGTTTTATCAGCTTAACAACTACTAAAAACCCAGCTTTGCAAAGATATATGTTACCATCAAAAGGAACAAAGTGTGATTCTATTGAAATCATGAATTACCTTGAGCTAGTAGGTCGCACAGTGTCTGACAGATGATGAATATTGCTGTATTTCCTTAGAAAATGTACAGCAGCCCATGGAACCCCAGTGAATTCACTACAGTTTCCTAGGGTGCCTGAGAGCATGGTTTGGGAACCATGGCACTAAGGCAAAAGTCCCAATAGTTTGGCCAATGTTAACTGTCTCATTGTTTTTCTGGTTTGATGGTCATATCATGCCTCCTGACCCAGGCCTAAGGGCATTTGAAGTCGCAGAGAGGAGGTCAGGTCAAAGGTTACAGGACATGCCCAGCCCTTAAGCTGTGGTCATGTGAAATCCTCCAAGCGTTGGAGATGGGGGCGAAGCCTATGGTTCTCCAGGATTGCAGATGTTCTCTGGGCCAAAGAAAGAACACTCTGAGGCAGGGGCTGAGTGATCTGCCCACAGTTGATGGGCCTGGGAACTTGCCAGGATCATCCACCTTTCCAAATGGTGAATTGTAAATATAAGCACAAAGAGGAAGCAGCAATGAGCATTTCCCCTGTCACTGTCTTCAATAAAATTACAGACTTCTTTTGCAGCTCCTGACTGCTATTCTTCTGGGCTGGCTGAGGGATCACTGTGCATCTGTCACTGTGCTCACTAGAATTCGCCCTTTCTCCTATAATAAAGGATGAGTATTCTCAGCCCCTTCTCCACCTCCTTCTATGAAAGTGGTGTTTCTGACAGAGAATGTCCAAGCCTGAAAGGTGGGTCTCTAAGCTGCAGGTGAGGGCTGTGATCTCCCTCCTGTTGGGATACTTGAAAGTAAGATTTTTCTGTCTATAACCTTCTGCCCACCTTCTGACTGAGGGGCCAGGCTGAACATGGGTCCAGTGGCTATCGGATGGAAGGACATACACTCATGTGCTATACTTTTCCTTTTGTTTCTGGAGCATTTACTGCCTTTTGTCAAAATTTATAATCTACTTGATACTCATTACTGGTTGTCCAGTACCCAACATATGGGACTGACAATAAATATTTGTTAAACAAAATTTAGCAGGACTGAAATATGGTACAGGATGAGTAGGAAATTGGGTTTGAGACACAAGGCCAAGGATCAAAGCTAATGTGGCATTTCTAAGGGACTTCCAAGGGTCATTAAAGCCAAGTTTTAAAAAACCAGGAAAGAGTCGAAAAGTCAAAACTACCAATTGAGAGTATCACTTTGGTGTCACCAAATAGTGTATGCTATGGCAGAATCAGGATTTTCTATTTCTTTGATGCTTGATGAGCAGCTTAGATCCCTACAAAGAGTTTTTAATGGAATCAAAGGGTCTTTAATAACCTTTTCTTTAATGGAATGAGAATAACGTAACTTGTTCTTCAACGGTTCAGAAGTGGGTGGGTTCTAGCACAAGACTGTGGTGAGATTGTAGGAGTCTCTGTAGCAGTGGAAGTATGTGAGCCTGCTGCCTGATGAAGACATTGTCATCTCCAACAGGGAGTATGGAATGGACGTGGGGAATAGATGAAGCATATAGCATGTGTGTTATTGTAGTGTGATGACAATCTTGACTTTAAAAATTAAATGCAACTGGTTTTGATTTACTACAATATACCGTTCCTGAAGGAAAGACTTGTCAGTGCTCCTATTCCCCTCTCCATCTCTTTCTGTTTATTTTAGGATCACCACCCTACCTAGATCCACTTGTTCACTCATCTGATTAGGGTTTATCACGTGACTTGCTACATGTTGGTCCCAATTGAAACATTCATGATGTAAAGATAAGCAAGATGTAGATGGGACCCCGAGAATCTCACATTATTTCACATGATCCCCAAAGTGAGATCTCTGGGCACTCATCTCAAATGTTTCTGAAGAAAAGGACCCAGGGCTAAGTTTGGAAACCGTTGAAATCACTCATTAAATGTGTGTTTTTACCGAAGGACCTCTCAGAGCCTTGATTCTGGGAATGTGCATTGCAAATTTCCAAGACGGGGTTTTCTAGTTCACTGTGTCTGAGAATTAATTTTACCAGAGGCTCTTTTACTTAAAAAAAGAAATCTAACTAGTATGGTGTTCTTGGGGGTTTTATTTTGGAAAACTCTGGCCCAGGTAAAATGGTTTTTTTTTCCTGTTCATTAGACCGTGTCCATCTCTGCTTCTGCCTATCTTTCTTCACATTCAGAACTTCCCTCACTCTCTTCTGTCAACAACCATAGCTTCTAGATCTTTCTTTGTCACCTCTATTCAACCTCATTCAACTCAACCTCTTTTATTTGATGCTATATGTTCTTACTTGACTGAGGTCCTTAGCTTTACTAACTTGAGGCATCTAGCACACCTCAATGCTACTTTCTATTTGTTTCTCACAACCATGGTTATCTGGGAAGTCCCTGTGGCTCCAGGATCTCCTGTCTGGACCAGATCTTCACAGTAGCCTTTCTCCTCAGGCAAATCTTAGAGAAGATTTGCCCGGGTTTTTCTGACCAGTAGAGGGCCCTTGGTAGCTGTCTAGTGACCTATGGGCATAACTACCCTTCCAAAGCTTAACCCTGTCTAAATTCCATGTTTCAGCGAAAACATCAATTTCTGGAAAATGTGTTACTCATCTCTTTCCTCCATCAAATGCTACTCATGACAAGCACTTCTGGGGTGCTCACATAGTGTTGACGACAAAGAGAGACATCTATTTATTAAATATGTACATAGTGATTATACTGAGTCAAGCACAATGCTATTGTGTGAAATCCATGACACTATTATTATCTCAGGTTTACAGATGGGAAAACACCTGAATGATTAAGTAACCTTTCCAGGGTCGCACAGCTGGCAGGTGGTGCAGCCCATTTGCCCCAGGCAGGCTGGCTTCAGAGGCCATGTTCTCTACTGCGACACCTCACTGGCTCTAAATGTAATAGAAAAATTATATGGCAAATCAGAAGGTGCTAAGTGCAAAGAAAAAAGTAAAAGGAAAAGGAGAATTTGGGCCTGGTAGAGGGGATCAGGCAATCAGGTGGAGCTGGGAGGGGGTAGCTGTGGCTTCTACTGTGGGGGTAGCTGTGGCTTCTACCGTGGGGCCAGGACAGGCTCATGCAGAAAGCGCCCTCTGAACAGAGACATGTAGGGGTGAGGGAGTGTGTTTCCACTGTCAAATGAATAGAAATCTCTGGAGAAGTGTGTTCCAAGCAGAATATTCAAACCCCAGGAGCAATTCTGGAAAACGTTCATGTGGGAGGGACTTCTGCATGCAACCACTTTGGCCTCTAGTTTGCCTGAGTCCCACCCCTTGTTTCTGAATTCCACTGATACTGTTCTCTTTGTACAAAGGGCACCATTATCAAGAGCCATAGCACGGTGGCTTCTGCCTGTCTTTCTTCAAATCCAGGACTTTCCTCACTCTCTTCCCTCTATCAGCCACCATAAGCTTGGAGATCTTTCTTTGACACCTTTAGATATTTCCCCATCTCCCCTTTCCCTAAATCCAAAATACTGCTATCTCTTTCCCAGTAGATTCATCACACTAACTCATTCCGATATCCATTTAGATCTCGGCATATAGTCTTGATAAATTAAAATTTCAAACTTACGTAAAATGTTCTGCCTATTCTCCCAAGGACATGTGCTATGTTTTATAATGAAATTTTAATCTTTATTTTTAAAATAATTTGTGCAAAGAGAAGGCATCTGGCTTTGTTTTATCTGCTACAGAAAAGGGATCATGTCATGGGTATATTCTTTACCAGAAATGGGCAATTATTTTGCCTTCCAGCTGGATTAGAGAGAAAAACAGGCTCACCTTAGCAACAGCATTCTGATGCTGATGTCATCACCTCACATCATTTTGGTCTCATGTCACTGCATTCTTTCTCTAAAATCTCAAGCCACAGCTTTATAGATCTCTGCATTTAGAAGGCTTAATGAAAAAGGAAGAAATAACCATACTTAAATATTCACTGAGTCATTCTAATCTTGAACTCTGTTAGCAGGTCCCTTTTCCACAGCAAAACAAAATGAGAATTGTGCTTTTTCTACTCCAGTTTTTGCTGCAGCTTTGCCTGCAACCCTCGTCTCTCTCAAGCTCAGGCCCACACACTCCTGCTCTATACCCCCAACCCATGGGATTGCCAACCTCTCCAACAAGCCTAATCACTTACAAATAGAATGATTTTATTTCGCAAAGCAGTCCAATCCTGAGACGATTATGGTGAGCTTACAATCATGGATCCTAGGGCTAGAAGAAATCTTTCATCTACACCCTAGCTTCTTATTTGAAGATGAGGAAGCAGACAGCAAGACAAGGCTTACTTTTGTAAAAGACAGAAAAGATTTTAACTCCCTGGAAGTTTGTGGCTCCTCAAAATTTCAATGAGGATTCTCATAGGGTGTCAGATCATGCATCAAATGTTATGTACCTCACCCCTTCCCTCACCCCACCCAACCCCTGCCTTCCTCTCCCTGCTACCCTTTCACCACCCCTCTTCTCCATACACAAAAATCCCATATACCCAAGTCACTAAATCACAGCAGCCAGAAATCCTTCCCACACCAGGAACTGGACTGAGTCCCTTCCACTTAGAAGTTTCAATACTGACTTTGGTCTCACAGCAAATAACATTTAAAAAACTGAGCACTTTGGGAGGCCAAGGCGGGTGGATCACTTGCGGCCAGAAGTTTAAGACCAGCCTGGCCAATGTGGTGAAACTTATGCCTGTAACCCCAGCTACTTGGGAGGTTAAGGCATGAGAATCACTTGAACCTGGGAGGCAGAAGTTGCAGTAAGCCACGATTGCACCACTGCACTCCAGCCTGGGCAACAGTGTGAGATTCTGTCTCAAAAAAAAAAAAAAAAAAAAAAAAAAAAAAAAAAAAAAATTCACAGTTGTATAGAATCATTTAAATTGTGTTTATGTATAGTTATAAAATTTGTATATATCAATATGAAAAATTCACTGTCAATGAATAGAAAACTATCCACATACATACTACACTTTGGTAAAATCAGGCTCTCCGTTTTCAAAACCACAAGCTATGCCACAAAGACAAAGACTTCCTTTATAAGCTTTCATCACACACTAACCGTCATGTTCTAAAAGTAATTTTAAAAGTTCTCAATTTGCTGGGTCCCTGACTAAGAAACACAGATGACATTTTTAATCTATTTGAATCTTAAAGTTATTTTTAACATAATTAAGCATTTATAACCTTGCTTTATAGATACATACTCTGAGTTATGTAACATCACTGAGCTAATACTTTGGACCACACTTAGAAAAAAATCTCTGTTCTTAAGATTTCACATTTAAATATACTGAGGACACTTTGGGTTTTTTTGGTTAAAAGTCAATGTCGGCCAGGTGTGGTGGTTCATGCCTGTAATCCCAGCACTTCGGGAGGCCAAGGCGGGCAGATCACCTGAGGCCAGGAGTTTGAGACCAGCCTGGCCAATACGGTGAAACCCCGTCTCTACTAAAAGCACAAAAATTATACAGGCATGGTGATGCACACCTGTAATCCCAGGTACTTGGGAGGCTGCGGCATGAGAATTGCTTGAACCCAGGAGGCGGAGGTTGCAATGAGCTGAGATCGTGCCACTGCACTGCAGCCTGGGTGACAGAGCAAGATCTTGCCTCAAAAAGTTAAAAATAAAAATAAAAAGAAGTCAGTGTCTTTTTTTAAAGAACTTTTTAATATTGACAATAGCCAAACAAAAAGTTCATCAAACTTCTAGAAAACTAGAAATTTTACCAAATGAGCAATGAGTACACATTTTTCATAGTGTATAAACTAATAAGTATTAATTGCCTTAATTAGACTCACTGACACCCAAATAAGGGTTTTATCATCGTTCTCAAAGAAGACAAAGGGGCTAACTAATTTATCTTTATGTCTTCAATATTGGAAAGATTATTATAAAGCATTAATTGCACACTCTCCTTTGAACACTACTTTGCAGTAATTTATCACTTCATACTCACTCAATCTGGGAAGTCACTTTCTTTACCTTCACTTTACAAGTAGAGAAGTTGAGGCACATCAGGTTAAAGACTTAATCCTGGGTCTCTAAAGAACCTAGTGGCTGAAGTGGATTCTGTGTAAAATTTAGGCCTCTTAGTGGGGCAAATACTCACAGTCTAATCCTAAAAGTGGAGCAAAGATTCGTACTCTATTAACATGTTTTGACAGGGAGTTGGCAAGCTGGCAAATTTTGGTGGGTTCTCTTGTTTATATAGAAGAAAATAATAATGGGTGACATTATCCTCGAAGTAGAAAACAGAGAACTTCCTGCAATATTTTAAAGGAAATATAGGGATTTAATTTAAAATATAATTACCCAAATCATGTCTTTCAAGGATTTTGAATTCATTTATTGTACCTTTTTAGCTGGTTGGCTGGCCAGTTTGATTTGTTTGCCCCCGCATTTAAGAACTCTGTTGGATATAAAAACCACTCACAGTTTGATCAAAATAATAATTTTTAAGTGTACATTCTCAGTTTACTTAATTGCTGAGTTTATGTCCAGGGCCACTGTGTATGACCATGAAGGTTGCATGCAGAAAATCTCTAGAGCATTATTTAGGTCATACTTACCATTCTACAGTCCACATTCTTGAAGTATATGTACCGCTGGAGTTGTATAGTACACAACCTACTCAACTGTACACATCTGCCCAGTTAACATCTTTAGATTAAGGTTAGGGTTGAGGAAGGTGAATGTTATTAGAGGTTGATCTCATTATTAGGAGCTTCTCACCTTTGGATAATCTTTGTGTTTCTGCCCTGGCTCTTTCCTAGTTTTGTCATTATTTTTCCAAATTTCTCAAGTCCCTGACCCACATGCATCTACCACTGAGACTTTTTTTACATGGCCTGTAATAGGGTAAAGACTAGGGACTAGGGTTTCTACACCCCGGGAGATTGATTAGAGAAATCCATGAATCAGCTTTTACTTTTGTAGTTCTAGGAACTATCCAGTTCTATTGTACAATCTGGGCCAAGCTGTGGGTTCCACAAAAGGCTCAAGTTCCAGCCCTACAAAGGAATCAGAGGTATGTTGTCCCCTGCCTAAGTCACAATAATGATCCTCAATCATTGATTCCTACATCTATTAATTGGCACTATTCCTGTCCAAGTCTTTCTCATCGTTTTCCTGCTAAATAATGGTCCCACAACATGATCTCGGAAAATAAAAAAGAATTCCCCTTTGGGCTTATGTGGGAATCAATGCATACTACATTGTCCACTTGGAGATTCACATTGCACATGAGCATATTAAAGGCTTTGAGAAGTCCTGCAAGAAACAAAAGTTTAATTTTGTTTATCTCCAAACTTAATTTCACGGACTCAACACCAGTCCTTGAAAGCAGCTGGGAAGGAGGCTGTACCCTGCAAAACCACAGGAGCAGAGCTGTTCAAGACCATGGGAACTCACCCCCTTGCATCAGCATGACCTGGATGTGAGACATAGAGTCAAGGGAGATCATTTCGGAACTTTAAGATTTGACTACCCTGCTGGATTTCAAACTTGCATGGGGCCTGTAGCCCCTTTGTTTTGGCCAACTTCTCCCACTGCCTGTACCTCCACTGTATCTAGGAAGTAACTAACCTGCTTTTGATTTTACAGGCTCATAGGTGGAAGGGACTTGCCTTGTCTTGGATGAGACTTTGAACTGTGGACTTTTGAGTTAATGCTGAAATGAATTAAGAATTTGGGGGACTGTTGGGAAGGCATGATTTCTTTTTAAGTGTAAGAACATGAGATTTGGGAGGGGCCAGGGGTGGAATTATATGGTTTGGCTCTGTTCCCACCCAAATCTCATCTTGAATTCCCACCTGTTGTGGGAGGGATCTGGTGGGAGGTAATTGAATCATGGGGGCAAGTCTTTCCCGTGCTGTTCTCATGACAGTGAATAAGTCTCACAAGATCTGATGGTTTTAAAAAGAAGAGTTCCCCTGCATGAGCTTTCTATCCTTGCCAGCTGCCATCCATGTAAGATGTGACTTGCTCCTCCTTGCCTTCCACCATGATTGTGAGGCTTCCCCAGCCACGTGGAACTGTAAGTCCAAATAAACTTGCTTCTTTTCTAAATTGCCCAGTCTTGGGTATGTCTTTATCAGCAGCATGAAAACGGACTAATACACTCCTGTTAATATAAAAAATACACATTGGGAAATGCAAATCTGCAGAATAACAAGTTCAATAAATAATGCTTCTCTGCATAATTTAAGACTATCCCCTAACCTCACTCTTATTGATTGCTGGTTTTTAGTGCCCATCATAGAGTGTGTAGCACAACCTTGGCCATTTACAGGTTTTCTCTAGCACTTTAGCTGTATAATGAGTTGAGCTTCAAAATGAATGCATGCAGGAAAGGGAAGGGGATCCAAGGAGGTAGGGAGAAAGTTGTGAGTAGAGGGAAAGGAAACACAGCAGAGGGACAACAGGCATTCAAGGAAGACAAGCCTGTTACCTGCCCTTGTATTACTAAATCCATTTTTCAAAGGAGGAAACTGAGGCTTAGCCAAGTTAAATAACTTGCTCAAGGTCACACTACTAGTTTGGTCATGACTTTAACCTGAACCCATATTGCAGACTTTGAACCCCATGCCATTCTCTTTCCATTTCATTGTATTTGGCATAGTATTACACTATTATCATTATTACTACAATATTACACTGTTATCATTGTTACTATGTTATTAGTATTATCATTATTACTATCATTATTACTACAACTGATTGAGCAGGCTCCAATCAGTTCTCAAGTTCAAGTCCTATCTCTCTCACTATTAGCATGTGCCATTGCCTGGGGTCTCCTGTCCCTAAGATTCTTCTTTATCTCTGCAACAAGGATATAGCAATTCTCATGGGATTGTGGGAGGATTAAAGGAGTTAGTGCTCAGAAAATAATAAATATTAAATGTTGCCAATTGTTTTTATTATGACAATTCATAGCTTATTTCTCACACTTCACAAGATTCACAGCCAAACCTAATTATCAACACTCAGGAGCTACTGGAATAAGAAATAAAATATAATCCCCCTCCCTTCCACTCCCATAAAGCTGAAGGAAAGCTGAGAGATCTTAATATATGAAAAGTGAATCACATGCTTATCTAGTAGACTGTATGACATCCTCAGTCACGATGCAGTGAACAAAGATTGAAAGAACTGGGCATGGAAACAGAAAAAAGAAAAAAAATCTACGTGGCTTGCTCTCTGAGGATCAGAACTGTAGAAATCACGATTCAGACAGGGGAGTAAATTTTGCTGGGTCAAATGCTTTCTCTCTGATTCATTACTGTAGATATGACTGATAGAGAAGGGAGGATGTTTACTGAGCACTAAAGCCCTTCTCTGACTACTCATTGGCTTTTATATTGATTGATTTAATAGCTTTGATCTATAATCTCAAAAATAACTCATTTTTTATCATAGAAGTGAAGCTATTAGTACTTTCCTGATGAGGTAGACTAAGCACTTCACATGGGTTACAAAACAAAGAAAAATACATGTAAAACATTTCCCAATATTTCGAAGATTTCCTTCTTTGTGTTGTCTTTTGTCTTAACAAATTTGATTAAATTTGAAATTAGAATTTAACATCAGTCGTGCATGTAATTCTTCCATATATTTTGATAACACAGAGTTGAATTTTGTGTTCTATTTGGGTCAGCTATGTAAATCAACAACATTAATGAGCTTTATTAAATCATCTTAGTAAAAGCTCAACTGTCTTAACTGTTTACTTAATTCTACATCCAACAAAAAACAGCTGTCACCTTCTGACAGATTGTATTTCAAATGAGAGTTTTCTTCTTACAAGGAAAAATTGATCTAAGGTGTAATCCAACAGAAATGCCATATTTAGAGTCTTTTAAAAGGATACTCCCTTAAGTAATGAAGGACTTAAAGATTCCAACTTCCTGCTAAGAAGGAACATTAGAGAAGACAAGAAGTTCAAGGAGAACACTCTGCTTCTGTCATATACTTTATATGCAGAACTTTACTCTGTAGAAACCACTGAATTATCTTTTTTTTATTTTTTATTTTTTTTAGACAGAGTCTCGCTCTGTCACCCAGGCTAGAGTGCAGTGGCGCAATCTCAGCTCATTGTACCTCTGGCTCCTAGGTTCAAGTGATTCTTGTGCCTCAGCCTTCTGAGTAGCTGGGATTACAGGCATGTGTCACCAAGCAGGTACTAATTTATATATATATTTTTAATATAAATATATAAATAATTTATATATTTATATATATATAATTTTTTTTTTTGAGACAGAGTCTCACTCTGTCTCCCAGGCTGGAGTGCAGTGGTGCAATCTCAGCTCACTGCAACCTCCACCTCCCGGGTTCAAGTGATTCTTCTGCCTCAGCCTCCCGAGTAGTTGGACTACAGGTGCGTGCCACCATGCCCAGCTAATTTTTGTATTTTCAGTAAAGATGGCATTTCACCATGTTGGGCAGGATGGTCTCAATCTCTTAACTTCATGAACCCCTGTCTCAGCCTCCCAAAGTGAATTTTTATATTTTTAGTAGAGTTGGGGTTTCACCATGTCGGCCAGGCTAGTCTCAAACTCCTGACCTCAGGTGATTTGCCCATCTCAAAACAATGCTGGGGTTACAGGCCTGAGCCACCGCACCTGGCCTGAAATACCTAATAGACGACAATTACATTGACCTGGGGGACCCAGCACTGAAGGGAGTTCCAGAGTGAGGCCAAAATGGATTGGGCCGCAACCCACTCCCTGCTCCTCAAGAAGAAAACGTTTTCTAAATAAGTCTATACATCATTTAGTGGCTACATAATTAAGAATTTTTTCAAGATTCTTAAGAAAGTATAGTTTTTTTTCTTCCTGAAAGTCAATTTAAGCAATTTATGCAAATAAATGCTTCACAAAAAAATGAACTTAATGTATTTAAGGAAATAAAGCTAGGAGTTCCTGATATAGGTAATACTTTGCTAATGGCTTCAAGAGCTTATGTGTACTTAGAATGACAAAATTGTCTTCTTTTGAATGTGTGTTATAAAGTATTTTAAATGGATGTTTTGTTATTTTAGATAAGCCTTTTTCTAAGATATTTAATAACTGACCAAGGCACTAAATTCAAGTCCCAACCTTCAAACTCTCTATGGATGAGATCTGGGACTCTATAACAAATCCCAGCCCTCGCCTCACCTGCGAGTCTTTCACATAAAAGTGGGGCTCACTGCGTTGAGAAGACGACCTTATCCTGTGGCCTGTGGGAGAAGGTCACATGGTTGCTTTCTCCCAGAAAGAGTACGTGTGTTGCTGCTGCCTCTGTCTCGGGTAAATCCAATCCTCAGAGAGACAGCTAGACTCAGCAGACAGACCCCAGGTCATCAGGAGAGGGAACTGGCCTTTGCCACTTAAAAAGGATTGAACTACACCTTGCAATTACAAGTTTTGTATTTCTTTTAGTACTTATTTACCTTGTCCATTCATCCATCCATCCAACCATCCATCTGTCCATCCATCCGTCTGTCCATCCATTCATCCGTCCGTCCATCCATCCATCCATCCATCCATCCATCCATCCATCCATCCATTCACTTATCATTCATTCAATTAAGTGTTTATTTAATACTGACTATATGCCAGGCAATGTTCTAGGCATTGGAATCTTTTAAAGACTAAATACAGGTCCTCATGGAGAAGAGGGAGATTGATAATTAACTAACTAAAGGAATTACATAGAGTATTTAAAAATGATGAAGGTTAGGTAGAGTAGTAAAACAGAGAAAAGGGATGAAGAATGAAGAGTCAGGCGGTGCTTGACGGTATCAATCAGTTGGCAGGGGAGGCCATGCCAAGAGGGTAATATTTGATCAAACACCAAAAGGAAGTAAGGAAGCAAGGCATAGAGTTACCCGTGAGCGCAGCTTTTGAGGTAGAGGAAAGCCAGCACAAAGACCTTGAGATAGAGGCATTTTTCCCCGGAGCACAGAGGGTTGGGGATGGACGTGGTAGGAATACAGGTTAAACTAGTAGCAATGTGGGATGGGGTGATGGCCAGTGGTGCTGCAGGTGGTGTACAGAGTCATATAATATAATAAAGACTTGCGCCTCTATTCACAGAATTATTGATCCATTTGTATTTGCCAATTTGTATGTGAATTAACAACACCAGGACTTGTTTTCACATCTATACACATAATAGTGTTTAATATGGGCACTGGTAAATTTCTGATGACCCCCAGAAATGTCTTCTGCAAAGCAGTGAATCTTGACCTTTTTATTTGCAAATGGTCTATATTATGAATAAAGTGCTAGACCCTTAATTCTGGTAAGAGGCATACTTCCCTACAGCTTTCCCATTGTCCAGCACAGCCCTTGTCGGTGAATCCTTCTGGTCTACCCATTACTCTAATCATGTCACTCCTCCCCAAAGGAAGAAAGAGAAGCTCAGAGGTGGAAGGAGACCTGAAGGAGGAGGAGCACAAAACAAGAAGTGGAGCCAAGGGGAGTCAACACTGAGCAATTCCTTTCGCAATAAACAAAATCTACTGGCTGTGACAGACAGCACATTGTCCAGCCCCAGTTCAAACCCAGCCACTGTCCAGCCCCAGTTCAAACCCAGCCATGGCACCCACTTCTCAGCTGAACGGAGGAAAAGGGATTGCTTTGATTTGGGTAACGGTTCATCTTTATAGTCAAGAGCATTTCTTGCCTTTTCCGTTCTACGTTCTACAGTTTAACCTTTTGACTTCCTTGCTGCATGGCATTTGAAAACTTTAGTGAGCATTTTTTCTATCTCAAAACCTAGGATAATGGTATTCACGTCTTTAATTTAATACTTATTTTTTTTAAACATTGCAGTAGATAAGGATTCTAGGAAACAGAAAACCATGGAGATAAGGCATCAATGACAATAACAGTCATTACATATTAGGTAAAATTTGAGTGATTACGAATGTGCTAGGGGCTATTCTAAGGGACTTACGTGTATTATTTCATTTAATTTTTACAACTCTGGAAGGTAGGTACTTTACACCCATTCTATAGATGGAGTACCGGTAATTGGCAGATCCGAAATTCAAATCTGGCCCATCTGACACCAGAGCCTAAACTCATCACCTTAATGCTCTAGTGGCAGTGTTTGTTAAAGTTAACTTTTCGTTATGGAAAAACTAGAACATTAATAGAAGTAGTGGGAAGAGTATAATAAGCCCTCATGTATGCATCACCCAATTTCAGTAAATATCACATAAAGCTAGTTCTATTTCATCTATTTCCAGCCCAACACAATGTTATTTTGAAGTAAATCCAAGATATCAGATCGCTTCAACTACAAACATTTCAATATGTATTTCTAAAAGAGAACTTTAAAAAATATAACCACAATACCATTATCACATCTAAAAATATTAACAATAATTCATTAAAAGCCTCCAGTCTTAAATGTCCAGCCTCAAGCTGTGATTTAACTATAAGGTCATAATCTTTTAGGTGTAATATGATTTGGTACATATGAAGAAATAAATCTACCAACCCACTAATCACATCATTTGTATTCCAGCATTAACACTTAAATGGTGTTTGATCAAATGAGACTATTTTGCATGCAAGTTGCTTAGGCCATATATTTCTCCATGTGGCAGAGTAGAAAGTAATAGGATTTAGAAAGTTTAGGTTCAAGTATTGTTGCTGTGATTAAGCATATCACTTATACTCATAAAACCTCAGTTTCCTATATATAGAAAGGGGTTTGAACTATCAGTGATAAATAATTCAGAATTTTCAACTTATAGAACCTTCTGAAGATTATAATTTCAATGTATCTACTGATAAAGCTCCAAAAAATTATAATGAATAGATAAAAGTTTTTAGTAGACAGAGCTTTCTAAATTTGAAAAAAATAGAATCATTGGTGTCCAAAAGGAATAATAAGTAAATAATTTCAAATAGCCTCTTTCCTGTCTGATATTCAATATATTTGTCTATCTATCCATCCATCCATTTATCAATCCATTTGTTCATCCATCTATGTGCCTACTTCTATGCTAGCAAGATGCATGTCTAAAGGTATTTTAAAATAATATGTGAAAAGAACAGAAAACACAGTCAAGCATGTGAGGTGCAACATTATAAGTATAATCATACTTTGTTATGTGACATGAAGGAAAAAGAAAAAGAAATAATTGGAAACGGGAATGCGAATCAGACAGGAGGACTATGTGTTTCTAAAGGTAAGATGGTCTTTTGAAGTCCCACTTTTCTTCTTATGGGCAGATGACTCTGACCCCAGCTCGTTTTACCAAGAAGAAAGTGATAGATCATTAAAAACTCATCACTCAAGGGCTCCAAAGAAGAAGTGGCTTTCGAAGAAAGTTTTTTTTTCTTCTTCTTCTTTTTGGTCCATTAGCTTGATGAGTGAGAGAGATAGAGGAAATAATCTCAGAGGGAGAAGAGGGTCTGAGGTCATAGTAGGGAAAAAAGGGTAAAGATAGTTGATGAGAAATGAACTTTCATAAACAAAAGTAGAGTTTTAAAGGAAATAAGTCATAGCATAGTATTGCAGGACCTTGGGTGGAAGGTCAGGCAGCCAAGGTTCTCCAAAAAGTCACTCAGTCTACCTCCCTAAAGCAACTGGAGTTTTTCTCCAGGAATGGAGGGTAGAGTGACATGCTTCCTTAGCCCACGACAATGCAATAAGCCTACTTAGTTTAAAATATTTCACAATTCCTTCATTCGTCTTTCAGTGGTGTCTGTAGGTGCTATAATATGAAATAAGATACTCAAACACAAATAATGTTTGAGGGATTCAGTGAATTGCAAATTTTAAAGAGATGTGGCTAAAATGTCTTTAAAACTGTTTGCTGTCAAATCATGAAAAATGTAATCCAAGAGGATTTTTTTGTTGTCCAATGACTATTAATATTCTATATGGAGTGATTACTTGTAATGTAAATATTATAAGTAGAAATTCTTACAAATGTGGTGTGTCCACTTAGCTAAGCCGGAACTATGTTTCTCCAGATTCCTTTCCTTGTATGGTTCTGGGTTAGTACTTGCCACAAGAGATATTTGACATGAGATGTAGACATGACCCAGCAGCCATCTTTCCTGCATCCTGAGTGTTAATGCAGGTCCCAGGCACTGTGGTGGATTGTGCATGATGAGGCTAATCGACCAGCTCACCTGGTAGGTGTGGCTCAGCATTTCAACTGACCGCTCCTCCAATTCCCCAAAGATCTGCTCCTTACACCTCTCCAAGGCCTGGAGTGGGTGTACGTGCAGCTCTGTGCTGAAAGGTACCAGCATCTCCAGCAAGTGGCCCACAGCATGGAGGCTGGAGGTGGCTAGAGAAAGATGCAGGCTCCCATTTGTCTTGTGGGATCCAGTTGAATTTATGGGGCTTCAATTCATCAATGTAGACTCCTATTTGCTCTTGCTCTCAATTATTTCCAGCTTTCATCTCCATTTGCCAGTCTGGCAGATCCAAAGACCACATGTTTCAGGCTCAACATAGGTGCAGAGCCAACAGCCTGCAGAGATTTCCCCACTGGCTTCCACAATTGCAGGGAGGTCTAACCCCAATGAGTCCCTTAGGTTTTATCATACAAAGCAGTTCTGCTTCTTGATCAAACCTTGAGTGATACAACAACCCTATAAGATAAGAAAACTATTCAAGGCCAAATTAAGGAGACACCAAAGTCCCCACATTTGTCAGTGGCAGGGTGAGGATTTGGATATAGGTACATCTGACAGAGAGCCTGAGCTTTTAGCCACTGCGCTGTCAGCATTCCATTCCATGAGATACGGATCAGAGGCTTCCCAGGGATGAGCATTTCTTGGTCTCTCTAGTTAGAAGTAATCTCTCTCCATACCCACAGCATTTTTTAAATGTCTTGTATAGCAATTACACATTCTGTGTTCGATAATGGTTGTCTATGCACATGTTTATTCATTCATTCCACAATTAATACTTAAGCCCCTACTTTGTGGCAGGCATAGATCTTGATGCCAGAGACATATCAGGGAGCACAATAGACAAACTCCTTGCCCTCATGGAGCTTTCATTCTAGTAGGGAGACAGACATCAGATCAAAGAGTGTGTATATAATACATGAAGTGGCCATAGCTGCTATGGAAAAAATAAGGCTAAGATAGAAATTGCCATATGGAAAGTGCTGCCCTTTTCAAAAGGGTGGTTAGGAGAAGGTTTTCCAACAAGGTGATGCCAGAGTAGAGACATGAACGATGTAAGGGAGCCAGTTCTCAGATCTCTGGAGGACCAGTATCTAGGAAGAGAGAATGGCAAATGCAAAGGCCAGAAACAGCAGGAGGCTGGGCATGTTTGAAGAACAGCAAGTGTGACCAGCACTCTTGGCCAAGGAGAAAGGTGGATATGGATAAGGTCAGAGAGTCAGTGGGGCAAATCATGCTGGACCTTCCACAAGCAGTTTGTAAGATCTATGGCTTGTCCTCTGAGTCACATGGGACGCCACTGGAGGGTTTTGAGCAGAGAAGTGACTGATCTGACTCACACACTGAGAATAGGTAGGAGGACCGGTGGGAGCAGGAGGCCAGTTAGGAGGTTATTGATTATGGTGGTAGGCAAGAGACAGTACTGGCTTGGATTGGAGCAGTGGCAGTGAAGATGGTAAAAAGTGGAGGGTCTGCATATATTTTGAGGATAGATTCAATGGGTCTTTCTGAAGGATTGTTGTGAAAAGAAAAAGAGAGAGAAGCCAATGATGGTTCCAAGGATTTTGGCCTGAGTGCCCAGAAGGATGGAGTTGCCATTTACTGCGAATGAGAAGACTATGGGAAAAGAAAATGAGTGGAAGGGAAGTCAAGGTTTTGATTAAAGACCTGTTAAGTCTAAGATGCTCTATTAATCAGGATTCTTCAGAGAAACAGAATTAATATAATGTGTATATATAGATTTATCATTAATTTATATATTAAATATATCTTAAATATATATATTAAAGATTTATTATATACCCTGCAGATCTTGGGGCTTGCCAGCCTCCATGATCATGTGGTTGGCAAGTCCCAAGACCTGCAGGGTGAGTCAGCAAGCTGGAGACTAAGGAGATCCCATGGTGTATTTCCAGTCCGAAGGCCAACAGGCTTGAGACCTAGGAAGAGCCTATATTTTACTTTGAGTCTGAAGGCAAGAACAGAGCCAGTGTTTTAGTTCAAAGGCCATCAGGCAGGAGAATTCTCTTTAACTTGGGGAGGATGAGACTTTTGCTCTACTCAGGGCTTCAACTGATTGAATGACATTGAATCTCATCCAGTCTCATCAATGAGGAATCTGCTTTACTCAGTCTACTACTTTAAATTTTAATATCACCAATAAACACCCTCAGAGGATCACCTAGAATAATGTTTGACCAAGTATCTGGGCATCTCATGGCCCAGTCAAGTTTACATATAAAATCAACCATGGGAGATGCCTATGAGATGCTCAGAGGAAGGCAACTCAATATGAGTCTGAGATTCAGAAGAAAGATCTGGCAAGAGTCTTATTTCTACTAATATCTTTCTAACTTGCTAAACATTTGTATACAGCATAGAAGTAGGAGCTCAGTACACAGCCATAGAATTAAATAAATAAAAACAACCACAAAACAAAGAATAAAAATCAGGCGAATGCTTAAGTAGTTAATAACCTTAACTGTTTAATTGGATCCCAACATAATCCAAATACCCAATAATATTATTCTCTAGAGAAACGTTACATTACTGAAAATAAAAATTAGAGGAATTAGAAATACTTCAAATAAAGTAGTAATGCATTCATAGATCAAAGAACACAAACAAATGTTCATGTGATTTTTATCAAGAGAATTAAATAAGAGAAAGAAAGCACCAAAAATGAGCAAAACTGGCTAGAGAAAAAATAGCTAATCAAAAACTGCTTGAACAAATGAAAAACCATCTCTAAGGCAAATGAAAAGAAAACTGGTTATAGCAGAGAACTTTGAGAGATTATCAATACTGTTCCAGGAAAATGAATAAACATTAAACTGAGTTTGACATGTTAATGGAATATACATAGAAACTCAATAACTAGGAACCAGAAATCATTTTTAACCAAAGATGTGTAATAGATAGTCTCACAAAAATATGAATCTATTGCAGAGATTAGGAAGTCATTCTTTTTTCTTCTGATTTAGTAAAAGTGTAGGGGGTATAAGGCAGAATAATCGTGCCTGCAAAGGACAATAATTTTTTAATAAAAATAGAAACACAATATCAAGACAATGTATCTACCTAAGAAATAAAGTGCATTTGTTACTTCAACTAGAGAAAAACAATGAGCTGAGTTTACAGATAGGAGAGTTAATATGGGAGGCATCTGACCTCCCAGTCAAGTAGCAGGCTGAATAATCAATGTCTTTTGAGGTTCTGTGACTCTGCTTTTTAATTTGCAGTATCACTGAAAGCAATTTCCTGGCATTCCAGAATCTAGCTCTAGGGGCAAAGTAATTGGTGACCCTTGGTCTATGTAAACAATCTGAATAACAAAGATCACAAAAGGGACATTAAAGGGACATTCAATTTAAATTGCATCTTTCTAGGCTGCTGGTCCTCAAAGAGGGATCTTCAGAACCATATGGTGGCAAAAGATACCTTGGAAATGAGGACAGTTAAGGAGAAAGTGTGTAAGGAATACCACAGTAATGAGAATTGTGGAAATGTTCTGGTTATTCTTTGTCTCTCCTTCACACCACCTTTCTGTGCCCAGAAATTGATCCCCTATGGACACCCAGGATTCATCACCCGGACACTCAGGAGGAAGACATTTTTCTTCCTCATTTTGAGCATCGTTTCTAGAAGCCACTATGACCTCCATAGCTATAGGTGTTGTCCTGGGCTCCCTCCTCCATGGCTCCAGTAACACTTCCCCTCTAGTCCCCTCCAGACCTAAAGGTGATAATGGCTTGCTGCTGTTGCTAATCTCTGGGTGCCTTAATACCGCCTGTAGGTTCACTTTACTATGCCTACACCTCTAAATAGCCGTCTGTTCCTCAAAATTTTCTGAACCATTTAAATTGAATTCTGCTTCTTTGAATGACAAAGGAGTGCTAAATAATTTTAAAATGGCAACAAAAAGGGGAAGGGCAGGAACTGTATAGCCTTAGAATCCCTAGAATACCTTCCAGGATACTTCAAATGTAGTGCAATCTTAATACTTCTCTGCAGAAATTGTTGGTGAATTATAGGCTGTATGCAAAGATGTGCATTTCCTATATCAGTTGGATCCATGAGTCTCTCAACAGTAATTTCTCAGCCTTTACGGTTTTCTACCTTGCCCACAGAGGATACCAGAGGGGCAGAGCTTCAACCTTGGAGGGCACAAAAGGGTAGATTAGATTATATTTCTTATTGTTTTATGGAATTGATATGAGACACGGCAAGGGTAAGATTAAGGTTGAAATTATTTGAAAACTAATGTTCCTTAGGCTAAAACGAATGCAGCACTTATACACACTTGTCTTGCTGGGACTATAGCAGTCCTTGGAGATTATTCTTCAGTTACCTTTTACTGATGTTGTCCAGTGTAGTACATGTATACAGCAACACTTGCTGTACCATTAGAGAAAAAAACAACATGCTGTAGAATATGAGGCTCTCGTAATTAAAATGGATCCTCACCATGTTACATGTCAATTGGCAATATTAAAAATGTCCAGAATTACCAAGAATCAACCATTAGTGAAAATGCACCTAAAACCTTTTAAAGTCACTTATCACATCTAATTATCTGATACCAGGTATTATAATTATGCTATTATGTATAATTTTAGTACCATGGCTTAGATCATGTTAATTCACCCTATATGCCATATTGAATTTCTAGCCTAAAATTATCAACATACTGATTGCAGCAAGACTAAAAATGAGCAGTCAAAGACAGTTATTCTAAGAGCCTTACAAACAAGCATATTTATTCATTTTTGAATTTATTAGACAATTTTTTTTCTGAGCACCAATTTTGTGCTATGTAAGGTACTAGATTCTGGTGATAACAGTGACAAATAATATGTCCTTGAGGCACACACAGTCTACAGGAGAGCAGGGTTGGGAGAGACAAATGTTCTAAATAGGGGGCCATGCCACAGTAGAGTGAATATGAGGAGCATGAAGGTATGAGTTGGCACCCTTGGGGTGGGCTGGGGGACAACTGAAATCACAAATGAGATGATGCCTGAGTTCTCGAGAACAAGGCACAGGCAGAAGATTCCAGGTAAAAAGTAGTGTCCTGAGACGACGATGTTCCATCGAGAGGTCGCCTCCAGATTGATATGGCTGCATTTGTGTTACCAGAAAGGGGTCCCAATCCAGACCCCAAGAGAGGGTTCTTGGATCTCACACAAGAAAGAATTCGAGGCGAGTTCATAGAATAAAGTGCGAGCAACTTTATTAGAGAAGCAAAGAAAAAAAAGAATGGCCACTCCATAGGCAGAGCAAACCTGAGGGCTGCTGATTGGCTATTTTTATGGTTACTTTTTGATGATATGCTAAACAAGGGGTAGATTATTGATGAGTTTTCTGGGAAAAGAGCAGGGATTTCCCAGAAATGAGAGTTCCTCTCCCTTTTAGACCACATAAGTTAACTTCCGGGCATTGCCATGGAATTTGTAAATGGTCATGGCGCTGGTGGGAGCATCTTTTAGCATGTTAATGCATTACAATTAGCATATAATAAGCAGTGAAGGCAACCAGAGGTCACTTTTGTCACCATCTTGAGTTTGTTGGGTTTTGGCCAGCTTCTTTACCACATCCTGTTTTATCAACAGGGTCTTTATGTCCTGTATCTTGTGATACCAGCCCTGCTGACCTATCTCATCCTGTAACTAAGAATGTCTAACCTCCCGGGAATGCAGCCCAGTCGGTCTCACCCTCATTTTACCCTGCCCTTATTCAAGACGAAGTTGCTATGGTCGGAATGCCTCTGACAGTTCCAGGATTATACAAAGAGATGTTTGTGTATGAGAAAAGGGGCTGAATGGGTGGGCAGGGGTCTTGTTTGCCAAAGGGTTTGACTTGTGCTATGTATTTTCTGGAGATCACTGACATTTTTAATAAGTTTAATTCATTTGGCCACTTAACAAGTATTTAAGGAGCCCACCTATGTACCAGGTACAGTGGTAGGCATTGAAGATATAAAGGTGAACCAAATGGAAAGGATCCCTCTCCTTGTGGAACTTATATTCTAAAAGGAATGCAATGGGGCAGACACTGAAAGTAAAACAATTTGATGAGTAAAGTAAGTACAATTTGTTATTAGTGCTATGATGGAATTATGATGCTGGCATTGAGAATTGTGCATGATGGGAA
The DNA here is from genome assembly GCF_000001405.40 of Homo sapiens. Classification (NCBI taxonomy): domain Eukaryota; kingdom Metazoa; phylum Chordata; class Mammalia; order Primates; family Hominidae; genus Homo; species Homo sapiens. Next base: position 97,194,119 of record NC_000013.11, on the reverse strand, counting down.
GACTTTGAGTGGTATGTTCAGAGAAGACCTCTTTAAGAAGGTATCATTGAAAGAAAGATCTGAAAGCTGAGAAATATCCATTCATACACAAAGTCGAGTGAAGAATGTTGTGGAAGGATGTTCCAAGTAACATTATGCCCTGAGATGGGAGAGGAGTTTGACCTGTTGCAGAAACTAAAAGACCAGGGAGGCTGGAGCATAGCGAGAGAGAAGAAAGTGACCCAAAATGATGTGGGAGGTGTGATCAGGAGTCTGCCCTTGGAAGGCTGTGAGGTTCATTGAAGATGCTCGAGAAAGACAGTTAAGGGCAGTAAGCAGTGTGATGACATGGCCTGACTCTGGCTACCCGCTTCTTGACGTCTCTCCTACCACCACTAAAGTCTCAGCCACTGTGGTTTCCTTTCCAGACAACTGCCACATGCTGATCTCTCCACTCCCACTCTTGCCTACCTGCAATCCATTCTCCACCTAGTAGCCAGAGTCACTTTACCTTGATTATCACGTTTAATCCCCACAAAATCCCAAAGGTAGAAACTATAGTTATCTACATTTTACTGATAAAATAATTGAGGTTCAAATATTTTGCTCATGTTTACCTAAGCCAAGATTTGCAAACTCAGTTCAGCTGCAGGATTTGTGCTCTTAACCCATACATTGTATAATACATCCTCCCCATTTGTCAACTTTAATCTCAGTGGAAGCCAAGTCCAGCCCAGTGTCTACCAAACATACTTTTCAGTGTTCTGCTTTTCCACTCTTGCCACATCTCGCCCTCAACTGTCGTAGGGCCCTTGGGCCCCATCAACTTGGCAGAACCAAAATCCAACTAAAAGAGGGTATCTTTGCCCCCAGGCTGGAATGTCTAGGATGGAAAGTGTTTCAGAGAATGCATTGGTCCGCTGGGGAGAGCGGAACTGCTGTTCCTTTCTCACCTGCTGGGTTTCTCTTTTCTTCACTTCTGACTTCCTCCTGACAACCTACATTAAGTCTGACCCTTTGCACCAGGCACCCAACTGCAGCCTTCTTTCAAAACAGCTCTTGTCCTCCATGTAACCACTGAGCTAAAAAAATGTCAGGGTTCTTTAGACTTGGGTGGGAAGTGGACAGCAGCTTGGACAAAGCTATCACATCAAAATAGCTGCCGGGTCTCTCTTGATTGAATTGTCTTGGGACTAAAGCCCAGAATTGTAAACTAACGTCTATTTTTCACCCGCTGGCTTCCTGGGTTTGTTTCAGCCTTCGGGTGAAACTATTGGATACTGGACATCCATACACACCTTGACTTCACTTCCTTTTTATCATAACTTACACCTTTAGAGGCATTGCAGCTGAGCTGCTTGTTTGAGAGTGAAAGCTAATACTATGTTTTTCGAACTGTGGCCACAGGTTCCTGGGCCCACCCTAAGTCAGAATCTCTACAGGTCAGGTCCTTGGCTAATTCTAATCTTTGGTGTCTAAAGGCTCTTTTCAGCCTTTTCTCAGGATCATGGGTTTCCTGATTGCCAAACCATGGACAGGAAATAGGGCAGCTCAGCTGGGCACCCACGAGGCTGTTCAGGTTCAATAATTCTTGGGCACCCTCTGTCTATATTGAGGAGTTCAATTTCCTCTGCTTTCCAACTGGTTTCACCCTTGGAGTATTAATTATTTTCTTAAGCTCTGGTGTTAGCCCAGCCTTCAATTCCAAATTCTTCACTCTCACTTCTGCCTCTGACTGTTTGCATTTGACACCTGCCAGGTGGACCAGGTCTGATCTTATCTCCTCTAGTGACAGACCAGTTCCAGCCCAGGGTCATATCTATTCTAATAGCGAAGATAACACAGAAACGTAGGGGTGGGGTCAGATCTGATCTAAATTAAATAGCTGGTACATTTTTGGGAAAGCGTGAACAATGAAGATTTTTTCCTCTCTTTTTTTCTGAATCCATATGCTTTAATATTCTTTCTGCTTCAGTATCTGAAGATGTTATTCTCTCATACGAGTTTCTTCCTTTTGAGGATTTGAATGTTAACCTCTAAAGGCCAACCAAGCTGCCACAGTAACAGGCCTGGGGTCAGGTTATTTCTGTGTTTTAGGGCATATAGCTAAAGACTCCCCATCTTACATAGCTACAGCAGAGAATAAAAGTTAGGAAATGCATCACAGTCATCCCTGACCTATAAACACCCAAATTATGACTGTCCTGTATAGAGGCATGTTCGATGCATGGGTGAAACATTTTCTTCTCTTTCTTTGAGAGGCCATGGCAGATGCAGGGTGTGGGATCCCTTCTGGCCATGTGCCAAGTACCCGGAGCAGCTGCAGAGGGCTCCCCCTTCCTAAGCTTCTTCTCATTGGCAGGGTGGCATCTCTCTGAGCTGTTCTGAAAACAGCTGATGTCTACTTGCAACATTTTGAGCTACCATTCATGAATACATTTGCCTATAGGTACAGTAAATAAATAATCATGCTAGTCCACAAAAATCCTTTTAATCCAAAACACAGCAGAGTTATTCTTCTTACATTTTGCCTGCACTTCCATCAAATAGGCATGGAGAGGCTGGCCTAACGTGGATAACATGTGTTTCTGTGTAGCTTGTGTTAATAACCTCACACAACTGCCGCAGGACTTTTCCTTAGTTCAGCTAAAGACGGGGTCCTTGTCCGTCCCACAGCCATGAAAATTCAAGCTGGCAGATGGTTTGAAGGGTGAGTAAAGCAGGGTTTTATTGGGTGAAAAGGAAAAAAGGGAAACAGGGACTCCTCAAGGCCAGAGTTCATCTAGTGTGCTTACTGCCTCGCAGCTTGAATCCCCAGCTCCACCCAGGAAGAGGAGGGGCCAGGCTCCTCCCCACTGCAAAGGGTTCGCACTTCTGTGGCTCCACCCCAGTGCACACCCTTCCCAGGGCGCAGTCTGGTTGGAATTTTTCCGGGGACCCCCTCCCACCTGGCTGCCTCACAACCAATTTGCAAGTGAACACAACTCTCATGGAAATTGAAAAAAAGTCTTTCTACATAGGGTGCTGGTGACAACTCTTTTTTTAAAATCAGACCTAATCATTCCACTGTTGTCTACACAATAGTATGACTTCATTACAGGCATGGATTTCCAAGTAAATGATTTTTTTTTTTAGTTTCATTTGACTTGTTTTTTAATGAACATGCTCATCTCTCATTAAAACTTTAAGTGTTATTATCTGGAATAAAAGCAACCAGAGCTATTTTAGCTAACAGATGATAGGTTTCAAGAGGAGATGAAATCAGTTCCTGATTTGTGAATGTTTGAAGCTGATGTATTCTAGTGCCTATAAATCCAACCTCAGGCTTCAAACTCTTTCAAGTTGGCCTCTGAAGAACAAAATTCAGAGGAGAGGATAACTGGTCACCATGACCGGAGTCATCCCTCACAGGAGTTAGCCCTTTATAACTCAGTGCTCCTCCATGGGCACTGCCTCCTTGACTATGCAAAAGACAGGTGGTTCCACTTTATGGATGAGAATATCAGGCTCAGAGAAAGTAAATGACTGGCTTGGGATCATAGAGATGTATGTGGACAAAATTATAGCCTTTTGACCTCTAAGTCCATTGTTTTTCTGCTATTCTACACTTTTGTTTTAGAGTAAATATCTGATCTGTAATAAACATGGCTTTTCAAGGCTTAGCATAGATAATTCTGGGAAATTAACTTTACCTCTTCCGATCTCATGTTCTTCACGTGTTAAAACAAAAACAAAAACATTTTGTCTTTCTTCCTCTATTGTTATAAATAGCAAATGAAATGCAAACAAACTGTGGTGTGCCATCCAACGGGAAGGGAGTATCAGTATCCTGGTCTTCATAAAGTGCTAGGGATCGCTGCTAGTGCTTATTTCTTCTTAAACATTTATTTACACAGAACAAGGGAGCTGGAAAATGTACTCAGATCACCGTCAGCATCCTCGAGGGCATGGGTTGCTTTCAGGAAGGGCTGAGCTTCAGCTCCTGTCACCTGCTGTGGCTGGTTGGAATCCGCTTTCTGCCATGCTAAGATAGCACATGGAAACTAAGCCAGGGGTCCACTGCGGCAGGTGGCCCGAGCCCCACGCTGTCTTACACACTGCTGACACTCGTGGTTTGAACTCCTCTGCCCAAAAGCAGACTGAATGATAAAAAACATATCAGGCTGAGCTATCTGGTGTTTTTCTCCCTCGTCGTTGTAATCAGGCATGATTGAAAAAGCACTAGGTAGCAGGTGGCCCACGCAGAGTCACCAGCTGCACATGCTGTGCGTGTGGTTCTGAAAGTAAACATTAATAACCATTTGCTGAAAATTGGTTAAAATTCCTTATCTGTCCCTTTAAGTTGTGATCATATTAATTTTATTTGTGTGTACCGCGAGTTCTGTACATAGGGTGATAGATGAGCCAAGAAGACCAAAACATGTATGTGTCCACACATGTATGTATATATAGACATAAAATATGCATACACATTTACACACATATATGTATGCAAATGGACACACATACATATTTACATATATGCTCATGTGTGCATGCATATATACAGGAATGTAGCCACACATACATATATGTATATGCATATGCATTTGTACAGATGTATACACATGAGTATATATACACACCTACATGTATTTATATTTCCTCCCGTACACAAATGAGGAATTATTTTGGTTATTTTCCTACGACAACATTTAGTTTCATCCTAACAAAACTAAAATGTACTCCATCTACCTTGAACTACCTCCCTCCCTCCCTGTCTCCCTTTCTTTTTCCTTTTTCTTTGCAATAGGCATTTACTGATTTCCACCATATGCCAAGTACCTGTAGAACCAAGATGGAAGGCACAGTCTCCATCAACAATGAGTGAGAGATACAGGTAATTAAATCGACCTTAGAATTCGGTGACTGAGTGTTTTGACAGTTAAGTATAAGAAGTGTGGAGATGGCCAGGAACAGTGGCTAACGCCTATAATCCCAGAATTTTGGGAGGCTGAGGTTAGGGGGTCGCTTGAGGCCAGGAGTTTGAGACCAGCCTGAGTGACAGCAAGAACACATTTCTTAAAAAAAAAAAATACAGAAGTAGAAGGTGGAGCACATTGTCCACCCTGGAGTGACAAAGTCTCCCTAGATGGAGGGATGTATGAATTGTTCAAAGGATGAGATGGTGTTAACGGGAATAGAAGGGTCCCAGAGGGACAGATGAGTCTGTGTGGGTCAAGGTGTAGCGGTTTCAGAGGGCATGGATCTTTCAGGAATTTTGGGCAGTCTTGGCTGAAAATAAAGGAAGGAATGAGGGCTGGGTTGGGGGAAGTGGACAACGGAGTATGACAGTGAGAGGAGACAGATTGATAGGAATCAGGTGATGGAGAACTGGGGTGTCAGGATAAGATGCTTGGAGAAGTATTGGCCCTCTGCCTAAAAGAAATCAGGGTGGGCTGAGTGAAAAATAAGCTTTCAAACATGCATGTTCTCTTTGCCTTTTTTTTTTTTCCTTTCTCTTTTGGCTGGGTTTTCACGTGTGTTAGTGTTCTGGGGGAATTATACGTGCATCAGACACGTGCAGATGTTTGGTTCACTCAGCTGGTTGATTCAGAAAGCTGCAGGAAGCAGTAGGTCAAGCTAAGGAAAAGGCATGCATATTTCAATATGTGTGTGCGGCAGGTGTGGTTTCTATGATCTGAACAGAAATGCAGGGGAAAAGGAGAGCCGGTGTATCTCCCAGCAAATGTCTCCACTCTGAGATGATGGGTATGATTATGGCCCCAGGAATGGTGATAATTCCTGATATTTGTGCATGAGTGTACTTGTCTGGGAGTGCCCGTATGCCCACTTAGGAACTGTTATTTGGGGAAGCATCCTGTGAGGTGTTTGAACATGGATCGCGAGCCCCCGGTGCAGAGGAGAGAACCAAGGTCTGGAGTGGTGATGGGATCACACCCCCTCCTTGGTAATGGCTTCAGCTGAGACATTTGTCAGCCCAAGTACCTCCTAAGGTTCCTCTCACCTTTTGTAACTTCATTTTAAGGACAATTACTCTGCGGGTGAATCTAGGGAAAATATTCCCTCTGAAACCTAAAACAGCCTTGTTCTAAGCATGAATCTGTCAGTGGTGGTGATGAGAAACAAAATATTTCCCAGCAGATTTCTCTAGCAAATCAAGGGCTACATCAATTCTCAGTCCTCAGTGCATTTAAAGAAATATATTGTGCCAGTTTCTTTTTTTTTTTTTTTGAGACGAAGTCTCACTGTCGCCCAGGCTGGAGTGCGGTGGCGCGATCTCAGCTCACTGCAGGCTCCGCCGTCCCGGGGTTCACGCCATTCTCCTGCCTCAGCCTCCGGAGTAGCTGGGACTACAGGCGCCCGCCACCTCTCCCGGCTAATTTTTTGTATTTTTAGTAGAGACGGGGTTTCAGTGTGTTAGCCAGGATGGTCTCGATCTCCTGACCTGGTGATCTGCCCGCCTTGGCCTCCCAAAGTGCTGGGATTACAGGCGTGAGCCACCGCGCCCGGCCTCTTTTTTTTTTTTTTTTTTTTTTTTTTTTTTAAGCTGCATAGTTTGAGGATTCCCAGTGGCAGAAGGCAACAGACAGGTTTGGCTTCCTAATTACATTAGGCAGTACTATGCATGGCTCTGGGACCTCATTCCTAATGTTTGCTGCCACAGCAAAAATAGGAGATTGCTTCTCCTATTTTTGAACCTTTTAGCTTCTCTTTCATTTTCCCCATCTCTGGCACAGACAAAAGCCTTTGAGTGACTTGCTACTTAGACAAAATCCTGGAAGAATATAAAGGAAATGTGAACAGGGACTAAATCTCAGTGGTGGATTTAAGATGGTATTTATTATATGTCTCTATTACTTTGTACTTATCTCTTCTTTTTGGTAATAAGACTATCTTTTATAAACAGAAAAACAATAAGGCTGGGTCCTTTGTGAAAAAACAAAAATTACATACTTTCTAGTCTACACTCCAAAAGAAACTTGGTTTGTGCATTTCTTAACATCTGCACTTTCTAAGTACTCATCTGTTAGTAAAGATCAGGTGGGATCTCCAAGAATCTCATTCCCCATAGGACAGAATGCACAGGACAAGAAATTCTTTGAAGATGGAATTCTCACTATTTTGAGGGTGGCAATAAGGCAGGGGAAGCCAGTGGGTCCCTACAAAACAAAGTCATTGAGTGATCACTTGGGAGCCTCTGAGATCCAAAATTAATATATTATCTCAACCTGGTGATACTCTTTGAGCACTGGAGGTGTCACGTGTGAAATGCCACCCTTTCCACCCCCTTTTTTTTGGTGTATGATCAAAATATCAATGCCTGTATTGTGATACAGAATGATCATTTGAAGTTTTATCATCAGAGTAACATGATGATAGGAATCACTTCTTTCTGTAATACTAACCTAATCTTAAAACGATGATTTGCTGTGATCTCCAGATGAATCTGAAAGTATCCATAGTTGGAGATGGCAGATCCCGTGTTTAGACCAATGAAGGCCCAATATAGTTTTCTAGTCATATGGTTAGATAGTCATTCTGACCTGCTTTATTAATTGATCAACCAATTTTAATATTATGAATATATAATGTATAACTTTTATTAAAAGATAATGGTAGCTCAATTATACTAAAATAATAGCCAAGGTCTACTCTAACCAGGGCTCCTGATGGTTAGGTAAACTAAAAATATTCCAAAATGAACATCTGAGCAGCTCTCCGTGTAGGAGCAGGAAAATAGAGTGTACACCGTAGGAAGTCAGAGAGATCTAATGGAACTCTGAGGCTTGTGGATGAGATGACTAGGTGTTGCCAGTAACCAGGATTGGATTACAGGAGAAGGGGCAGGATTTGGGGAAATTACGAGCTCAGTTTCAGATGTGTTGAACTTAAGCATCTACGGTAGCATGCCTAATAAGTATGGGTCTAAAAATCAGGAAAGCTCTGGGGTTATGAAATTTACCCATCTGGAAACCGTCGTCTCACCTCCCCTTTTGGTGCTTAGCTGAGCACTGTTCCTGGGCTAGAATCCCAGGTATTAAGGCCAAACATTGAAGAGACAAGGGCTGAGTTATCAAGAGAGAGCATCTAGGCTGAGGGCAATCTGGCTCACGAATCTAAACCTGGAGGAGCTGGGTATAGAGAAAAAGCCCAGGCATGGGCCATAAGTAGCAAAATGAAGAGAAGCAGTGGAATGCCGGGTGAGAGGTAGCATTCTGAAGGAAGGAGGAGCCACCAGAGGAAAGTCATGGGTGATTTTTATGGAGCGCCTAGAGCCTTGCCTGTCAGGGTGGAGGGAATTTGATTAGTTTCCTGTGGCTGCTGTGATGAATTAACACAAGCCTAGTGGCTTAAGACACACACATTTACAGCTTATAGTTCTGGAGGTCAGCCCCAATGTGCTTTTGTGCTGAAATCAAGGTGTGGGGGACCCATGTCCCTGCTGGAGATTCTAGGGGAAAATCTCTTTGTCGTTTCCAACTTCCGGAGGCTGCCCACATGCCTCTGCTCATGGCTCCTTCCATCTTTAAAGCCTCTCACTCCAACCTCAGCTTTCGTGGTCACAGTACCTTCTCTCACCCTCTTATCTCCCTCTTATCAGGTCCATTGTGAGTACATTGAGCTCAATATGGCTAATCCAAGATAATCTTCAGATCTCAAGATTCCTAACTGCAGCTGCAAAGTCCCTTTTTCCATGTAAGGTAACATATTCTCAGGTTCCAGGAATTGGGATGTGGACATCTTTGGGAGAGTGATTATTCAGCCTCCTGGAGGAATGTAAAGGCATTCTGGAAAAACCTGATTCTCATTCCAAGGTATTTCAGATTTATGAAATATTTCTTTTATAAAACTAAGTTATTCTCTATTCAGTGATGTGAATTATTTACTGCAGGTCAACTTCAGGTCACCACATTTTGTACTTAACTCTCAATTTGGGATTCTTCTTAGAGTAATTCAGGACATCATGGATATAAATTTTATTCTTTGTTTTGGATATCAAATATCATCATAACTTAAGGTATGAACACTCTGTTGAATATTATGCAACAATTAAAAGCATGAAAACATGCAGAAACACAAGAAATAATTGAGATAACATATGTGCAATATGAAAATAGCCCAAAAGGAAATATGTAAAATGAATAATTGTTGTTTCATTAGAAACATGGGAATATGTCACACTTTGGTCCTTTTCTCTAATTCTCAAGCATTCTACAGTAAAAAAAAAATTTTTGGCTATTTTTGAAAAGTGACATGCCAAAGAATATGTGTCTGACTCAGGGAAAAGATGGAGGAATAAATTATTATTGCCAACTGCAGACAGGAGGTGAAAACAGTGAAAATGGAGGAGTCAAACTCCCAACCTCAGGTGATCTGCCCGCCTCAGCCTCCCAAAGTGCTCGGATTCTAGGTGTGAGCCACCACACCCAGCCCAAGAACAGCCTGGCCAAGATGGCAAAACCCCGTTCCTACTAAAAATACAAAAATTAGCCAGCTGTGGTGGTGGGTGCCTGTAATCCCAGCTACTCAGGAGGCTGAGGCAGGAGAATCACTTGAACCCAGGAGGTGGAGGTTGCAGTGAGCCAAGATCATGCCTGGAAATCGGATAGTCACTGATGCTTGGTAGTGGAGGGGTTATTTCCAGGGGTGAGGGGGGAACACGGAAGGATGGGATGGTTATTTTGGAGACCATGAGGACGACAGCTGGAAATCATTGCTTAGGGAGGAAAGATGAGAGCAAAACATCATGGAACCCAGGGAGCAGTAAGGTTAAGTAAGCTTTTTTGTTATTGTCCTCTTCTTTTGAAAAACAATTTTTTTAAGAAAAGAGAGATTATTCTCACGTCTTACCAAAACTTAAGTAGATCTGTGTAACAAGAACTAGACTATATTGCATGCACACTTTAGAATTTCCTAAATTGATACTCTCTATATCTTGTAGGATAGAGAAACAGTGCCTGGTAGCAGAATGAATGTGAGAATAGTCTTTTCTCCCCCTAACAAGCTATGGGAAAGATACTTCCATTCAATGAACCTCAGTTTCCTCATTTTTAAAACCCATGGTTTGGATCAGATAGTTTCTAATGATCATTGAAGCTGTAATACTTTATATCCATCTCTGAAGTCTCTAGCTCCATTTAAAAAGTCTTAGTTTCATTCTCTCATCAGAATGATTAGACCAAAGCATGATTGTGAAAAAAAGAGACTGGGGATTTGGTTTCATATCCAAATGTCTCATTCCTGTACAGGCCAAATAATCAGCTCACTTGCCTGGAAGCATGTTTATGGAAGCAATTCAACAACTGAGAAAGATTGGTAATGCCAGAGGAAGTGGAACAATAATTCCTCCCTTTTATTAATATCAGATAACAGGTAAATCCCACCATCCACCTAGGCAAAGGATTGAAAATTGCCATTAAGAGAAAAATTAAAGAAGGTGCACAGGACAATGCCCATTTTACCTTCCTGTCAGAGCTGGGCAAGGTGCTTTTGGAGGCGTACCCAACTGTGGGCGTAAAATTGTCAAACTGTAAAACACCAGGTGCTGGCCACTATGTGCTTAGGAGAAATGCAAATGGTATCTGGGCAGAGAGGATCCCTTTGGGTATTTGGCAGAATATGATGACAGTTTGGAGAGGGCTCAGAGAAGGGTAGAGGGAGAGATCAGTAGGATGATGAGAAGGTGTTTGCCAAACCTGTATTTCAGGCAAGAAGGGGAAGACATTTTATGAGTGCACTGGAAACCGAATGAGTCTTCTTAAGTTCAATGTGATTAAGAACAGAGGTAACTAGAGTTTAGGAAACATAGCTGCTGAATTTTGGGTAACTACTATGAAAGATAGAATTTGCCATGATTTCTATTAACTATTATAATACAAGGACTAAATTGTTGGGATAGAGAGACACACAGAGATCAGTGATACTGAACCATGAAAACAGAAGAGAAAATCAAATTAGAAAAACATCCATAGCCACATATGGATTAAGATTTCCTCAATTCCTTATTGAAAAGATATTAGAGTTAACACAACCCTAGTCCATAACCTTTGATTTTGATGCATCTGCGTTTATGTTTGACTTAACTATATAGCAATTACATATTAAACTGTATGTACTTTCCTTCTGTAGTAATGAAGTCAGACTTTTTATTGATATTGTAAAAATCTTGAATTTATTCTCCAAACATAGCAGTAGATATATCTATACTTGGGGTAACTCATAATGAGCATTTATTCTTCCCCTTTCCCCCAAGATCAACCCAGTTTCCTTGCTAAGACTAAATACACAATGGAGGGGAATAATTCTCAAGAAGGAATTCAAGATGCTCTTGGGAGGGAAATGTGTTTTGTGCAATAACAACCACCACCAACAAAAATCTACGTGTGCCCTTATAACCTCTTCTTGATTGTTGCCTAAAATTCACCATATCTTCGTTTCTATCTTGACAGTTCAAAAAATGTCTGAAAGTTAACTTTCCTAACACGTCAAAAGTGCGTTAACCTCCTCTTCCTAAAGGAAGATAACCCGAAGTCTTACCAGTTACCCCATTCATCTCCAAGCCTAGATTATCTGAGTGATGTCCATGTCTCCTCTCATTCCATTGTGGTGTCTCATCAGTTTTCCACTTTAAAGCTAAATGGCATAAGTGTCACCAATATGCACCATATAAGATAGTGGAGGAAGGTAGAGGAAAGAGAAGGAAAATCAGATAAAACATTTAATATATGTATTGCATAGCAAAGAAGGAAAAATAAGTAATAGCTGCAAAGATTAGTTCTGTTATCTGTCACCAGTGCTAACTGAATATTTATGACTTCCTTCGTCCACCTGCTGCTTTGACTTCCCTTTGTGTGGGGTTCTCTAACATGTGTATATTCTGAGCCCTGGTAGATCTACCTGTTTAGTTTGCATGAGTCATCAGTATATAAGGTATTGCAAGGCAGCATCCATAGGATTGCCTGGGTTCCATCCATATGCCTTCCTTCCACTTTTGTGGCAGCATCCTATTATCTTTTAATAGTCAAAGTAAAATACATCATCCTAAACACTAACCCTCAGCACCATAAGACAGGGAGAAAAAATAAATTAAAAATAAAAAACCCCTACTAACCCTTCTTTTGCTTGTTTGTCCAGTGGCAATGATGAGCCTAAAATAACCAGGTTACAAGGAAGTACTACGCCTTTAGAACCATTCTGTATCCATTGATGGAAGGACAACTTTCTTGGGCACTAAAACTTCTCAACCAGAAGATCTCAGTTACAGGGGCAGGAAACAAAGCTTTCACAAGTAGCTCATTGGACATAACCATAAGAGACATCATCTTCATGGTGGCTTTGTATTCTGTGTATTGAGGCTGTAACAATGTCAGTCAAGATGTGAGTAGCCAGAGAGAGAAGACCAGGAATAGCTGTCCTCTTACTGAATGGTGCTTAACTGAGGTTGATATATCATATATTACACTCACCAAAGTCATGCTTAGACTGCCTCCTGAAAAAAGCTGAACCAATTTCTAAGATGACAGGCTTTAGGCATAAATTATCTTTCCTATACGTGTTCAAAAGGGAGAATTTTTTAGGAGCAAAACACGTAAAACTTTTTTTGGTAAAAACAACTTGGTTTCAGCACTACTATACATTTCATCATTTCCCCTGGCTCATCCATTAAATCTCCCTATGTTTCTGAGTTTGATTCTATCAGATTAGGGGAAAACACCATCTCACTTAAAAATTGCGTTCCTTTTTTAAAACCACCTATTCAATAAGCATTTACAGAGTCGTGTCCCTACACATGTGGCAGGCAGAACAGTGGTCCCTAGAGATGTCAACATTCAAATCCAGGAACCTGTGAATATATTATCTTATATGGCAAAATGCATGGTTAAATTAAGATGTGATTACATTCAGGGTCTTCAGATGGGGAGATTGTTCTGGATTATGTGAATGGGCTCCATGTAAGCACAAAGATCCTTATAAAAGGGAGGTCAGAAGGGTCACAGAAGGGGATGTGACAATGGAAGCAGAAGTCAGAGAAGGTGGGGGGGAGAGAGAGAGAGAGAGAGAGATTGAGTTGAAGATGCTACACTGTGCTGCTGGCTTTCAAGATGGAAGAAGGAGACATAAGCCAAGGAATACACAGTGCAGATGACCTCTAGAAGCTGAGAAAGGCAAGAGAATAGATTATCCCTTAGAGCCTCCAGAAGGAATGCAGCTCTGCTAACAGATTGATTTTAATAAAATGTAACCCATTTGGGCTTCTAACCTTTAGAACTGTGAAATAATAGATCTGTGTTGTTTAAGGCCACCAACAGATAGATTGTGACAATTTTCAATTTTGTATAGCAGTGAGCAGTGATAGGAACTGGTACAACATGTTTTTTTTTTTTTTTTTTTTTTTTAGATGGAGTCTCACTCTGTCGCCCAGCCTGGAGTGCAGTGGTGCCATCTCGGCTCACTGCAACCTCTGCCTCCCAGGTTCAAGCGATTCTCCTGCCTCAGCCTCCTGAGTAGCTGGGACTACAGGCGTGCACCACCATGCACCACACCCAGCTAGTTTTTGTATTTTTTAGTAGAGAAGGGTTTCACCATGTTGCCTAGGCTGGGCTCAAAGTCCTGACCTCGTGATCTGCTTGCCTCAGCTTCCCAAAGTGCTGGGATTACAGGTGTGAGCCACCATGCCTGGCCGATCACACCATTTGATAAAAAATGGTAAATTTTTTATAAATATCAACTCAGCCCATTCTTCTATTCAATGTTTTCCAGAATTGTATATCCAAATGACTTCTGGTAAATCATCACCCAGTGGTCACAAACACATCTCAAGCTCAAAAACTGGTAACTTCTCCCTCAAACTTGGTCCTCCTCCAGTATCTGCTTTATCTGTGACTGGCACCATCAGTTTCTCAGACGTTCAAGCCAGAAACCTGGAGGTCATCTTTGATGCTGTTCCCTCAAAATCCCTAACCAAGTCATTACTAAGTCTTGTAGAGTTTACCTCCTAATTCTCTCTGTTTCAATTGCATCTCTCCATCTTCACCACCTTAATTCTACCACCGTAATCTTCCATCTGCACAATTCATAACTGGTTTTCTCTCATTCATACCTTATACATTCTCTGTACTTCATACAAACTCATTTTTTTATGAAAATCTGGTCAGAAATTGTTCATGCTCTATGCAATTGAACGGTTTTCTATTGCTCTTTAAGACAAGAATCTATAAGGGGAACAAAAGGCCCTGTGACATCTGGCCCTTGCCCATCTTTCCAGCATCATCTCTGGTCACTGACCCCCTAACTCTCTCTACTGTGGCCACCCTGGACTTCTTCTTCTGTCCCCTTGACATTCCATGCTCCTTTTCTCCTTGGGGCCATCACACATGTTGTTTCTTAGCTGGGACAAGCACGAACTGGATTTTCTGGCCCAGCAGCATTCTTAGGAGTTGGAACTGAGCAGAAGAAGGCGCAAAAGGCCCAGAGAGTCAGGGCATAGTTCAAGGGAACCTGGTGATGTACTCTTACATGTCAGCAGGTCAGGAAGCAAGCAAGCCTGGAATTTAAGTCCAGGGAAGCAGGGAGAAAGCACTTTGCTAAGGAATCAGCCCAGAAGACAGTCCAGACAGGAACCTAGGTTAAGGAAGTGCAATGGGAAGACCACCCCCGACTCTGATGCCACCCAGGAAATGAGTTTGCTGTGGCCTAACAGTTGTTTTCTGAGTATATTTTCATGTCAAATAGCAAAAGTAGAACTTTTGGAGGAGGTGTGAAGAAATGAAGAGTGACTAGAGGAAAATAGAGAGTCAGAAGTTGCAGTAGGTAAGTCAAAAGAGAAGATGATTTAACATGGTCAAATAAGAGAAGAGAATTCATGGTATTGAACAACAAAAAAGTCAGTAATAATGGCAGGTGAATAACTAAGTGGCCAGTGAGAAGTAGAGGCAGTGAGTAGTGAACACTAATGAAGCTGGCTTGTAAAGAGAAGTGGTGCATTACGTTAAGGGAGGCGTTGCTTGTTTTGAAATGGGAGAGACTGATCCATGTTGATATGTCTGTGAATTACTCCTTGTTCTTCCTTATTGTGGAAATGATCAGGTCTTTGATTATTTGTTTTCACCAAAGTGATTCAAGTGGTTCAAAGACTACTAAGAATATGTATAATTCCCAGCTTCAACTATTTATCTCAAATTAAACATTTAAAGCTATTTTGATATATACCATTGTATTTCTTTTTTGTTTTTGTGTTTTTGAGACAAGGTCTTTCTCTGTCACCCAGGCTGGAGTGCAGTGGTGTAATCATGGCTCACTGCAGCCTCGACCTCCTGGGCTCAAGCAATCCTTCCACCTCAGCCTCCCCAGTCGCTGGGACTATGGGCATACACCACCATACCTGGCTAATTTTTGTAATTTTATGTAGAGACAGGGTCTCACCATGATGCCCAGACTGGTCTTGAACTCCTGGGCTCAAGTGATCTGCCTGCCTTGGCCTCCCAAAGTACTGGGACTATAGGTGTGAGCTATTGTGCCTGGCTTACTATTGTATTTCTAAGCAGTGTTTATTTTAGACATTTCTATTGATTCTCTCTGCTATGAAAGATGAGGTTGAAGCACCCTTGGAGAAATCACATGGGCCCACACACGTTTCTCCTCTATTTTCCCAAAATGGTTGTATAACAATTTTTTACTTAAATATTCAGTCTTTACTATGTAATTATTATTCATGTTGAGCCACAAAGTACACTATTACTGCTTTTTCCATTTTGTACAGCTTATTTGTTTTTTCATTAAATTTCCCTGTGCTGATCATTAATTATTCCACATACTGTCTCATAGAACTGTATATTCGTCTCAGATAGTTAAACACATAAATAAATCAGTTCCATTTTCATAGTCATGGCTACCATTTAAACCATTCTCAGTGTCATCCTCCATCTAGCCTCTTGTTCAAATCTACCCTAGTTGGTCCCTCCTCATGCCAAAGTGCTATGTTCCTCGCATTTTCTTTGCCAGAATCCTGTGGATTTACTTCCATTGACTTTTTCTGTGTAGTATCCACTGTTTCCAAGACTCAATGTCTTTTTATTTGTTGATTTATTCTGACATTTTGGTAGTGCAACATCTCCAGGAGCTTTTCCAAGAACACATACATAGGAGGTAAATTTTTGAAATCTCAAATGTCTGGCAATGGATGCAACTTACGCTTATACTTAATTGATGGTTTGTCTTAGAGAATTCTAGGTGGAAAATCATTTTCTACCACAATTTGAAGATACTGTTTCATTTTCTTCTAGCCCTCAATACTGTAATTGAGAATTCTGATGTTATTCTAATTCTTGACCCTTTATATGTTAACACATTTTATGTCTCTGGAAATTTTTGAGATTATATTTTTACTTAGCATTCTGAAGTTTAATTGTGATGTGTCTTGTTTACATTTTCAGTCTTTGTATCTAACAGGCATTTTCTAAAAACACATATCTTCTCATTTTGGAAAAATATTCATATTATTTGTTTGATGATTTTCTTCTCCAACTTTTCTCTATTTCTTCATTCTGGATCATTGGACCTAATGCATTGGTCTCCTGTTTTTATATTATTCTTTTCCATTTGCCTTTTCTTTTTTGTCTTTTTGTTGTACTTTACCCTGGACTTTATCTTCTGAAACTCCTACAGAGTTATTGATTTGTGTTACCATAATTTTTAAGTTTCAAAAGCTTCTAATTCCTCATCAAGAGTTCTATTTTTATGGCATCATATTGTTCTTTCATGGCTGCAAAAGCTTCTCTTATTTCTCTTTTTTCTTTGGAGACAGAGTCTCTCATTCTGTCAGCCAGGCTGGAGTGCAGTGGCGTGATCTCAGCTCATTGAAACCTCTGCCTCCCAGGTTCAAGTGATTCTCCTGCCTCAGCCTCCTGAGTAGCTGGGACTACAGGCACATGCCACCATGCCTGGCTAATTTTTTGGATTTTTAGTAGAGATGAGGTTTCTCCATGTTTCCCAGGCTGGTCTCAAACTTCTGAGCTCAGGAAATCCACCTGACTCAGCCTCCCAAAGTGCTAGGATTACAGGTATGAGCCATCACACCTGGCCAAAGTGTCTCTTATTTCTATGGCAAAGATAACTATACATTTTTTGTACCTTGCTTCGTATCCATTTCTCACCATTTGTTTATTCTCTATATTTTTTTTCTGCCCTTCAAGAGAGAGAATTTTCTCTATTGTCTGTGGACCCTTGACTATTGGTTTATATTTAATAGTGAGAGACTAAAAACGTTGTTTGGTGAGATGTCCAATTGCAGTAGTGGCAAAGTAGGTCGATGTAGGGGAATTCTCCTACAAAGTATAATTGAAAAAATATAATATACCTTGAAAGTCTGCTGGGAGGTAGGAAAAGGCTATTAAGGTATTCAGGACTTGAAGGACTGAAATTTCTAACTGAAGAGAAACATTTTGAAGTGAGACTTGCATTCTTTAGAACTTTTCCCCTCAAAGTATCTACAAATTCTTATGCAGGCTAAGCTGTACTCATTAATGATGCTGTTTACCCTCTTGCAATACATTCGTGGAAGTCCAGGTGAGTATTGCATCCTCTGAACCCTCTAGAGGAGTATAATGCTCCGGAGAGGCTTTGAGGTTCACATGGGCAGGGCTGCACTGCTCCATCTTTTATGCCTCCCTCTACCATCTACTGTGGAAATTAAGGCCTTTCCACTTTACTGTGGACCAAGCATATTCAGGCTTCTATTAGCAGTGAGTTTGCCCCAACCCCTGGGACCTTGGCCAGGGTATTTAATTCTGTGTTCCAAAAAAGTGCCCCCAAGTTAATGTATTTTTGCTTTGTATTCTGCAGCTTTATATTCTGACCTCCTTGATCAATCACCCTCAAAATATAATGCCAGGGGTACTATACAGACTTAATATATCCCTGCTAATTCTTTCAGTTTCTTTGATGAGCATTCTTTCTTCTCTTGTCAGACCCAGCATGTCCCTGGCCAGGATATGCTGAGATTTAACTCGAGCTATTTGCCTGGCAGAAAAGAGAGGAGGGAAGCATGTGTTTACTTTTAGAGGAGAAGCTTCTACAGATTCTTCCAGCATGGCAGAGTAATAGCTTTTGCTAGGGATGGGACGGCTGGCCACCTCAGGGGTTTCTGAGTATTCAGTGTGTGCAGAGCCAAAATCCTGGGGGGCATCCATCCAGATATACCCATCTCATGTTTCAGGGTTTCAGATTTTCCTAACCAGGACCCTGATCTTAGCACAACAAGCCTGCTTTGGCTATGCATTAAAACATCACTGGAGGTCTGCAACTCTATCAGGTCCTGAGTGCCCCTTAGCTGTGTCCACTTTTCAACTGCAGCAAAATAAGTACCTCTTTTTTAAGCTACCAGAGAGTCCCTCTGGCTCTCACACTTATTGCCCTCAGCTTCTCATCACCCTTTTGCAGGGTGGCAATACAAGTTTGTAATTACCATCCAACTCTGCTCTTGTTGGGGGCATTGTTCTCCACTTAGCTTTTAAATACCTGATTATCTGGAATCATCACACTAGCAAAGGATATTAACTTCTACTGGGACATTTTTCCAGGTCAACACCAGTGACATCTTCAGCAATTTGGCCACCATCTCATTCCAGGGGCAATCTGTTCTCCATGTTTACTCAGGATGGGGTCCTCTTTGCAATCCAGGTGGTGTGTGGGTCAGTCCCCAGGCCCATCTTTGCACCCGTTTTCCTGGATCACTGTTAGGATCACTTGGTCAGTTCAAATCCTCTGAGAAGAAGACTTCAAGTCAGGATTCGTTGTATAAGAGATTTGCTGGGGGAGACACCTATGAAGGATAAACGGGGAAGAAGTAGGAGTGGGTAGGAAGAGCCTTCAGGCAGCAGTGCAGGTCTGGCACCTGTGAGAGGAGAGAAGGAAGGAAGGATTGGGTAGGAAGAGCCCACGATTGCAGTGTAGTTTTTAGAGTGGCTTGGCCAGGCTGTTGGGAAGTCCCTGAGACTTCCCAAAGGTTGCCTGTTGGAAGAGTCTTCCACAACTGTAATGTTCAGTCATTGGCTGAATGTAGCCCAGGGACACATGGCCTCAATGCTCCTATGCTCTCTGCAGGGTATTTTCTTAAAGGAAACCTGAGGCACACCTCCACAGCTGCCACAGGTAATTATTTTCTCAACATGAGAATTCTATAGTCTCCTTCCCAGGGATCCAAGTCTGGTTCCCAGTAATCTGTGAGCTGAAGTGGGAGAAAGGACTGAAGATGCCATCATCAGTTTGTGGACTGTCATTGAGTCTTTTTTTTTTCCAGGGTAGTGACTCACCACCTGTTTCCACTGGCCTTAGTATTCCAGAGTCTAGAGAGTCTCTGCTTTCATTTTTCCAGAAAAGAAACCTTCTGATGCTGAGATAAGGGAGATCATTAATTGGCATTGAAGTGTGCAGATGTGATCTAGGAGTCTGCTTCTTCTACAGCCAATCCTGTTTTCAGCCATGCTCTGTGAGCCTGCCTTCCAAAATACCTATTTGCCTTTGATCCCTCAGTTTGTCTTGGGGTTTGCAGCACATATTGATTTGCTTTTTGTTAGCATCTCCCTATGAAGACATGTAGCTTTCAGCTCTTTTCCCTCTGCTAAGTCAATCACCACTTATCCATCCTCTTTTTATCTTCCAAACTTGGTTGACATTATTCATTCATTGTAGACCTTGTTTCTGGTTTTCTTTGTCCTAATGAGTCTGTATAATTTTTATTCCTTTGTTCTTATTGGTTTGGAGGAGCGAGTAGAGGTAAGGAATAGATGCAACTGTAGTCAAGAGAAGGGTCAACTTTTCTGTGTAACCAGAAGACAGACAGAAGAAATCAGGTACTGAAAAGTATGGCTGTAGAGTTAGGAAGTTAAAGCCATTCCCTCCTGAATGCCCTGTCTTATCTCATGCCCAGCTGCCCACCCACCAGCTTCATTCCAGAAGCAGCTTACATTAATAATGGCATTTTTCACCCTGCCTAAGAGAAATCTCATTTTTCTTTGTGTTTACCTTAGAATAGAGAAAAGCAACTTCTAGAAGTTTACTTTACTGCAGATGCTTTGTACAAAGCTTTATAGGTACAAAAATGGGCAGTATCTGGCTCTTGCCTTTAAAGAACTTATAAACTAGTGAGACAGATGATATAAAATGACAATTTTAGCAGAATGTGATAAATTTTTACGGCACATGAATTTAGGGAGTTCCATGGAAATGCAGAAGAGGGCCCTAACATCAACCCGGAACTTAAGCAAGATTCCTAAAGGAATGGAGGTATCCGATAAGTACTGAAAGATGATTCCACATTAGCCAGGCAAAGATAGAAGGCGCAGATATTCCAGAGACAGGTGATGGGTTAGCTAGCATGTGGTGGTGAGACATATCCTGCTGTTTGTGGGGGAACAAAGAGGCAAGAGGAGGAAGTGGTAGGTTTAGAGTGGACTTAAAGGAGGCTGGAAAAGGGAAATGGCTGGATCACGGGCTTCTTTGGTTCCACTTAAAGAGGAGGAGTGACATGTCTGATTTGGGTCTTAGAAACATCACTCAGGCTATAAAGACTAAGGAGAGGCCAGGGCAGGCAGGCAAGTGGAAATGATGGCCTGAACCATGTTGGTGATGCCAAAAACTGGGACAAATGAAAGGCAGTCATTGGAGCCAAGACACTAGGCTGGACCTCACTCCTCTGCCAATCATTTGTGCACTAAGTCCTTCAGCCTCCTTCCTGCATAGTGGGAACCACAATCTCTGCCTTTTGGTTAGTTCTTTGTATTAGAGAAGACAGTGACCTAGTCCATATTTGCCTGACATAGCACTTGGCACATAAGCAGTTGTTTTTATCCCTTTCCTCATTCCACATTTCTAAGTAACTTCCAATTCCTCTCAGTGTCTTACCTTTGATTCATAGTTGTTTTAAGAAAATTGGAATGACAAGGAAACAGTCTTAGTGGATCCTTTTGCTTTAGACTAGCCTGGACCAAAGCCCATCCATTCATCGTTATATTATTTTTATAGATGCTTGTATACATACACACACATATACATACAACACATCCCTTTTCTTCCTCACTTTTCTTCCATACTCATTTCCCACTGCTCCTTTCCTCCATTTGATGGACGAAGAACCCCAGTGAGTTTTGATGATACCCAGAAATTTTAAGATGTATCAAAGATGTCATGGTCATGCAACTTGTGTAATTACATATATATCTATATATTTTTTTTCGAGCCTCCACTCTGTGCTAAACACTCTTCTGTGCAAAATAGGAAGCACCAAAGAAGAAAACTCTGCCTTCACTGAGCTCTGGAAGAGGTGGAAGAGATGGGAGACTTACAGTTACATGCTGACCTTTTCAGTCATTTGGAGGCCTCATGTTCTAGGCTCTTAACTGATGGTGATGAAGCCACCAACAGGTGTGAAAGGTGTCCTCTTATTTACACACTATTCCTTTGAATAGTGTGATTAAGTTTTCATTCTTACAGTTCTATGCTACGACCAATTTGATAAAAGATTCTCATTTAACCATGCTGTCTTCATATATGTAAGCTTCCTTGATATCTAAAGAGTGTGAGCTCCTGAGCCAAGTCCAGTGGAAAATTTGCAGTCTCTTCTAGGATTAGATGAAGACCCAAGAATTCATCTTGCTACAGTGCGACAAGACTTGTCACAGATAGCTTGGATTTATGGGTGCTCTTCCACAGCAGAAATCGTTTCACCTTTTCAGGTGACCTTTACAGAATCATAAAATCAATCAGTTTTATTTGACATCCAAATCAGAATGCTGCCCTAAATAGATTGCTAGCACTTTACCTGGAGAACAAAATAGAGGAAATAGGAATGTGCCCAGGGCTAGGTGGAAGACAGCCCCGGAACAAGAGTGCTACTATTTAAAGTCCACACACAGGACTCAGTGAACAGAGCTCCTTAAGCACTCTGTGGCTGGGGTCACCCTGGTTACCTCTGCTCCACTGCCCGTGATCCTGGTGGATACCACAAAAACAAGCTCTTCACCCTCATCTTGAAATGGACTAATGAAAATAAAGTGGCAGACCTGTATTAGTCCGTTTTCACTCTGCTGATAAAGACATATCCAGGACTGGATAATTTATAAGGAAAAAGAGGTTTAATGGACTCACAGTTCCACGTGGCTGGGGAGGCATCACAATCATGGTGGAAGGCAAAAGGCACATCTTACATAGCAGCAGGCAAAGAGAGAATGAGAGCCGAGCAAAAAGAGTTTCCCCTTATTAAACCATCAATCTCATGTGACTTATTCGCTACCATGAGAAGAGACTGGGGAAACTGCCCCCATGATTCAATTATCTCCCATAACACATGGGAATTATGGGAGCTACAATTCAAGATGAGATTTGGGTGGGGACACAGCCAAACCATATCAAGACCCAGAATGAATTTTACATAGGTCCATCCTCCTTTCTATCCTGTTTGACTTGCTGACTGCAGGAATCTAGGTAGACTTGGTTGGGAAAAGGGGCATAATTCTAAATGTATTCCCTGTAGGCAGATGGCATATATTTGGCTTGGTTTCAACTCTAAATGATTTATGTAATGAGGATATCAAGAAAAGTGTATGAAGTATGACAGTGTGTGTTGTATATTGTATGTACACATGAATATATTTAGGTAGCTTCAAAAAAATTTTTTTACAGCTCTAATGATTTTGCAAAACTGTCTTCAAAGGAATTTAATAAGCTGAGAAACCAATATAATATAGTAGTTGCCAGCAAAGATTCTGGCACTGTCAGCTTTCAAATTCCAGTTCTATAACTTACAAATGGTGTGGCTTTTGGCAAGATCCCTAACGACTCTATGCCTCTATAGTTATGTTTCCTTAACAATAATAGCACTTGCCTTATATATGAGAATTACATGAGATAACGTATAAGCTCCAATAATTTCTGGCTTATAGGAAGTGTTATATATGAACTACTATTACACTTAAGTGGGCATAGTTGAACTCTGGAGAAAGAGCTAGGGTTGAAGTGGGGAGACAGTCCTGTGCAAACTGTGAGATCAGACCAACCTACATTTGAATTCCAGTACTTCCACTGTACAACTTTGGGTGAGTTACTTACTCAGTATAAAACTGCCTTTGCAAAAATTATGTCAGTGAGAAAATTATGGCAATGGAGGAGATTTGATCCAGCTCCTCTCCCTCTTGTCTTTAGCCTTCAATCTGCCAAGATAGCTTTGGGAGACATGTTTATAGTTTAAATGATAATAAGCCTTCTCAAAAACTTAACCACCTATGTAAAGCTAATAAGAGACCACCAGGCTAGGGAGAGGAGAGGAGCCTGAATTCTGCTAAACTGTAGACATGAACAATTGCCAGCCATTATTCCAGAGGTCCTGCAGATAACATCACTATTGTAGAACCTGAGATTGGCCTTTTGAGAATTTTTTTCTCAGATTTTTTGCATGTCTGATACCCATGGCTCCACCTGGATCCACCAACCAGTGGCTTCTGTGCCCCCACCCAGAAGCAACTGAGTGCAAGAGAACAGCTTCAGCTCCTATGATTTCACCTCCAACCCAACCAATCAGCAGCAAGCACCCACTGCCTAGCCACCCCCAAACTTCCTTTGTAAAATCCCTAACCTACGAGCTTTCCATGATATTGATTTGAGTAATAAGTCTATATCCCTGCGTGGTGTGGCTGGATTCATGTCAATTAAACTCTCTCTACAGCAATGCTGTCATCTTTGTTTGTGCAACTGGCAGGGAAACTAATTGGGCAGTTACAAGTATGGGATACTTATGTTCCATAATTATTACTAAGAGTTTTAAATGAGATAGCACATGTGAAGCACTTAGCAAAATGACTGGTTCACAGTTAATAATAAATGGGAGTGGTAATTATCAGTATCATTCACACATATACACATGCTTTACATATAATCACAAGCTTACATATAATTCTTGTCTTTCAGCATGTAGAATTTAAGATGAACTCAGGCAAGTAAGGAAATTGACATTCTAGTCACAAAAAACTGAAAGGGGTCAATGTAACCCTATGAAGTGCAGTGTCAGAATGACCAGAATTACCACTGTTAAGATGATAATAATTTCAGTCATGCAGTAAGGTGATGGTTGTTTGGATGAAGTCACAATGTAAGTAAAGGATGACGAGATCCTTTTTTATTAGCAACTGGATCTTTTTCCCAAAATGCACTAAATTGAAGCCATCACATTTGGATTAAAGTCAAGAAATCAAGTGCAGCATTGTGAGTTCCATGACGAAGGGCCACATCAAGCATTGTGGCAGCATTGTAGGGAAATAACCTCCCAGGAAACCACCTCATCATCAGTTAAATAAAATGATGGAGCTCCTTTTAAGCATACATATTAGACAAGGTTTGGAAAGATTGGCACAGTCATAAATGGAAGGGCAGGCTGCAAGAGTAGTGTATACTTTTCAACTTGACCTTCTCACCCATACAACCATAAGCCCTGGGAAGGAGGAAGATCTTCAAATGCGAAAGACTATTATGTGGTCATTTCTGAATTCATGATGCCATTTAGAAACACAAAACGCTTTCAGAATAAAACATTTGGCTTCAGCCAGCTTGAGTTTTCTCAGAAAACTATGAGATCAGAGAAATCTTGCTTTTGTGAAATTTCCAACCAATCTGCCTCTGGTTGGGGACACATGGAGGAAGTATTCGAAAACTGATAGATAGAAATTAAACCATCCATTTTTCAAGCCCTTCTTGTCACCACTCTATGTCTGGTGTCCAGCAGAGTGTCTGAAACACTATTGCATTATTTGGTTTTTCAATCCACTCTTGGAGGATCTGAATGTAAGAAAATGGAACCACCTGAGTTGATTAGCCCCTTCGTTTCATTTGACAAAGTAGTGTCCAGTAAGAACTACAAGAACAGAGTAATCAAGTAAGAGTTACCCCAGATTATGGAGTATTCAGCAATCTGACTTGGATACATCAATAAGAAGTTATTGGTCCCTAAAATGGCTGTTGACAGGGAGGCTGTGTAGAGGGCATCTCTGAGCACACCCTGTACATTTCTGAAAGAAATCCAGAAATGAGAAGCCATGCGACAAAGGGGGGAGTAGACGACCTTTGCCCACAAAGGACACAGCTGCAGGTCTAGGCTCCAGCACTTTCTGTCTTTGGTGATTTGGGACACCTTCTGTAACCTGTCTAAATTTCAGATACCTCCTATGTAACATGGTGAGAATAGTAAAAGGTCCCCAAGAGGCTTCTGAGAGATCAGATGAGACAAGGCATGAGAAAGCACTTTGTAAATTGCTGAAGTGCCACAGAAATGTTATTAAATTTACTGTTTCTGTAAAACATGACTTGGCAGTCCTTGAAAAAACACTGCACCATATTCTGTTCTAAATAAATGCAGATAGAAAATTGGGACCCTGAGTGATTATTTGTTTACATTATATTGGTATCTCTTCATTATGCTTAATCAATTCAACAAATACATAAAGTGCCTATTGCGTGCCGGGCACTATTTAAACACTGGGGAGACATTGGAAAATAAAACAAACATCCAGACTCTCATGGCTGGTTTTCCAGTGGGGACACAGGAAAACAAATCAAGTTAAAAATTATTTAGAATATGATAAGCTAGTAAGTCCCAGGGGAAAAAATAAAGCACAAAAGAGAGATAAGGATGGGGAGTGCAAAATTTATACAATATTCTCTTTTATTTATATAATATCTGTTTTTTCTTCATTGTTCTTCATTTATTGACAGTTTTGGAGAGCCGCAAGGGAAATGAAAGTTAATTTAGGAATTAATTAGATTTGATAAGTTTTGAAGCTGATCTTTTTAAACTTCTGGATTACATTTGTTTTTAATTAAAACATACGCAAGGCCGGGCATGGTGGCTCACACCTGTAATCCCAGCACTTTGAGAGGCTGAGGTGGGTGGATCACCTGAGGTCAGCAGTTCACGACCAGCCTGACCAACTAGTGAAACCTCATCTCTACTGAAAATACAAAATTAGCTGGGCATGGTGGCACATGCCTGTAATCTCAGCTACTTGGAAGGCTGAGGCAGGAGAATCACGTGAAACTGGGAGGCAGAGGTTGCAGTGAGTGAAGATTGTGCCATTGCACTCCAGCCTGGGAAATAAGAGCCAAACTCCATCTCAAAAAAAAATATATATATATCTCCAAACAAAAATTATAGACCTTGTCTTTTTTCTTTTCTTGTTACCAAGTGTGTTGATGTGACAATATATTAATTTAATTTGACAAATATATAGGTTAAGGGACAAATAATTTTTTAAACATGATACAGACCCTTTCTGAGACAGAATGAAATGTACTCATTCCCCTGACCTCATTTTCTATTTTCAAAATGGTCTCAACTTGATGAGGCACAAAAGACTCTGAAAGACAGGAATGTCATTACTTCTAAGACCAGGCCTATGATATATATAGAATGGAGACCTTTAGTTAAATCCTCTGCTTTATGATTAAATTAGATTGGTAATTAGCTATTACCCACCTAAATATGTTAAAGGAACTGATTTATTTAAAAAGGAAAATATAATGGATAAGTCCAATTTGAGGTTAATTTTACTTTTTAGAAAACAATAGACTTTTATAAATAAAGGAAATTAATTTCTTCTAGCTTTCTTTGCCTGCGCTTTATCCCCTTTACTTTCTAGGTTTTCCTATAAAAATATCTACTTTCTGGTTTTCATTTATTAGACACACTTTTTTTCTTTTTTTTTTTTTACATAAAGCATTAATGAATCTTTCCATGTTTGGACAACGATGATGGCAACATTGTGGAGCATGTAAATGAATTCATACAATCAAGAGACAGTTCTGACAGCAATTCATCTACCTCTTTAAGCTAAAGGCACCCTCTTGCATATGTTCTTTGTAATTTATTTTGCTATTTTGGTTTTGGCCTCGATTCCTGGGATTTTAAGTTGAATGACTCTGTGCTATTTTATTAATTGCTATTCTCAATATAGACAAGCAGCTGCCTAATTCTTTACATTTATTTATTCATTAGTTCAACAAATATTACTGAGCATTTACTCTGTGCTCTGTAATATTCAAGGCATTTCCCTTTTCTCAACTTTGTTACCAGAAGCAGAGCCCAATGGGGAGAATCAGATTAGAACAAGACCTGGGTAGTACAAATTTCAGGTTGTTGAGTTTTTCTCCCCTGAATGCTACAAATCAGAATTACCCAGAATTGGAAAGAACTGTGTTGTATTAGCCAAGGTTCTCTAGAGGGACAGAACTAATAGGATATATATCTCTATCTATCTTTCTATCTATCTATCTATCTATCTATCTATCTATCTATCTATCTATCTATCTATCTATCAAGGGAAGTTTAGTAAGTATTAACTCACACGATCACAAGGCCCCACAATAGGCCATCTGCAAGCTGAGGAGCAAGGAGAGCCAGTCTGAGTCCCAAAACTAAAGAACTTGAAGTTTGATGTTCCAGGGCAGGAAGCATCCAGCACTGGAGAAAGGTGTAGGCTGAGAGGCTAGGCCAGTCTCCTCTTTTCACATTTTTCTGCCTGCTTTATATTCTAGCCTCACTGACAGCTGATTAGATGGTGCCCACCCAGATTAAGGGTGAATCTGCCTTTCCCAGCCCACAGACTCAAATGTTAATCTCCTTTGGCAACACCCTCAGACATACACAAGATCCATACTTTGCATCCTTCAATCCAATCAAGTTGACACTCAGTATTAACCATCACATGTGTCTTCTCACTCTGTGGCTACCTTATGCCTTATCTACCTGTCTCATCCACACCTATACTAAGGTAAAGATAAAGGGGATCCACTACTGTAAGTGCATGAATATGTTAACAGACCACAAGGATTGTTTTCAGTTCATACTATTCATGTGCTACCTCATTATTTAATTCAGAAGGAAATATCCCAAATAATACATCCTTTAAGTTTTAAAAAAGTCCATGTCTGCCCCTAATATTTTCTTTACCCAACATGGAATGCTATGTTGATATTCCAAAGAGACTCATACAATTCTCTCCACTCCTGTTAGATCTTTAACAAACAGTGCAACTGTTACTTTGTGTTTGCATAGCAACCATGCTCCACCCAGAAAGGCTTTCTATTTACTTATCAGAAAACCTTGATAAACAGTAGCCAAAGAGGAGGCAAACAGAATTTCAATGATGGAGAAAGTCTACACAAAGTAATAGCTTACAGCTCCTGAGTTTGGAAACAGGCTTCAAGGCTCTTGATATACAGAGGAGATTCTGCATGTCATGGCCAGTCAGAATTATATAAAGAGAAAATAAAGAGACTAGACAAGGTGGCATGCTTTTTGAAGTATACACCTCTTTTCAATAAGCATAACTATATCACACAGTTTTCAAGTTCTAGATTCTGATAAATAGCATTGTTCTTGAGGGAGTGTCCTGGATGTTAGGGAGTCGCTAAGACTCAGATGTTTGACTTGTTGAGTGTCTCTGTTAGTGCGGATTCACTACCCTTTACATTTCATAATTTGCATTATTAAAACATTTTAATTTTTTCTAGGAATAAGTCCATATTACAATGTTGAATATGATTTTCAAGCTATGTAAACCCTAAACCTCCCAACTGAAATTTTGATTCACTCTCCCTTCCTCCAAATAATTAATTCAGAACTAAAGGACCCATAAAAGGCATTTTAAAAATGATGTCAGGATGATTTTTTAAGAAAAAGTAGCTCATCTTGGGTCAGTGCTTTAGATAATAGAGTTTAACTGTGTCACAGATAGAGATGAAATGTAATAGCAAAGCCCCAATTAAATTACGGTGACAGTCCCCTTTTAAAGAACTATTATAAAAACATTCATTTCTCCTCATTTCCTTCAGGCTATATTTTAGCATAGACCCTTAAAATTTGTTTTGAAAATGAAGGGTTTTTTTTTCTTTTGGACATAGGGTCTTGATCTGTTGCCCAGGCTGGAGTGCAGTGGCATGATCTCGGCTCACTGCAACCTCCACCTTCCTGGTTCAAGCAATTCTCATGCCTCAGCCTCCTGAGTAGCTGGGATTACAGGTGATCACCACCATGCCTGGCTAATTTTTGTATTTTCAGTAGAGATCGGTTTTTGCCACGTTGGCCAGACTTGTCTTGAACTCCTGACCGCAAGTGATCCGCCACCTCGGCCTCTCAAAGTGCTGGGATTACAGGCGTGAGCCACCACGCCCAGCCTTGTTTTCTTTTTCTAAGAATGGAAACTTAATGAGAACTGCTCGATTCAGCCCCACAGGAAGGCCACACCAAATCTTCATATGTGGCCAAGGAGCCCTGGTCACTGATGGATGGGCATCAGACCAGGAGCAAAATCAGAACAGGGTTTCTCCAGAATTAAGAGACATTTTTCCCCTTGGCATTATTTAGAAACAGAGAAAATCAATCACCTCCTTTTTAATTGTAAAAATTTGTATAAATTTGGCTCTGTCTTAAAGGATAATATAAACATTAATATACCACTTTACCAAAAAAAAAAAGTTTCTGTTAGGCTACAGCACAATAGTGATATTTACATGGTACCATTTTCACTTCTCTCTTTGCATTTTGGCTGCTGCTTCACCTAAACTTGCAATTAGGCATTTAAATTGTTTTCTTTTGCACACATCTTTTTAATTGTTCATTGATTGATTTATTCATTCATCTGCTCATTCCTTATTTATTAAGGGCCTCTGTGTACCAGGCATTGCACTAAGAGACACCAGTTAATAAAGCAGAGTCGTGGCACTGAAAAGAACCAAAAGGCATAAAAATCCTAATATGCCAATCTGATTAATGCCTTGATAAAATATAACCAACTGGGTGCGGTGGCTCATGCCTGTAATCCCAACAGTTTGGGAGACCAAGGAGAGTGGATCGCTTGAGTCCAGGAATTCAAGACCAGCCTGGCCAGCATGGCGAAACCCCGTCTCTAATAAAAATACAAAAAATTAGCTGGACATGGTGGTGCACACCTATAGTCCAGGCTACTTGAGAGGCTGAGGTGGGAGGATCACCTGAGCCCAGGAGGTCAAGGCTGCAGTGAGCCAAGATTGTGCCGCTGCACTCCAGCCTGGGTGACAGAGCGAGACCCTGTTTCAGAAAAAGAAAAAAGTAAAAAAGTAAAAAGAAAAATAAAATATATCCAAGGAACTGTGCTAGAAAGTTCTGCAGAGGATTCTTCCCTGCCTAGTCCAGCTTCTGGTAGCCCCAGGCATTGCTTGGCTTGTAGATGCAAAACTCCAATCTCTGCCTCTGTGGTCATGTGAGCATCTTCTCCCTGTGTCTGTTTGTGTCCCTGTGTCCAAATTTCCCTTTTTCTTATAAGGACACCCATCACAGTGGATTAAGGGCCCACCCCTTCCCTGAGGATAGGGGGTGGTTGCTGAGAGTGTGTGCAGGTGTGTGCAGGGAGATTACAATCACAGCCTCTGCCGTGTGAGCGAGAGGAAGAGCAGGTGCTTTTGTATAAAGTTGGCCACCCCCAATCACCCAGTGGGTATTCAGGTAAACTAGGCTCCCTTGATGCTGCAATTCTTCTCCTACCATCTGCTCAGGTGGAACAGTTTTGAGAAATCCTGAGCTGGAAATACAAGGTGCGGAGAAGGGGCAACTGCCTGGCCTGGCACCCCATAGAGTTTTGGAGATCAGTCCCCTTCCCAGATTTGCCAAATTCTACCACAGCTGAGGAGTGTGCCTGGACCAGCTTCCACCCTGTCCCATCCCAGTTAGGTGGTGAGGGCTACCTCCCTCTCAGGCTTCCACAGGGCAAGGCTGCTCTAGGGAAAGCCTGGCTTCTTTAGCTGCTGGACTGCTTATTTTATTGTTTACAAGTTTGAATACATGGTATCTGGACCTCGATTTGTCCTTTTTTCCAAACCACAAATATTATAGCCTGGAGAAAAAAAAGAAAGGAAGAGTGGAGTCAGATCACCAAAGATGTTATCCTTCAAGCCGGACCCTACGCCCTGATGCTGTAATGCTTCTTCTGCTTCTTGCTTTGTTACCCTCAAACCTTTAAGCACACAGCACATTCTTTGTTGTTGGTGTTGTTGAGAGTGGTGGTGGTCTACAAATCCCATCACTCTGCAGCTCAGGTTGACAAAGGAAATGGTTTTCTCGAGCATCTCAGTGTTGATCCCTTCCTCTTCCCCTGAACCTCAGAATCTGGTTCCTAGGAAACAAGATTCTCACGACCTTTGTTTCTTGCCATCATTTCCCCAAATATCCTGACTCTCCTATCTCTCTCACTCAGTCTATAGTCTTCTCCCATTATAGATTTTAGCTAGTCATTCAAAAATAAACCTGTTTTATGATAGATCTCAAAAGATAAATTACTAAAAAACATTATCTTTCATAGGTTTACACTCCTGTGAGCAGTATGCACAGATGAGTATGTTAACTCCAGCCAGTCTGTGCTGGTGGAGAGAGGCTGAGCTGCA
This sequence comes from Homo sapiens, assembly GCF_000001405.40. Taxonomy (NCBI): domain Eukaryota; kingdom Metazoa; phylum Chordata; class Mammalia; order Primates; family Hominidae; genus Homo; species Homo sapiens. The sequence continues at coordinate 97,162,682 of NC_000013.11, read as the reverse complement.
CAATGTTCTTTTTCTTCCATAATGACTGCTGACTTCCTCTTGAGAACAGTGAAGAAACAGTGAGGAGCGCTAGATACACATCTATCCCAGGGCTTTAGAACCTGCTCTTCGTATTTTTATAATTCCCTCAGCCATAAGCAGCAGGAACTGCAGCCATAAGACAAAGCAACCTACATATGAGTATGCATGTTAAAAGTAACAGGTGTGAAATAGAAAAATACACCCACCTCTCCACCTATGAGAGGTTACTTTGCAAGAATCCAAGTATATAAGCCCCAACTCATGGACCTAACATTTCCACTTATGCAAGGTTGCAATCCAGTAAGCCGTCTCTTTCCTCTTCTCCTACCATACTTTTCATTCTTAGAGTCGATTTGATGTAGATCTTAGTTGGATGTTGATACGCTTTGGGTCTGTGTCCCTGCCCAAAATCTCATGTCAAATTGTAATCCCCAATGTTGGAGGTGGGGCCTGGTGGGAGGTGATTGACTCTTAGGGGCGCATTTCTCCCTTGGTGCTATTCTCGTGAGAGTGAGTGAGTTATCATGAGATCTGGTTATTTAAAAGTGTGTAGCACCTCCCCACCTTCTCTCTCCTCTTCCTCCTACGCCAGTCAGCTTCCTCTTTGCTGTCCTCCATGATTGAATCTGATCAAATGCTACTGTACTTCCTGTAGAGCCTGTGGAACCACGAGCCAATTAAACCTCTTTTCTTTACAAATTACCCAGTCTCAGGTATTTCCTTATAACAATGCAAGAATGGACTGACACAGATGTACTCCTCAGACCCTGTATCCTGCATTAAATTTTTTATCTTTGTAAGAAATAACTATGTGTTCAAAAATAAATCCCAAACACCATGCAAGTGTGTGTACCAGTTCTAGGTAATCTGTACAGCTCACGGCAACTGAAGACATGGCAAGCACTCATTTGTCAGCTGCTCTCAAGTTCCCAGTTATTTCAGGAATGTTTATATTCTATCAGTGTGATGATATAATTCATGATCATCTAGAGTATACTATTCTATGATAGATATGTATTTTTGACACTTCCAAGGTGATGCTTAAACTTTCTGCTCATTCATAAATTACAGTTATAGTATTAATTATAATGAATACTCAGAGTTGTTTGTATAAATTTATCCTGAAACTGAGCCCAAGGTGTTACTGCACTAAGGGCAGTGCAGTACCTTTGACTTTCACACTACAGTAAAAGTCACTAGAATAGCTGGAAGTTCCAACATGTTCTGGGAGTTTCAGACTTGAAGTCCAACCCTGGCATGGAAACTACTCAAAGACTATCCTTACCCTCAATGGTGAGGTTCAATGTAGCTGCAAAAAAATTTGAGATGATGATTCTAATGGGTAAGCAATGAGAATGGACCCCAAAGCTTGTAGAGGTGGTGGGCAAAAGCAGGTGCTGAGCTCTTAGCCACCAGAGTATGCACTCCAGCGGGATTGAATTTCCTCTCAATGCTAAATGCCATTGGGAACCATTCTGTGTTGGCTTCAGTAAAAGACAACATCCAAACCAGTGCTTTTCAGACCTTACTATGCAAATGAATCACCTGGAATTTTCTCAAAAAGAAGATAAAGGGCTTCAGTATGTCTCAGGTGGGACTTTCAGCTTTCAATTCCTCATTTCTAAAAGTTTCCAGGTGAACTGATGCTGTTGTCCATAGGCCACAATTTGACAACCAACAAATATCTTCAAAAAACCACAGAAAATTCCATCTTTAGTCTTGGACAGAACTTGGCATGACACTATCTCAACTGAAAAATTGAGAATTAACTCTTTCCACTTTTGCCCAAACTATAGTGTTAGAAAAATGTAAGTTTAAAGAAGTAAACTATTGATTAGTGAAATAAAATAAATCCCTCTTCAGAAGGCTGTAAAATCAACAACTCTCTGGCTGCACCCATGCTAATAAGAACAAGTTTGGAAAGCCAGAATTCCTGATTCTCATTCTAAGGAGTTTATTCTTAAGAATGAAAAGCCAATGCCAATAAATATGGATTAGCTCAGCTCTAACAAAGCGATGAGTAGCCATGTAACTGAAAGCAAATTTATGGGCTTCCCTGCCTAATTTTATGGGTATGTGTGTGTGTGCATGTGTGTGTGTGCGTGTCTAGGTGCCTCATAATCCAGCTACTTAAATTTAGTGTCACCTCATTTTCTATACTGAGTTTTCAAAGAGTTAAGTACAAACTAAATGCAGTTCAACAAAAGCAAAGAAATTAGGCCATATCTGTTCTTAATTTCTAGTAAGCAGGTGGCATCCTGTTTCAGTGGACTTATACTTAACTTGCAGCAAAAATTCCTTTCAGCAAAAGCACTCTGAGATTTATTGGAGGGGCTTCTTCTTGCCTTTTGCAGAAAGCACAGAGCAGCCAGCTCACAAGGTGAGCAAAATGCAGTTTGGAATTTTCTTACAACTCAGCTGAAATGATGTAATTGGCTTGACAGGCAACCATTTTGTTGCAGAAGGCTCTTTCACCGTAGAATTAATGTTACAACAGAGAGCTTTCCCGTAACAGCAATAGTGTTTTTTAAACATAAGAAAATTACTTTTTTCAAAGAATAAAAAGAAACGAGCAAAGCCTCCAAGAAATATGGGACTATGTGAAAAGACCAAATCTACGTCTGATTGGTGTACCTGAAAGTGATGGGGAGAATGGAACGAAGTTGGAAAACACTCTGCAGGATATTATCCAGGAGAATTTCCCCAATCTAGCAAGGCAGGCCAACATTCAGATTCAGGAAATACAGAGAACGCCACAAAGATACTCCTTGAGAAGAGCAACTCCAAGACACATAATTGTCAGATTCACCAAAGTTGAAATGAAGGAAAAAATGTTAAGGGCAGCCAGAGAGAAAGGTCGGGTTACCCTCAAAGGGAAGCCCATCAGACTAACAGCAGATCTCTCAGCAGAAACCCTACAAGCCAGAAGAGAGTGGGGGCCAATATTCAACATTCTTAAAGAAAAGAATTTTCAACCCAGAATTTCATATCCAGCCAAACTAAGCTTCATAAGTGAAGGAGAAATAAAATACTTTACAGACAAGCAAATGCTGAGAGATTTTGTCACCACCAGGCCTGCCCTAAAAGAGCTCCTGAAGGAAGCTCTAAACATGGAAAGTAACAACCGGTACCAGCCACTGCAAAATCATGCCAAAATGTAATGACCATCGAGACTAGGAAGAAACTGCATCAACGAACGAGCAAAATAACCAGCTAACATCATAATGACAGGATCAAATTCACACATAACACTATTAACTTTAAATGTAAATGGACTAAATGCTCCAATTAAAAGACACAGACTGGCAAACTGGATAAAGAGTCAAGACCCATCAGTGTGCTGTATTCAGGAAACCCATCTCACGTGCAGAGACACACATAGGCTCAAAATAAAAGGATGGAGGAAGATCTACCGAGCAAATGGAAAACAAAAAAACGCAGGGGTTGCAATCCTAGTCTCTGATAAAACAGACTTTAAACCAACAAAGATCAAAAGAGACAAAGAAGGCCATTACATAATGGTAAAGGGATCAAGTCAACAAGAAGAGCTAACTATCATAAATATATATGCACCCAATACAGGAGCACCCAGATTCATAAAGCAAGTCCTGAGTGACCTACAAAGAGACTTAGACTCCCACACATTAATAATGGGAGACTTTAACACCCCACTGTCAACATTAGACAGATCAATGAGACAGAAAGTCAACAAGGATACCCAGGAATTGAACTCAGCTCTGCACCAAGTGGACCTAATAGACATCTACAGAACTCTCCACCCCAAATCAACAGAATATACATTTTTTTCAGCACCACACCACACCTATTCCAAACTTGACCACATAGTTGGAAGTAAAGCTCTCCTCAGCAAATGTAAAAGAAGAGAAATTATAACAAACTATCTCTCAGACCACAGTGCAATCAAACTAGAACTCAGGATTAAGAATCTCACTCAAAACCGCTCAACTACATGGAAACTGAACTACCTGCTCCTGAATGACTACTGGGTACATAACGAAATGAAGGCAGAAATAAAGATGTTCTTTGAAACCAATGAGAACAAAGACACAACATACCAGAATCTCTGGGACGCATTCAAAGCAGTGTGTAGAGGGAAATTTATAGCACTAAATGCCCACAAGAGAAAGCAGGAAAGATCCAAAATTGACACCCTAACATCACAATTAAAAGAACTACAAAAGCAAGAGCAAACACATTCAAAAGCTAGCAGAAGGCAAGAAATAACCTAAATCAGAGCAGAACTGAAGGAAATAGAGACACAAAAAACCCTTCAAAAAATTAATGAATCCAGGAGCTGGTTTTTTGAAAGGATCAACAAAATTGATAGACCGCTAGCAAGACTAATAAAGAAAAAAAGAGAGAAGAATCCAATAGACACAATAAAAAATGATAAAGGAGATATCACCACTGATCCCACAGAAATACAAACTACCATCAGAGAATACTACAAACACCTCTACGCAAATAAACTAGAAAATCTAGAAGAAATGGATAAATTCCTTGACACATACACTCTCCCAAGACTAAACAAGGAAGAAGTTGAATCTCTGAATAGACCAATAACAGGATCTGAAATTGTGGCAATAATCAATAGCTTACCAACCAAAAAGAGTCCAGGACCAGATGGATTCACAGCCGAATTCTACCAGAGGTACAAGGAGGAACTGGTACCATTCCTTCTGAAACTATTCCAATCAATAGAAAAAGAGGGAATCCTCCCTAACTCATTTTATGAGGCCAGCATCATTCTGATACCAAATCCGGGCAGAGACACAACCAAAAAAGAGAATTTTAGACCAATATCCTTGATGAACATTGATGCAAAAATCCTCAATCAAATACTGGCAAACCAAATCCAGCAGCACATCAAAAAGCTTATCCACCATGATCAAGTGGGCTTCATCCCTGGGATGCAAGGCTGGTTCAATATACGCAAATCAATAAATGTAATCCAGCATATAAACAGAGCCAAAGACAAAAACCACATGATTATCTCAATAGGTGCAGAAAAGGCCTTTGACAAAATTCAACAACCCTTCATGCTAAAAACTCTCAATAAATTAGGTATTGATGGGACATATTTCAAAATAATAAGAGCTATCTATGACAAACCCACAGCCAATATCATACTGAATGGGCAAAAACTGGAAGCATTCCCTTTGAAAACTGGCACAAGACAGGGATGCCCTCTCTCACCACTCCTATTCAACATAGTGTTGGAAGTTCTGGCCAGGGCAATTAGGCAGGAGAAGGAAATAAAGGGTATTCAATTAGGAAAAGAGGAAGTCAATTTGTCCCTGTTTGCAGATGACATGATTGTATATCTAGAAAACCCCATTGTCTCAGCCCAAAATCTCCTTAAGCTGATAAGCAACTTCAGCAAAGTCTCAGGATACAAAATCAATGTGCAAAAATCACAAGCATTCCTATACACCAACAACAGACAAACAGAGAGCCAAATCATGAGTGAACTCCCATTCACAATTGCTTCAAAGAGAATAAAATCCCTAGGAATCCAACTTACAAGGGATGTGAAGGACCTCTTCAAGGAGAACTACAAACCACTGCTCAAGGAAATAAAAGAGGATACAAACAAATGGAAGAACATTCCATGCTCATGGGTAGGAAGAATCAATATCGTGAAAATGGCCATACTGCCCAAGGTAATTTACAGACTCAATGCCATCCCCATCAAGCTACCAATGACTTTCTTCACAGAATTGGAAAAAACTACTTTAAAGTTCATATGGAACCAAAAGAGCCCGCATCACCAAGTCAATCCTAAGCCAAAAGAACAAAGCTGGAGGCATCACAATACCTGATTTCAAACTATACTACAAGGCTACAGTAACCAAAACAGCATGGCACTGGTACCAAAACAGAGATATAGATCAATGGAACAGAACAGAGCCCTCAGAAATAACGCCGCATATCTACAACTATCTGATCTTTGACAAACCTGAGAAAAACAAGCAATGGGGAAAGGATTCCCTATTTAATAAATGGTGCTGGGAAAACTGGCTAGCCATATGTAGAAAGCTGAAACTGGATCCCTTCCTTACACCTTATACAAAAATCAATTCAAGATGGATTAAAGACTTAAACGTTAGACCTAAAACCATAAAAACCCTAGAAGAAAACCTAGGCATTACCATTCAGGACATAGGCATGGGCAAGGACTTCATGTCTAAAACACCAAAAGCAATGGCAACAAAAGCCAAAATTGACAAATGGGATCTAATTAAACTAAAGAGCTTCTGCACAGCAAGAGAAACTACCATGAGTGAACAGGCAACCTACAAAATGGGAGAAAATTTTCGCAACCTACTCACCTGACAAAGGGCTAATATCCAGAATCTACAATGAACTCAAACAAATTTACAAGAAAAAAACAAACAACCCCATCAAAAAGTGGGCGAAGGACATGAACAGACACTTCTCAAAAGAAGACATTTATGCAGCCAAAAAACACATGAAAAAATGCTCACCATCACTGGCCATCAGAGAAATGCAAATCAAAACCACAATGAGATACCATCTCACACCAGTTAGAATGGCAATCATTAAAAAGTCAGGAAACAACAGGTGCTGGAGAGGATGTGGAGAAATAGGAACACTTTTACACTGTTGGTGGGACTGTAAACTAGTTCAACCATTGTGGAAGTCAGTGTGGCGATTCCTCAGGGATCTAGAACTGGAAATACCATTTGACCCAGCCATCCCATTACTGGGTATATACCCAAAGGATTATAAATCATGCTGCTATAAAGACACATGCACACGTATGTTTATTGCGGCATTATTCACAATAGCAAAGACTTGGAACCAACCCAAATGTCCAACAATGATAGACTGGATTAAGAAAATGTGGCGCATGTACACCATGGAATACTATGCAGCCATAAAAAAGGATGAGTTCATGTCCTTTGTAGGGACATGGATGAAATTGGAAACCATCATTCTCAGTAAACTATCGCAAGAACAAAAAACCAAACACCGCATATTCTCACTCATAGGTGGGAATTGAACAATCAGATCACATGGACACAGGAAGGGGAACATCACACTCTGGGGACTGTTGTGGGGTGTGGGGAGGGGGGAGGGATAGCATTGGGAGATATACCTAATGCTAGATGACGAGTTAGTGGGTGCAGCACACCAGCATGGCACATGTATACGTATGTAACTAACCTGCACAATGTGCACGTGTACCCTAAAACTTAAAGTATAATAATAAAAAAAAAAATAAAAAAAAAAAAGAAAATTACTTTTTTCTCAGTAAATATAATGACCTTGGAATTACACAAGGGTGAGTATGAATGAAGCAAGACTTGGTTTGGGACTAAAAAAAATTATTTAAAACCTGGATATAAAAAATATATATTAACCATGGATAAAGAGAACAACTTAGAATGAGAGAATGGAAAACATATTTCCAACTCAATGGAAAATAGCTACAAAAAAATTCCAAAGTCCATGTGTGTAATTAGTTTCATGGTTCCCTGAAATCTAAACTAAGGAAACAAAAAGCTCTAAAAATGAGTTCTTTTAAAAAGCGTGGTCTCCCAGGAGTTTGGGCTCATCTCACAATTGAACATACCACAGTTGAAGGGACGATTACTCATAATTCTGACTGCATAGGAGTCATAGGTCTGTCCAAAAGGTTTTTTAATCAAAAAAGTCCCCAATACTCTCAGCATCGCCTCCTCAATACTATTTGTGCAGTACTCAATATTGGTCCCTCTAATCTTAGAATCACCTCTTTCAGCCAAGGTGAATTTTAGTTGAATCAGCTTGTCTATCCATCCATCCATCCATCCATCCATCCATCCATCCATCCATCCATCCTTATACCATTTATTTATTCAGGAAACATTTACATAGTATCAACTATGTGTCTAGTTCTGCTAGACATGAGGGATAAAGGCAGAGTAAGACTCAAATTCTAGTTTGTGTTGCCTTCCCCGCATCATCCAAACGAATTTAATCACTCCCTCTTTTGTACTCCTGTTGCTAATCCATATGTTTAAAAAATCAGCTGGGTAGCCTGTAATCCCAGCACTTTGGGAGGCCAAGGCAGGCAGATTCCTTCAGGCTAGGAGTTCAAGACCAGGCTGGTTAACATGCCAAAACCCCATTCTCTACTAAAAATGCAAAAATTAGCTCGGTGTGGTGGTGCATGCCTGTAGTCCCAGCTACTCGGGAGGCTGAGGCAGGAGAATTGCTTGAATCCGAGAGGTGGAGGTTGCAGTGAGCTGAGATTGCACCACTACACTCCAGCCTGGGAAAAAGAGCAAGACTCTGTCTCACAAAACAAAAAACAAAAAACAAAAAACCAACGGGTAAAAAATGGGGTTAAAAGCCTCTGTGAAAGCTAAAAGCCTTATTTAAAATTTTTATGAGAATGGGAAGAATCAGTCCATCTCCAGTCTAACTTTTTTTACACATCAAATTCTCTTTTATGACTTTGGGCTTCCAGAGGAAGAAATTCTGTTTATTTCACTTACCAAGTCTCCCCAACTTCTAGACATGTTAGACAGAAATGTTGAATGAATGAAGGAGTGAATGAATGCCTTTTATTCCTGAGCATACTGCACAGTCTGGCAGAATATTTATCCTACAGAAATATTACTACATGAAACAATTCATAAAGTTAACATTTACTGGATAGCACAGACTTAGAAACTCATCATTGGAAGAGAGTTTGGAAAGTCTCTTCTACATAGAAGCATGTCAAAGGATAGGAGTGATATATAGGAGAAATTTATAGGCACAACATGTTTGGAAGCCAGCACATTGACAAACTGTCCAAATTTTAGGAAGTCTCTTGGTAAAGTAGACATGGTCAAGTAGTTGTCTACTTTGTTCTCTCCCCCTTGTAAATGGGCACCAGGACTCTGGGCTGGGTGCAGTGCTTTAAGGTTTGTGGCTGCCAGAGGTACATATTATGCTTTGATCCAATCATTCTGAGACTAGTTAGACCTTCACAGATAATTGTAGCCTTATAAAAGGTTTTCTGTTTTTTCCTAAATGGTCTTTTTATTTCTTACTGTATATTTACTTTTTAATCAAAATTATATGCGTTCATAGCTTAAAAATGAAAATTGTTCTACGAGGTTCATTTTTTAAAAATCCCAACAATCTTTTCTCACCTGTTGCCAGCTACCTTAACTTTTAACTATTTGTTTGGATTATATCTACATGTACCTAAATAATTTGCTTACACTGTTTCTTCTTAATTTTTAAACTCTTTATAGAAGACTAAACTTTTGATTTTTCACTTCTTCCCCCTCCAAGAAAATACACACACACACACACACTCACACACACGCTCAAACACACGTGCATGTGCTCCTCTTTCCACATTCTTTCTACATAATTATATTATGATGTTTGGATTGAGAGACAGTGTTTTACATTGCTCTGAGTCAAGAACACACTATTCACAGCTGAGCCATGTAATGTACTATTATTACATTTCTTTTCTTATACTACATTTTTATGTCCCTGGAGTTAGTAATTTTTTACTTTTTTATTTGGAGGGGTGCTGCTTGGTTTTCTATGTGCCAATTGCTAATTGTACAAACTCTTTACCAGAAATGTAAATCTTCTTATATAGACACATTAGGTCTGCTATTTATTCTTCTTTTTTGAGAGATTTCTCCAGAGCTCTGTCTTCCTGCTCCAATCTAGAGTTAATATTCTCTAGATTTACCACTGAGATGTCATCCTGGGACCTCTCTTTGCCAGCATCCTGGGAGATTCCCTTGGTGCCTGTCTGTACTTGATTACTTGTTTCTTGGATCCAGTGTCTTTTTTCTTGATATACTCCCTCATTTGAGAGGATCTTATTCTCCATTACATTCCTGAGAAAAGGTGCAAGAAAGGTGCAAGAAAAATTTTTGAACCTTGAATGTCTGACAATGTCTTTATTTTATCCTCTCAATTAATTGATGATATGGCTAGGTATAGAATAGTGTATTCGAAATCATACCCTAAGAATTTTGAAGGTAGGCATTGATTATTTTTCTCTTCTTTCCAGTGTGGTATTGAGAAGTCTGATGCTATTCTGAATGTTGATTATTTCTTTACTTTCTGAAAGCTTTATACAATTTTTTCTTTGTCTCTAGTATTTTGAAATTTAAGAATGATGTGCTTGGGGCTTGGGCCTTTTTTATCCATTGTGTTCGCACTTGGCCGTACTTTTAATGTGAAAACTCATGTACTTCACTTTTCAAAATTTTATTTGTTGTATTTCTTGGATTTTTTTTCCTCTCTGTTTTCTCTTTTTTTATGAAACTCTTATCATTTGATTTTAAGCCTTCTGGATTAACACCACATTTTAAAAATATTTTTCCCTCATTCATTTATTGCCTTTTCCCCATTCTAGAAGGTTTTCTGAACCCTATCTTCTAACTCATCTATTAAGCTTTACCTTTTTTGTACGTATTTTTTAATCTCTAGATTCCTTTTACAAGAATGTTCTGAATGTTCCTTTAAAAAGACTTCATCTTCTTTGTTTCATGAATGTAATTAATCTTTTTGAAGTGTTCTCACTGCATTGTCTTTTTTAATTTCAAATTTCTTTATCTCTTTATTTTCATCTCTGACTTTCAGGTTGGCAGATTTCCTAAAATTACTGGTCATCCTTGGTTGTCTGCTTACAGATGAGTGGGCTGATAAAGTGCTGTTGGAAGATCTTTGTAGGTGGGCTTGTTGTTAGATGAAATATACTATATTGTAATCTGGCTGAGCATTTCATGGGGTAACTCATTACTATAAGTATTTCCAGGTCTCCCATATCTTCTCCAACCATTCAGGTTCTTCAGGGAAAAATCTTGTAACCTATTACCTAAAAGGTATTATCCTGGCTGCTTAAACATGGGCATCAAACAAAGAAGGGGGATGAAAATGGAGGCTGTCTGATAGTTTGGTGTGTAAACTTCCATTTAATTTCTCTATTTTCATCAAACCTGAAACTTGAAACCAGTTTGCACAGGCTCACAAAAAGCTGATTGTGTGCATCTCTTCCCAACTCCATGACCAGAGACTTTATGCTGTCCATTTGAAATTAGCTTTGGTGGGAGTATTTACACCACTGCAATTGGCAATGACTACAAATTAGAGCCCTAGTTGCTTCCCAGCTTCCAAGCTGATAGTGAAACATACGCAGAGCACCACCGAACACACTATATCTGCTGTGTATGGTGTTTTCCCATGCTAGAACCCCTCTTTTTTTTAACCTCCTTGAAGAAATATACTTGTCATCATCTGCCAGGGTTGGGGAAAGGAAACATGATCACAGGGTTGTATAGAGTGAGAGAGGGAATCCAGGGTTTTACTGTATTTTAAATATACTTTTAAATCATCCCCTATTTGCAGCCCCCTTTTCACCCCCGCTTTGAAAAGCATCTGCCACCGCCATTCCTGGTTTCTGAAGTGCAATTCAGTTTGCTTCCTGGCTTCACCCACTGATAGCTTAGATTTCAGCTTTCTGGGATCTGCCAAGGCAGTGACCATTCAGCCACCTGCTTTCCAACTTGCAAAGTTAGGCTTCTGTTGCCCCTGCTCCTCTTTGTTGAGGGTTTCTGTCTTTTTTAACCTCTTATAGTCCTTTTAGTAGTTTGAGGGAGCTTGAGTAGTTTCAAGATTGACCTTGAAAATGCAAGGTCAATCTGCCTTTTCTATCCAAAAGTCTAACTGAAAGGAGGATGTTGTGTTAGGGGCAGGCCAAAAGTCCTGAATAGTTCAGAAATACTCTGACTTCCCTGGGCCCTGGGCAGCCCCACAGTCAAGGTTACCTGTCTTGAACTACAGTTAATAACTTTGCCAGGCATGGTGGCTGACAGATGTAATCCCAAATACTCGGGAAGCTAAGGCAAGTGGCAAGAGGATCACTTGAGGCCAGGAGTTTGAGATCAACCTGGGCAACATGGCAAGATCTCGTCTCTAACAATAACTCGTAGCTTTGTCAGGCCAGGCATAAACAGCCCCAATTGTTGGTCAAGACTGCAACTGAGGGCAGGTGAGAACCGCATTGAGTGAAAATGAAGTCCTCATGTATAGGTAAGCATTTGCCTGACTATATTCAAGTCTTCACCAACTGCTATAAACTTGGTAACTCTTTAACTTCCTGAAATTTTACTCTTATTGGCCTTTGTAAAATACATGTTATTTTTTGTCTTAGAAAATTTTTCATGTATCAGGCCAACCTGAAGAGACCATGTGGCTTTGACCCATGACCTGTAGGTCTAAAAACTCGTTAGAATGTACTTGGCAATTGAGAAATAGATAATCTTGCTCCTGCTTCATGTAGCCTCAAGGGTCATACCATTCATCTTGTTAAATTCGGCTTTTCAGCTCCAAAAAGTGAGGAGGCATCTCAGCATGGATAACTCTGAAGAACAAATGGCATTACTGGGCAGATCACTTAACGTAAACATATGGTGGGCAAGTAGAAAGCCTTGCTGATTCCTTTTATTCTGTGTTCTGTGCACCCACCAGCAGTGAGTGTAGGATGGCTGATTACTGTGGATTGGAAAAACTCTCCATTTTTAGTTACGAGATTGGCAACAATTTCTGAGACAAAAGCACGCCTGTTGCTGCAGGCAGCCATGCAGTGCCAGAGCACAATTGGAAAACCCGTTCTAAGTTGTCAGCCCTGACCCTCAGGTGATTTTGTGGTGTGTGATATAGGGGGGTGTTTTAGGCCAATCATTCAATGGATTTCCTAATTTCGCTTCTGGGAGAACGACTCCCCTGCAGAGAGAGGAGGGAGAGGCATCTGCCCTCTTAGGAAATAACTTTCAAATATGGGAACCAAAACAGACAAATGATGCCATTAGAAAAAACTGTAGGGGTGGAAGAGTAAGCTGTCTGTCCATGATCTAAGTCTACACAATTGGAGTTAGAAATCTGCAGGTCCCAACCTCTGCTCCACCAAGTTCTAGTATTAGTTTGTGTTGGGCAGCTGACCCTCTCTAAACCTCTTCCTTCTCTTCTGTAAATTGGAGGTAATAATAAGAACTACCTGTTTAAGCTGCTGTAAAAGTAGGTAAAAAAGGAGGCAAAGCTCTTAGCCCACAGCTAACTCATAAGCTTCTTAAGTGTTTGCTATTATTGGCTATGACTGTGGGTAGCATGTCTGCCCCTAGTCAGCTAGAGTCATACCAAGGTGGCTACTTGTGAAGCTATAGCCCAATGAGGTTTTAGGGGAGCACTGGGGCTGCTCTCTAGCAAGCAGAGAACGACTTAGTGAACCTGAGGAAGATGCAGAGTTGACATTAAATATTTACTAAGCATGCGCAGTGTACGAGAAAGCAGATGAATTTGTCTCCAGGAGCTCCAGGAGCACTTCACTTAAGACAAGGTATTAAACTTCCATCTGAAGCCCGAACATATCATCATTTAATCACTAGTGAGAAGGTACCTTAGGAAGCATAATGTTACGCTTCCGTAATGGCTGCCAAGGCTGAATCTTGTCCTATCACTTTCTCTCCCCTCTGTTTTACACCCACACAGTTCACTGGCAAAGCCCTGCATCTCCAAGATAAACAGCCACAGCCACAGTGGATCTTGGCTTCAGCACAGGCTTGTTTCACCAAATCTACACACACAGCAAACATATTGCGTGGAAAGTCCCCAAGTTCAGAGTTGAGTTGGAGCCTCTGCTCCTGTCTAGGCATTTTTGTGAAATGGAAATGTTCTTGTGTGTATGCATGTGTACAAGTATGTGTATGTTAGTGCATACGCAAATGTACATGTATGTATTCACCCTAGGAATAGAACTAATTAACCCACTTTTACTTTGAATACCAGTAATTATTACTACGGAATTTCATTTTGGATTCCATCACATCTTATGAACGACATTCACTAACTCTGAAAATACAAGGTATACCTTAGCATAAATATATTGATATTTCCCATGGAAGACAATAATGGTGATTTGTCTTTTCTATGATGCTGCCTCTTAGTCTGCATGATCATTTTTTTCTTTTTAAATAGACTTTATTTAGAGTAGTTTTCGTTTCACAGCAAAATTGAGCAGAAGGTACAGAAATTTCCCATACACTCTCTGCCCCTGCTCATGAATAGCCTCCCCTGATTATTGGCATCCCCCAAAAGACTGGTACATTTGTTACAACTGATGAACCTACATTGACACATCATTATCACCCAAAGTCCATCGTTTACATAAAGGCTAACTCTTGGTGTTGTATATTCTGTGGGTTTGGACAAATATATAATGAATGGTATGTAACCATGGGTTGTTTTAATAGTTCTCTGGGCCTTACCAAATTGAAAAAAAAAAGAAAAGCACTCTAACAGAGGTTGTCCTTCTTCTCAGGTCCTACAGGCAGAATTGTCTCAGCTAAGAAATGCAGAGCTACCTTTTTAGGCAGAACATTTGCTAATCATACAAGAAGCCTCTATTTTTTGAAATTTCCTTCCCAGAGGTCTCAACTGGACATTGTGAATAAACACTTGTCTATGTCAGGAGTTTACTGTGCTTTGTTATTCTTTTCCTCTTATGTAACCGGTCGCTCAGCATCTTCTTTCTCAACCATGTATCCTTAACCATGCCGACTCCTCTTCTTTCCAAGGGCAAACCTGTACATTGGCAGCTCAGGGTGAACAGAGCATTGACTGGCGTCTGACTCTGCTGCCATTTCTAGTTGCCTCCCTTTGCTGCCAGGAGCCAGGACGTCCCCCGCCTTCCTCTTCCCACTACTCTCCTGCTCCTGCATTCTGTGTCTTGTCTTTTATTACTGCCCCCTAACTCTGGAACCCACTTTCTTACCTCCTTATTTGCAATCAGCTGCCTCTCTTGCCTTCAGACCATGAATTTCTTCTTTTATCCTCATGAAAACAAGCCTTGGACATCAGGTAAACCAAGATCTGCATCTCCACTGTGTCAGCTCAATGCCATCCTTCCTGGATACCTACACGGACTCTGGCTGTAATGCTATTTCTTTCCTCCCTAGATTTTAAGGACTTAGAAAGCTGTCATTTTCATTGGCTCTATTATATTTTTACAATACCAAATATCTCCTAAACTTTAAACAACATGAGAAATGGATGTGAAATGTACTATTTCATTTACAAGATGAAGAATCAGGTAAATATGAGCATTTCTTTATTTAGTCAGTAGGTAAAAAAAAAATCATTCCAGATGATCAAAGCAGGACCATTCCTAGCCACTGGTGGACTATTGCTTTACACTCAGCCAAAGTTACAGTGCTTGGTGGGGAGGAATGATTATGGAAACAGAGGTAAGGACAACTGCCAATATGAACATACATTCTATAAACACAGCTCAAATTACCTTCATACATTTTGAACTTAAAAATCTCACCAATCGACAGAGAAAAAACATTCCTCTAAGTATCTATGTCTGGAATAATATAAAGTGAACAGACAGTGCATTCAGCACAAATACTGTTCAGTACTTCTCATGCTTCCTGCAACCTGCCTACTTTTCCAGCAACCAAAGGAGCAAGAGAGCCAACCATAGTAGTTCATTAACCTTTTCAAGTTTCCAGATGCTGTTCTTGTCTCTGTTTGGATAACTGCCATTATGTTCTGTTTCCAATGTAATCTTGTATCTAACACTCTCTTCCAGATACTGTTGACCTCTGCCATATTCCTACCAAAGTATACAAAACAAAAAGAGGTCTGCTGTGGTCCATAGCATAGCAGGAACCCCCCATGCCATTCACAGACAGATCCAATGGGAGTTGCCTTTTCAACTGAGGGATGGCAGTATGGTTTTTCTTGAGAGGGAAACATCCAAGCCAGAAGTAGCCTGCAGGGCTTCTATTTGGTTTTGCCCACCTCATCCATCAGTGCTCTTGTTGGGTCACTGGCCATGGTCACCTGGGAACAACACATCCTGAGCATCCCAGATAGCTGCTTTTTGGCTTTGGGTAGGAGGGAAGAATAGCCATGCATTATAATGAATATTCTAGAATGTGGCTTTGGATTCTGAACAGGGGAAAGGCTTCTCTAAAGTCAGAGCTTCAGGCAATTTTTCTGTCTCAATTATCCCCACAAGATTAAGGTCCTTCCTTCCATACAATCCTCTCCATAGGTCTTTTGTTCCCCAGTGTGCTTTCTGAAAGCCCACCAATCAAGTGAGATCCCTGGCCAACAGCACTCCTTCTGTGCTCATTTTTCATTCATAGGTAATATTTGTAAGCTACAAACCTCATTTCATTCTGAACAAATACATATGTTCATGCCTAATGCTTGGATGGAATGTTAGTGAAGTGTTGTGGGGTTTTTGTTCACAATAGACTGGATCTGTTGTTGGCAAAACTCTTTTAGAAAGTAGAACCTGCTGGGCGCGATGGCTCACGCCTGTAATGCCAGCACTTTGGGAGGCCGAGGCGGGAGGATCACGAGGTAAGGAGATCAAGACCATCCCAGCCAACATGGTGAAACCCCATCTCTACTAAAATATTAAAAAAAAAAAAAAAAATTAGCCGGTTGTAGTGGCACACGCCTGTAGTCCTAGCTACTCGGGAGGCTGAGGCAGAATAATTGCTTGATCCAGGGAGGTGGAGGTTGCAGTGAGCCAAGGTCATGCCACACACCACTGTACTCCAGCCTGGTGACAGAGTGAGACTCCGTTTCAAAGAAAAGAAAAGAAAAGAAAAGAAAAGAAAAGAAAAGAAAAGAGTAGAACCCTGTCTGCAAGTAAAACCTGACATGGAAGCCTGCTATACACATCCAATAAAAATGCAACTGCTCAGGTGAGAATCAAGGTAGATCAACTGCTTGGTCTGCCTTGCCTTGTTTCAGGGAGCAGCCCCTGAGGGAACCAGGAAGAAGCCTTATAGCACCAGAGGGCAAGGGCTCAAGAACTCAGAACTAGACCACTTGGCAGGCTCTTTTCTGCAACAAACTATTATTTCATAATATAGTTACACTGTGCAGTTCCAAACACCATCCAATGCCCATATCTTTTAGCTTTTTTCAACGGAAAAATAATGATGGCTTCAAATATATAGCTTGAGGAATAAGTAACAGAATACGTGCTGCCAACTAGTTATGAAATAAAGTATGCAGTTAACATCAAGGCCCATGCCCTCACTTCATATGGCAAGTTATCACTGCAAGCTACTGGGCACCTGCATCCTCAGACACCTAGGTTCTTTTTCCTTGGACACTTTTCTCTTTCTTCTCATCATCCTCTCTCTTGCCTCTTACAGTCCCTTTTGCTCCCTCCTTTTCTCCATATCTTCCCTGACCTCTCTTTTCTCTCTTTCATTACCAATTCTTTCTTTCTCTTTTCTTTCTTATCATGTTGCTTTTTTTAGCCTTTGTTTAGCTTCTATCTGCTCCTTCAGGATCAGTCAGGCCTGGTCAGGTTACAGTGCAATAACACACATCTCCCAAATCTCAGATGCTTAAAGCAACAAAGTTAATTTTACAGTCCTTCCACAGGCCCGTCACAGGTTGCTCATTGGAGTTGTTCAGGGACCCAGGCTGATGAAGCAGCCATTTTCTCAAATGTTGGAGAGAGAGCATGTAGGGAAGCCTGCGTTCTTTCCTGAAGCTTCTACCTAGATATGAAATATGCATCACTTCCCACATATTTTATTGCTAAAGCAAATTACACAGACAAAATTTAAATTGGTGGGGGAAGCACAATGCTACCATGTGCCTGTAAGTTTAGAGGGTTCAAATATTTGAAATTCGCCTAATGAGTACCACTGTCATTATGTAACCTTCACAGCTCTATGTCAGGGTCCTTCCGAATACTTTGCTTCTAATGTTCTTTCCCTCTAGCCCTGCACCTTGACCTCCTTATTTGTTCCTATTTGAGATCTTCCTTATTTCCTCCTCATCCTCCGCCGTCATGTGGTGGCTGCACCAAGAGTAATTATAAGAAGTATCACTAGGCTGGGCGGGGTGGCTCATGCCTGTAATCCCAGCACTTTGGGAGGCTGAGGTGGGCGGATTACCTGAGGTCAGGGTTTTGAGACCAGCCTGACCAACCAACATGGAGAAACCCCATCTCTACTAAAAATGCAAAATTAGCCAGGCGTGGTGGCACATGCCTGTAATCCCAGCTACTCAGGAGGCTGAGGCAGGAGAATTGCTTGAACCCGGGAGGCAGAGGTTGCAGTAAGCTGAGATTACACAATTGCACTCCAGCCTAGGAAACAAGCACGAAACTCTGTCTCAAAAAAAAAAAAAAAAAAAAAAAGAAGTATCATGTCTAGAGGCAGGGAGAGGAGCTTCATGGTTTTTAATGCACAATTTCTGGGATAACATGGTTATAGTCCTCTAAGCAGAAGAGAAGGCAGTATCAGGATCCTACGGGTATCTGGCCCTAGCTCAGACCCCTCCTTCATGGAGGTGCGATCCTAGCAGACTCTGCTCATTCCCAGCTGTTGCTGCTAAGGCGAGGTTTCTGAAGGCTCAGACAGAGCAGCCGCTCCCTTTTCCCACTCCACGTGGCACCACATCAATAATCATTTAAACACAGCCGGGCGTGGTGGCTCATGCCCGTAATCCTAGTGCTTTGGGAGGCCGAGGAAGGCAGATTACTTGAGGTCAGGAGTTCGAGACTGGCCTGGTCAATGTGGTGAAACCCTGTCTCTACTAAAAATACAAAAATTAGCCAGGCATGGTGGCGGGAGCCTGTAATCCCAGCTACTCGGGAGGCTGAGGCAGGAGAATCACTTGAACCCAGGAGGCAGAGATTGCAGTGAGAGGAGATCATGCCACTGCACTCCAGCCTGGGTGACAGAGCAAGACTCTGTCTCAAAAAAATCAAAACAAACCAAAAAACTCATTTAAACACTCTTCCTCCATAGCCATCATTGAACTATCGAAAAATAAGTCAGGGTAAAACCATTCCCATTATACTTTATACATATAGAGAAATTAAATGAAGCAAAAATAAAAGAGAGTTTACTCAGTATCAATCATAGTTAGAATGAATCCTAGGAAGTAACTGCATTGTAAAATTATACGGAAATCCGTAAGTTAAAGTTAAATCTTAGCTGTCAACAAAACATCATCTGTGAATTAAAGAAAGGTGAGTACATTTACTTGAGTACAAACATTATTCATTTCATCTGTACCAGGGACTAGTAAACCAGAAGCCAGCAAACCTATCATACCTGCCTCCTGTTCTCCACCTTGCTGAAGAGTCACATGCAGTTTTGCATGTTAGACTCCCCTCCTGGATAGATTTCAACGGCACAGGGGTTTGGGGAATTTAGGAAGTGTTGATGGCAGGAAGGTCCTTCAAAGAATTCTAACATGTTACCAAGAGTGCTGAGACCCAAATCAGCTAATGGCTATGTGGTATGATCAAATACAAGTTGGCCTAATATTGGGAGTGGTTACAGATAAATAGCTGCTTATATGAGATGACAAAGGACATAGGGAAGGTTTTCAAATGCTTCCCTCAGTGTTGACTATGTTGACAAAACTTTACAACTAGAGAATTCTTCCTTTAGGATTTTTTATTTTTATTTTTTAGTTTTCAAGAAGAACCAGTAAAAAAGAAAATATAGCAGGGAGCCACAACACTCATTTTTAAGCTATTATAAACCAACACCATATTACAGAGGTAACTGACATGATAAATCTGGGCTAGGTAGCTAGGTAGGAAGTGAAGAGTTCATGGTCCTAAGAGGATCTGATCCGGTGCTTCTTGGGAAATGGGAAAGACTGAAGACAAGACCTGCTACCTTCTCATTTTTTTGTTTTTTTCTAAAGAACAGCTCTGATTTTTCTCAAGGCAAACTAAAAAAAAGTCTAAGATAAAAAAGCAAAACCCATCTTCCCAAAGTTGCATGTTAGTTGCATTCCCTGAGCCCCTAGCTATATCTGAGATTTCCCTTTAGGGAAATTCCACAGGTTACAATTCCTTGGGTAGGGTCCCTTTAAGTTGTTGGTTAGAGACGTGGGACAGGAAGCGGAAGCGGAGGTCAGGCTGAGAGGAGATACCTAGGAAAGCCGGGGCACAGAGCAAAGCAGCCGTGGAGGCGTGCATGACCAATGCAGAGCCAGCCATAGACTCTTCCAAGCCTCCTTCGAGGAGGCCAGTGTGGGGAGGTGGAATATGTAGGGATGAACACCCACACTATGTGTGGAGGTATGTTTCACTTTAGGTTTTGATGAACTAAGACCTAAGAACTATCGAGTTTTCACAGTAGTTCCAAACACTTTCAAATACATAACCTAGTGGAGATTGTTTAGACAAGGTCCTTGCCTTCAGCATTTGATGATTCTATTTATAATTGAGAAATCAGAGGTGAATCTATCGTCTCAATAATTATGACAGGCGAAGTTCCATTCTTTCTAGGAAATCAAGCACTCCTGGTTAATGAGTTTTTAGAATGCAGAATTAATACCTTATCTTTTCTAAACTTTCATATTAAATCAACAACTTTCTACTGTTTTATATACAGCTAAGAATAAATAAGCACAGTTATAATAAGCATCAATTCTCATTAAATGAGAAAGCTTTAATTTAATTGATAGAGAAACCCTCTGAGTTTTTACCCCATTAGTTTTTCCCTTTTCCCTCTCTATCAATTTCTATCGGTTGCTAGTCAATTTTTTTTCTTTTTTGTTTTGCAAATTAACCTTCTCTCTGGTTCAGTTCCTTAGGTAAAAAATACTAGCAGTGCCTTACTTTAGGGAACTGAATATTCTGAGCTATAGCCAAGGAGAAAAGGTGATCACACGGTGGCCTTCCTCTACCTGGGTGAATGTTCCAAGGCTCCTCAGACACAGCTCTCCATTCTCTGCGCAGCCTCTGCCTTCCATCTGCCTCTGAACAAACAAACAGCTACAGGCAAAGTAGTAGCTCGCAACTCCAGTTTTGCATGGGAGTGACTCATGTCACAGAGAATGTGAGTCATTCTCTGCTCCAGGGGAGTTTACACTCAGGCTTAGCACAATCGTCCTTTTCCCTAGCCCTCCTCCCTTCCCTGCAAGCTTTGAGGACTTTGAACTCCATAAAACGATCCTATAGAATAAAAGAGAGTAGTGACAGGGTGTGTGTGTGCAAACTGTAGTGTGCACAGAGGCACCAAAGAAGTTGTAGACCTAACTCATCTGCAATTAAAGACTGCAGAAAAAATATGTGAGCTACTTTTAAATGAAGAATATTCAGCATAAAGAACAATTGGAAAAATTCAAACATGTATTATCTCCTCTCAATAAATACTATTTCCTCAAAAGAGCTGGCACAGTTGGCTGGGAGCGGGGAGCATTTTCCTACTCTTATGAAGATGGTTTATATTTGATTTGCATTTCAGATTTTTTTTTGTAAATTACTGAACATACATCATGTAGTCAGACCCATCTTAAGAAATGCCATCCTTCCTGCCATCCTAGGCACGCTCTCATGAGACTCCCTGCAGTGAGAGCTTGTGTCTAAATGTCAGATGTAGGACAGATATAAAGGACAACTTTGATCACAATTCTGGGCCAAAATGATTACCTTTTGGGTTCTTCTCCTATAATCATCTTTTTTCAGAGAGCTTGTGGCTTATTCGTTTGCTCAAAATAAAGCACATTATTTTTCATAAGAGAAAAAGAAACTGAGCTTATGTGATCTAAAAGTGTTAAAGTATAGCCAATATGTATTATTAGAAGCAAATATGTTCTTTTTATAAAAGACAATGCAAAAGCCTTTCTAGACATTATTTTTGTCAGAATCTGCCAAAGAAAGAGAGAGAGATGGGCACAAGGAGTATTTCTCAGACGCCAAATCAAAGAGAAAAATCTTAGGAGAGATAAACATTATGTCATGTTTCTGAAACTTCCTGATTATACTTAAAGTAGACCATCTGTCCCCAGTGACGGAACTCACTGGATGAGACCTTGAGGAATGTAACTCTTTGTAAAATTTCTGAAACATTGAATTTGCTCCCCAGTAGTCCAACTTTGTAGCAAATCTGTTACCCAGATGTAAATTTAGAAGCATCCGAGTTCTTGGCTCCCTAAAGGAAGAATTTCAATTTAGAAGAGGCATTATAGACTCTAACAAGAGAAGAATGGCTCAAAACCTAAATTACCCCAAACAAACCGGGATGCAACATAAGGGAAGTAAGTGGAGAATTCAGCATTAGGGAAAGGTGAATATGAGCTGCTCTTACCACTGAGAGAAAAATACTGTTACTGCAAACAAAAATGAAACTCACAAATATGATCCAAATGTTAAATGTATGCTCTGGTTTTGAAGAACAAATTCATTCCTCACTAAGCATTTTCCTAAGCGTCATTCAGTACATGCACAAACTCAAACTTGACATGACATCTACCAAAGGCGTGTGTGTGTGTCTGTGTGTGTATCTGCCTGTATATCACCAGTCTTCTACAAAGAGGC
Organism: Homo sapiens; assembly: GCF_000001405.40. Taxonomy (NCBI): domain Eukaryota; kingdom Metazoa; phylum Chordata; class Mammalia; order Primates; family Hominidae; genus Homo; species Homo sapiens. Next base: position 97,140,274 of record NC_000013.11, on the reverse strand, counting down.
AGATGGTACTAGGGAAAAAAAGCTGACAGAGAACCGCAATATAAATCGTGATACAATTCTTAAGTTGAGTAAAAATGGGACAGGAGAATCGTACAAAAATTCAGCAAGAAAAGCTTGAAGGAAAAAAAAAAAAAACCGTGGAGGAAATGGTGGAAAGCATCAGGAAGTGGAGCAAGCTTGGAAAAGTGAAGTGGGAGAAATGCTGAGTGACAGATGCCATGGACCTGTAAGGGAGGCAAGAGGATGGGTCCAGCCTATGGAAGAAAGCAGAAGAAGGGAACAGCCACTTGTGAAATCCCAAGAGGTAAGAGAGATAGAGGAAGTGATGGCTGAAGGTCAGGAATGTGGCATCCTCCCTGCCCACCACAGCTGCTGCCTCTCCCTGCTGTGATGGGGCTGAATGTTGGTAGTGAAATGGATTGATCAGCCTCCCAAACGTGCCTCATGGAGGCCTCTGGCTGTGGGGATCTTTGGAGTCTCAGGCAATATTCCCTCCATGTGCGTCTGAAGCTGGGCCATGACACACAAGGAGATTCTGTCCGCTCCTTGCACAGAAGCCCTCTGAGTGCACTTGGACATGGTGGTTTGAAAATCAAAAAGACTCCCCAAAATGAATCTGACATGTTCACAATGTCCCTAATAACCATTGTACTCATGGCAATTATCCCCTAAAGAGGTTTTATAAATCACTACATTGCTTTCACACTGCCAAACCAAGGTTGTAATTTTCCATTTCATTAGATTTATCATAGTTATGATAGTTTCATATAATGAACACCATATACCCATCACCTAGAATTTTAAAGTGTTAGCATTTTGCTGGATATACTTTAATTTTTTAATGTAGTATTTAAAGTAAATTCAAGATACTACATTTTACTTCTGAAGACTTTAGTAGCATCTCTATAAACTAATCTTGTTCTATATAATCACAATACCCATAGGGCACCTAACACAATTAATAAGACCTGCATATCATATCATCCCTGTTCTCTATTCAAATTTCCCCAGTTGTTGCCCCAGTGAGTTTTATGACTCATTTATTCAAAGCAGAAGCCAATCAGTGTTCACAAATTGCATTTACTCATTATATTTCTTTATTCTCTTTTAACCTCGATCAGCCCATCCACACCTCCTTCCCTGCATGTTTCTTTTCATGTTCTTGACCAGGAGGAGAGACTAGCAGGGGTCTTGGGGAATGCTCTACCTTCTGGATTTGTCTGATTATTGCTCATTGAGTCATTTATCTTGGTTCTCTAACCCCTATATTTTCTATAAACCGGAAGTTAGATAAAATTTATTGTATACATTTGGCAAAATGACTGCACAGATGCTGCTGCATACTTCGTAGCAAATTGCATCAGGATCCACAGGTGGTCCTATTTTTCGTGATGCTGAAAGTGATCGCTGGGATAAGGTGATGGTAACCTGATCAACATAGCTAGCATAATCCTACCTCTTAATGCTCAAACTTGCCAAATAAACTGCCCACTGGCAAAGTTTTCTGTGCTTATAGCAGTCACAAAGCCCAGGCCAAAGTCTCCCTTGGCTCCTTTGTCCCATGCCCCACCACTCTCCCCTTTCTTGGACCCTTCCCATTGGGCTAGACCAAGAGACCATTATTCTGTTTCTTGTGCTCGTGGAATGATTGGCAGCAATAAGGGCTAGCATAAGTATCCAGTGAAGTCGAGTAGAACTCCAGCACCTAGTGTGCCAAAACAGTAGGTATATTTAATGAACTAATTAATATGGGCTAATCTAGTTTGATGGGAGAGTGGAGGGTGCTATGGACTGAATGTTTGTGTCTTCCACCAAATTCCCATGTTGAGGCTGGGCACGGTGGTTCATGCCTGTAATCCCAGCACTTTGGGAGGCCAAGGCAAGCCAATCACTTAAGGTCAGGAGTTCAAGACCAGCCTGGCCAACATGGTGAAATCCTGTGTCTACTAAAAATACAAAAATTAGCCAGGCGTGGTGGTGCACACCTGTAATACCAGTTACTCAGGAGGCTGAGGCATGAGAAATGCTTGAACCTGGGAGGCAAAGGTTGCAGTGAGCTGAGATTGCACCACTGCACTCCAGCCTGGGTGACAGAATGAGAATCTGTCTCAAAAATAAAAAATAAAAAATTTCCATGTTGAAACCTAACCTCCAACATGACGGTATTTGGAGGAGGGGCCTTTGGAAGGTGATTAGGTCATGGAGGTAGGATTAATGCCTTGATAAGAGGTCCCAGAGACTTTCCTGGCCTCTTCCCATATATGAGGACACAGAGAAAGGATAGCTATTTAGGAACCAGGAAGTGGGCCCTCACCAGACACCAAATCTGCCGATGCCTTGATCTTCAACATCCCAGACTCCAGAACTGTGAGAAATAAGTTTCTGCTTGTAAGCCACCCAGTCTATGATGTTTTTGTTAGAGCAGCCTGAACAGACTCAGACAGAGGGCATAAAGCAGAAAAGAGAACACAAAGGAGTGGACATTTTATGGGAAATGGAGGGATGAAAGCCAACATTTTTGGAGACTTTTTTTAGACTTGTAGCGTCATGTAGTATGGTAGCTAAGAGTTGAGACTCTAGAATCAGGAGACCAGGATTCACACTCCAACTGTCGTCTTTTCTGGCTGTGTGCTCCTGGGTACCTAATGTAACATCACTGGACCTTGTCTTCTCACCAGTAACTGCACATTAAGGAGACTTTCCTAGTCTGGCTCCTTGGCAAATAACGGTATGTAAAGTTCTTAGCACAGTGCCAGGCACACAGGAAAAGATCACCATATAGAGGTTGCTACTATTGCTAAATCCAGCAAGGCATTCAGCAGTCATTTGCTGGTGCCTATTTTCCCATTAAACTCTCACAAGAGATGTCTTGGGAAAGTCTGGAGTGAGGGAAACCCATTAGAATCAGTCATTGTATGGAAGTCAGGAGTTTTGGTCAGAAATTCCCCCAATCTGACCTGATCCAAGTGATATGGCTTGGCTCTGTGTCTCCATTCAAACCTCATCTCCAATTGTAATCCACAGGTGTTGAGGGAGGGACCCAGTAGAAGGTGATTGGATCACGGGGGTGGGGGGTGGGGCGGTGGTTTCCCCCATGCTGTACTCATGATAGTGAGGGAGTTCTCATGAGATTCTGGTTTGATAAGTGTCTGGTGTTCCCCCTGCTCACTCGCTCTCACTCTCTCCTGCCTCCATGTAGGACATGCCTTGCTTCCCCTTCTGCCACGATTGCAAGTTTCCTGATGCCTCCCCAGCCATGTGAAACTGTGAGTCTATTGAACCTCTTTCCTTTATCAATTACCCAGTCTTGGGTAGTATCTTACAGCAGTGTGAAAACAGACTTACACAGCAAGTATGGGTCAGAAATAGGTGCAAGAACAGCTAGAATGGAAAACTGTCTCTTCTTTAATGACATGGGGCTGGGGGCTTCCCAGATGCAGAATTGCCTCTTGCTCTTTTCCACCATGGGGATTCTAGGGGCCTGAAGCTCTCTCTTTTCCTTTAATCTCCTTGGGGAATACTTTCTGTATTCAGCAGGCCTATGGGTGACGTATGGCACACACCAACATCAATGGAACGACTCCTCAGCTCAGACAGCCTAGGATGCCAAATGCCAGGGAGAAATGTGGGAGTGCCCACTGCAGGGTGCTTAGGGGGTTTGGCAGGCAATGGGATGCTCTCCTTCTCCTCTGCAATGACTGGCACTAGACTTCCTGGCTCAGTGCGTGCCTCTCAAACAAGAAACCTCCTGTTCCTTTGGGACTTTCATAATGTGGTATTGCATTTCAATAATCAAGGCACTTTTTATTCCATAAAAGGGAAAGTCAATAACTTCTACCACTTACAGTTTTACTCTGATAGGAATTAAAGTTGAAGCTTTTCCATTTCATTGAGCCACCCACAAAAGGGAGAGAGAAAAGCACTGAACTCTTCAGAAAGCCCACGTTTGAGCAAAACAACCAAATAAACATTCACACTGCAGCTTTAAGATAATTTTCCTGAGTTCCACTTTTAACTTTCAGTGCAGCTTGTCAGGAGGCTGATCTCCTTCATTTGGGGCAGGTTCTATAGGATATAGCTCTCGAAAGAATGAGATACAAGTCAGCAGATATTTATTAGGCACTTATGACATTACCAACCTTAGTTACCAGCCTTAGGTGAATGTCTCCCAGGAGCTTTAGAAGGCACTTGAATCATGAGACATTTCCCCCATCTCTGAAAAGCATGAAGAATGCGTGTGGGGAGGGTGAAGGGCTTGGCAGAGAGAAAGAGGACACTGAAGGTGATCAGCCCCTCTCTCCACCTCCAGCATATTGGGAAGGCATCCGTCTTCATCTCATTACCAACTCGTCAAAACAGCACCATCTGGTCACCTGTTTTGCAGAGGCAGCCCCCATTTCCACTTTTAACAGCATTGCATGGAGCAGGGGATAGTGGGGGAAACCAGTGGCTGGGAGTCCTATGCCACTCTCAACATGAATGCTTACAGGTACGCTGGCACACACTACCAATGAAAAGGCTTTTTTAAAATAATGATTCATTGTGAGTGGTTTCCTTCAATTTTTTTAATAAAAATCACTAACTATTTTGGTCGCTTTTAGGGCTTCTGATCACACATTCTGCAGACTCCTGGAAGCCTTAATAGCCACTAGCCTGTACAGTCCATAGGAACATGATCATTTTATTTATTGATCTCTCTCCATCACCTAAGCACAGTTCTGGGCTCACGGAAGGTGCTCAGCTGTTTCTTGCGGGAATGAACAGAAATGGTCATTAACATGAAATGAAGGATTCTATGATTTCTTTCATTAATTGAATGCTTACTATGTGCCAGGGATTTCTTTCCCTATGTTATTTCACTGGCTTCTCTCAACCACAATATGAGGTAGCTATCCTCACTTAAGCACGAGAAAAATGAAGACCACAGAGGTTTCACACAGGTCGAAAGTGGTGGAGCTGATATTTAAATACAAGTCCATCTAGGCCCAAAGTCCAAATTGTAAACACCATGAAAAGAAAAGGCAAAAGCTAGGGAGAGAGAAAGAAAAAGTGGAAAAATGTAAATGTTATCTTTAAAAAACTTTTTTTTTTTTTTTGAGACAGAGTCTCACTCTGTTGCCCAGGCTGGAATGGAGTGCTGTCATCTCAGCTCACTGCGGCCTCTGTCTCCTGGGTTCAAGCAATTCTCCTGCTTCAGCCTCCTGAGTAGCTGAAACTATAGGTGCATGCCACCACACCTGGCCAAGTATGTTTGTTTTTGCTTTTGTATTTTTAGTAGAGACAGGATTTCACCATGTTGGCCAGTGTGGTCTCGAACTCCTGACCTCAAGTGATTCACCCGTCTTGGCCTCCCAAGGTCCTGGGATTACAGGCGTGAGCCACCGCATCTGGCCATCTTTAAGAGACTCATAACCTCTCTAGAGCAACAAGACACACTCTCATGAAATAATTAAATAATGCAACACGCAGCACAATAAGTTGCCTAAAACAGTCACTCAAGTTCAGTTAGCAAATGCTAAGAGAGGTCAAAGCTGGGGCAGATGAATGCCACTGTGTATAATCAGGGAAGCAGTGAGGTTTCAGGTGGGCTTAGAAAGCATTATGCTTTCGATGGGAGGTACTGTGAGAAGCGGACTGTGGTGGGGTGGAAGGGGTACAGTGGAACCACACTAGCAGATATGCGGCAACTGGTGTCATTCAGTTTTAACATGCCTGGCCTCACTGGAGCGGGTGCTGAGTAACATTGGGGAATTACAGTATGTAAGGGGGAGAGGTGGGGAGCAGAAGGGTTACAAGCTTGGTAGACCTTCAAGGATAAGATAATGCATATGGATTTAGGCAGAAGAAGCCACCGAACACCTTGATCAAGCAAGTACCGTGGTGAAAGCAGAGTTTCAAGAAGACTTTCAGGCGGTGGGCAGGATTCACTGGAGGCAGGGGCCTGGAGGCAGAGAAAGCCTCTGATTTTTCAGTCTCCAGGGAACTTGAGGAAAAGCGGAATGTCTCCTTCACTTAGCCACACCTGAGGGCATGGACAGCTCCATGGAGAAGCACAGACATTTGCCAAGGCTGGGACCAGGGTTAGATGTGGGTAAATATTTGCTTTGCCTCAGCTGGAGAAGATGGAATTTTAATAAAGAGGCAGCGTGACTCATGTCACAGAGTGTATCAACAATTCTGGAAAGAGCCACTCCAGAAAATGTCAAATGGCAGGCAGTCACTTGATGAGCTTCCAGGAAGGACCCCTCTGACACTTGATATACACACATGCGTGCACATGCACACACAGACACATGCACACTCATATACATGGACACATATACACGCACACATATACACACTTAAACACATTCACATGCATACATATACATTCACATACACATTCACACATGTGCACTTTCAGTGGCACCAGCACCACTCTGACCTGTGGTGTCACTCTGGGTCCAACAGCATCTCCTGAGGATACCTTGCTCTGCTCTCACACTTGTCCCAGAGCCCTTGCAGATGCAGCTTTCCTGAAAGCAGTGCCGTGTGTTTGGTTGTGATTATAGGAGACCAAGGGCCAACTGGACTGTGCCCTGTGACACTTTCGCAATGAAATCTACCACAGCATCTGCAGAGGGCAGAATTCTGAGGTGCCCCCCACCCAGGGTCTGGCCTACAGTGTCCTGCCCTATGTGATTCTCCTCCTTAAGGGCTGGTGGACCTGGACTTGCTTCCAAGCCATGGAATATGCAAAGGAGATGGGATGTCACTCCCATAATGATGTCCCATCACTATATATATATATGACTTGCAAGTAGAGAAAGAGATGCTCTCTTGCTGGCCTTGATGAAGTCAGATGTCACATCATGGAGAACCAGTCAGAAGGCCGATGGAACCCAGGGTGAGTGGCCCCCCCAGCTGAAAACCAGCAAGAAAACAGCCACCCAGTCCTACAGCCATAAGGCGATGGATTCTGTCAGCAACCTGACAATGAGTTTGCAAGTGCATTCTCCCTTGGTCAAGCTGCTGGATGAGAACATGGCCCAGCCAACGCTTTGATTATAGCCCTGTGAGAGCTGAGCAGAGGGTCCAGTTAAGCCATGCTGAAACTTCTGATTCAATAAATTGTGAGACCATAGATAAGTGTTGCATTAAGCCACAATTTAGTGGGAATTTCTTGTGCCATAAGAGATAATTAATACAGCCCTCATCTTCCCATCTTCCACAGGAAGCCCAATATAGTTGTGTGATATATTGGGATACAGATCCCCTTAAAAAAAACAAATAAAAAAACCTGGAAGGTCGGAGCACAGTATAATGTTAAACATGAGAATATGAAGGCTAAAGTTGTCACTAACTGACTATGTAACTTGGTCAAGTGATATTCTTTCTCTGGGGCCCAGTTCTCTCCTGAATTTGATAGAATGAGGTGAGATGGTCTTTAAGTTTTCTTTCAACTCTAATAGATTCTGATTTATAGAACTGATGATCGAATGAACAATGTGGAGCATCTATTGGTGTGGCATGCTGAATGTTATTATACTTTATCTCATTTCAACTTCAAAAAAGTGCATCTTTGAGATTTTTACTGGAGTGCCTTGTAAAGATAAGTAAACTGAGGTTGAGAGAAGTTTAAGAATTTGCTCAAGACCACAAGCTCTAAAGTGGGAGAGTGGGAAATCGGACTTTCGATCTTTCGCTGGATTACATGCGCCAGAGCCCAGGAGAAAGTCTATTCAACTATCTCACTAGAAGCAATCAGGGAGAGAGAGGGAGAGAGAGGGAGAGAGAGGGAGAGAGAGGGAGAGAGAGGGAGAGAGAGGGAGAGAGGGAGAGAGGGAGAGGCAGAGAGGGAGAGGGAGAGAGGGAGAGAGAGAGAGGGAGAGAGGGAGAGAGAGAGAGGGAGGGAGGGAGAGAGAGAGAGAGAGAGAGAGAGAGAGAGAGAGAGAGAGAGAGAGAGAGAGAGAGAGCGAGCACGAGTGCTCAGAAAGGGGCTTGGAGTTGCAAAAACCGAGTAGAGGGCCATGTAAGTGGTAATTCAATCTGACAGCTAAGACTGAATAGACTGCCAGTGGTGGCTTTGAAAAAGTTAAATCATCAGGAAAGTTCATCAGAGGTCATTTTAGAGTGCAGAGAAGGAAAGAAATTAGGAATTTAGGAGAGTATCTTCCACCATGCCCTAAACACCGATTGTTCTAAATTGTTTTTTGTGGCCTAGACCTCTCTCCCCAACTCCAGACTTATCTCTGCAGCCCTCCTGGTGGTCCCAATTTCCAACTTATCATATTCAAAAACCAAACTCATGGTTTCTGTTACCGAAGGCACCTTCGTTCTTGGTCCTTTATCCTGGTAAAATGATTTATCATCCACCCATAGGGTTTTCAATCTCAGCAACCCCCTTTGCTTATTTCTTGTGTCTTACTCGTCACACAGACCTGTGAATTTCACCTCCCAAAGGTCTTGAGTCAATCTTCAACTCATTATCTTAACTCAAATTTCCATCGTTTCTCTACTGGGCTATTTCAATGCCTCCTCACTAACCTCCCTGTTCTTCAGCCCACCCCTTTACTCCTTTCGTAAACAAGTTCATTTTCCACACTGATTCCAAAGTGAACATTCAAAAATGCAAGTCACAGTTACAGCCCTGTAAAGACTCTCTCCAGCACTAACCGGATGCATTTCAAACTCCTTGATATGGCATGCAAGACACTTGCTATCTGGCTTCTGCCTCCTTCTGCAACCTCATCTCCTACCACACTTCTTCTCATCCACTGAATTCTACCTTTGCTTATTGATCGTTCCATGTTTGTGTTCCTTTGCTTATTCTCTGCAATGTCCTTCTAAGTTTTGTCTATGTACTCATCTTTTCAAAGCTCATGTGTCTCATCTCCTAGGATGGGGACCCCTCCCAGAGCAGCTTCATTGCACATGGGGACCCCTCCCAGAGCAGCTTCATTGCACTTGCGGACCCCTCCCAGAGCAGCTTCATTGCACATGTCCAGAATATTATTCACATTGTATCCTAGGGGCTGTAAGTCATGTAGAATATCAGATACATAACCCCGCTAGAGGTGTACAGTAGGGCAGTACTGCATACCATCCTAAGTGAACTTGATCTCTCTCCCAAAATGAAGTCAATCTGGGAAGATATTTGTTTCCTTCTCTAGACATTAAGGTAAGCTCTTTAAATATAAAGACCATGTCTTATTCATCTTTGAATTCCTAATGCCCAACACAGTGACCCATGAATTGTAAGCTCAAAATAAATCTTTGCTGAATGACTGAATGAACAGTAGTATGCAGTCTTCAAGAATCAACATATGAGAGGACAAGAACATAAACTATCCATTCAGATTTAGAATCCAGAAGAAGGGACAGGATTTTGAGTCCAGCTTAAGTTGGGCCCTTCTGATGCACACCAAAGAGAACAATGCCAACTAATTGACTGGAATGCCATTAGTCTGATGATGTTGGTGCAGAAAAATAGAGCCAGTTTTTTCCAACTGCTTTTGATACACATACAAGGTATTTTTGCCCTTGGTGAAAATCTCAGTGGGCTTGATTCCAGCCACATGGAATGGATTTTTTTTTTTTTTTTGCCAACTTAGGAAAAACTTGGCCATTTCAGCACAATCTAAAACATGTCTGTAGAAGATAAATCAGTGTCTAGGTAGCTTTCTGGAGAAATGTAGGTAAATACTTAATTGTAGGTAAAATTTCCAAGACTAGGATAGTAGGAAAACTTCATTTTATTTATATATTAAGAAATCAGTCTTCCCATCCAGCCCTGTTTCTTCCAGCTGAACAGCTGAGTACATGAATTTTAGACTGCAGTAGAATCAGAGACTCTCCAGGGAATTTAAACTCAGTCACATGTCCAGAAACACATACATCTTCATATTGGGAAATAGGTTATAGAGTTTCTAGCCTTTCCCAGTTGGATATGGGCACTTTGGGGTGGGGCAGGAGAGAGAGAGAGAGAGATTATTCCAAGGCCCTTAAACTGGTCTGGTTTATTATAGAAATGCCACAGTCATATGCTCTGATACGATGTAAACCTACTGTCTGAGAAGAGTAGCTTCAGAATTGCAGGGCATATACAGTTTCTTCTTAGTCTCAGAACCATTTACCAAGCTTCTCCAGGGTCTCAATTGCCAGACTCATTAGGAATAGAAGTGGAATTCACTCAACAGCTCTAGACTAGGACATTAGGAAGACATGGCCTTACGCTCAAGAAGCTTATATTTACATTGGTAAACTCTTTTTTCTCACTTCACTTAAATATATCCACTACTCCTACTTTTCCAGAAAGGAGATTTGGAATCCTCAGGAATAGCCTGACTTTCAGGCTCATAGGTCAGTGTGTCTCTGAGAAGTATACTCCAGTCTGAGAGCTCCTGGAAGTAAAAGTTTTCTGGTCAGGAGCATCTCCATGAAAGGAAATCTCCATTAAGAAAAATGACTCCCTTACATACTGGATATGCCACTTGACCAGGGACTCAAAGGTCAGGATTACCACTCACTCTTAAAAGTCCCCAAGTGCCCCTTATATCTCTATGTCAAAGCTGATTATGCCAATCTAACCAGAGCTGATAGATCATACTGACTTGGCCATTTGAACCCATACACTTATGCCCTCTGGGATTTATGCTTTTAGAAATAAGCTAAACCAATTTATACATATGGCCATTCGCTTTGGGTACATGGTAGACAGCACTGTGTGTTGAAAACAAAACATTATTCAAACTTTTGAGGCTCATTAGGCTTCAAATGGGACAGATGAAACCTGACAGGTAGTATTACCTGAGGTGAACTGGACAGGTTTTTGGCACATGAGCTGAGGTGTTATTGAATGCAGGGAGAATTAAAAGAAGAGGCAAAGATCATACTCCAAAGAGGCAACATAATTTCCCAATGAGGCAATGATGTCCGCATGTTCTGCAGGTATGATGGTGAATGTTGACTATGTTATCTACAAAAGCCACCACATTGGGACTCACCATTAGCCCCTTTTGCCTAAACACATACTAAAACAGGACTGAACTCATAAACTCTTACATGTTACACAGTCGTCAGAAAGATTCTGACATATTAGGAAGTGTTAAAGACTGGAAGATGAAAGGAGCAGGATTTTAACCTGATTCTTGGACTAATCAACTAGAAGAATTTGGGCAAGTCATTTAAATTCTCTTGGTCTCATGTTTCTTATCCATTGACAATTTTTTTTTTTTTGTACAGATGACCTCCAAGATCCCTCCCAGCTTTGAATTTGGTTACTAGCTGATTTTCTTTTCCCCTGTACTCTGTATTCATTATCCTATATATCAAAAGACATGCCAAAAGGCTGAATCTTATTGCTGCAAGCCAGGGAAGAGGAGTATAGTTTACCAATATGTAAGGCAAGTTCCTTGGAGGTATGGGTGTAACCATAATGGGTTCATTGCCTGGTGCACACAGCAAGTCAATATGCAAAGACACCAAGTTGCAGCAGAGAAAAAGGCTTAATTTTAGGGTCATTGACCAAGGAGAAGGGAGGGAACCTCAAATCCATCTCTCTGAGGAATTTGGGGCTAGCGTTTTTAGGGGTTGGAGTGGGCTGAAGTGTGGAGACGGTTGATTAGTCGAAGAGTCCAGGGCGAAGTCATGGGACAGGGAGGGGAAGAAGCTGTGTTCTCATGCTGATCCCATTTCTTTGTGAGGGTCCTCAAACTGGTTGCTGGAATTCAGGGTCTGGAAAACATCTTAAATGACTGACCCTTAAACAAAAGCCTTATATGATTCTAATCTCAGAGATCCTGTCTATAGGAATAATACGAATGCAACTCAATTCTTAAGCAATCTTAGGACTCTAATGTCAGAAATCCTATCTAGAGGAACAACGGTATGCAAATAGTATCCAGTGCCATGTGACTTTTAGCAACAAGGAAGTGGACCAGATTGCAGCCTGATTAATTGTAACTATTTTTCTGTCCAGAACCAAGCATGCAATTCTTGTCAACCCTGTGGGGACAGTTTCAAGGACTGTGTCTTAATCATGTATTTTATTCTGAATGCCCAGCACAGTGCCCCACACAATCTAGAAGTCTGAAAAACTTAGGACATGAAAGGACAATTCCTAGTTAGAATGGTGGCTGGGAAGTGGTTGCACAACTAGACCCTCTTGCCTCCAGGTGGGGGCATGTGACTAGTTTTTGCAACTGAGTATGAACTTGTAAACCGAAAGTAGAATTCTAAGGCCCACAACCAGCTGAATGGACATCCCTACCCCTACTCCCTTGGCCAATAGGATCCTACAGAAACCTGAAAATCTAGATCAGGCCATGACAGAAGAGTTGGGGGTGGGGGTCAGGCATGCCTCATTGTACCCCCTCCCTCTGGAATTCAGGCACAACTAACCAGGGTTAACAGTAAAACAGATCCTAAGACTGACAACACAGACTCTTTGTGGCAGTAAGATACAAAATTCCAACCTGACTCTGGTATGGTATCACAAGACAGATAACAAACCCTGAAGGAAATCAAAGTACTTTACTGCAAAATATATTTATTTGACCTATTTTGAAATGGCCATGCAAATTGTGGGGGAAATTTGCATTCTGCAGAGCATCCCCTTCCCTTTCCAGGATCCAAGAGAGATTTAACTAAGAGTCTCACACCTTTTAAGATCCTGTAAGAGACATTTACCATCTATCCTCTCTGAAGTCTGCTACCTGGGAGCTTCATCTATACAACAAGAACTCTGGCTTCCACAACCGCCCTTATCTTACCTCAGACATTTCTTTCTCCCGACTTCAATTCTTTAGGAAAAGCTTAACTTTTTCAACCAATTGCCAATTAGAAAATCTTTGAATCCACTTATGACCTGTGAGGCACCCCCCTCCTTCACCCAGAGATCCTGCCTTTCTGGACCAAACCAATGTATACCTTCCATTAATAATTTATGTCTGTGCCTATAACTTCAGTCTCCTTAAAAATGTATAAAACTGAGCTGTAACCCAATTACCTTGGGCACATATTCTCAGGACCTCCTGAGCCTGTGTAAAAGGCCACAGTCACTCACATTTGGCCCAGAATAAATCTCTTCCAACATTTTACAGAGTTTACCTTTTTTGTCAATGAACTCTAGTGATATGTGTCCCTTCCAAGACAAGTGGATGTACCTTCTTCACCCTTAGAGGCCATGTGCTGAGGACGATGGAGTTCCTGGGTCCCTGAATGTCCAAGTGGAGCTGAGCACCCCATTCCCCACTTGCACCAGACTTCTGAGAGAACTTCTATTACAATAAGCCACTGAAGTTTGGGGGTTGATTGTTATAGCAGCTGTTTTGCTTTAATGAGCACACAGAGTAACAACTGCCTGAGTGCCAAAGCACATTAGATTTGCAAGAGACGGCAGGATGGGGCAGGAGGAGGGAAGAAGAGGGACCAGAGACTAAGCAAGCCTGGTCCAAAAGCCAAGGTTACTCCCTTATTCTGAAGTCTAGGAGAAGCAAATCAGAATTTGATGGCCTTTTAATACAGAAAATACTGTCTTGAGGTTTGAGTATAGTACTTATGATTTCTATTTTAATGACAAGGAAACTGAGGCTGACAGTGACTAAATAATTCATCCCAGAAACAATAAATGAGTGGCATGACTAATATATAAACCCAGTTTGGCTCCCAACCTTGTGTTCTTCCCCCACATACACAATGACTCTTGGTTTCATTCTTACTGCCATGTAATAGAAATAGCAACCTCTCACTTGTAGGGCCCCTGTCTGCTTCGGCACAGGGAACTCCTTCACACCTGTCCATACTTCCACGAGGAAAGGGAGTGCTGTCCTCTTCTCCACGACCACAGCAGATCTTGTTGTACCCCAGGCCTGCCTCCTGCCTCCAGGGTGTGCAGTCTTCCAGATTTCTTGTTAGAACAGGAAGGCCTGGATGGAACCCCAAGCCCATAGGACCCGTGCTAATGTCCACACCCTCAGCGCCTGAGGCCAGAAATGGGCAAAGAGCCAGACCAGGTAGTGTGGCCAGCTGATCCCATTTGAACACAGGACCTTCAGTTAAAACTGGGAACAGAGGATGAGTTAGTCACTACACTTGCTTTTCCGCAGAGAGGCCAAGGCTGGTGTTGGAAGAGCAGAGACCCTCCTGCTGGGTGGAGCGCAGATGGGCAGGAGCCTCTGGTGTATGGCAGGGGCTCGCAGCCCTTCTTGCAAGTGTAGAGTTACATAATGACACGAAGATGGATATGATTCATCAGCCCCGCGAGGGGAGGAACACACACACACCTAAATATAATTTACAAGTGGCGCCTCTTGATGGTATTGCACAACCGAATTAGCTCCTTAAAAAAAAAAAAAAACACCCACTTTAAAGCACAACAGATGATCTGTACTTATGCTCCAAAGCATAAAAAGTTTGCTCTGGTGGCAGAAATGCCTGAGACAAACAGGACAGACAGAATTTGGATTTAGTTCTGAGAGAATTGTCCTTGTTACTGCAAAACACCCCATGTCCCAGACGACTTCCAAGATTAAAGTCCTGATCCGACTGTATGTATCATATGCCTGGCTTTTCACATGACCACTTACTTATTTGAGAGCTCACTAAGTACACCTAATTCCCTCCACCACAACGGGAAGATTGATAATGACTAACAGAAGACAGGGGGCGTGTCGGGTTTGTGAAAGCTTGCATCTGGACTGGTAGAAATCTCAGCTGTATTGCAGAATGATTGATTCCTCCAGGGAGAAGCAGGCTCATGGGGGAGGGGAGGATTGTAACAGCCAAGGGTACTGCAGTTTCAAACACCTAGAACTGAGAACTGGGGGTGGGGTGGGGGCTGGCTCTGGAAGCACCCCCGGAGTGCTGCCCTGCTGAGTTTATTTTGAAAGTCTGTTTTGAATTTGCAGCACTGCCTCTTTAGGAGGGTATTTTAAGATGCTCTGCCAACCCACAAGGCCTCCAAGTAGCTTTTGTTTCTGTACTCACACAGATGAGGAGCTAAACTAATTGAGAGAGTGACCCAAATTTGTGAGTATCACAGAGTATCACAATTGGCCTGAATTCCTGCAGCCTCTGCATGAGTCTATATTCATGTCCATTTGGAAGTCGCCCCTGGAACCCTTGCAAAAATGTCCTCACCCACATATAATCAGCAAACATATTATCAGTTCCCCCTCCTAAGTGGTGATGTCGCAAGGTCCCATGAAGAATTTCAAGGGCTAAACTCTTTCTGAGGCTTTTGTTCATATAAACACAGCTTAGCAAAACAATTACTGTTTTCTTTCTTTGTTCATTAACAGCACAGTGCAGCTTGTACTCAGATATCTTCCTTTAATCGAAATAATTTGGGTGTCCTGGTGTTGATCTACCCAAGGTTGTAAGAGAAGAAGATTCACCTTACAACCTTGAAATGTTTTCATTTTCACTCCTCCAAGCACAGTTTTCTAGGCAAGAGCACTTCAAACCATTGTCATAATTCACGGAAGAAAATAAAAGGGGAAAAGTCTCTTTGCTCCCCTGCCTAACCCCGTCCGTCCTCCGCCCCAACACACACGCAAGAAAAGGGAAGAGGCATCTAAGGTAAGGGACAGGAGTGCAGGTCCTACCGGGGGCCTGTCGGAGAAGGCTTGTTTCAGATGGGCATTTTCTATTTAGTTTATAGGTCTCTTTCTCCCTTTTCCTTATTCCCAGCTTCCAATCTCCCTCATGATTAATAGATACGCCAGAAAGCTTCTTATTCTCTCTTTGGGAATTATGCTTATAAAAAAGAGTAATTTGTGCAAAAAAGCAACTTGCTGAGAGAAGGTGGGCAGGCAGAGCTCAGGAGCTTGTAAGGAAAAGGTTCGATGAAGGCGTGTGGGTGGCCTGCCAAGCACCACATGCAGGAGTTGGTGGGGACAGAAGGAGTCATCTAGGCCTGGGCTATTGGGGGCACACTCACCTGCATTGCATCAGTGTCTGCCCAGAGTCTCATCTCCAGATCAACTCAATGGCTGGCCAAATCCCAAGTCAGTCTGATTTCTTTCTTTCTTTTTTTTTTTTTTTTTTTTGCTGGAGTCTCGCTCTGTTTCCCAGGCTGGAGTAGTACAGTGTTGTGATCTTGGCTCGTTGCAACCTCTGCCTCCTGGGTTCACGTGATTCTCGTGCCTCAGCCTCCCAAGTAGCTGGGATTAGAGGCACACACCACCACGCCCAGCTAATTTTTGTATTTTTAGCAGAGATGAGGTTTCACTATGTTGGCCAGCTGGTCTCAAACTCCTGACCTCTAGTGATCTGCCCGCCTCAGCCTCCCAAAGTGCTGGGACTATAGGCATGAGCCATCACACCTGGCCTGGTCTGATTTTTTTCTGAGGCATAATTGAAATTGGGGTTCAGGGATGGTGTGTTGGGGCAGCATTGCATTGAGACATTGCACTGGGGGCAGAGAGACTGAATCAAGCACTAAATAGAAACTTGGAGAGAAAAGTGGGAAGAAAAAGGAAGAAGAATATTGAATTTCCTTGAGCCTTGCTGGTCTACTGGCCAGGAGCATTGACATCTGCTGGAAACTCATTAGAAATGCATAACCTCAGGCCTCAACCCAGACCTACTAAAAAGGAACCTGCATCTTGACAAAATTCCTATGCACGAGAGAATATGAGAAGTGCTGACCTGGGTTATCACCTGGGAGCTTTGAAAAACGACCTCCACCTATTTCCCATCCTCAGGGCCTCCCGGTCAACTGGTCTGAGGCAGGGCACAGGCCTGAGTACTTTTTAGAAGCTCCTCAGATGACCTTAATGAACATCCATGGTTGAGAACCAGTAGAGTGCAATACAGCAGTGGTTCTTGAAATGTGGTCTTTAGGCCAGCAGCATCACCTTCACCTGAGGACCTGTTAGAAATGCAGATTATTGGGCCCCATCTAGACCTACTGAATCAGAAACTCTAGAATTGGGGGCCAGCAATCAGTATTTTAACAAACTCTCCAGATACTGGTCCAGCTTTGAGAACAACTGTTATAGAAGTATCCAAAGCAGAAATAAGAGCTATAAATGCATTCAATTCTACTACTCAAAAACCTCTGGAAAATATCCATCACCTGTGATATGAAGTCCAGACTTTTCAAATGACATTCCAGGCTCTCCATGAATTAATCCAGCATGCTTTTCAAAACATATCTCCATACTTTCCTTGAACACATGCTTTTAAAATGAGTGGATCGGATACTAGAGTCCCTTCCAGCTATAAAATTTAGTGATTCTGTGCTTCCAAAGCTATACCTTAGGCTAAATTCACTATTTCCCTGAATATGACAATATATTAATAGATGCTTACCTTGTTTGTCTACACAGGTGTCTCTCTCTTTCCATCTTCCCAGGTCAGGTGCTGCTCATTCTTCAAGGTTAGGTAGAAATGCTACCTCATCTACTAATTGGTTTCCCCAGCCAGAATGAACCTCTCTCTCTCCATATTTTTCATATCACTTGCTCATCGCATTCACTTCATTGTTTTCTATTAGTCATCTGCTTGATGCTTTGGCTCTCAGCCATATTTACTGTTTCTTGAAACAGAACAGTGTTTTATTCTTTCTTCTTTAACCACTCCCTGCCTTTGGGTGTCTAGCACAACCCTCTGCACACAGAAAGTGGCATATAAATATTGATTGCATTGAAACGAATGGGCTCTCAAGACAATTGAGACTCTATGATGAATCATGACTGGTTTTTCAAATACAGTAAGCAAGCAGAGAATGCTAAACCAGCCAACAAGAGCACAAATATCATGAGTCTAATGAAGGTGACTCTGTTCCCGTGATTTGGTTTCAAAATAAGTCTAAGTCGCATACTCAACTGAAATCCAGAAAAAGGAATGATATCAAATTTTATACTGGCTGGTCCACATGAGTCACTGAATAATTATTTTGTTAGATAAATTTTTAGATGGATATTGATAGAAAAATTTCAAGACAAAAGATCTTGAGAACTAAAGAGTCTTTATTTTTTTCACCAGTGTGTACTAAATATAACCTTTCTTGAAATTTAATATGGATTAACACTCCCAGACACATTACAAATTTTATCTCTTTATCTTCACAACCCTAAGAGAGAGGTATTTTTGTTCTCCTTTTCCCTGGATAATCTTGGGCTCCAAGAGGTTAAATAAATTCCTCAAGGGCTTCTGGCCAGATAAGAGGCAGGATAAGGAGCCACACTCTGATCATGCCAAGTCCAGACAGAACCTTTACTCTCTACTATAAGAGAGTAAAGAGCAAGATGCCTGGTATTTCAAAGATTTCTAAATACCTATTCATCCTATGTGACTAAGTAGACTGTGTGTTTATTTCTCCTTTTTGTGTTTATGTTGTTAACTATATGCTTCTAGATAGTAAGGCAACAAGCCTTATGAGAATGGTTACTGATGTGCCTTTTTGTTTGTTTGTTTGTTTGTTTTGAGACAGAGTCTCGTTCTCTCACCCAGGCTGGAGTGCAGTGCGGTGATCATGGCTCACTGCAGCCTCGAACTCCTGGGCTCAAGAAATCCTCTCTCCTTGGCCTCTCAAAAGTGCTAGAATTACAGGCATGAGCCACTGTGCCTGGCTACTGATGTGCCTTTTCCTGAAGAGATTAAAGTGGAGAGGAGGAAAGAGAATAAGAATGTGGAAGGAAGAAACGAAGTCCATCTTCTAGGTAGAGTGGGATAGATCTGAAATGCGTCTGATGTTTCTTTAAGAATACTACATGAGGAAGATTTAAATTTGTATCTGGTAACATACAGCACAAACATAGGCAACACAACCTACCAAAGCATGTCAAGGGCAAAAGGCAGTGGCTTCCAGTAGTCAGTTGCAGGCACTGTCACCAATGTGCTGAAGAAGTCTACAAATTGAATGATTTTGTCCTTTTACCTTCCTTTATCAACAGCACCGCCAAACTCTGTTCCTCAAAGTGCTGTCTCATTTCCTCCAGCTCTAGAATCTTTATGTTTTTGGAACATCTCCCTATAGAAGGAATCATCTCCCTTCTTGTTTCATAGTTTTTTACATTTAAAAATGACCTCTTGCCCCACACGCCCACTTCTCAATCTTCCACCTTTATTCAGGACTGCCAATTTCTCACTGGGTGATAGAGTCATTTTACACTAAGGAGTGAATGACTAATAAACATTTCCAACCAGAGGAATGCACCTGAAAAAAGATATATATAAGACAATAAGAAAGAAATGATGATTAAGTGAGTTTTCAAGTAGTTAACATGTAGAATTATTTCTAGGTGGGGTCCAGGAATGGGTATATGTTTATTGCAGGGTGGACTGGGATTCTGATTCTCTCTGGTTGGTCTGAGAACAAAATTCAATATGGAAATTGAACTCAGAGAGGCTCTGATCCAAGTCAAGCACAATATAAGAACAAAGAGGCTGGAAAGAGAATCAGGAATGTTTAGGTCTAACCTGGAAAGAAGAGCTTAGTGCCACAAAGCAGAGACCAAATGGAGCAATGGAGGCAATAATGCCACCAATGGAAGTTGCCATGGAAACCCTCATCAGCAAGCAGGCAATTGGATTTTGGAAACTGACCGAAGCAAGACTTGATGGCAAGAGAGAGAAGAAAAGGATGAAGCCCTAAAATGAAGTCAGACATTGAAGACGAATGGAGTGACCCCATTGCCCTTGTGCCAAGGAAAGTGCACATCACTGGTACATGACTAAACATGACAGATCTGAACAGCCAATCTCTCCAGCCAGGAGGTCCATGAGCAAATGTGTGAGAATCTGCCTTTTGGTGGCATTACAGAGCTCATGATTCATCCTGCAGAACCATGTGATAGGTGGGTGGAATCTCTTTTAAAATATTTCCAAGAAGAATAGGTAGCATGTCCATACCTAATTTTTAGCAGAAATTATTTCTCCACTGAAATATTAAGAGCAGAGGCAGGTAAAATGATTACTGCCATGATTTTTCCCACTCAGTATCCCCTTCTGAATGTGGATATGAGGATTGTGCCAGCATACCAAAGATTGATTTCTCTGTTTTCTGGCTGAAACTGATCCTGAAATTATATGATTATATGGACTTACAACATTGGCACTCGTAATGCACATGGATTGGTTTTCCATAAATTATCACTTGAAGAAAAGTCTGTGGTACTAAATGTACACATGTGGTTACAAAAATTTTCCAGAGAGGAAAAGCCGAGAGAATGCCAGAGAAAAGAAAGAACTCTTTCAGCATCACACAGGAACTACAGAGGGCTGATTCAAAAGTGGAGTATACACATATCACTGATCCCTGAAATATGGAATGAGAGATTCCTCAGGACAATGAATACGCTCTTGGAAATAGTGTATATTAG
Organism: Homo sapiens; assembly: GCF_000001405.40. NCBI lineage: Eukaryota > Metazoa > Chordata > Mammalia > Primates > Hominidae > Homo > Homo sapiens. The sequence continues at coordinate 97,119,962 of NC_000013.11, read as the reverse complement.
AAAAAAGTAAAACAAGTTACCATGATGTAATATTGTATGTAGCAAGAAAAGAGCAGGTGCCATCAGGAATTTGAAGATCTGCCATGAGTGTTTCTGACCAGAGTAATGCTTCTATGTTCAATAATATAATATATATGCATTATGATCCTAGTAACTTCCTTTTGTAATTATAAGTTATATCCCAACTTGAGGCTGGCTACAAGAAGGACTTGAAGTGAAATGACAGGATAGAAAAATGCTATGCTTTTAAGGAATTGCTATGTTATTAGCTTAATGCTATAACCTTGACAGGCCCAACTGAGGAGTGTGCTGGGACTTCAAGTCCAGACTAGAATAGAAGAAAAGAGACTAGAACAAAAGAGGGATGAGGCATGACCAGGTCACAACAGCAAAGTTGGCGTATGATTTGTCACCTGGAGAGAGGGGGCGAGGATTTAATGGTTAATCACATTGACTGGAACCAAAAAGGAGATTATAGCCAAAGAATGAGTAAAGAACTAGAGCAGATGTTTCCAGGCAGTAGTAAATATTGAAGTTGAGTGATGGCAGCCCTTTGGTTCCAGAAAGGTTGTCCAATTCAGAGCACGACTTCAAGAGGTAGAGTAGGCATGAGAGTTAAGGGGTGAGAGTTAAGTTCCCTCATATGACAGGCCAGTAAAATTTAGGAAAGGCACCAAAGTCTTAGCCAAGTGGGCTGGGATCCACCACGTGGGGTTGAATGCATGCAATGGACCCAAAACACAAGCCAGGAACGTAAGCAGGCATGGAATCTTATAGATTTCTGCAACCACAGAGGGAATAAAAGGCTACATCTTAGCAAGCTTGAAGCTGAGACTTGGCTTAAAATCATTTCCATATAATAGACTGCCTGATTTGTGGTAGTCAAGGTTTGGTTGAGAAAGGAGAAACCACTGCAGATATTTCCAGCAGAAAAGATTTGATGCAGGGAGTTTAAGGTTCACAAGACCTTTGGGAGGCTAAGGGAACAAAGGTCAGTAAGAGCTGCTTTTAGAATTTAAGAAAACTTACAACTATAATTTGTCAATTAATAATTAAAAAGTAAAAATATTAAAAAAGAATTTAGGAAATCAGGAAGTTCAGGAATTGCAGGAAACTTTAATCAAGATCTCAGATGCCTGCAACAGCCCTATAGGTGATTTACAAAAGGACTCTTGGAAGTCATGGTCAAATCTCACGCAGGCCATCTGCAAAAGTCCCTAAACCTGACTGTTGCTGCCACAGGAACAATACTTCTGTCTCCTTCTCTTCTACCTCTGAATTTCACTTAAGATCTTCCTATTCACAGAATTGAAGGAGGCTTCTGGGAAATGTAGTTCCCAGGCTTCGAAGCCCCTGTGATCCAGAACACAGAAAGGGGGAAAGAGATAATCTGGCACAAGGCCTAAGTGAAAAACAATATCCCGAGTGGAGGTAAAGATGTGATACTAAAATAACTCCCAGAAATGGGTCAGATTGAAACAGGAATTTGGTAAGGCTGGGGCGTGGGATGAACACTGAGGAACAAAGTCCAGTAGATCCTGTGGAGGCAGCAGATGCTACGTAAGTGCTTGGAAGGACAGATTGAAGAGCAGGTGAGACCATGTTGGGTAAGACAAGCAAGATGGGGTGTATGGTGTGTGCAGTGCTACTACCTCCAAGAGCGACATGATCCACTTTATGTTCTAGAACTTTCATTAAAGCATGGGGTATAAATGAAAGGCATATAGCACAATTGTCTGGGAGGCAGGATTGCCAGTTAAAAGGAAGCTTCTATAGTCGTCCAGCCATTTAACTGATAGTTATTGAAAATGTCCTATGAATAAAACATTCTTCCAGACTAGGAAAAAATTAAAGTAGCCTGAATTAGAGCAATAGTATTGGAGCTAGAAAGAAAGAGAAATGTGAAAGGAAATTGAAAAAGAAGTTGATAGAACTTGACAACTGAATGGAGAGCAGGTAGAGAGGAGTCCAAATGGGACTCACTAACCTGTGGTCTGGGTAACCTTGAGTAACAACTGCTCATTGAGATGTGGAGCATGGAATACAACTTGAACTTGTGTGGTTCTGTTTTGGATAGGTTCTGTGTGAAGCCCGTTAGGATGTATAAATGGAGAAGTCCAGCAACAATGGAGATGTGGGGCAGATTGGTCTTCTGCATTCCTGACGGACCAACACAGCTGGCCACACATGCAAATGGAAGTAACAATGACCTACAGGTGTGATTCTGGAGGCGCTGATAAGGGCCATCCATCTAGAGAAGTTGTTTCCTCATTCTATGCCCTAAACCAGTTTGATGTCTGAAATCCAACTATTAGCACTTCACACTGTTAGCATAAAGTTAAAGCCTATTAAGCTTTTGCATGTGAGTACCTCCCTACAGCGTGGGAGACTGGAAAGGCCACTTAACTCACACTTAGCCTGAAGACAGTCCCAAACATTGATATGTCCCAGTTAACAACTGCTCTCAGAGTTAAGAACATGGCCTTGAATAACTGGGACAAGAAGAATCTTTGGATCCTACATAAAGCAGCGATGGGTCAGAGAGATATCAAGGGTTCATAGACTGGGAAAACCTTCCTGCAACTCTGTCTTCTGTCTTTCTTTATAGGCCCCCTTCCTGCTTTATAATTTTTACTTTATTTCTCTATTAATAACTTGATTGTTGAAGCCTCAGGAAATTCCAAGGCTATTTCTCCCATCAAAATGAAAGAAATGCATTAAATGGTGCATTCCCATTAAACTATGATTTACATTATATGTAATGTATATTACATATACATTAATATAGATTAATAAAAATGGAAGCACTCTGTTGGAGGGGAAATATACTAAAAAATCTTTTAGGGCTATCTGAATTAACATGAAATAATACCAAACACAGAGAGAGAAAACAAGAGAGAGAGAAAGGTATTGACTGAGAAAAAAAGCAGGACTGGAAACCTGCAGCCAGCTAAGTGGTGTGACTCATAGCTCTCAGTTTTTGGTAGACAGCTGAAGCCAGAGAACATTCAGAGCTGTAGACAAACACTTAAATTAGGTGTCCTGGTAGAGCAAGGGCTCCCACTGTAACTGCCTGTCCTGCAGTGCATATAAGGTCATCATTGTTATGTTGATTAATGAAGCTCCTGAGAACCCCTCCTGGCCGAAAACAATGGGTGTTACAAATGGTTCCAAGTAAATCCACAAGATTGTTCATTTCAACTATGCCAAAGAGTTCAACACAACAATCATGGGTCAAGAGCTATGTCATATACGCCACAGAATTCGGGATTGTTTCAAGTCATCAATGAGTGGAGGAAAATACCCTAAAGTGGTGATTCCTAGTGTTCTCCCTGGTTCTAGGAAAGTGTAGGGCCCAGAACCTTCCCCAATTTCCCAACCAGGCTGCTGTTGCATTTATGTACTTCACTTATTTATATGAACATTAAGACTTTTGTCCAAAAACAGATTGGAAACCACTGGCTGAAAGAATTGGCACACCTGACAGATGTTAGTTGGAAACAAGGTACAGGAAGAAAACACGAAAAAAGATGGACAGCCACGTTCCCGTGAAGAAGGGTTTACTTCAGTGGTGTGCTAGAGCCAGCTTGCACCAGCTCACAAGAACCAACTGGGCACATCTCCCCACAGTCCGGCATTCACTGACTCCAGTTTGGTAGTTTATTGTTGACCATGGTGGGAGTTTTTACACCATAGAAATTGTCAGATGTGGCCGGGCACGGTGGCTCACACTTGTAATCCCGGCACTTTGGGAGGCCAAGAAGGGCAGATCACCTGAGGTTGGAAGTTTGAGACCAGCCTGACCAACATGGAGAAACCCCATCTCTACAAAAAATACAAAATCAGCCAGGCGTGGTGGTGCATGCCTGTAATCCCAGCTATTCAGGAGGCTGAGGCAGGAGAATCACTTGAACCCAGGAGGCGGAGGTCGTCGTGAGCCGAGATTGTGCCATTGTACTCCAGCCTGGGCAACAAGAGAGAAACTCCATCAAAAAAAAGAAAAAGAAAAAGAGAGAGAGAGATAAAGACAGAAAGACAAAGAAAGAAAGAAAGAAAGAAAGAAAGAAAGAAAGAAAGAAAGAAAGAAAGAAAGAAAGAAAGAAAGAAACACAGACAGAAAGAAAGAAAGGAAAGAGAAATCGCCAGTTGCCACAAATCAGGGCTTTTCTTCTTTTGCTGCCCCCCCCTCAATACCCCTGACAGTCAGTTATAAAACATTTATCAGCATACCACTGGGACTGAATCCAAAAATAACTTGGCCAGCAAAACAGCCAAAGCCCTGTGAAGCTCTGACCAATGGCCTTCTAGGCACAGTCAAGTTAGGGATAGCGTGGAAGTTTGTAGAATCTGGAAAAGGGGAAGGAGTTCTTTTTGGGAAACACAGCTTTGTTATGCAGTCAGACAAGGCTATAGACAAGGGACCTACCAGTCAATATGCTAAGGAGGGTGTGGTAGGTACCACTCACATGGACAGGGAAACTTTTCTCATTTGATCAGGGAGTCCAAATAGACGAATAAGGTGGGTGAGTCGAGAAAGCTGGGATTCAGAAGGGCATATATACAGGGCACTCTGACAGCTAACCTCTGCTTCCTCCCAAGTCTAGACAAAAGCAAATCAGACTTCCACGAGGCATTCCTTAGACATCACAGAGCACTTTCCTTGAGCAAGGCTCAGCAGACCCTGGGTGGGGTAACTGAGGGAGGCAGCTGCAGTTCCTTCTGAGAGACGCTGGATGGATGCCGTCTGTCTCTGATGTCGGAGGCTCCTGCCTGGCCAGTGCAGATTGCGGAATCTCTTCTCTCCCTTCCTGGGTTCCAGGATTCCTCTGACAAGACATTTTATTAGCCCTAACGTGGCTTCCAGCAGGAAGGAAGAAGGGCAGAAACTGTTAAACACAAGAATAGGAAAGGTCCTGGAAAACTCATGGAAGGGGAAACTTGGTTCCGCTTTAAGGGAGAAGTTGTTTAAAGGAGTCTGGGGATAGCCCTGCCCTTGCCTGAAAAGGCCTCTTTGTAGGTCCCTCTGAGCCATGCATGTTTAAGATGTAGGGAAATCAGCTCAGAGGATCGACACACACAGCCCCCTGAAGCCATGGAGTGAGCTCCTCATTTTAAGCAGCTGCCTGGCAATTGTGTGTCATTGTCCTGGGGCAGTCGAGCATGAGAGTAGGGGTGACAGTGCTTGTTCATCTCAATCCTGCAACCCAAGTTCAAAGGGAATGTCTTCCCAAAGAAGGCTGAGTGTCTGCAGAGGGCGGCACACTCCGCTGATGGCTTAATCTGGAAGAGTAAATTTTGCTTCCACAAGAAAAATGGACTTATTTAGAAAAAGGTTAGGCGTACATGTGGGTAGCTTTAGGAGCCGATATTCCTAAGACTTAACAAGGGAGTAAGGCAGGGACCCTGACCCACCAGAACAGTTGCTGGCCTCAGATCTAGGGGCTGGGGTGGGGGTATTGCAGGCTCCTGGAGAACCCCATGCTGTGCCAGCCTTAACCCTTTGACAGTGGGTTGTGGGGACCCCCTAGGGTCCTGGGGTTGGAGTGAGGGTGGCCGGGCACTAAGAGGACACTGTGCGCTAGAGCAGCACCAATGCAGAGGGAAATGTCTCAGTATTTTAATGAGTCAACCCATACCTGTGGACATTCCCTGCCTACATGGACCAAGGGGAAAAACTTCCCACTCTGCCCCGTGCTTCAGTTCATAACCTTGCTAATCATGTATCTGACCTTGTGAGCTGAAGAACAGGAATCTGGATTTAAATTTCTCAAATACATGTTTGATTTCAAGTAGGTTCTTTATTTTCATCTCTCTCTTAACCTCTTCCATTTTTTGAAGAACACCCTTTGATGTCACTCCGATGACGTTTATTAATTATCTTCTCCAAACCTGCTACGACACAAGAAACTTTAGTCACAGTACTGATTCACACTCAATGTTCTATGTTTAGCAACTATCTGAGAAGGATCTGAGTCTGCATTTAGCCCTAAATAGCTACAAATAAGGGAGTAGCAGCAGCATCCCTTCAAAAGCCTTTTTTAGGAAGTGCTGTGCCAGGGGTGGGATGACATGCCAGGAGCTACAGGTGAGGAGAGCCGCTCTCAGCCAACAGGAAACCAAGGTAGCGGCTGATGAAAGCAACAGAGTTGTGTACTACAGAGCAGCATCCCCCCTTCCTCGAGACAGGTTGTAAGGAAACACTGCAGCATGTTTATCTGTCTGCCCAGCCCTATTTAGTGAAAAATGATTGCTCTTTGCCTCTTGTTACCATGCTCAGATGATACTATGGCAACCAGGCTGCACAAAAGGGGAAGGGGGGGCTGACGCTGCTTAGCAACTTGAAGATTTTTAAAAGGCAAGTACTCATTGCAACAGCAACAGTTTTTAAAATGCCAGTTTTCAGGAGAGAAAAGAGAAGAACATTAGAGAAAGCAAATGGAGATGACACAGTAGAGGAAAAGAAAGAAAGGAGAAAGAAAGAGAAAGAAAGAAAGAGAGAGAAAGAGAAAGAAAGAGCGAGAAAGAGAGAGAGAGGGAGGAAGGGAGGGAGGTGGGGAGGGAGAGAGAGAGAAAGAAAGAAAGAGAAAAGAAAAGAAAAGAAAGAGAGTCATCTGCATGTCACCTTTTCAAAGCTCTTTTTTGTACATCCTCACAGAACTCACGGGAGCTTGGCTGGGTCTCTGTTCACTGGTGGGGAAACTGAGGCTCACAGGGTGAGTGGCGTGCTCAGGGTTTGTCAGCGAGTCGGGGGCAAGTCTGGGACTAATATGCAGGCAGCCCAGTTCCAAATCCCACACTCTTTTTACAGCTTCATGCTTTGAAAAAAAAAGTAACCAGGAAATCTGAGGAAGGGAAAAAATAAAATCACACGAAACTGCCAATGGTGTGAAAAGGATGGGCATCTGTTTCAGGTAGAAACTCAGCAAAAAGCACAAAAATACATTTGAATGTATTTTCAGAATTAAGTTGAAACGACAAGGTGTTTTCTATGTGATTCATTCATTCATTCACTCATTCAGTCATTCAGGGCAAAAAAAAAGGTGGCACAGACAGTATTAAATTCCAGCATTCCTTGAATGAGCAGGAGGTTGCCTGTTTCTGGAACGTATAGGATCTGGAGGAATTCCTGGGCACTGGAAGGATTCAATGCTGAGGGGATGGAAGAAGAGAAGTGGAGAAAGGAGGGGAGGGGGAAAGTCTTGCCCTGGTTTAGGAAGAAACTGTCTTGAGTAGGATAAACATCCATCGAGATAAATGACCACATCATTTCAACCAAGACTATGTAAACCAAAGACGGTTCAGGTTCCAGTCTGCATTCCTCACTGGCTGATATTACATTTCTCAGCTCCTCTGCCACTCCAGCCTTCCACCCTTGGAAGCAAAATGCTAGATGGCTTACAAAACAGAGCTCGAACATGGAGCGACTACGGCGCTGAGCTTGTCTGGAGGGCCCAACAACAGGCAACGACAACACTAAGGAAACATCCTATGTCAGGCTAACGGGCGTTCTCTGAGGCAGAACTTGATAGAATGGGTTTCTGTAGATTGTGCCCTTTCTTTAATTAACTCAGTATTTAAGAGATGCCATTCAAGTCAGACCAAAGGTCTAAATCAGAACTGACCTTTCTGAAGCTGGCACAAGTTTTGTCTTTGTTTTGGGCTCTATGAAGGGTGAGGGGATGGAGGAGCCCAGGGGTGAGAATAAGCCAGTGGGTGGAGTTTCCCGCTGCTTAGCGGCTCCTTGAGGGGCCCATTCCATAGACATACACAGAGGGCCTCCTGCATGCCTCCCATGTGGGTCTCCTCACGCTCCTTCTCTCTGCCCCCCTGCACTGAAAGGACTCTGCAGGGCCCAGAACTTCAGGCTTCCTCATCTTGGTGCCTGCCTCCCGGGAGAAGCCACGGCTGCCTTCCTGATTGATAACACAGCGCTGACAAGACAAGTGCTGCTTTGGGTTCCAGTGGTCACAACCAAGCTATTCTTATGCTCCCCTCCTCATTGTTTCCACTCGTTCCTAATTGCACTTACGCAGAGGGCTCCAGAAGCAGTAAACAGACGGCCTTCTCCTATACTCACAATTAGCTAGAAGAATCCAGGTCAAGCTTTTCCAACCTGCAGCCCATGGGTGGCATGTGGCCCAGGACAGCTTTGAATGCAGCCCAACACAAATACTTAAACTTTCTTAAAACATTATGAGTTTGTTTTATTTTTTTAACATGTCAGCTATTGTTAGTGTTAGTGTATTTTATGTGTAGTTCAAAACAATTCTTCCTCTTCCAGTGTGGCCCAGGGAAGCCAAAAGATTGGACACCCCTGGTATGTGGTCTGTGATGCTCCCAACTAAGCAGATGTCATCTAGCATTAGTTTTAAGGCGTCAGGCCAGGTGTAGTGGCTCACACCTTGAGCCCAGGGGGGTTTCAAGGCTACAGTGAACTATGATGGCACCACTGCACTCCAGCCAGGACATCAGAGCAAGACCCTGTCTGTAAGGCGGGGGGAGCGGGGGAGCCAAACTAAGGGTGGGGCATTGTGGGGACTGCTCTTACTTCTAACACAATAACTATGAAATGAGTGAACTTCTGGGTTCTAGTCCTAATTGTGCCATCAGCTCTCGCATTCTTCACCTCCACCTCCATCCCCACTACATGCCCCAACCATACTGAATTTCATAAGAGCCCCAAATATACATCCCCACCTCCATTTGCACTGTCCCTCAATGTGTGAAGAGCCACTTACTACCTCACAGAGCAGAGCGCTCTATCTCTGACCCGGGCAGTTAATAATTACAACTTTCAAATTTCCTATCTTATTCGATGGGGAAAAGCCAACAGCAGTCACCCAGTGGGGGCTAGAGAACAACATTCCCATCTTAGGAGTCATAAGAATCAGAGAGAAGAAGTTTCGCCAAGTCCCTCCAGCTTCAACTCACCTGGCAACTAGTAACAAGCTAGTAAGGTTTAGGAGAAGGCCCGACTCCAAATCCCCTGTTCATTACAGGATTTGGAAATCTCGTTTTCTTGTGGCTTATGTTAATTAAACTTAAACCTATCTTTTAGAGCAAAACAAAACAAATACACTTACTCTTTCAAATATTGGCCTTCCAAATATTTGAATGGAGCTCCTGGGTGCCCTCCAGGGCTGCGCATCTCACACTTTAAAGTGTGTGGATAAGTCACCTGGGGGCTTGTGAAACTGCAGATTGGGATCCAGCAGTTCTGGGAGGGAGCGGGTGTAACAGACCCTGTCTACACTGCAGGAAACCCAGCCTCTACCTCCTCCCAAACCACTTTCAGAGGTCAAAAAAATTATGCAGTCTTTCGAATTAAATTGAAGACTTGCCACCTCCTTTTTATTTCATGTTCCCAGGCACTTACAAAAGTACCTGACTTACCTCAAGCACCGAATAAATCCTGTCGAATATGTCTGACAGAAGGAGGCAGAAACGGTCAAATTAAATACCTCCCCTTCCTCATCCCAGCCCCTTCCTTGGTTTAGAAAGGGCATCTGCTTCTGCCACGTCACTAAACTTATCTGAATATCGCCGTCATCATCTGTAAATTGGGAATAAAAATGACTCCTTTTGGGGCACTGGAGACATCAAACTGCGAGAAGACCATAAGCGTGGAAATGCTTAGCAAATGTCATGAGCGCCCCTCAAGTAAACCAGAACCAAACAAAGCAAAAACTAAAAAAAAATATGGACACATGGCAGTTGCCAAAACACTGTGTACTCACTTAAGTGAGGCAGGAAAAATGCTTCTACCGAAAAGAACACGGTGCAGGAAGAGCTCATTAGGCCTTCCCGAAGGGAACGCAGTAGCTTGCTGCTCGCCCGCAGGGCCGTGGGACCGCGCCGGGCGTCCTTTGCCGCCCTCTGCTGGACGGAACCCCCCACCCGCGCCCGCGTGTCTGGTCACAGCGCGCCGGCAGCGCCCAGGGGACCTGCGTCCTCAGCCAGCCGGTTATGTAACACCAGACTGCATCCAGAGCAGGCTTGCGAAGAGGAAATCACTGAGTTCATGACGCATCGATTCAAGCTGATAAGAGGAGGGGAGGGCAAGAAAATATTGTGTCTTTCCAACGTTCGAGGTGCTAATGAATTTAATCTGCAGAGGAGCCCTAAAAAGCAAGGAGGGTCATTCTTGTTTTGTGGCGGAGCAAAGTGAGGCTCAGGGGGGACTGGATAAATTACCGAGGGGAACATGGCTTACTGAGTGGCCCGACCAGGTTTTGAATTAGGGCCATTTTGATTACAGATACCAGGTTTCTATACCTGAGTCTGCCGTTAATTAGCTATGGGAGCGGGACCCACCCACTTAGCCGTGTGGGGTCCTGGTGTTCTTTGTTTGCGGAGAGAGGGGTTGATGGAGGTGACCCTGAAGGTTCATTTCAGCTCTCACATTCTGAGCCAAGCCTTTTTTTTTTTTTTTCATGTGCCGTTGTTGTGTAGAAATAAATTGTTGGATAATCCCCCCGCCCACCCCCGGCGGTGGAACCACACATTTCTCATCAAGCAAGACAGCACCAAGCATGCCAGGGGCCCTGCCAAAGGCTACCTGGCTTCCATCCTCTCCAAAATGATCTACAGGCTTAGAGCTGTGGTCTCTGAACAAACTTTCATGTTTTAAAGATCCTACCATGGGTGAAATATATCAAAGGGTCAGCCTTGCCTGCCCAAGATACGTCATTTATGTTGCAGAGAAAGGAATATTACAAATTAAGCATGTTTATCCTATGCTCATCAGGGTCCAGGAGAGAGAGATGCACATTTGTACATTCTCCAGGGTGAGTCCCTGAGGTTCCACTTAATGAGCTGGTGGGGTCATTTATCCCTTATTAAGCAGACTAACTCTCAATCTGAACCTTCCCTCAAAAAGTTTTAGTTTGATTCCTCTCTGATATAAAGAGAGTGGACACTTTAGTCTTGTCTAGTCTGGATACTGACTTACAACATGCTTCTGCTTCATTGGAAACTTCAGCTCAGGAAATACTTTAAGGTTCCCCCTCTCCACCTCTTGTGGGGCTATGAAGCATCTCTCCCTCTCAATTTAACTGGAAATTTCAAAGTTTAAAAATGCACACACTGGAAAGCACCGTAGACATTATATGATATAATTCTCTTATTTTATGGCTGTCAATCAGGGCTATTTGTTCACTAAGGACATTTCTCTAGAAACAATAAAAAGATGACTGAGCATCTTCTCCCAGACTTTGGATGGTACCTTACATGCATTGGCAGGAAGCCACAAAGAAAGCTGAGTCAGCGCAGAATCAGGGCAGCCAACAGAAAGTTAGGATTCAGCCTGTTTATCACATTCGCCAGCTAAAAAAAGTCAGGTCTAGGGCCAAAAATACATGAGCCCCTTTCCCAGAGCTCTTCCCCTAGAAAAATATCACACCTTGAGAGCTACTCTGGTCTCATGGAAACACCATACCTCGCATTACCTAAGAAGGCCCAAGCGACGTCCATCTCTAAAAAGATGATAAAATACCCATCAAGCCTCCTTAGTCAGAGGCAGCCACGTTGCAGCCAGAGACCGAATCTGGCAGGGTTTCCAGACTTATAGTACACGCCAAGCATAATTTAATGTGAGTATGATAAACAGTGATGGATCACTGACAGTCTGCGATGCTGTCAGGGCAAGGGTTCCCCACCATTCTGATATTGCAGCAAGATACCAGGAGGCCAGCTCCATCCCCCGAATGCTGTCATGCTAGCCCAGAGAAAACTCCTATTCCTATTCACTTCAAAATAATAACAATAATAATCATTTCTCTTTATTTTTGGTCCCCTTCACCATTTTCTCTGTTAACTTAGAACCTCTGTGGTTTGACTTTTATATCATACCATCCAGAGAAGAAACTATGTAAGAATCAAGTTGGGCCAACAGGCAGTGTTTCTTCTTCAGCTGAGGAATGTGCAGCCCCCGAGGGCTTGGGCAGGAGAGGACAGGAGGGATTGTCACGAAGTCCCAGGATGAACTTGGCCCATGTTCCAGGAGCACTTTTTTTTTTTTTTTTTTTCTGATACAGAGTTTCCCTCTTGTCACCCAGACTGGAGTGCAATGGCACAAGCTAAGCTCACTGCAACCTCTGCCTCCCAGGTTCAAGCGATCCTCCCGCCTCAGTCTCCCAAGTAGCTGGAATTACAGGCGCCCGCCACCATGCCCAGCTAGTTTTTGTATTTTTAGTAGAGATGGGGTTTCACCATGTTGGCCAAGCTGGTCTCGAACCCCTGACCTCAGGTGATCCACCTGCCTTGGCATCCCAAAGTGCTGGGATTACAGGCGTGAGCCACTGCACCTGGCCCCAGGAGCACATTTATAACTCACAGCTTTTGGGGGGTGAGGAAGGGAGAGATGACACAGAAATATTATGAAGTAGCAAGTAAATTTTGCATGGGTTTTTAGGATGAAACACAATATTCTAAAATGTTGTTTAATTTTTTTAACATTTCCTTTACATTTTAAACAAAATTTCTTGTTTGTACCTGGTTGCTTCAAGCTTTGGCCTCTAACCTCTTGGGGGCCCACATATGGAAAATATAAGATTAGATATTATGATAGTTAATATTGAGTGTTAACTTGACTGAAGGATGCAAAGTAGTGTTCCCGAGTGTGTCTGTGAGGGCGTTGCCAAAGGAGATTAACATTTGAGTCACTGGACTGGGAAAGGCAGACCCATCCTCAACCTAGGTGGGCACCATCTAATCAGCTTCCAGCAAGGCTAGAATATAAGCTGGCAGAAGAACGTGGGAAGACTAGACTGGCTTAGTTTTCTGGCCTACATCTTTCTCTCGTGCTGGATACTTCTTGCCCTCGAACATCGAACTCCAAGTTCTTCAGCTTTGGGGCTGAAACTGGCTTCCTTGCTCCTCAGCTTGCAGATGGCCTACTGTGGGACCTCACCTTGTGACGGTGTGAGTCAATACTCCCTGATAAATTCCCCTTTATATATACAGCTATCCTATTAGTTCTGTCCCTCTAGAGAACCCTAATACAGATATTTAATCCTACCTATTTTTTTGCCTTGGAAAGATAGTTACTACTACTACCACTTCTACTTCTACTACTAATTACTATTCTTACCACAATTACCACTACAAATTCTACCACTAAATTTCCTGTTAAATTGTCTGAGAGTCATACTACTACTACTACTATGTGCTCCCTTTCTCTCCTGTTTTAAAAATCGGAAAAGACCCCAGTCTCCAGAGAGACAGGACCACTGCTAGGTTCTGCAGAGCCTGAAAATACAGTGCTTTCCTTGACTTCCCGCCTAAAGAAATATCTATTTAAGAAGTACTAATGGCTAAAAATAGTAAGAAATAATAACAACACAGAGTATTTGCTGACATGGTGGCCATCAGTGTTCTCAAGCTTGTGCAAACTCACCCCAGATGCCCCACGCTAACATTCACAGGACATGCTGGGGCACATAGACGAGGCTGTACGTGGCCAGTGGCCTTGGCATGGGGGTCCAGCTACCCCAGGCATCTCCTTTCTTCAATAAGGAATTCAGTAAGTATTTGTTGAATGAATGAATCATGTTCTTTTCCAGTTAAAAGCAGACTGAGAGCATCGAATCTATTGGAAACACCAGCAAGTGCCATCACCGGACCCAGAGGAGAAAGTAGCAGACCCCTGTGTCATGAGTGTCACATTCTGACCTCTATAGATAAAGGCTCCTTCATTTATAGAGGTCTGAATCCAGGCTTCTCCCCTCTTCTCCTCCGGCACCACCCTAGGAACTGAAGGGACCAACACCACACATGTGACCTATCTGTGGCACTCCAGGGGTGATTCGGTTTGGCTCTGTGTCCCCATCCAAATCTCATCTCGAACCTGTAATCCCCACAAGTCCAGGGATGGGCCTGGTGGGAGGTGATCGGATCATGGAGGCAGTTTCCCCCATGCTGTTCTCATGATGGTGAGTGAGTTCTCATGAGCTCTGATGGTTTTATGAAGGGTTCTTCCCACTTCACTCACCGCTCTCTCTTTCCTGCCGCCATGTGAAGAAGGTGCTTACTTCCCCTTCACCTTCCACCATGATGGTAAGTTTCCTGAGGCCTCCCTGCCACACATAACTGTGAGTCAATTAAACCTCTTTCCTTTGTAAATTATACAGCCTTGGGCAGTTCTTTATAGCCATGTGAAAACAAACTAATACAAGGATTAAGATTTAATTTAGCCTATTTATGGCAATAAACCATTTGGACAGTTTTTCATTTATGAAAACAGAAAACTTCTCTTTGGTCTAATTAGTCCCAGATGTGAAGGAGTGTTTATTTATGGAGGTCTGAATGTGACACTCATGACACAGGGGTCTGCTATTTTCTCCTCTGGGTTCTGTGAGGGCACTTGCTGGTCTTTCCAATAGATTTGATGCCCTCATTCTGTTTTAACTGGAAAAGAACATCGTTCAGTCATTCAACAAATAGTTACTGAATTCCTACCAGGTGGTATGCACTCTGCTAGGCACTGAGGATATAACGATGAACAACCACCGTCAGGTTCCCGCCCACCATGGAACTTTCCATCTAGGAAGGAAGGCAGATAAACCAGCAAATGCAATGCAGCTCAACCAAGTGAAATAGAGCCTGATGCATGGCACCCAAGAGCAGATTTTAGGCCAGACCTTGGGAACTGGAAGAGACCTCAGGAGGAAGTGAAGGGTCTAAGCTGGGAGCTGAGGCAGACCCATCAGATGCTGGTGATGGAGACAGGGTTGCAGGCAGGGGCAGCAGAAACTGGAAACCACTGGGTAATGCTGGACAGTGGAATATTGGGAAGGTCATGGAGAGAGATGAGCCTGGAGTTCCAGCAAGGGTGGCTGAGATACAGTAAAAAAAAAAAAAAAAAAAAAAAAAAAAAAATATATATATATATATATATATATATATATGTATATATATGTAATAGGTCCTTGTCCCCAGTTCCTGGCACAGAGCTCCTGAAACTCTTTTAATTTTCTGAGAGATAGAGGTGAGAAGAACTATTTTTGTTATTTACAATAAGCCCCTTTATCTGAGTTTAATATGTTAATGAGATGGCTGGTGGCTGGGGTCCCTAAATGGCTTCAGGATGGGGCCTGGTTGCCAGAGGAGCCAACAACAGTCTTTGCAGGTTGGCACTTTCAGCCCCACCTCCTGAGCTCCAGGGAACGGAGATGGGTGGGGGATTGAGTTAATCGCTCATGGGCAATGATTTAGTCAGTCAAGCCATGTAATGGAACCTCTGTAAAAACCCTAAACAACAGAGTCCAGAGAGCATCCAGGTTGGTGAACACACGGAGGTGCTGGGAGGGTGCCATGCCCTGAGAGGTCATGGAAGCTCTGCACCCCTCCCTCATCTCTGGCTCTAGGTGGCACTTCCATTTGGCTGTTCCTGAGTTGTATCCTTTATAATAAACAGGTAAATGTGAGTAAAGTGTTTCCCTGGGTTTTGTGAGCCACTCTAGCAAAATTTGAAGCCTGAGGAGGGAGTTGTGAGCAGCCTCTGACTTTGTAGCTGGTTGGTCAGGAGCATGGGTGGCTTAGACTTGGAATCGGCATCTGAAGCATGGTCGGGGGTTAGGGAGTAGGCAGTCTCATGGGACCAAGCCCTTTACCTGTGGGGCCTGTGCTAACTCCAGGTAGTTAGTATCAGAGTTGAACTGAGTTGTAGGACACCTAGTTGGTGTCCAGAGAGTTGGAGAATTGATTGGTGTGAGGAAAAACTTCACACCTTTGGTGTCAAAAGTACTGTGAATAAAAACAATTCAGAAGTGGGAATTCAAATCTGCATTGCCAGTGACATCCCATCCCAGAGGAGCTGGCACATCACCACCTCAGGGTTGGTCCTCATCGTTTTTGGCTGAATAGGTCAGGCCCACTCTCCACTGTCACAATAACTTATGATCTGATGTAATTAGGGGCTGTCATATAGACGCACTCTCCTTTGCTGGGGGTGTAAGAATTTGTGTGATAAAACATAAAGCTGCTGGTAGCTGTTTTCCTGGCATCCAGTTTTCTCCTAATAAGATATAAGCAAGTATATTAGTCTGTTTTCATGCTGCTGATAAAGACATACCCAAGATTGGGCAATTTACAAAAGAAAGAGGTTTAACGGACCCACAGTTCCACATGGCTGAGGAGGCCTCACAATCATGGTGGAAGGTGAAAGGCACGTCTTACATGGTGGCAGACAAGAGAAGGGAGTTTGTGCAGGGAAACTCCCCTTTATAAAACCATCAGATCTCATGAGAACTATTCACTATCAGAAGAATAGCATGGGAAAGACCTGCCCCCATGATTCAATTATCTCCCACCCAGTGGCTCCTACAACACGTGGGAATTGTGGGCTACAATTCAAAAAGAGATTTGGGTAGGGACACAGCCAAACCATATCAGTGAGTCTCTGGCCTCCCAGCCCTATCCGAGGCTAGACCCAGGGGAGGGAGAGATGTCAGCTACCCACCCTGGAATGGGCCTCAGAGGAAGCAGAGCACCCAGACAGGGCCAGGTTGCTCCCATGTTCGCTTCTCGCTGCATTCTTACATCTTCATGAGCTCAACAACTTTTATTACCGATACAGTTTGGTTATTTGTTTCCTCCAAATCTCATGCTGAAATGGGATCCCTGATGTTGGAGGTGGGGCCTAGTGGGAGGTGTTTGGGTCATGGGGGTGGATCTGTCATGAATGGTTTTGTGTTGTCCTTATGGTGATGAGTGAGTTTTCTGAGCGATCTCATTGTTAAAGACAGCCTGACACCTCCTGCTTTCTCTCTTCCTTTCTCTCTCATCATGTGATGCCAGCTACCCTTCACTTTCTGCCATGAGTGAAAGCTTTCTGAGGCCTCAGTGCAGAGGCTGAGGCCATGCTTGTACAGCCTGCAGAATCATAAGCCCAACAGACCTCTTTTCTTTATAAATTATCTTACCTCAAGTATTACTCTGTAGCAATACAAAAATGGACTAATACAATCACAGTATGTGTATGTATGTGTGTGATGGGAGCGGGTTGGGGGGGCGCGGAGAGAGAGAGAGAAAGAGAGAGAGAGAGACTTTCTGTGTTGGGAATTATTGGGATGACAAGAATCCCAAGAGGCCTGAACATTCCTGCTTACCTATATCAGGTATGAGCCCAAGAAACAAAGGCAGAGAGCTGAAGATTAAAGAGAAAAAGTACAATTTGAATCAGAGCAGGATGGCATGCACAAAGCCATTATGTCATTCCTGGAGTCAGTGCTGTGGCCTGTCCCCTATCCCATGCTGGGGAAGCCATGATCAGGATTCTCTCTAAACTCAACTTTCTCACAGCCAGCACTCACTTATGAATGTTGATTCCCCTGTCCTTCCTTTCCTTCTGGCCTTCAACAAATATTTTTTGAGAATGTTCTATGCATCAGATACTATGTTAAGAGCTGGAGATAACCCCATACACAGCTGTGGGAGTTTCAGTGATGCAGCTACTGTGGAGAAGAGTCTGATAGTTCCTTAAAAGGTCAAACACAGAGTTGTCATACAATCTGGCAATTCCACTCCCAGATATACATCCAAGAGAAGTAAAAACACATGTCCACATAAACATTTGTGCATGAATATTCATAGCAGCTTTATTTATAAGAGTCAAATGGGAAAAAGTCAAATGTCCATCAACTGATGAATGAATGTATAAAGAAAATGTTATATATAAACACACACATGAAATATTATTTAGCAATAAAAAATATGAAGTATTGATGCATGCTACAACATGGATGAACCCTGAAAACATGTGACATGAAAGAAATTAGTCACAAAATACACCATAATGTATGATTCAACTTATTTAAAAAGTGCAGAATAGGCAAATTTATAGAAAGATAAAGTAGATTGGTGGTTGCTTAGTCCTGGAGGAAGGGAGGGGAAATTGGAGGGTGATGACTAAGAGATATGGGGTTTCTTTTTGGGGCAATGGAAATGATCTAAAATTGATTGTGGTGATAATTGTTCAACTCTGTAAATATACTTGAAACCACTGAATTTTAAATTTTAAGTGGGTAAAAAAATAACATTTTAAACATTCTAAGGTTAAAAGAAAGAGTAGGGCTTGGATTCTATCCCAGAATGCTTATTCTGTAGCAGTTCTCATTAGTTGCCCCTGTCGGGCACTTTCAGATATATAGACTCCAGAGCTACACACCAGATCACTGGACTCAGAATACATAGATCTCTATACAGCTATATAGACCTACCTGTAGCTATATCAATCTAGCTAGCTAGAGAGACATATATGTATGTATTTATATATATTTCCACAAGTGACTCTGATGCATTGGTATTGTTACACCTCTACCTATTTCCCATATATTTTAAAAAAGAGTCCCCAAATAGCTGCCACTTTTGGAAGACCTGGAGGCAATAGGAATTTTTATTCTCCTCCTTTCCCAGTTTTATGCCCCCTGCCTCTCTTCAACACAACTGATATTCCACAAAGCTTACCACTGTTTTCTTCTTCACTATACTCCTTTTCTTAGCTTTTCAAACTAGTTCTGAGGTATACAGTTATTCCTTGGAGAAAGAAGGAAGAGCAAATGGGCAGAGCAGTGCATGAATCAGTTATGACTACAAAAGGTTAGATTAAAATTTGAAATCTGAATTGTGTGTGTGTGTGTGTGTTGAGTATGGAACACAGCCCAATATCTATAATGAAAAACCCAGGATCTCAAGTAAATCTGTTTGTCCCATGATACACAGATCAATTCTAACCTTAGTCTTGGATACCACCAAAAGTTTAGATTCAGCTTGAAACTTTGATGATATTTTTCTTACCAATAGAGTAGAAAAAGACAGAGGTAAGGATAAAAAAGAAATGAGAATGTCAAGCAAAGATAGTTTACTTCCAGTTTCTTACTTCCATTGTTACTTTCATTTTAAAAGCTGTAAAAGCTATTGAGAAACCACAGGGTCAGGAGGATAGGAGAAAATTAAGATAGACTTTCTGTATGCAGTTGACCAAGAGAAGAGGACAACTGTAGGAAGCAATAAAAAGAGAAGTAAACTACAGGGAGAAAAAGGAGGGGGATTGGGGCCTGGACTAAAATGTGCTGCTGGAAAATGTGTATTGTCAAAACTGACATTAGAAAAAGTAGAAATCCCAAATAATTCAATTATCTTAGACACTCTCAAAACATTATCAAACCTCCCAGAACAGTTTGGGAACTAATTATTTTTAGGTGAATTTTTTCAAATCCTCAGGGATGTACTTCCTATTTTTCATAAAGAATCTAAGAACATAGAAAAATGCAGACCAATTTAGATTAACCCAATTTATTTTATTAAGTCAGAACAATTCTGTTAATGAATCCTGAAACATCTTCCTCTGATTGTCTATCTTTTCTTCCCTGTGCCCATTCCTTCTTTCCTTCTCACACACACAAATATAACTATCGACTGAAGTTAACTGATAGCTCAAAAATTTCGACAAAAGTCCCACCAAACTACTAGAAAACTATATTTTTAACAGGTAGTAAAATAATTCACTACAACCAAAAACATCATCAGAGTTTAAAATAATATAACATGTTTAATAAGTCATATCAGAAATATTTATCTGTATATAGGAAAAGGCATGCAATTAAATTAAAAAACATTTCTTTTTTAAAAAGAAAGAGGAATGGAAGCATACTTCTCAAAAACATAAAGTTTTCCTCAAAGCAACAGGCAGCAGCGTATTTAACAGCGCAAACTAGAGCCATGCTTACTAAAATCAGGTCCTAGAGTAATGACCACCCTATCATAATGATTAATTTACAGTATTCTGCAAGAAGTGGCTAATGCATTAATTCATAAAACTTAACTATCCTTCAAGAAAGAGGAAAAAGTTATAATTACTTGTGGGATATACAAATTACCCAAAATAAATCATGGACACTCTTTCAGAATGCCTGGGAGAGAAAGTAAAGTGAATGGGTATGAACAAATGTATAAAAATACATCTAATTTTTATCATCTCAGCCCAAAATCTCCTTAAGCTGATAAGCAACTTCAGCAAAGTCTCAGGATACAAAATCAATGTGCAAAAATTGCAAAAATTCCTATACACCATTAACAAACAGAGAGCCAAATCATGAGTGAACTCCCATTCACAGTTGCTACAAAGAGAATAAAATACCTAGGAATCCAATTTACAAGGTATGTGAAGGACCTCTTCAAGGAGAACTACAAACCACTGCTCAATGAAATAGAGGAGGACACAAACAAATGGAAGAACATTCCATGCTCATGGATAGGAAGAATCAATATCATGAAAATGGCCATATTGCCCAAGGTAATTTATAGATTCAATGCCATCCTCATTAAACTACCAATGACTTTCTTCACAGAATTGGAAAAAATTACTTTAAAGTTCATATGGAACCAAAAAAGAGCCCTCATTGCCCAGACAATCCTAAGTAAAAAGAACAAAGCTGGAGGCATCAGGCTACCTGACTTCAAGCTATACTACAAGGCTACAGTAACCAAAATAGCATGGTACTGGTACCAAAACAGAGATATAGACCAATGGAACAGAACAGAGCCCACAGAAATAACATCACACATCTACAACCATCTGATCTTTGACAAACCTGAAAAAGACAAGAAATGGGGAAAGAATTCCCTATTTAATAAATGGTGCTGGGAAAACTGGCTAGCCATATGTAGAAAGCCGAAACTGGATCCCTTCCTTACATCTTATACAAAAATTAATTCAAGATGGATTAGAGACTTAAATGTTTGACCTAAAACCATAAAAACCCTAGAAGAAAACCTAGGCAATACCATTCAGGACATAGGCATGGGCAAGGACTTCATGACTAACACACCAAAAGCAATGGCAACAAAAGCCAAAATAGACAAATGAGATCTAATTAAACTAAAGGGCATCTGCACAGCAAAAGAAACTACCATCAGAGTGAACAGGCAACCTACAGAATGGGAGAAAATTTTTGCAATGTACTCATCTGACAAAGGGCTAATATCCAGAATCTACAAAGAACTTAAATTTACAAGAAAAAAACAAACAACCCCATCAAAAAGTGGGCAAAGGATATGAACAGACACTTCTCAAAAGAAGACATTTATGCAGCCAACAGACACATGAAAAAATGCTCATTATCACTGCTCATCAGAGAAATGCAAATCAAAACCACAATGAGATACCATCTCACCCAGTTAGAATGGCGATCATTAAAAAGTCAGGAAACAACAGGTGCTGGAGAGGATGTGGAGAAATAGGAACACTTTTACACTGTTGGTGGGACTGTAAACTAGTTCAACCACTGTGGAAGACAGTGTGGCAATTCCTTAAGGATCTAGAACTAGAGATACCACTTGACCCAGCGATCCCATTACGGGGTACATACCCAAAGGATTATAAATCATGCTACTCTAAAGGTACATGTACACGCATGTTTATTGCAGCACTATTCACAATAGCAAAGACTTGAAACCAACCCAAATATCCAACAATGATAGACTGGATTAAGAAAATGTGGCACATATACACCATGGAATACTGTGCAGCCATAAAAAAGGATGAGTTCATGTCCTTTGCAGGGACATGGATGAAGCTGGAAACCATCATTCTGAGCAAACTATCACAAGAACAGAAAACCAAACACCGCATGCTCTCACTCATAGGTGGGAATTGAACAATGAGAACACTTGGACACAGGGCAGGGAATATCACACCCCAGGGCCTGTCATGGAGCGGGGGCCTGGGGGAGCGATAGCATTAGGAGAAATACCTAATGTAAATGACGATATAATGGGTGCAGCAAACTAACATGGCACATGTATACCTATGTAACAAACCTGCACATTGTGCACATGTACCCTAGAACTTAAAGTATTTTTTTAAAAAGTAAGACTCAATAAAAGAGAAAATACTAAAGTAAGTTATTGAATAATATCATTTCTAGAAAAGAAAAATATAAATAAAACACAGAAGGAAATCAAAGAGTAGTAGAAATATAAGACTTCTTATCCAGGGTTCCCAAATAGAAAAAATATAAACTAATAAAACAAGTTTATTTGAAGTAGCAATTATTTGTATTATCAAATTATATATACATGTATTATATAATGTGCAGTCATAGATAAATATAAAAAAATTAATCCAAAAGTTAATCCCAAAATCCAAGAAACCCTAACACAATAAAATTCTTTTGAGTCCTTAAAAAAGTTATCCAAGTTTAACAAAGAAGGAAACAACAGACACTGGGCTCTATTTGAGGGTGGAGGATGGGAGGAGGGAGAGGAGCAGAAAAGATACCTACTGGATACTGGGCTTAATACCTGGATGATGAAATAATATGTACAACAAATCCCCATGACACGTGTTTAACTATGTAACAAACCTTCACATGTACTCGCAAACCTAAAATAAAAGTTAAAAGAAAAAGTTTTCCAAATTTAAAAAACAAACAAAAAACACATCTATTTTTCACATGTATCACCAGTAATTTAAAATACAAGAAATAAATCTCTCCTCATAATATCAAGAAAATCATAAAATATGTAGAAATAATGTTACATCAGAAATACAGAAGACATATATGAATTTGTGATTCTAAGAATTAAATAAATGGAGAAGCTCATATTTCTGGATAGGAAGACTTAATAAGGATTTAAAGCATTTTAATAAAAGCCAAGATTTTCTTTGTAATTTATTAAAATGATCTTGCATTATATAGAAAAAGAAATAATAAGTGAAAATAACCTAGAAAAACTGAAGGAAGGAAATAATGATATTGAATTAATCTGCTCCCCAAGCAAAATCTTACTATAAATTATAATAAATAAGTCAGCATGCCAGTATTGAAAAAACATACAGACAAATGAAACAGAATAGTATCTTATAGGTTTGTTATATATAAGATGTAAATAAATAACAAAGAAAGTAAAAACCACTAGGAAGAAAAGTGTTATGCAACGGTTGTTAAAATTAGCTAAAATCAGGAAAGTCAGTCCGTTTGGCAGAAGCCACTAGTTGCTACCCAATATCTAGTCTCCCCTTCTTCCTTAGCAACAGAGCCTGAATTTCTTTAGGAATAGTAGTGCTGAGTTATATGATTCCATCTCCCAGCCTTTCTGTGTTTGGCTGTGGCCCTGAGAGTAATCCTTAGGCAATGGGATATGAGTGGAAATGCACTGTGGGATTTTGAGAAAGATCCTTAAAGGGCGCTGCCTCAGCCAGGAATGACCCTTTTGTTTCCCCTCCTTCCTCTCTCTTCACCTGGAATCTTAAAATTACAGCTGAGTTTCAATACCTATATAAACTTTAAAGGACCTTAAGAAGACAGAGCACTAACTGGTACACACACACACACACACACACACACACACACACCACATGAAAATATGTATAACTGGAAAAAGAATTCCTATCTTTTGAATGGACATATACAAACAGACATGAATTAACAAGAAAAGAAAAAATAATGAAATCTAAAACAGCTAAAATTTTGACCAAAGGGGAAACATAAATATTCATTCAAATATGATATTTCAACTTATTTAGTAATCATGGAAATGCAAATTAAAACCACAATGAGCTACCTTTTCATACTGTAGTAGTCTGTTCTCACACTGCTAATAAAGACATACCCAAGATTGGGTAATTTATAAAGGAAAGAGGTTTAATTGTTTCACAGTTCAGCATGGCTGGGGAGGCCTCACAATCATGGTAGAAGGTGAATGAGGAGCAAAGTCTTACATGGCGGCAGGCAAGAGAGCTTGTGCAGGGGAACTCCCACTTATAAAACCATCAGATCTTGCCAAACTTATTCACTACCACAAGAACAGTATGGGGGAACCACCTCCATGATTCAATTATCTCCACCTGGGCCTGCCCTTCACGCGTGGGGATTAGCACAATTCAAGGTGAGACTTGTGTGGGGACACAGGCAAACCATATGACATACCATCAGATGGATAAAAAAATGATTATCAATTTCAAGTGTTGATAAGAATGGTGATCTGGTAGGAATTAAATGGTAAAAACAATTTAAGAAATGTTTTGGCATCGTATAGTCATTTGGAGAAGCACATCACTTAAAATCCAGCATTTTCACCCTAAGAATATCTCTTGAACATATGCTTCAATGGACACATAATAATAGTTGTGGAAGCCTTATCTGTAATAGGTAATGCTAGAAACAACCAAAATCAAGGGTAGAATAAATAAATAAATGTGGTATATTCTTAGAGTAGAATATTAAACAGCAGTGAAAATAATTTTTTACAAGCACCAATACAGATGAGTCTTAAAATTTCATGTTGACTGAAAATACCAAATCACAAAAAAAAATCCAGTGAATTCTGTGTATATAAAAGTCAAAAATATGCAAACCCAAACAATGTATATCACAAGGATGGTAATACTATGCAGAAAGGTGAAATAATTGTATCTTCTTTTTACATTTCTTTTTTTAGCCACCAGAGATCCTTCCATGGGTATGCATTGCCTATACAATAAGAAAAAGTGTTCTAATGAGTATTTTTCTTTTCTTTTTTTCTTTTTCAAGAGGAGGCCTTGGTAGTTCTATGCTTTCATTCCCAAGGGTCCCGTTTCCTGCCCCTCATCCTGGAGTTTCTACCAAGGTTTCTTATTCCCTCTTTCCTGTTCTCCTTTTCATGAGTTTTTTTTTTGTTGTTGTTATTTTGTTTTGCTTCATTTTGTTTTGTTTTTGAGACTGAGTCTTTGGTCTGTCACCCAGGCTGGAGTGCGTTAGCACGATCTCAGCTCACTGCAACCTCTGCCTCCCAGATTCAAGCCATTCTCCTACCTCACTCAGCCTCCCAAGTAGCTGGGATTACAGGTGCCCGCCACCATGCCTGGCTGATTATTGTACTTTTAATAGAGACAGGATTTCACCATGTTGTCCAGGAACTTCTGACCTCAGGTGATCCACCTGCTTTGGCCTCCCAAAGTGCTGGGATTACAGGGGGGTGCCACCGCACCTGATGAAGTTTTATTTCTTTTGGCCACCATCTGTGGCTTTGGGACTTAGTCTTAGTTTACACACCACCTAACTGGGAAATAACCGGGAAAGAGTGAATTCATAAGGAGTGAAATCACTGGTTCCACTGATTTGGGGAATGGAGTAGAAATGGGTAAAGAAATATACTCCTGGCACAGAAGGATTGATGTTCACAGAGGTTAAGTTCGGGAAAACAGAATGAGTTCTGAAATCCATACATTTGAATTACAAGGGATTTCATGTAAAAGGAGGAGAACAACGGCCTTTTCCAACTTTTTGGATGGTATCAGAGTCTGTTTTGCATATAAAAGCTTGTTTTAGTGCT
Source organism: Homo sapiens (assembly GCF_000001405.40). Taxonomy (NCBI): domain Eukaryota; kingdom Metazoa; phylum Chordata; class Mammalia; order Primates; family Hominidae; genus Homo; species Homo sapiens. The sequence goes on along the minus strand of NC_000013.11, from coordinate 97,094,648 downwards.
TTAGAAGCATGACATTTAGGATGCTGAAACTAATCGTGCTTTGAATCTTAACAGTTTCAGACTTCACTTACCACTGATACCAATTTGCACCCGCTCATTATGGAAGTTGTTTCATTACACATGAAATAGGAATGCTTAGCCCTGCTACTGCATCGTTGATCTTGACATAGTTCTTGAGTGGCTTTCAAATATTTAAATATATGTTTAAGCTAAGCATATCTTAAGGAATTCCTTTAATTTTTAGAATTTTTATCGCAGAAGTTAAAATTACAGAAATTAGTGGTAGAAATCAGTGGTTCACACCAAGGTGATTTTGTTCCCCAGGAGACATTTGGAAATGTCTGGAGACATTTTTCTTGGTCCCAACTGGGTCTCGGGTGGGCGCCTAATGGGTGGAGGCCAGGGGTTCTGCTAAACATTTTACAACACACAGGACAGCCCCCTCAACAAAGAATTATTTAGTCCCAAATATCAGGAAGGCAGAGGGTGTGACTCCTTGGTGCAGACTAACAGTGAAGATAAAGCTGATTGATATTCAAGCCTTTTTATTGTTTTGAGTATAAAAGTCTTAGACAATGTGCATCAGCTTCATTGGTTCTTCCTCAGATGACAGCCTTCTTTCCTTGTGTAGTTAGCCAAATGGGTCAATGCTATTTATGTTTCTCAGTAGTCAACGAGCGCGTTACCTCGTAGAATGCCTTATTTGAAACTTTCATTTTGTCCTCCACTACTTCATCTGTTGGCTCAGATGGTGACCAAATTTAGCTGCCTAACTCTCCAGGAGTCACAGAGCCAAAAGTGTTTCATTTTGTATTACTGAGGAAATCTAGTGCAAAGACGGAATGTGTATCAATGTCACAGTGATTAAGGATTTCACTTTTTCCTTCAAAATCTAAACATTTTTATTTTCTGAAGCAGTCTAGTTGTGTTAATTTTGGATAAATGAATGAAAAAAATAATCAAAACTAACAAAAAATCAATGTCAGTGTTGGTTCTCAGACTATGAGGGAACTAATAAGAGACCACAGTGGCTTCATAAAGACAGTTGCACTCAACTTAGCCTCACGATCAATTATTTTAATTAACTCTTTCAAGGCGTCTGGCAGAATATTTCCCTCAGTCTCAGTGAGTTGAATACTGCAGACCATGGAAAATATATCAGAAGGACATTAAAGTATCATCTTGTACAAAATCAGCCAACCTATGACCACTGGCTGGACAATAATAATAATAAATTATTGGCCACGTATTGTGGTTCATGACTATAATCCCAGCACTTTGGGAGGTTGAGGCAGGCAGACCGCTTAAGCTCAGAAGTTCAAGACTAGCCTGGGCAACATGGCAAGACTCAGTCTCTACAAAAAATACAAAAAAATTTTTAGCCAATTGTTGTGGCACACACTTATGGTCCTAGCTACTCAGGAGGCTGAGGCAGGAGGATCACTTGAGCCCAGGAGGATGAGGCTGCAGTGAGCTGTAATTGCACTCTGGCCTGGGCAACAGAGTGAGATTCAGTCTCAATATAATAAAATAAAAATAAAAACTATTATGCAAAAAATTAATGGGACAGCTTATTAAAATAATGCAGATCACCAGACACTGTCTTTAGAGGTTTGGATTAGTAAGTCATGGATGGGAGCCCAGAATATTTAACAAGCACCCCAGATGACTTGAAGTAGGTTGAGAAACTCTGGTTTAAGATGGTTTGCTTATAGTTCCTTGCTTGCCCCATCAGTAAGTTATTAAGGGAATTTCTCTTTCATGCCTGTCTTTTAGTACAGAGATCAGTAATACTGATTTAAAAGAAGTAACCTCGATTAACCCCTGCTATGGAAATGGTTGGCCCCAGTGCCTGGTCTCTTTTGCCAAGGCTAAATCAAATTAGATGTCACATGTGAAATGCTTTCTAAATTGTAAAGAGGAAAATAAGCCTATTTTCATGTACTCAGCAAATAGCTTATACGTTGCCTCTCACACAACAACATACCTAGTGGCATAATGAAGCCGAGAAAACCCACAGAATATCACAATGTGATTTTGCATTGTTCACTCTCATTTATCTCTTTATTTTTATGCCACTTAAGAAATATGGGAGGTACATGTGATATTTTGATACAAATATACAATGTATAATGATCAAATCAGGGTAATTGGGATAGCCATTGCCTCAAACATTTATCTTTTCTTTGTGTTGGGAACAGTACAATTCTTCTCTTCTAGTTATTTTGGAATGCACAATACATTATTATTAACTATGATTACTATACTATCAAATACTAGAACTTATTCCTTTTATCTAACTGTATCTGCAATACAGATTGTAATACATACATTTGATAGATTGGCATTCAGAGTATACTAAAAACTTGTAAATTCAATAAAAGAAGACAAACAACCTTATAAAAATAGTGGGTAAAGTCCATCATCTGGTGAATGGACAATCAAATGAAGGTGTATCTATACAATAGAGTGATATACACAACTTGAATGATTCTCAAAACTTGGAAATCAGTTAACACAGAGAGACATAAAAGACTACATGCATACTATCATTCTATCTATGTCAACTATCATGCCAAAGCCTTTGTTCTAGGGGGTTGTTTGAAGATTTGGAAATATAGAAAGGGACTATTTTTTTTTGTCTTTTAAAAAATATCTTCTAACTATTCTTGTACCCCCAAACAGATTTCTCTTCATCCTCTCCTCCTCCTTCCCTCCCCAGCCTCTGGTAAATGTCACTCTACTCTCTACCTCCATGAGATCCACTTTTTTAGCTCCCACATATGAGTGAGAACATGCAATATTTGTCTTCCTGTGGCTTATTTCCCTTGACATAAAGATCTCCATTAAAGCTTAGAAAACAAGAAGGACAAGTAGACATGAACTGACAATGTCCAGTTGGATGAAAAGAGCCCCCGATTCAAAGAGGTTTTGAGTCCTGGCAGTCCATCATGGAGAAGGCAGAGCAGGATTCTGCAGAAGACCCAGCAGAAATAGACAATCCTGCAGAGAGTGCACTGGCAGGTTTTCCAGGGAGACTCACACATTTAGACTTACAATCAGAAGGCTTGGGGGCCTGGCCTGGCTATCTGTGGTTTCACTTATAACTTGTGATATACCTGATCTTGGTCAAGATCCCCATTTTTGGAGATAAGGACAATTGCATTCACCTCAGATCATCGCTGTGAGGATTGAAAGAGATAAATGTGTGAAAAAGAAACCACTGCACAAGAAAGCACCTGTTTCCTGCTGCTGGAGTCCTATATGCCAGCTCATACAATTGGGCAATGCTCACAAAAGACCCAGATGTCAAGTAGTGCCTAAAATCAATTTATTATTACATACCAACATAGCCAACTGTGATGGGAGTTTGACAAATGGGTTGCTGAGTATGAATACAAATGGGCAGTGCTAAAAGTCTAAATGTTGGTATTGAGGTCTTATTTAATTGATCTGGCCCATTTATCTGAGTTCTGCTCTACCCTCCAACACACACACACGTGCGCAAGCATGCACACACACACACACACACACACAAAGAGGTGCAGGAAGAGAGAGCTTCAGTCTCATTCTCCCCAGCTAAGGTAGCTCTGCTTTTCCAATAGCATTCATTCTACTTCTGATGACTTGATTACCATCTTCTACCACCTTTTAGCTTCACTGAGAGGTCGCTGAATCCTAAAATTTGCCAGTAAAGACCTGAAGGGAGATGACCTGCAGTCAACTCCCACCACCCCATCATCATAGCTGCCCTGGAATGAGCAGGGCTTTTACAGGTGTTGCAAATCACACATTTATCTTGCCCAAGAGTGTGCTTGACCAGTGAGGGAAAGTTGGAGTTGAGAGTAGCACATAGCAGCAAACAGGGCAGATGAAGATTTCCACAGAAACCTTGGCTTTGCCAGTTAACAGCTATCTGTGGGACCTGCCTGGAAGGACAAGGCTCTTATCACCAAGTATTCTGCTACCTCAAAGCTACCCCACTATTACAGGTGAAAAATAAAAATAAATTGCTTAATATGACTGTTGCATAATTGGAACAATGGAAAACATTGCCGTTTTTTGTTTTTGAGTCAGAGTCTCACTCTGTCGCCCGGGCTGGAGTGCAGTAGCGTGATCTTGACTCACTGCAGCCTCCACCTCCCAGGTTCAAGTGATTCTCCTGCATCAGTCTCCCAAGTAGCTGGGACCACAGGCGCGTGCCACCACAGCTGGCTAATTTTTGTATTTTTAGTAGAAATGGGGCTTCACCATGTTGGCCAGGTTGGTCTCGAACTTCTGACCTCAAGTGATCCACCCACCTTGGCCTCCCAATGTGCTGGAATTACAGGTGTAAACCACCATGCTGGGTCAACATTGCCTTTTTAATGTAGTCAAATAAGGGTAATGCAGATTGAGCACATCGAGTTTGTATGTTTTTTTCTAATTATGCTTTATTCCTACTTTGATTATTTTTTAAAAGTCAGGTTTGTTGAAGTTGAAGTTGCATAACACAGAATTTATCATTTTAAGAGTTTAATTTCATAAACTTTGACATGTGTATATGGTTAGGAAACCACTACCACAATTAACATAGAGAATATTTCCTTCACCCCAAAATTTCCATGTGCTCCTTTGGAGTCAACCATTCCTCAACTCCCCAGCACTGAGAAATCACTGATATGATTCCTTACACTATAGTTTTGATTTGTGCAGAATGTCGTGTAAACGGACTCATGCAGTATGTAGTCTTTACATCTGTCTTTTTAAACTTAGTTTTATGCTTTTGAGACTCATCCATGTTGTTGCATGCACCAAGAGTTGGTTGCTTTTTATCACTGAGTAATATCTCCTTGTATGAGTGTAAAGTAATATGTTTATCCACTCATCAGTTGATAGTTATTTCTTGGCAGTTCTGAATAAATTTTGCAGGTAGGCCTTTGTGTAGCCACATTTTTTTGTGTGTGGCTAAATACTCAGGAGTGGCATTGCTGGGTTGTATGTTGTACATTAAGTGTAGGTTTAACTTTACAATAAACTGTTAAATCATTTTATAAAGTTGCTGTGACATTTTGCATTCTGACCAGCAATGTGTGAGAGTTTCAGATGTGTTGCATCTTTTCTAGTCTTTTCTATTGTCAGCTTTTAGTTTTTAAATCTTAGCCATTTTATTTTATTTTATTTTTTGAGAAGGAGTCTCACTCTGTCGTCCAGACTGGAGTGCAGTGGCGTGATCTCGGCTCATCACATCCTCTGCCTCCTGGGTTTAAGCAATTCTGCCTCAGCCTCCCGAGTAGCTGGGATTACAGGTGCCCGCCCCCATACTGGGCTAATTTTTTTAATTTTTAGTAGGGTTTCACCACGTTGGCCAGGCTGGTCTCAAACTCTGGACCTCAATGATCTGCCCACCTTGGCCTCCCAAAGCACTGGGATTACAGGCATGAACCATCACACCTGGCCTATTTTTAAATGTTAGCCATTTTAATAGGTTGTAGTGGTGTCTCATAGTGGCTTTAATTTGTATTAATAGTTTTTCGATGTCATTGAGCATCTTTTCATTGGTTTATATGCCTTTTGTATCTCTCTTCTTTTTTGTTTTAGTTTCTTTTCTTTCTTTTTTTCTTTTTTTTGAGACAGGATCTCCCTCTGTTGCCCAGACTGAATGCAGTGGTATGATCATGGCTCACCGAAGCCTTGACCTCCTGGGCTCAAGTGATCCTCCCATCTCAGCTTGCAGAGTAGCTGGGACTACCAGCATGCACCACGACACCTGGCTAATATTTTTGTTTTGATTTTTGTAAACATGAGGGGTCTATGTTGCCAGGCTGGTCTCAAACTCCTGGGCTCAAATGACCCTGCCATCTCAGCCTCCCGAAGTGCTGGGATTACAGGTGTGAGCCACTACACCCAGCCTGTATTTCTTTTTTTATGAAGTGCCTGCTCAAATCTTCTGGCTGTCCTTTAGTTGTATTGTTTTTCTTACTTTCAGTTCTTCATATATTCTTGATACACATTCTTTATCAGATATGTATTTTAAAATTAAAATTATTTTCTCCCAGTCTTTGTCTTGTATTTTCATTTTCTTAACAGTATTTTCCAGAGCAGATGTTTTTAATTTTGATGAAGTGAAGTTATGCAATTTTTTCTTTTATGGTTTGTGCCTTTTGTGTCCTATCTAAAAATATATGTTCAAACCAAAGATTACAAAGATTTTTTCCTATGTGTTCTTCTAATGGATGTTTTATAGCTTAGCTCTTACACTTAGTCTATGATTCATTTTGAGTTAATTCATATCTATAACATGATATATGGATTGAGATATATTTTTTATTTCTAGCTGAATATCTAATTTGAATATAATTTGTTGAAAATTATCTTTTCCTCAATAAATTACCAAGACGCCCTTGTCAAAACTCAAGGGAAGTAAATGTCTGGTTCTCTTTCTGGACTGTCTATACTATTCCATTGATTTATGTCTATCCTCATGCCAATACAAGAGCATTTTGATCAGTACATCTTTCTGGTAAACTTTGAAACTACATAGTATGAATTCTCCACTAGGTCCTTTGCTTTTTCATATATATTGTAGAATGAACTTAGCAATTTCTACCAAAAAAATTCCTGCTGATATGTTGATTGGTATTGTTAAATTTTGTAGCATCAGTTTTACATTTTTACAAGATTGAAAAAAATTAAAAGAGTAATATTTTGTGGCATGTGAAAATTAGATAAAATTCAAATTTCAGTGTCCATTAATAAAGTTGTAGTGAAACATAGATAAACTTGTTTATATATTGTCTATGGCTGTCTTCACACTGAAACATAGTGCTGAGTAGTTATAAAAGGGACTATATGATCTACAAAGCCTCAAATATTGATGATCTGGCCATTCTCAGTAAACTTTAGAGAGAAAGTTTACTGACCTCTGATGTAGATTACTGATTTGAGAGTCTTCTTGTTTTCTAATACGGATATTTAATGCTATAAATTTGCCTCCGAGCACTGCTTTACCTGTGTCCCACACATATTGATGTTGTGTTCTTATTTACTTAATTCAAAATATTTTCTATTTTCCTTGTGATTTCCTCTTTGTCCCATTTGTTATTTAAAAATGCATTGTTTTATTCTCAAATATTTGAGGACTTCCAGACATATTTTCATTATTGATTTCTAGGCTTAATTCCTTCTTTTTATCTCTTTTATTATTTGGCCTAGTGTTATCATACATTTTAGTTTTACATGTTATAAGCCTCACAATATAGTGTTGCTATTTTTACTTTATAACATTAATTATATTTTAATGTGAAGAAAGAAAAAGAAAGTATTTTATATTTACCTTCATTTCTAGCCTTCCTGGCATTCTTCATGTCTTTATAAGTCTTTTGGTAGTTGCATTGTTCCTGATGAGAAAATACTGTCACTCTTATCTTTGTTTCTCTGTACTTAAAGTACAATTGTTTCATGAATACCTGGGCCACCAAGCAGGTGTCCCTTGGGTCTTTTTCCCTGCCCTCAATATTTCTTGTGAACATCTTATGGAAGCACGTGAAAAAGAGATTGCAAGTGTATATGAATTACCCTTATATCTGGGTCCCCTGGCTATACCTAACTTGTTTAGTTACCTATACTTGGCCTTTAAACATGTACCATTTTAGGTTATTTCTTTATACCCACTTATATTCACCTCTTCCTTCCATACTCTGCTAAGATGAAGCCATTTATGTGTTTCATCTTACCTTGGAGGGACTTGTAACTCACTGGAACTCAATTTAATTCGTTGCTATGACACCTTACCTTTTTGATTGGCTCAAAAAGTTTTTATTTTATAAATTTTTAAACTTTTTTCATTATTGGATTTGAAAGGACATCTTCTATAGATTTCTACATCCCAAGTGAAATCAGAACTCAAGGATTTATTTAAAACTGTCTTCAGAGACAGTTTAAAATCAACAGGAAAACTGAGTCTGTTGATCCCCTTTGCACATCTTTTTTAAATCACTTATGATATTCCCAGCTTCACCCATCTTAATCCCCCAACTTGGCTCTATATGCCAGTTTGAAAAGCCAAGTTAACCTTCACAGAATTAAGATGTATAGTCTTTGAATATATTAAAGGATGTGTTACAGGCTCTCAAAGAAATTCTTAAAGAGGAGTACTAAAAACATGTGAAAATTAGAATGTGTTTTGTCCTCAAGTTAATTGCTTTGAAATGTAACACTTATTACATGTAAGAGATTTTTGATCTGTTCATTTAAAGGAATCAGTTATATACCTTTTTGATAGAAGAATCATAGTAGTATTCTTCCAATTGCACAACATCAATAACTCTTTCTTTGACCAGCAAATAGACATTGAGTACCTTCTAGGGACTCCGTTAAGTGAACTCAGGTATCAGAAGGACATTTCAACATGACTTCTTTCACCCCAGAGAATAAGAAAATTTACTCTTAAACAGTATTGATTCCAAGTGCAAATTCTAGAGAATAAGAATATTCAAAATTTTACAGTATTTATTATGAGTGCAAAGGAATTCAAAGAAGGGAAAGAGCATGCCCTGGAGAGGCAGGGAAAGCTTCAAGGAGCTTGAGATGAACCTGGAAAGATGGCTTGAATTAATATTAACAAAGGGAAGGAGAGGAGAGAGGCCTGCAAAAACACAGAGGCCGGGGCTTATGAATAGGCCAACCTGGCTGGTGTGGTGTTTGCATATTAGGGCATAGTGGGAAATGAAGATAGGTTTGGGTCAAATTGTAGAATGCCTTTAAACATGAGAAGAGGAGTTTAGATGTTTAATGTCTTAGAGAAGAGGAAGTGATTGTAGACTCTGGAGCAGAAGAAATGCCATGATAAAATATATATTTTAGGAAATTTTAACTAAAAATAACACTTGGGAGTTTTAGAGCAGGAATTGTAGAACAGTCTATTTTAGCAATACAGGTATGAGAATCTGAAATAGAATAATGTGCAAATTGCTCTAGGCTTCCATATTTTTATATTGATATTATTTTCCCCAGAATTTCTATGATATTTATCCCTATCATTTATTTGTCAGTTATTTACTATCTGCATAGTAGTCATCCTATTTTGGCATTTCACATACCTCCTTCACTAAATTACTTGCTGGGACCATATTGTATATTTAAACTTTTTAATGCACCAGTAAGTTCCTAAAATTGTTTGCCCACATTTGGAAAAAAAGAAAAATGAGCAAGATTATTGATATTAAGTACATTACAGAATTTAATTTAAAAATCTTAATAAGAAATGTAGAAGACAGAAGAGATAAACCTAGGAGATTAAATGAATAATGATATACTTAGAAAATGATTTCTTGTGGTGATAGGGAAAGTTGGTGAGTTAAGTTTTAGCTGTGTAAGATTTAAGGATATCCAACTAGAAATATTACGTTGGCTTTTGAAAACAATGCAAGTGAGAACTCATCCATATTTTTACCTATCACTTATCATAATCTCTTCTTATGACATTATCTTATTTTGACATCATTGATCACCTACTCTGTTTCAAACAATTGTGAATTTTATCTCTGTAAGTATGGTAAATGTAGGGTCTATATCTAATTTATCTTTGATTTCCTCAAAATACTTGGCATAGTTTTACATTATAGGTTATCAATATACATTTGTTATATCAATGAGGATATTGACAAATATTTACAAGTGTTTCTCAACCTCAGCAGTATTGACATTTTAGACTGAGTGGTTCTCGATTCTGAGGGCTGTCCTGCTTACTGTAAGATGCTTAGCACCATCTTTGGCCTCTGTCCACCAGATGCCAGTAGTATTCTCATTCCCCAAGTTGTGACAATTAAGAGTATCCAGACATTGTCAGATGTCCCCTGGGGGAGGAGGTGGCACAACATCAGCCCTGGTTGGAAAACCACTGGTTTAGATAGATGTAGGATCAGGATATCAATATTTAGGAGTCATTTGATTACAGATTATACTTCAAGTCTTGGTTCCATAACAAAATGGAACATAGAGAAGAAATAGCTGATGGCTAAGAACAAGCTTTGGATAACGAGTATAAAATTGCAGGGGAGTGGGTAAGTGACAAGGGAGTTTCCAAACTAGTTACTAATTCCATAATTCTCTTACTCTTGGTACATAGTATCAGCTCAGCAGTGTCCAATAGAAGCAGTGTGAATCACAAATGTAACTTTAAATTTTCTGGTAGCCATAATAAATACAAAGAACCAGATAAAATTAATTTTAATAATACATACTATTTAATCCCATATATCCAAAGCATTACCATTTCAATATGTAATGAATATAAAATGTTAATGAGATATTTACATTCTCTCTTGCATGAAGTCCTTGAAATGGCTGTGTATTTTACACTTATTTCCATTTGTTCTATTCATTTTAAGTGCTCAACAGCCACATGTGCTAGTGTCTACCATATTGGATAGAGTAGGACAATTTAATCGATTTAAATAAATGTTTTCTTGTCCCTTTAATTAACATCATTATCATTTTCATAAAGGGAGCTACAATGCCTACTGACATGTCTGAAGTGTTTGCAAATTTACTTTTTACTTTATAAACAGTAAGTCACTTTTTGGGTGTGGAGTTCCATGAGTTTTAATAAATGCATGGAGTCAGGTAATCATTACCACAATCAGGATATAGAAAATTCTCACCTCCCAAAACTCTTTTGTGCTGCTCTTTTGTAGTCAACTTCTCCCCCTATACCTAGTCCCAATATTTTTATTTTTGGGGAGTAAGATTCTCCCCTTTATCAAAAACAAATTTCAGGAAAAAAAGATAGACGGCAAACAGAAAGACAGTTAAGGAAGATGCAACCCTTGACATTTGAGAGTATATTCCTTTCAAAAGCTCATTTGCAATTATAGCTCTGCTTGACTTGAAGTCACACAAGCCCACTCAGAGAGGAGGACATGTGCTTCCCCTTCCCCCACATTCATCTGTCATTCCTCTGCAGGTTACAAGAATAGGAAGGCCTCTCCCAGAATACTCCCTATGACAGATGGTAAAATTACGCCAGGAGAGACCCAGAAGAGAGATGCAGGCAAGAACTACACAGGTGGGAGACTTTCCACAGAAACAAGGGTCTAAAGAGGGCCCCCATCAGATGCTAAACAGTCCTTATGCTTAACTTTCTGGGTCCTCAAATTTCTCTGTTTCATGGCTTCTTTGCTCTCCTAAGGAGAGACACCTGGGAACAACAGCCTTCTAATGCACGTGCAGTTCCTGCAGCGGACGGGCCTGGATTGCTGACCTTATTAAAGTGTAGGTGACTTGGGTTGTGCCAAACACCGTGAGGGCAGGTGTCCTTGGGCCAACTGACAGCAGTGGCTCTGGCTTTGCTGTGACTCTCAGAATTTCCATTCTGTTAAAAAAACCTAGGAAGCAGATGGGAAGAGGCATGTGGAGGCACCTCCCTCACATATATGTCACCATTGGCACCCAGGTTGGGAAGAGGAAGGTCGCCTGTTTGCTTGATGCTGTTCCAGGAGCTCATTCCTACTATGCTGCCCTTAGAATCATACTTTTTCTACTTTAAGTTTTACAGAAATAGAGTTCAGCAAGTCACTCACACACCCACCAACACACACCCAGACATACAATACACACAGGCGAGCACTTTACCCTTAGTTCACGTTCTTGAATACTTGTCTTTGCATTTTGCAAATGTAACAACATAATTATGTTCTTCAGGATGCAGGTCTGTTCCTGGACCTCTCCTTAGTATTCTCTATGCTTTATCTACTTCTAATATCTCTTTTTATCCCCCACCCACCCTTACATAAATATAAAGCTTAAAAAACATCAAGAGATTGCGAGAACATAAAGGAACACACTGACCTAAAGATATATGCACTAACTGGGCAAGTACTTTGAGTAACTATTTTGTAAAACTTTAAGTAGAAAAACAATTACATAAAAGCAAGAATGTCCTTTTGACCTCACATCTTATTCCTCCCACAATCTCCCAGCAACATGCATATACTGGAAAATCTGGGGACCATCCCAAAACCTGCATGTCTGCAACAGATGACTGTTGATTAGTTTATCCAAGTCATTTCAAGTTTACCACACAGTTCGACTAAATCAAGGATCCTCATTGGCATATTTGGAAGGGAAAATGTCCTGTTTATTGGAGCTTGCTAGGCAAAGTAGAAAAAGGGAAGTAGTGGCAGAGGCAGTGCCGTATGTTCACAAATTCTTGTTTCGTTTTCTTCCTGGGAAAGTGGGAAGATTACCTTTTTCCAGTCCCCACTGCCAACTGGATTCTGACTAATGAGATATGAACTGGAAGTGTTACATGTAACTCCCAGATCTAGTGCCTAAAACCGCCCACTCAAACCGCCATACACTCCTTGTGGGTTAACCTGACACAGGACATCCCATGAGGACTCATGACCCCTGGGATAGTGAGCCACTGGGTCCCTGCGTGAGTGTGGAGCAGAGCCTCTACCCCCAATTCATTAAACCACATTGGACTGTGAGGTGAGCAAGAAATAAAACTATTTGAGTCACTGAGCTTCTACAGTTGTTTGTAATCCATAGCATTTTTCACTTCCTGATCAACACAGGTACCAACCACCTGACTGTCAACTTTCTTTATCTCTGGCCTCAAGGTAATTAATTGTACCAGATACTCCTTTGGGTTGGATGTAGCTGTGAGAGGTATGATGCTTATCACTTTATGGTGACCAAGGATTATCAAGTGTCCTGTCTGATTTGACTACTGTCCACTATCCAACTTTTATTTGCTTGGTTTGCCTGTAGAAAAAATCTTTAGGGACAAATTGGGTCTCCTGACATCACTGAGGCAAGCACCAGTTAGATACTTATTGAAGCCTGATTGGTGGTATGCTGGTAAATGTTAAACAACTGGTTCTCTTGGAAAAATTATATGCATATGTATTAAGTACATATATTTATTAATTTTACTGATATCAAGAATATGCAGCACACAATTCACAAGTAATAATAAAATGTACAATATTTTTATAATAAATTTATACAGCGAGTTGTCTTTTGCAGAATGCTTTCATTGATTTTTGCCAAATTCTTGCATCTACGGCCAAACTACTATTGCAATTCAACCATGATTTGACACATAGAGTTGCATCCCAATTTGCCAGCTCTTTTTCTAACACATTTATCATCATTATATCTGATATATGGTCTGCCGTTAAACTATTTGTCACCTTCAAACAAATTATATTCATTAAACTGAAACTTCTTTCAACTTCGGCACTACATATATTAGATTTTTACTCACTTGTGAATTACATGAACAACTGTTTTGCTGAATTAGTTAATAGTTTTTGAATACCGTCAGAATATTTTCCCAATGTTGTATGCTAGTGACAGTGTAATGGCAATCCACATGACCCCTTTTCTTATGTTTAACCTGTATTATTAACATGTTTTTCCATCAGTATTTTAAGTCTAGTTGAGAGATTGGCAAATGTTTTCTGTAAAGAGACAAATATAAAATATTTTAGGATTTGTGGGCCACATAGTTTCTCTCGCCACTACCCAGCTCAGCCATTGTAGTCCAACAGCAGCCACAGACAAAACAGAAACAAGTGGGCATGGTTGTTCTTTAATAAAACTTTAGAGAAAAAGACCATAGGCTCAATTTGGCCCACTGATTTTGGTTCGCCAAGCCTTGTCTAGATAATCAAAAAAACTATAAATCCAGCCTTGATTTGTAGGGTTTGTCAGTTTGTGTGGTGTAAATACTCCCACCATGGCCAATGCCAGGCTGATGTGAGTTGGGAAGACGTGCAGTAGCACGGTCTCATGTGATATTTCCACCATTCATATGCAATAGAAAGAACTGCAAGAGCATAGATGATACTACAATGTAATAAAATAATTAGGAAGTAACCTCGTGTATTTATCACCTGTGTTTTTAATGTAATTTAATTGCAAGACTATGTAATTTAATTGTAACACTATATAATTTACTTTTAATAATGACTGCATTTCTGAGATCATGACACTGCACTCCAGCCTGGGTGACAGAGCAAGACCCTATCTAAATAAATAAATAAACAAATAAAGGCTGTGTTTAACAACTTGCTTACAAAATTCTTGAAATTTTTTATTTATTATTATTATTATTATTATAATTATTTTACTTTAAGTTCTCAGATACATGTGCAGAATGTGCAGGTTTGTTAAATAGGTATACATGTGCCATGGTAGTTTGCTGTACCTATTAACCCATCATCTAGGTTTTAAGCCCTGTATGCATTAGGTATTTGTCCTAATGCTCTCCTTCCCCTTGCCACTATGCCCCAACGGGCCTATTTTTATTTTTTTATCAATACATAGTTAGAAACATTTATGGTATACATGTGATATTTTGATGCATGCATTCAGTGTGTAATGATCAAGTCAGAGTAATTAAGTCATCCATTACTTTACACATTTATCATTTCTTTGTGTTGGAAACGTTCAAAATCTTCTCTTCTAGCTATTTTGAAATATACAATAAATTATTGTCAACTATATCATCCTACTGTGCTACAGAACACTAGAACTTATTCCTTCTTTCTAACTGTATCTTTGTATCCATTAACCAACCTCTCTTCATCCTCCTCCTCCCTACCCTTCCCAGCCTCTTGTAGCCATCATTCTAGTTTATGAGATCAACTTTTTTAGCTCCCACATATGAGTGAGAATGTGCAATAAAATTTTTGAAAATTTAGTAATCGGGTCTCACAAGGCTGTATAATCTTGTTCTACTACATCACTTGATCCCCAACAGTTTCTCTTCTCCACAGCTGTTGCATCACAGTAGAAGCATATCTTTATTTATTTTCTCCAAAAGCATGGTTAGAGTTATTAGAAAGTAAATATTATTGAATCAGTTATTTTGCTCCAAAGATAAGTTTGTCAACACTTAAAACTCAAAGCATCCATCAATCCTTATTCATATGTTCAAAGTTATTACAGATTCATTATATACTTTAAAGTAAAACATGTTCAATATTTTCCTTACACATACTTTGACTATAACTCATTCTTATTTAAGGGTAGATATGACAGATTACGATGTTTGAAAAAGTCTTATACACAACTTTTTACCCTTTTTAAAGATCCACTCCAAGTTTAGATAATCAAAGCCTCAAATGTAAATAAACTGCAGCAAAAGGGATCTTTTAATAGAAAGTCTATGCATGAAGTAACCTGGTTTAATGAAAAGGATGCTGTCGTGATTTGATTCTGTGTCCTCACCCAAATCTCATGTTCAATTGTAATCCCCAGGGCTGGAGTTGGGGCCTGGTGGGAGGTTACTGGATCATGGGGGTGGTTTCTCATGGTTTAACATCATCCCCCTTGGTGCTGTTATCACAATGGTGAGTTCTCATGAGATATGATGGTTTAAAAGTGTGTGGCACCTCCCCACTCACTTGCTTCCTCCTGCTCCCACCATGTAAGATGCCTGCTCCCACTTTGCCTTCTGCCATAAGTAAAAAAGCTCCCTGAGACCTCCCCAGAAGCAGATGCCGCCATGCTCCCTGTACGGCCTGCAGAACTGTGAGCCAATGAAACCTCTTTTCTTATAAATTACCCTGCTCAGGTTATTTCTTTGTAGCAGTGTGAGAACTGACTAATACAGATGCCAACTTTAGCATTTGAGAAATGTAGATTCAAAACCCTGCTTTGACACCTGTAACTTACGTAACCTCTTTAAGCCTCAGTTTCCTATTATGCAAAATAGGTCATAAAGTTGTCAGGAGGCTTAAATCAGAACAAAAAAATGTGAAATACTTACCACAATGTTCAGCTCATATAAAGCGTTTGGTAAATACAAGCTATTATTATTATTCACTGAAATTTTCATATTACTGCATTAAATTTTCTAATAATGAAGCTGGTGATGTTAATAGTGATTTAAATGCTATACTTAGTCACAATTTTAACAGTTCCATATTGGGACTGAGGACCTAGTATTTCAGATACATATATCCTCTTTGCCGTATATCAGGTACTAGCAGTTGTGGTATATAATCAAAATTTCTCAGATCTGCAAGGTTGAATTGGCAATTACCAATTGTCCATGTGGTAAACTAAGTTTCTACATACTTTCAAAATAGATACAACCATCCCAAAACGGCCTGCTACCACTTGAAAATAACCTGGTGGCCTACTATCTCAGTGATTTTCCCACCTTACTTGGTAAAGCCATGTAAGAAGGCTAACCATAGCTGCATAGATGCACTTGGTGAAGGTTAGCTTTACCTCCTCCTGTTGTGTCTCAGGGATGGGTAGTGTTAGATTTGACCATGATGTTAAGATTAAAGCTTCATCCTAGACTATTTATACAAATACCCAAATAATTGTTTGGGGAGATCTCTTATTAACTTCAATTTGAAGTGAAATACAGTGCCATCAAACATGCTTGAGAGTTTCAACCCAGTATGTAAGGAGCACAGAGGCATATTTTGGTATTGTCATATATTGGTTTCTTCTTCTTCTTTTTTTTTTTTTTTGAGATGGAGTCTCGCTCTGTCACCCAGGCTGGAGTGCAGTGGCGCGATCTCGGCTCACTGCAAGCTCCGCCTCCCGGGTTCACGCCATTCTCCTGTCTCAGCCTCCAGGCATGTGCCACCACGCCCGGCTAATTTTTTTTTATTTTTAGTAGAGACAGGGTTTCACCTTGTTAGCCAGGATGGTCTCGATCTCCTGACCTTGTGATCCGCCCGCCTCAGCCTCCCAAAGTGCTGGGATTACAGGCGTGAGCCACCGCGCCCGGCATGTATTGGTTTCTTTATCTCCTACAGCTTTTAATGGTGATAGCAAAACCACATTAAAAATTTGATTCACTGTTTCACTTTGAATTTTCCCAAGTTCCTATGGAAATGACCCAAAGTATAGCTTTTATTAACATTTTATCAAAACTTAGACACTCATGGCAGTAATCAAAACTCATATTCTAGACCACCTAAGAGTTGCTGATGACATCAATCCCATGTCATCAACTGATGATAAATAAACTTGGTACATTTGGTGAAAGCATTTTCTTCATCATACTCAGAACATACATTTAAAAATAACTATGTGCTCTTTTGCTTTGATTTTTTCAAATAGGAGAAATAAAACCGTCACCAGTCCCAATACTGGTCAAACAGCTTCCTGAAGAAATGAAAAAGTAACTTCTATTCTTTTTGTTTCTGTTCTTACTTCCTTTTTTCTTTCAAGGAATATGTACTTAAATGTGACTTCTATATTTTGATAACCAGATACCTTACAGCAATTTGCCATTCTTGAGCTAAGCTGTATTTTGCTCTCTTTATCTTTTAATTCTCCAATTTCAAGCACATAGGAAAGCCCTTAATATTTTCTTGCCCAGGGAATTGTTGAAGAGCGGAACGCAAAAGCCCTAGGCTCTTCTTCCTGCCTTTTGTGAAAGCCTAAATACGGGAAGAGATTACGCTGGGCTTCCCAGAGAACAGGCGGGAGGGACGGCTCTTTACGGGAATATCTGTGAGGTAAGAAGGGGAAATATTCTTTAGCAGTGGGCTTTGTGAGACATTAACAGAAATGTTCAGCATGCCCAGAAACTGCTTTGGTAGCCTTGAGAAGAGAACTGGTTTTCGTAACTTCAGCGATCAGGAAGTTGCAGCAAGAGCTCCTTGAGTCACAGGGGCTCCTAATGAAGGCAGTGCAGTGGCAAACAGAGGAGAAAACTTGGTAAGCAGTGGAACTCTCTGCAGAACAACTCTCTTCCTACTTCCACAGGTAGATAAAGTCTTACCTGGGCAAAGAATAGATATGAGAGAGAAAGAGAGAGAGAGAGAAGTTTTTCCTTCCTTTTTAAGGATGAAAAGATTTGAATATAAAAATATATTATTTCTCTTTCTCTCTATATATTTTTTCAAGACAACTTATTTGAGCTCCACATATTGGATGCACACAAACATCTAAAAGAATAACAAAACAAAGAAAAATATTATACAAGAAAAAAATTCCGTAGTTCAAAAAAAGTGATGCATCTGAATTATCGGAGGAAACGTTCTGTGAAGAGACAGATCACGCACCAAGCTGACTTCAGCAGAAAACTGTTTTTAAAATGTAATTTATATTCTCAATGGATTCCATAAGGTATTATATAAATGAAAAAGGAACAATTTGAGAACAAGAAAGAATACTTTCAGAGAGAAACTGTTGGACTAAAAATGGCAAATAGAGTGGAGGCCTTAAAGAACAGAATGAATAGTAAATCAAGAAATTAGATAAACAGCTTGTGAAATTCTCCATAGCTCAGAGTGAGAAAAAAAAAAAACCCACAAGTAATGACTATAAAAAATTTAAAAGCAAAAAGAATAGATCCAAGAGATGTAATATAAATAAAATAGGAAAGTTGTCTTCATTTATTTTCCTACAGAAAAACAGTAACAAAAAAAGGTGTTTCTATGCATCTGTGTGTATGTTGGGGAGCATGAGGGTTGTCGGGAAAGGAAGCAGAGGCTGCCACAGGTGGAGTATCAGGTGATCCACGACAAGCAGAAACTGTATTTTAAACATTTTATTGTGTTTTTAGAATTATTGCACATATAAATTGTATCCCAAAATATATCCAAGTTTTTATTTTTTAATTTTCCCTTTTTTTTGAGATGGAGTCTCACTCTGTCGCCCAGGCTGGAGTGCAGTGGTGCAATCTTGGTTCACTGCAACCTCCTCTGCCTCCCAGGTTCTAGCGATTCTCCTGACTCAGCCTCTTGAGTAGCTGGGATTACAGGTGTGCATCACCACACCCAGCTAATTTTTGTATTTTTGTAGAGACGGGGTTTCATCATGTTGGCCAGGCTGGTCTTGAACTCAGGTGATCCAACCACCTCAGCCTCCCAAAGTGCTAGGAATACAAAGCACTAGGATTATAGGTGGTGTGAGCCACCATACCCAGCCCAAGTTTTTAATTTAACATCATGGGAAAGAACGTATTTCACAGAGCATTCTGCTACTTGCATAAGCTGCTGAAAAGTGCTAAAAAGTAGATCAACATTTAAATATATATTATTACACATAACAAATAAATGACTACCCAAAAAGTTAAGGAAACATGGAAGTCACTTTTGTTTTGAGAGTTTGGCAATCCCAATTTATTATAATCTTTGATGGCCTTCTCAGTGGACAGAGACTAGACAGAAATCCAATGGCCTGTACAAGATGGAGCATGCTATAAGAAATGCTCTGCAGTCCAACTCCCTGCACCCCTTATCACACACCCCTCAAAAAATAACTGCTGAGATTCCAAGTAATGTACTCAAAGGTGTGGGCAAACCAAAGTAGTAAAGCTCAAGGGGAGTTTCCTGCTAGTTTTGAATTATTTGGTTACACAGGTAATGTAAAGCCTGGAATTTTGTTTAAGGCAATTATAGAATTATAGGGACCACAAGTGCCTTGGAGAAGCAAAATTAAACACTTTCTAGAGGGAAGTACCTCCACTATATGCTCAACTAATTTCTGCAAATAACTTTCCATATGCATTGTAGCACACAGCCAAAGATACAACCAAACACCCAATGAAATTAGTCTTCATGAGTAAAACCAGAAAAATAGAAAACAGCAAAATACCCTAAAATACTTCATATATTGGGACTGTTAGACACAGACTGTAAAACAACTGGGCTATGTATAAAGAAACACTCAATAAGCTTAAATATATTTGCAGAAACACAAAACCATTTTTAAAAATGCAACATTGCATGTTTGAAAAATAATCAGATAAAAGTTTTATAAATTAAAAAGAAATTAACCGAGTTTGTTTTTTTTTCTTTTTAAAAGATGGCTTTACCAGCAAATTAGACACCCTAAAAGAGAGAATTCCTAAACTGGAAGATAAGTTAGAATAAATTAAATACACACAAAAAACAAAACTAGGGGTAATAGAGAAGAGAGAATAAGAGTCAGAAGATAAAGTGAGAACATTTTAAATGTATAGAACCAGAATTCAAGAAAGAAAAAAAATTGAATGGGACAGAAGCTATATTTGAAGAGCCACTAATGGCAGATTAGACAGTGAAGGCAAAATTGATGAATAGGTCAAAAGAAATATCAAAACTGAAGTCATAGAGAGAAGAAACACTTGAAGTTACCTAAAGGAGCATTCATGATATGGGGCAGAACAATAACATGTAAGATCTTTGTAATCAAAGCCCCAGGAGAAAAGGATAGAATAAATGAGACTAAGCCAATATTTAAAGAGATGATAGCTAAGAGTTTTCCAAAGATGACAAACGGCACCAGTGCACAGATCCCACAAACCCAATGAATCCAAAGCAAGATATATAAAAAGAAATCTACACCTAGATGCATTATGGAGAAACTGCAGAAAATCAAAGACAAAGAGAAAATCTTAAATGCAGACAGAGAATAAAGATAGATTACCTTCAAAGAAACTACAGTAACACTGACAGTTGATTTCTCAACATAAATAATAGAATACAGAGGTTTGTGGAGTGATATCTTCAATACATGTAAAGAAAATAACTTGCAAGTGGAATTTTATACTCATTAAAATATCTTTTAAGACTAAGGTGAAATAAAGATATTTCAGTCAAATGAATCTTAGGAGAAAATACATCCATAAGAGGTAAGTCCACACTGCAGATTTACTACCTAAGGGGGAAATGGACCAGGTCTAAGAAGCAGGCCTGCTTCTGAGTGACCCAGGTGAGGTTAGAGAGTGCAGAGAAGCTAAAGGTATAGGGGTAAGGTGGAAAGCTGAAAAGTGCTAAACACTGGATCAACATTTAAATATATATTATTATACATAACCAATAAATGACTACCCAAAAAGTTAAGGAAACATGGAAGTCACTTTTGTTTTCAGAGCTACATAACAAAGTCCTGATGAGAAGAAAGGGTTGCTTTAGCTTTTTAAAGTATACCTTCTTTGTTTCCATCATACTACCAGCCTGAGATGGTTGTCAACACTCCCACATAAATTTCAAGCCTAATAATGGACAAAACAAGACACAGACAGTGTAAGACAAGTAAGGGACATCCCACCTAACTTTCTTCCCAGGAAACCGTGCCCCCTATTATCTGAGCTGGCTACTTCATGACCAAGAATAAAATGTTAGGGAAATGGGATGGAGAGAGGGAGGCCAAGTCTATTCCCAAATATTTAAGATTCTTACTTTTTAAAATAACTGGTATTGAGAATGCTGTCAGGACAATTCAGTCATGAGAGGGAGCTAGTAAGACTTAAAATGTAAACTCTTAATGATATCTTAATGAATCCAACAATTCTACAACTAAACAGCCCTTTGCTGAGCTCAGAGGCTCTCAGGAGAAGCCTTGAGAGCCGTTGACTAAATAAATCCCCATTGCTACTGAGCTGATGCCTGAGTTGCCCAAACAAGAAGCTGCTCAGGCTAAGTGCTGTCACCTCCACCCACGACTTTGATTGGGGCATATGCCTGAAGACACTATTGCTTGCTCTGTCCATGGGATTTCTAACTGCTGTGTATAGATATGTATATCTATTTATAAATGTGTGTTTATATATGCGTACATATACATATAAACTCTTACAGCTAAAAGGGCCTTAAAAAATAATCTTTCCTCCTTCACAAAATCTAAAATATCCCCAAAGTAATAAAATTGGTAATATCTGAGTGATAGAATTATAGATGGTTACTTTATTAATTTTATGAAATGTTAGGTTACATTAGTAATGGTAAGATTTAAGATTGAATAAATAAAGCAATATGATTCACAGAAATCTCTATAATTGCTAATAAATAATTCTTACAATTTATAGTTTTATATATAAATGTACACATAAAAATTTGTGTATCTCTGTATATCTATTTATAAGTGTATGTTTACATATGCATACACATATACATATAAACTCTTACAGCTAAAAGGACCTTAAAAAATAATCTTGCCCCCTTCACAAAACCTAACATTATCCATTGTGGCCTGTGGCAATTTTAAACCTACTTATGTTTTAATTTCATATTAATCAGCTGATTTGCCTGGAATAGCAGAGAAAGATATAGTCACTGGATACGAAAGCCAGAGGAAACTTAGCAGACTCGATTCAGCCCCCTGCCAGGAAAATGATTAATTTATAATCATAATAAGAGGTGACTAAGGAAATCAAGCCCAAGTTTGTTAACAGGTGTATCTTGGGAGTAATTATGTCTGGGCCAGAAGCCAGTTTCAAGATCACTGTTTTCCAAGTAGAGTTTTATGTTTAGTCCCTTTGCTGTGTTTACACAAGACAAAAACCAAACTGGCAATTGAACCATTTTAGTCAAAATGTTAGAATATCATTCATTTAGTTGGTCAACATGATATGAAACCATCAAATTAATAGATTTTTTGCCCTAAATTGAACAGATGCTTTGGTATCTGTAGGCATAGTCTTTCTCTATGGGATATTAAGGATTTTTACCTTCAAATATCCTACACTCCAAAGTAATCTTCAACAGAGACTTAACTCATATATACATCATACTTAAAAATCTGTTAGTCAATTTCAGGTAGATTAAAGAGTGACTTCATTGTGAAAGATAAAATAATAAAGCTTTCAATATGGAAGAATGTGTTCCATAAGATAAGCAAAGCAAACATTTTCTAACAGGATACAAAAAGCACTAATCATAAAGGAGAAGACTAATGAGTTGAAAACTTTTCTTCATCTAAAGACACCATTTAGAGTATGAAAAGACAAGCCATAATAAGGAGATAATTGCAATGCAGTCTGGGTCCACATACAAAACAGTGATCTTATAAGATTATAACATTGTATTTGTACCACATCTTTTCTACCTTGAGATATGTTTAGATACATGAATACTCACCATCCTGTTATAATTGCCTACAGCATTCAGTACAGTAACATGCTACCCAGGTCTATAGCCTAGAAACAATAGGCTATACCATATGGACTAGGTGTGTAGTAGACTATACCATCTAGGTGTGTGTAAGTACCCTCTATCATGTTCGCACAAGGACAAAATCACCTAATGACACATTTCTCACAACATATCTTCATGGTTGAGCGATGCATGATTGTATTTTCAATGACTAGGAACTCATATCCAGAATATTGAAAACACTTCTACATGATAAGAAACGCATAGACAACCCAAACAAAACATGGACATAAGATTGGAACAGTCACTTTACCAAAAAGATCGATAAACATATGAAAAGTTATTCAGCATCATTAGTTATCAGAAAAATGTAAGTTAAAACTAAAAATATGATCCTACTATATGCCTAACAGAGTGACTATAATGGAATAACCTGACATTATCGAGTGTTGGTAAAAATGTGGAGCAGCAGGAAGTCTTGTACACTGTTCATGGGTGTATTAATCGATACAGTGCTTTTTAGTACTGTAAGACCTACAAAAGCTAAACAGAGGTACACTCTATGACCCAGAATTCTACTCATATATGGTTTCACATATACCAAAAAAAGGCATTTACAAAAATCTTCATAACCAGTAAAAACTCAAATGTCCATGAGTAGTGAAATGGAAAAATAGTGGTATATTCATCTAATGGACTACTATACAACAACGAATGTACTACTGCTACACCCAAAGCCTGGGTAAATCTCACAAACATGTTGAGAACATAAACCAAAAACAAAGACACACTCAAAGTTCACATCATGAATAGAAAGTGACATGACAAAGTGGGTTTATGTTTTTTCCAGCCATGGCCAGCTGCTCCTGTGGAGATAGGGAGAAGGCAGAAAGTGGGATGAATCCAGGGTCTGGGCTTTCCCAGATGATGGCAAAGGGAGGGAAGGAGACAGAAGATAAGGGCACATGCAGAGCAATACGTAACTGTGAATGTGAACCATAGGCTCTAAGTTGGGTAAGGCAAGTGAAAACTCCAGGCCTCATTGGTTTGTAAATCCTGGTGGGGTAGGATAATTTTTGGAGTTGGGGTACATGAGAGAGTGATCTGGCAAAAGGGAGGTGATGATGTCAAAGCAAGGGGACTGAAATTGTGATCAGGACTTACTAATGCACAGTGCATGCAGTACTTACTAATGCACAGGTCTAGGGTGTGACTGTCGGGGTGGGAGGCCAAGACACGGCAGAGTACCGGTGGAGAACGGCCCTCTTCTCCAGTGGTCATTAGAGAAGAGGAGACCACAGAGTTGAGAGGTTGGAGAGTTGGGATGGTCATTTTTGTTGAATCAGCAGGAACTATTTCAGGACACAACTAGTGGGCCAGAAGCTACAATTTTCTGTGACAGAGGACGGTGCTGGGGTCATTGTATAAGTAAGCCTAATCAGGCAGAGTAACTGGAGTGGAGACTGAATGCTTCAATGATGAAAGGGGAGAAAGGTCTGAAAGCAAAGGAAGAAGCCCAGACCTGGGACTAACAGGGCTGAGAGCAAGAAGCTGCCGGGAGCAAATTGCCCTCAGAGGCAACCACGTCTCCTTTAGAACAAGCATTGAGAACAGAGAGTGTTTTGCTACTGAGTGGCTCATTGAAAGAGCACAGTGAGGGGCTGGTGGTCTGTGATAGGGTCATTTGGGGGATCTCATGGGATGGAAATTCATGTGTTAAAGCACATGGAGGTCTTTGGACTCCTTGTGGTACTTTTTGTTTTTTTAAGAGGTCTCATTGTGCACTGTGTTGTCTGGGCTGGAGCGCAGTGGCATAATCATGGCTCACCACAACCTCAAACTCCTGGACTTAAGGTATCCTCCTGCCCCAGCCTCCTGAGTAGCTAGGACTACAGGTGTGCACCACCATGCTTGGCTATTTTTTAAAATATTTTTGTTGAGATGGGGTCTTGCCATGTTGCCCAGGCTGGTCTCAAACTCCTGGCCTCAAGTGATCCTCCCACCTCAGCCTCCCAAAGTGCTGGGAATATAGGTGTGAGCCAAAGTGCCTGGCTGCTTGTGACGCTTAAAGTAAAGTGGAGCAGTGGACAGGATGGAATGAGTGCTGAGACTGCTTACCCTTTGGTGAGGCTGAGGGCTGGGGAGGGAGGAGTGAGCAAGTGAGGCTCTCTTCACTCCAACCAAGGCAGGAATAGAAGCTAAGGGAGCAGCTGCGTTAGAGGAATGCAGAACTCCCAAATTCCAAGCATCCATGATAACCACCTCTCCAGAGAAGTCTAAACAGGCCTGTTTTGGAAGTGAGTGCTAAGAGCAGGCAAATGGGAAGAAATGTCTGCAAAATATCTTTATTATTTTACCATTAACACCAATATTTCTAGGTCAGAAGGAAGTTTGATGAGCTCACCACGCAAGACTACATGGTTACTGACTGGAATGGCCATCAGGAGGGCAGAGAGCCACTGCGCCTCTTTCTGCTGAGGGTTGTGGATACAGATGGGAATTTGAAACCTTCTTTCCTGTTTGTGTGAAAAATTCAGACTACTGGCAAATTCTACCCTGGAAACTGACTATGGGTCAATGGGAGTCCGCTGGCGAATGGATACCGCCTGTTCTGTTTCCAATTCATCAGGAACCATGTGGAGAATTAATATCCTGCCCGTCCAGAAGGAAGGGAGTTATTATGGACAGCAAAGAGGAAAGGTAGCCAAGTTCAGATGTTCCCCAGGCTGTGGCTGCTGAAAGTCAAACAGTATGAAGTATAATGGTAAGTGGGGGGAAAGAAAAACTCAGCCAAGAATAGAAAACGGCACCTTCAGGGGCTAAGGGACAAAGGAGAGCGCTGCTGTCCTAAGATCCGCTCCTCCAAAAAGAGTCACGTTTTTGGTGATTTGATTTCACCACGAAACTGTTTGCCCAGAAGGTAAGTCGTCAGTTAAGGCCAAGGGGGAGGGGCATGTGAAGAGAAGAATGTTTCAAGCTTTTAGATCTCACGCAGTAGAAAAACAAAACCAGGAATCTATTTCTTTCACCTGCCAGAATGACGCTTCCCTTCCTCCAGCTAATTGCTGCTGGGAGAGTCCAGCCTTCTTGTGTTAGCATCCAACCTGGATTACTTTCCTGCAAGCTGATGACATGTAGGCTGGCAAAGGGCAGGTTTGGAGAACTACTGAGTTGGAATCAGAACACTTCCATATAGAGGTGGCACACTTTGCCCCGGAACAATCAGAGAGTAAGGTGTCTGTATACTTCTTGGCTGGCTGGAAATCTCTACGTGGGTTTCAAACCTTAGGTCAGGTTCCCCAAGGCTCTGGCATCTCATCTCTGGAGAGCAAGGTCAGTTTTAATGGTGGAAATTAGTATGAAGGAGAGAGGATGAGCTTCAAGGTGAAGGGAAGCAGCTGTTTAAATAGCCACAGTGTTTACATCATCCTAATCACTGCTGCCCAGCCATTCTCCTGTTTATGCTGGAAGAAGCCCCGCTGGTAGGGGGAATCCCAAGTCAGAGCTGCAGACCAAAGAGCAGACATTAAATTCCACTTAAATACTGGATGCTCTCCCCTCCCAATTGTTCTGGATGCTGCTATACTTGCCCCCCGCCTAGGGGACCCATTATGTAGGAGGTCCCAAATAGCCATCGGTTGTACTTGCTTTCCTGTTGCTCATGCCTTATCCAGCCGAAAGATCAAAAGCAAATGGAACCATAGTGAGATTCTGCACCACCCATCGGGTTTCTGTAGCTCCAGAGAGGGCGAATGAGCATGATGATCACATATTCCCAAAACCGGCCAGGTGCTGGGCCAACAGGTGATTTACTGCTGTGGAAAGCCAATAGGAGATTACTGAAGGGGTCAGGCCATAGGACATCAGTGGCTAAATGATTTCCTAATGGCCTGAAAGAGTCACAGTGCCTCCCTCCCTGCCTAATTTCATAGCAGAGGGTGTCCTTTGGACTAGGGAGAGAAACTGGATTATTAACCCTAGCTGGATGGTTTTTAAGATAAGAGGAAAGAGGGTTGAGGCTTAGGGGAAATGCAGAAAGTTGAAAAATTTGGTTTTCCTAAAAGAGATGTGTCACAGGCATATTTGTGGTTTTTTACATCATGGAACATCTGCTTAGAGGATGTAAAGTTTTTAACCCTTGCACTCCGGGGGGCTGTGTGTGTGTGCGTGTGCACGCGTGCGTGCGCATGCATATGCATATACACACGCATAAGCAGATTTTACATACAATTGCAGAGCTTATGTACTCTTAAAGTTTATCCATAAAGCCCAGTTTAAGAAGTTCTGCCCTCTATAGGTTAAGAGGGAAATGCTTTATCCAATAACAAAATCTTTTGAAAACTTCAAAAATGTTTTATATTGGTAGGTAGGAATTCCTCATTGCAACAAATAAGTAGATATTGTTTTTTTTTCTCTTCTATTGAAGTACATTCCCGCACATTTGCCTCTAGATTATTTTTCAGGCATCCCTTGTCAATTTGTCACCTCTAGAATTAAATATGGGTGAAACTTAGTCATCTATTAACAAAATATGCACTTAGCATTTATAATGTGCAAACAAATATGCTAAGAGTATTCAGAGTAGCCCTGCCAAGTATTCAGAGATGAACAATGCATGCCCTAGATGCTCAAAGAGATTCTGCTATAAAAATGAGATACTTACAAAAACAGCTCTAATATGATATAGAATGTGGCATAAAAAAAAGAGTGCAAGGTCAGAAGAGGAGAGTTCATTTCTGGGTGATGTAATCTGGAGTAGCTTCATGAATGATATGCAATTGAAACTAATGTTAACTAAGTGTTTTTCAAACATTTTTATTCCTATACCCTCAGTGAGAAATACATTTTGTGTCATAGTGCAGAACACACATTAATGTAGATCTGGAATAAAAATTTCACAAAACAATATCTTCCCATATTATGAGATATATGCTCTGTTATGTCCCACTCTACTCTACTATACTCTATTGATTTCCACTTAACAAAAAATTCTGGTTGGGACCCATAAAGTTTATTTCCCAATGCAATGAGTTGTTGCCTATTATCTAATAAACACTGCCTTAAAAGATGGCAAGGATGGGGTATTTTGCATTATGAATATCGATCAGTCTTAACAGAAATTCTATGCTATAGGTATCAGTTTTATCCCTGTTTTTCAGATAAGGAAACTGAGACTTTGAGAGGTTAAGTTACATGTCTAAGGTCATGCAGCTCTTACATCGAGCAGCAGGGATCTGAGCCCAGCTCACGGTGACTATGTGAAAACCCATGGAGGGAGGAAACAATATTTGGGGAAGTGTGCAGCTTGGCTATCATGTAGCGTATAAGTAGGAAAATTAGGAGAGATGATTATAAAAGGAATTATATCATTCATTTAGGTAAAATTATTTTTGTCTTTAATCCTTTATCTTATTCCCAACTTCCTCCTGGAAAATCTCCCTGAATCTTCAGTCTGATTTTCCCATACCTGGTTTGTAGTTATACCCATTAAGAAATACAATGTAACTCACAGGAACTTGTTGAAAATTTACGTGCTCAGGAAAACAGAATAAAAATATAACAAGAGACCTATGCCCGCAAAATCTTACTGAGGTAGAAATACCTTACATAACATAACTACAGGTATGTCAACCATGCACATACATGTAAAGTGTAAATTTATTTTCTAAAATGCCACATAGATGGGGCAAATTATAGGTACAATTTGGTAGGCAGGAAAAAGAGGACATATTTTCAATGGGTTCTTGGAATGCTTTAGGAAATGGATGGGAACTGGAAGGATAATATAAAAGGAAGATACAGTCCCAGGTAAGATAATGACAATGTGAAGTTCAAAGAATACTTGGGTAAGGGCTTGTGGGAGGTAGACAGAGAAAGGGGACAGGAGGTGAGAGCAACTGAAGGAGGTTCAAAGGGTGGTGAAGAGATTCAAGGCTGGGATAAGATTATGAAGGACCATCGATGTAGTCGTAATTAAATTCTCATCTTCTATGTTTAATAGTCAATGTGGACTATACATCTGATACATCTAAACTGAGAATTTTATAATAGCAGAGAGAAAAAGTCTAAGTATGAAAACAAAGCAAAAACCTAGCTTGTGTTTAAAGCTTGGAAAGTAATCTCTTGTATCATTTAATTTATTATTAGTGTTACTTCTGTGTATGCTCATATACATGAGAGCACCCACCCTTTGAACTGACCTGGGAACACTTCAGAGTTAATCTGCAGTCAGTGCTGTATTTATATTTTGAGAAATAATGAGGCACTCTCATTTTTCCTCTTTTTTTAATAAAATGCTTTCTAAAGTAATGGGAGGCATATCCATTAGACAGAAAACTCAGTAGTTTAGATTGCTGGGTTCAGGTTCTTAATAATGACTATTATTGCAATGTTAAGGTACCATAGATATCAATCCTCTTCCTATTCTAAAAGTGATCACTTTAGTTCTGTGTTGACTCCCTGGATTATTTGCTATGTGTGTTTTTAATGTATCACCTGTTCAATAGAAAATGGATCTCAAAATATTTCTTTGGATGATCTGTGCTTTACTTTCAGCATCAATACAATGGTAGAATAATTCATGAACTAGACCCACTTTGAATGGCTATTAAAAACAAACATAAAAAGGTGTCTTTAACACCTTCCAAATTCTAAGACAACTGCTATTACAGTTTCCACTGGAAATGTGCCTCTAATAGTCCAATACTCTCCTTTCAGGATTGGCTCGGTAAGAAGGAGGCAATAATGGTTCTTAGCTAATATTAAAGCATCAACTTGGTCATCAGTTGGGTTTTGTGTGTGGGATTTTAAAAGAAAGTAACTAGCCGGATCTTACTCTATCTATTTTGTGTGAACACTGCTAAAAATGGTTTGAGCGTCAAGCATTTGTTCTCAAAAAGTGCACCTGTCTGAAATACAGTTGATTCTTGTTATTCACATTAGCTATGTTTTAGAAAGTTGCTGTAAACACTGATTTAGCAAATATTGAATCATTGCTCCTAGGAAGAACACAGGGTTAAGTTCCTGTGAGCCTTGGGTAACATTTTCATTCATTGATCAATACGTAAGTTTATTTTATCTGCATTTTTGTTTAAAGGCATCCATTTACTATATATTAATTCATTAACATTAAACTTATACCCAACAGCCCTATAACTCATGTCCTATCTAACACATGTATTTTCTCCAGAAGGCATATCACAGCCTTCCTGTACTCAGAAACACTGGACGGCACTTCCACAATATGCTCTGAGGGCCACTTTGAGGAGTGAAAGCACCAACAGCAAGCACAAAAATGAAAAAAAAAAAAAAAGGCACTGCACAGGCTGTGCAAGGACACCTGTTGGCTGTCTGAGAGCTGAAGCTAGAAGGTAGGGTTGCCTGGTTTCCACCTCATCTGGCACATGAGCAGCCAGAGACTCGGATTTTTGCCCCTATGGGCATGTCTACAGATGACTGGAAAAGAGCTGCAAGTATTGATTTTGGGGTCACGAATACATTTTAGCAAGTAGGTAAATTAGCAAATATGGAATCTGTGTATAATGAAGATTGACTATGTCCTATTTCTGTGCTACCCTGAATTTATGTGGATATGTGATGAT
Organism: Homo sapiens; assembly: GCF_000001405.40. Taxonomy (NCBI): domain Eukaryota; kingdom Metazoa; phylum Chordata; class Mammalia; order Primates; family Hominidae; genus Homo; species Homo sapiens. The sequence continues at coordinate 97,064,218 of NC_000013.11, read as the reverse complement.
TTTAACAACACTACGGCTCAATTATGCATGTGACTTCATGCTAGTTTTAGCGCCATTTAGATTTTGAACTGTAAGTTTATCTTGCATGATTTTATTATTTCTTTCCATCCCACTTAAAGAAAGGTAGAGAATTGCCTGTGGTTTACTGGTAGTGGTGACGGTGAATTTCCTCCAGGGCACGAAACTAGCTTTCCAGGGGTAATACGAATCAGCTACAGAGCAACACAAAAGGAATTAATAGAAATGTAATCTCAAAAGGTACTTCTGTTTAAAACCACAAAATCTTATGTACTATTTATTATCTGTAAAACCACAAAATCTTATGTACTATTTATTATCTGTGGGTTGAAAATAAATTTCAGAATCCAAAGAGGATTGAAAGGGTACAAAAACTAAAGGATTGTTTGACATATATGAGTATTTTCTGTTTTTCACTGATTGTTACCAGAGACTAGAATTGTATGATTAAATGAATGGAAATATTGTATCTGTAATGATACTTAGAGAGACTTTATAAATATGGCGGTCCTTACACTCTTTCATACTTATGAGAGGAAAATTTTTGCTGGAGTATGTGAAAATGCTGATCAATCTGTCTGCTCTGCTCACATTTTTCTCAGATCATTTGTGTCTACAGCTGAGAGATGTGAAGCCATATCATGCCACTTTTCCTGGCCAGAGTTGATTAGACCAGGAATGGACACCTGACCCAAGATGGGCTAATAATAATTGTTACCCTAGAGTCATCATAAACAGGGCAAACCATTTAGTGGAATAGAGTATCCAGAAATAGATCCAGAAAAATGTATAAATTTGACAGATGACAAAGGACATATTTCAATTTCTTGAGGAAAAGACACTGTAATGCTGGTGCTAGCATAATTTGCTCTCCATCTAAAAGAAATGAAACCAGACCCCGATTTCACACGATCTACAAAAATATCCATGATGATGTAATATTTTCATGTAAAAATAAAATCAGTAAAAATATTTGAAGAAAGTATGTATTTATATATCCTTGGCTGGAGAAGAACTTCTTACACAGATTAGGAAACTCAAAAACCATAAAGTAAAAAAAATTTTGAATATTAAAAAATCTTATTATGAATTAAATCCTAAAGAGAGTCAGAAGATGAACAGTGGACCAGAAAATATATTTTAAACAGATATCGGATTTAACAGAGTTGACTGCACCATCATCCTTGAAATATCTCCAAGTATTTGAATTTTATCTACAATGCTACACTCTCATGCTTTCTTTTCTACCTCACTCACTGATTGCTGCTTTCCAGCCCAATTTACTCCTCTCTTCTCCCTCTAAATTTTGGAGTACCCTAGAGTTCATTTCTTAGCTCTTTTTATATTTCCAGATGCCCCCTTGGTGATTCCATGGGATCCCATGCCACCAAAGGTCACTTACACTCTGAAGATTCACAATTTAACATCACCTGAACTGCTTCCCTGACAGCCAAACTTACCTTTCCAACACCAACCAGCACCTTCCTGTGGTTGTTTAATAGGCATCTCTATCTCAACATGTCCAATCAAGGACCTTTGATTTTCATTCTCAAAATGATTCCCCATCCCCACTCTGGCAATACTTGTTTTGCTAATGTTATGGTTTGCTATGGTTTATTTGGCTCCACCAAGTCTCATGTTGAAATTGATCTCTGGTGTTGGAGGAGGGGCCCAGTGAAGGCATTTGGGTCTTGGGGGCAGATCCTTCATAATAGCTTGTGCTGTCCTTGTGATAATGAGTGAGCTCTTGCTCTTAGTTCCCATTGGAACTGGTTGTTGGTTGTTGAAAAAGGCCTGGCACCTCCTCTGCCTGTCTCTCACCATGCAATCCCTGCATGCAGGCTCCCCTTCCTTTTCCACCATGAGTAGAAGCCTCCTGAGGCCTCACCAGAAGCAGATGCTGGGGCCGTGCTTATACAGCCTGCAGAACCACGAGCCAAATAAACCTCTTTTCTTTATAAATTACCCAGCCTCATGTATTCTTTGATAGCAACACAAATGAACTAAGATAGGTAAATATTAATAGCACCAAGCTTTTGTTTAAGCCAAAAACCTGAGAATCACCCTTACTTCCTGCTGAAACCTCACATTCTACATCTAGCCACTGAAAAAGCTGCTTTGCATTATTTTCAAAATACATTCCCTAGGGCCGGGCGCTGTGGCTCAAGCCTGTAATCCTAGCACTTTGGGAGGCCGAGGCTGGCGGATCACAAGGTCAGGAGATTGAGAGACCATCCTGGCTAACACAGTGAAACTCCATCTCTACTAAAAATACAAAAAATTAGCCAGGCATGGTGGCAGGTGCCTGTAGTCCCAGCTACTCGGGAGGCTGAGGCAGGAGAATGGCATGAACCTGGGAGGCAGAGCTTGTAGTGAACTCAGATCACTCCACTGCACTCCAGCCTAGGCAACAGAGCGAGACTCTGTCTAAAAAAAAAAAAAATACATTCCCTAGACACCCATTTGTCCTTGTTCGTTACGCTGTTCTCATCATTGAACTGCGATAATCTTGCTCCTAGATTACTACAATGGCCTTGTAACTACATTCCCCATCACACTCTTGACTTCCTCCATTTTATTCTCCATAAATGACCAATATGATAAAACAAAAGAAAACATAAATCAGACCATGGTTTCCCTCTAGTTGTAAGCCTCCAGTATAATACCATCTCACTTAAAATAAAACGTAATCTCTTCCCCATGCCTCTAAGTCCCTAAATGACCTGGCTTTCCTCAAGCTCCCAGCCTTTTCCTCTGCAAGCTCACTTTCAACACTGCATTCCAGCTACATGGACTTTCTTGCTGTCCTCCAAAGAAGTCAAGCTTGTCTCTTAGCATGTGTACTTCCTTTGCCTGGAATACACCGTCCTCAGGTTTTACCATGACTTTTTCTTCATGTCATTTGGAAACTTTTTCAAGTGTTTTAAGGTTTACCCAAACCATATTTGAAACCCTTCACCCCTGTCATTTTCCATCTATCATGATGTTTCCCCACACTGCTTGACATTACCTGAAATTATATGACTTTAGATTACTTGTTCCTTGCCTCTCCCAGTAGAATGTAGGCTTCATGAGAACATATACTGTGCTTTGTTTACCACTGCACTCCCTACCTTCAAAAGTGCCTGATAAGTAGTAGGCACTCAATGGCTGTAAATCAGATGAATAAATGACCCACACGGTGGGTTAATCTGCCAAACGTAGAGTGCCTACAATATATAAACAATCCAAGGAATGAATGGATGTGACCAGGGCATTGATAAAGAAGGAAATGTGACGGATCGTACTAATATATTGTAAAAGATCAATATCATTAGTGTCCCCATAACTGCATATTAAAATACTTAGATAACCTTTCCATTTAGAAGATTAGTACCAATTAAAAATTACTGATACTATTCACTGCTGAAGGAGATATGAGGAAATGGTCATTATTTTACACTGCTGGAGAAAGTTTAAATTGCTACTAAAATAATCTGGTAATAAATATTAATGTGAAAAATGCGAACTCCTACGAATGTTCTAGAGAGAATCTATAATATAGATTTAAAATCACATAAAAAAAACTCTATTGCAGAATTGCTTGTAGTATTCAAAAGTAAACATTCTTTTTTAAATTTTATTTTTTAATTGACAAATAATAATTGTTTATGTTTGTGAGGTACATAGTGATGTTTTGATGCCTGTAATAGATAATAATGAGACCAGAGTAATTAACATATCCATCATCTCAAAAATTTATCATTTTTTTGTTTTAGGAACATTCAATATCCTCCTCCTAGCTATTTGTAACTACTAATATAATATTATTGTTAAAATTGTTGTCCTGCAGTGCTATACAACACTAGAACTATTCCTCCCATTTGGCTGTAATTTTGTATCCTTTAACAAATCTCTCCCTGTCCCTCCCTTCCTCCTATCAGTCTCAGCCTCTCATATCCTCTGCTCCACTTTTTATTTCTATGGGATCAACTTTTTTTAGCTTCCACATATGAGTGAGAACATGTGGTGTTTAACTTTCTGTTCCTGGTTTATTTCACTTAACATAATTTCCACCAATTTCAAAAATGGAAATTCTAATGACCCTCAATAGTAGAGAGATTGAATGTTTTAGGATATGTCCACACAATAGAATACTATGCAGCTATTAAAAAGAGTAAAGGAAATTTACGCATCCTAACTTGAAGGGGTGCCCAATATACCACAAGATTGAAAACTGGAAGTTAAAGGATAATGTGTATAGTGTACAAAAAGCAAACAGCAAACAACAAAAACCTGTGTGTGTGTGCTTGTGTTCACACAGGCTTGCAGAAGACGAGAGAAATGCAGTAACACTAATCTGTTAGGATGATCTCAGGGAAATACAGGGTAGAATGAGGGAGGGGTGTTAGTTTTTCTTTATGCATCTTGTATTTTAAAATATATTTTATAAAATTTAGTTTAAAATTATTTATTTATAAAAGAATAAAAGTGGCAATGAAGTTAATAAGCCACTGACTCTCCTTAGTTATGCAGAAGAATACATAAAGAAATTAAACTAAGGAGTTTTACATTTTAAAAATTAAATCAGAATTAGAATAAAATAACGCTAGCAGATTTGAAAGTCTTGATAAAAGTTCACTTTTATAGAATAGATATATTATCAAAATGACTTGAGAGAAAGAATAGAAATCTTCTATTTCTCTCAATAGAAATAATAACTATTAAAAAATTAAAACCATTATCGAATAATTACTTCTCCAAAGTTAAGCCCTGATTATTTTAGCAGTAAATGCTTTTAAACTGATGATTTCAATACCACAAAAACAGTCCCAGAAAGGAAAAGCCTATAAAGTTGCTTTATTCATTCCACTGAAATGGAAATATCTGTAAGTGTGTGTCAAATACACACACACACACACACACACACACACACACAATGAGAAAGACTACATCCATCACCTTTCTGGGGAAAAGTGCAAAAGTAGAGAACCAGAAACTTTGAGCAATGTAGAGAACCAGAAACTTTGAGCAATGTTTGGAAGAAAAAGAAGACTGGATCAGAAGGGTGTAGAAACCAGAGAAAGAAAAATATTACACACAGAAAAGAAATGTGCAGACTAAAACCACACTTTTCCCCACTGGAGCCTTCGGGCCACTGAAGCCTGGAAAGGCTCATGCAATTCTTTGAGCAGAAATTGATCTGAGCTCCAACTTGAAACATGTAACTATTTTAATCTTATATTCCTTGAATAGCATATACTAATGAACCATAGTAAAATATTTTTTAAATTATAGATCTATAAGGAAAAGTTGGCAAAACTGTCAATACGATGGGAAACTTCAGCTCTCGAGCAACTGATAGACCAGGCAGACAAAAAAAAAAAAATCAGAAAAGATATACAGTATTTAAACAATAAGAATAATAAACACAATCTAATGGCTGTTACTAAAATAGTCTCCTACATGTCCATCAGTCAGGAGTCACCCAAAGAAAGGAAAACCACTTTAATTATTTAACACAGGGTTGGGGGGATAGAGCGCAAGAAATTGGTTCCACGTGTGAGAGAAGAGTTGCAATGACAGATGGGTTTTGTTGAGCCAAGAGATTAGCAGCAGCAGGAAGCCACCACCGCTCCAAAGCTGGGATCAGTAATAATAGACAGCTTTTTCAAGGAATTTTACCATAAATTAGTTGGAGAGGGATTTGGGGTCAGGGTTTCATTTTGCTTTTTCAAGAGACTTCTCTCCTTGCTCCTGGAGGGAGAGGGTTTGAGCCTCCCCTTGGCTGTTGTGGATAGAAGTTTGAGGTCTAAGGGGAGAGCAGCTTAATCAAGAACATACGGAGGTGTGGGTCGGCCTCTCAACTGTCGGAAAAAAATACCTAAATATATTACACAAGAATAATTCCCTGAAACAAATCTGCAGATTGAAGCAGGGGCACACTGTGGTCCCCAAACTCTGCAATGTAGGAGGCTTAACACAGAGAAATATTCTGGTTTAGTGGTTGCGCTTCAAAGGTAAAAAAGGATTTCTTCAGGCATCCAGGCTTCAATATCAAATAGCCTAAATAGGGAAAGCCATTAGGCAGACCTCCAACTTCTCTATGGTGATGTCAATTATTAGAAGGCATTTGCTACTATGTTCTGAAGGAGAGAGTGACTGAGAGCTACCGTGTCAGAACAAATGTCTTTCCATCAAAACCAGCTACATAGTGGGGCCCAAAGCAAAATGAAAACAAGGTACCCCTAGATACAAAATATATTAAGAATTTCAAAATGATGACAGCAGAACATGAATTAGCCCAAGCATGGGGTACTTCTTGTCTCAGCGCAAGATTCTGTGTTGCTGCATGGGCTGCACACTAACAAAGTCAGCCCTGCTTTCAAAGATTTAGGAAACTTTCAGGCTTTCCCATGAAATACAGTGTGAGCCCTCTTCAGCAAATTCCTTGATGACAAAAAACCTAGAGATGAAATTAAATAAAGAGCTTAGAAATGAAGGCTCTGCACTGGTGGAGAGCCTTGAACTGATTTATATATAAAACAAATTCTAAACAACTTTGGGAATTATTGTTACAGAATACAAATACTTGAAACAGGAAGAAGAATGAAATTGCTAGTGCATTCATCTAGCCCTGCAGGTAAGCACTTGACACTACCTAAAATCATATTGTGTTTTTAATGAGATGTAATGATTCTACACTGAGTGTTTTATTTGGTATCTTCCCTGGTATCTTCATGTCAGATTGGTAATGTGCTGACGTCTTAACAAGGTTTGAGGGAGGTTCATCTCACACATAGCATGAAAACCCAATTATCATGCTCTGAACCACAAAAGAATCTGGAAGACTATAGAAGAATCTTTTGTTGGGAAATATCTCATGGAGTGAAGAAACATTTATGTGAGGATGAAGTGATCTCACTGGTTTTACTTCAGTTTATTTTTCTTCTATTAAATTTGGATAAGTTACATTTAATCCTTTTATTGAAAAATACATTATTTGGTTTTTACAAAAGTATGAATGTTAATGATTATTCACGTGTGATGGGATTTGAGTATTTTACTTTCATCTTTCTCATCTTTGTCTTTTCTGTATTAATTAAATTATTTGTAAGTGTCATATGTAATTTTTACAGAAGCTAAATTTAATTTTATTTAATTAAAAAAATTAAGTCAAATATTACCCCACCCAAAGGTTCCAGTCCACAGAATTTTATTGGTGAAATCTATAACAACTTCAAGGAGCTGTATTTACTTTGTTTGAAAGAACAGAGAGCTAGAAAATTTCCAACTTGTTCTGCAATATATCATTGATACCAAACCAAGACAATTAACTACCAAAAAACAGACATATCAATCGCTTTGAAGATAGATGCAACAATGATAAGTAAAATCTTTTCAGGTGGCCACACCCTTTCAAATCCAGCCATGTGGGTGTGGGTGTGGGTGTGGGGGTTGGGGTCACAAGAGAGTTGTGTGGACATCAAGAGCCTAGCATACTTTTGCATGGAAGCCATGGAGATGTTCTCCTCCCCTGTCTCTGACACCCTGAATAACCTCTACTAGACTGAGGAAAATGGAGGCCCAGGGGTACTAAAGGGGTCCCAGGGATGGGCAGAAACTAAATTGGACTGCTTGGGTTCAAATTGTGGTGTCTTAACTATCACCAGCCTTCTTCAAGAGAGGCTACTGTCATGGACTGCTAAGATGGCATAACAAGGGTAAGGCAGTGGAAGAAATCCATCCAGAGTATAGGTCATAAGGAGTGTATTGCCTGTGGACAGTTTTGGAAACAACAGTAAAGACAGCCAAGCATTAGTCTGCTTTATGTTATCACCATGAGTCTAGTTTCAAACAATGTCAGTGATAAAATCCTCCCTTGTGGAAAAAAATCAGTTCCTTCCAGGTTTACATTTTTAAACAAGATTTCAAAAATTGTATTTATTTGTTTATGTGAATTTACAGATGACAAAGTGTGTACGCTTGTGGTGGACAATGTGATGGTTTGATATATGTATCAAATACAGAATGTTTGAATCAAGCTAATGAACATATCCATCACCTCACATACTTATTATTTTTGTGATGAAAATATTTAAAATCTACTCTCTTAGCAATTTTCAAGTATACTATACATTATTACTAATTATAGTTGCCATGCTACATAACAGATCTCCAGAACTCATTCCTATAGTCCCACTAAAACTTCATACACTTTGACCAACATTTTCCCATTTCCCCAGCCCCTGGTAACCACAATTTCATTACCTATTCTTTAATAAATGCTGTGCTTTAAATGAAGTTAATTTCAAAGATCTCTCAGTTATACAGTCAGCCCTCAACATCTGCATAATTAGCTACATGGGATTCTTTTATTTATTATTTATTTATTTTTTGAGACAGTTTCACTCTTGTTGCCCAGGCTGAAGTGCAATGGCACAATCTCAGCTCACTGAAACCTCTGCCTCCTGGGTTCAAGAGATTCTTCTGCCTCAGCCTCCTGAGTAGCTGGGATTACAGGCACGCACCACCACGCTGGGCTAATTTTTGTATTTTTAGTAAAGACGGGGTTTTGCCATGTTGCCCACACTGGTCTTGAACTCCTGGCCTTATGTGATCCACTCGCCCCATGGGATTCTTTTCAAGAGTAATGCTGTACTGGTTTGGAAAAGTTTGAGTTTGCTTCAGGAGCTGTTTGTGTCACCAACCTCAATGGCACCACACATTCTGTGTTTAAGCTGCAAGTTAGAAATAAACAATGACAGTACAATGATTATAATGACAAAGAAAATTTATGTTATTCCAATTCTATCAATCTATGTGATTTCTTGGACTTTTTATTTGGGTTTAAAATTTGGATAGCCATATGTAGAAGAATAAAACTGTACACTTATCTCTCACTGTATACAAAAATTAATTCAAGATTCATTAAAGAATTAAATGTAAGACCTAAAATTATAAAAATTGTAGATGGAAACCTAGGAAAAACAATTCTAGCCAATGGTCTATGCAAAGAATTCATGACTAACAGCACAAAGGCAAATGCAACAAAAACAAAAATGGACAAATTTAACTCAAATAAAAAGCTTCTGCACAGCAAAAGAAATAACACAGTGAACAGACAGCCCAAAGAATGGGGAAAAATACTTGCAAATTATACCTCTGACAAAGGACTAATATCCAGAACCTAAAAGAAACTAAAGGGGGGCAGCATGAGCAACGCAGAAGACAGGTGATTTCTGCATTTCCAACTGAGCAAACGGCACACCAGGAGATTATATCCCATGCCTGGCTTGGAGGGTCCTACGCCCATGGAGCTTTGCTCATTGCTAGCACAGCAGTCTGAGATCGAACTGCAACATGGGAGCGAGGCTGGGGGAGGGGCGCCTGCCATTGCTGAGGCTTGAGTAGGTAAACAAAGCCACTGGGAAGCTTGAACTGGGTGGAGCCCACCGCAGCTCAAGGAGGCCTGCCTGCCTCTGTAGACTCCACCTCTGGGGGCAGAGCATAGCCAAACAAAAGGCAGTAGAAACCTCTGCAGATTTAAATGTCCCTGTCTGACAGCTTGGAAGACAGTAGTGGTTCTCCCAGCATGGAGCTTGAGATCTGAGAATGGACAGACTGCCTCCTCAAGTGGGTCCCTGACCCCTGAGTAGCCTAACTGGGAGGCACCCCCCAGTAGGCACAGACTGACACCTCACACGGCTGGGTACCCCTCTGAGACGAAACTTCCAGAGGAACGATCAGGCAGCAACAGTTGCTGTTCACCAATATTCGCTGTTCTGCAGCCTCCACTGCTGATACCCAGGAAAACAAGGTCTGCAGTGGACCTCCAGCAAACTCCAACAGACCTGCAGCAGAGGGTCCTGACTGTTAGAAGGAAAACTAACAAACAGAAAGGACATCCACACCAAAACCCCATCTGTACATCACCATCATCAAAGACCAAAGGTAGATAAAACCACAAAGATGCGGAAAAACAGGGCAGAAAAACTGAAAATTCTAAAAATCAGAGCGCCTCTCCTCCTCCAAAGGAATGCAGCTCCTCACCAGCAACAGAACAAAGCTGGATGGAGAATGACTTTGGCGAGTTGAGAGAAGAAGGCTTCAGACGATCAAACTTCTCCGAGCTAAAGGAGGAAGTTTGAACCCAATGCAAAGAAGTTAAAAACCTTGAAAAAATATTAGATGAATGGCTAACTAGAATAACCAATGCAGAGAAGTCCTTAAAGGACCTGAAGGAGCTGAAAACCATGGCACGAGAACTACGTGATGAATGCACAAGCTTCAGTAGCCGATTCGATCAACTGGAAGAAAGGGTATCAGTGATGGAAGATCAAATGAATGAAATGAAGCGAGAAGAGAAGTTTAGAGAAAAAAGAATAAAAAGAAATGTACAAAGCCTCCAAGAAATATGGGACTATGTGAAAAGACCAAATCTACGTCTGATTGGTGTACCTGAAAGTGACGGGGAGTGGAACCAAGTTGGAAAACACTGCAGGATATTATCCAGGAGAACTTCCCCAATCTAGCAAGGCAGGCCAACATTCAAATTCAGGAAATACAGAGAACGCCACAAAGATACTCCTCAAGAAGAGCAACTCCAAGACACATAATTGTCAGATTCACCAAAGCTGAAATGAAGGAAAAAATATTAAGGGCAGCCAGAGAGAAAAGTTGGGTTACCCACAAGGGGAAGCCCATCAGAGTAACAGCTGATCTCTCAGCAGAAACTCTACAAGCCAGAAGAGAGTTGGGGCCAATATTCAACATTCTTAAAGAAAAGAATTTTCAACCCAGAATTTCATATCCAGACAAACTAAGCTTCATAAGTGAAGGACAAATAAAATACTTTACAGACAAGCAAACGCTGAGAGATTTTGTCACCACCAGGCCTGCCCTAAAAGAGCTCCTGAAGGAAGCACTAAACATGGAAAGGAACAACCGGTACCAGCCACTGCAAAAACATGCCAAATTGTAAAGACCATCGATGTTAGGAAGAAACTGCATCAACTAATGAGCAAAATAACCAGCTAACATCATAATGACAGGATCAAATTCACACATAACAATATTAACCTTAAATGTAAATGGGCTAAATGCTCCAATTAAAAGACACAGACTGGCAAATTGGATAGTCATGACCCATCAGTGTGCTGTATTCAGGAAACCCATCTCATGTGAAGAGACATACATAGGCTTAAAATAAAGGGATGGAGGAAGATCTACCAAGCAGATGGAAAACAAAAAAAGGCAGGGGTTGCAATCCTAGTCTCTGATAAAACAGACTTTAACAAAAATCAAAAGAGACAAAGAAGGCCATTACATAATGGTAAAGGGATCAATTCAACAAGAAGAGCTAACTATCTTAAACATATATGCACCCAATACAGGAGTACCCAAATTCATAAAGCAAGTCCTTAGAGACCTACAAAGAGACTTAGACTCCCACACAATAATAATGGGAGACTTTAACACCCCACTGTCAACATTAGACAGATCAATGAGACAGAAAGTTAACAAGGATATCCAGGAATTGAACTCAGCTGTGCACCAAGTGGACCTAATAGACATCTACAGAACTCTCCACCCCAAATCAACAGAATATACATTCTTCTCAGCACCACACCGCACTTATTCCAAAATTGACCAGTTGGAAGTAAAGCACTTCTCAGCAAATGTAAAACAACAGAAACGATAACAAACTGTCTCTCAGACCACAGTGCAATCAAACTAGAACTCAGGATTAAGAAACTCACTCAAAACCGCTCAACCACATGGAAACTGAACAACCTGCTCCTGAATGACTACTGGGTACATAATGAAATGAAGGCAGAAATAAAGATGTTCTTTGAAACCAACGAGAACAAAGACACAACATACCAGAATCTCTGGGACACATTTAAAGCAGTGCGTAGAGGGAAATTTATAGCACTAAATGACCACAAGAGAAAGCAGGAAAGATCTAAAATTGACACCCTAACATCACAATTAAAATAACTAGAGAAGCAAGAGCAAACACATTCAAAAGCCAGCAGAAGGCAAAAAATAACTAAGATCAGAGCAGAACTGAAGGAGATAGAGACACGAAAAACCCTTCAAAAAATCAATGAATCCAGGAGTTGGTTTTTTGAAGAGATCAACAAAATTGATAGACCGCTAGCAAGAATAATAAAGAAGAGAGAAGAATCAAATAGATGCAATAAAAAATGATAAAGGGGATATCACCACTGATCCCACAGGAATACAAACTACCATCAGAGAATACTATAAACACCTCTATGCAAACATACTAGAAAATCTAGAAGAAATGGATAAACACATACACTCTCCCAAGATTAAATCAGGAAGAAGATGAATCCCTGAATACACCAATAACAGGCTCTGAAATTGAGGCAATAATTAATAGCTTACCAACCAAAAAAAGTCCAGGACCAGATGGATTCACAGCCGAATTCTACCAGAGGTACAAGGAGGAGCTGGTACCATTCCTTCTGAGACTATTCCAATCAATAGAAAAAGAGGGAATCCTCCCTAACTCATTTTATGAGGCCAGCATCATCCTGATACCAAAGCCTGGCAGAGACACAACAAAAAGAGAATTTTAGACCAATATCCCTGATGAACATCGATGCAAAAATCCTCAATAAAATACTAGCAAACCAAATCCAGCATGATCAAGTGGGCTTCATCCCTGGGATGCAAGGCTGGTTCAACATATGCAAATCAATAAATGTAATCCCGCTTATAAACAGAACCAATGACAAAAACCACATGATTATCTCAATAGATGCAGAAAAGGCCTTTGACAAAATTCAACAGCCCTTCACACTAAAAACTCTCAATAAATTAGGTATTGATGGGACGTATCTCAAAATAATAAGTTATTTATGACAAACCCACAGTGAATATCATACTGAATGGGCAAAAACTGGAAGCATTCCCTTTGAAAACTGGCACAAGACAGGGATGCCCTCTTTCACCACTCCTATTCAACATAGTGTTGGAAGTTCTGGCCAGGGCAATCAGGCAGGAGAAGGAAATAAAGGGTATTCAATTAGGAAAAGAGGAAGTCAAATTGTCCCTGTTTGCAGATGACATGATTGCATATCTAGAAAACCCCATCGTCTCAGCCCAAAATCTCCTTAAGCTGATAGGCAACTTCAGCAAAGTCTTAGGATACAAAATCAATGTGCAAAAACCACAAGCATTCTTGTACACCAATAATAGACAAACAGAGAGCCAAATCATGAGTGAACTCCCATTCACAATTGCTTCAAAGAGAATAAAATACCTAGGAATCCAACTTACAATGGATGTGAAGGACCTCTTCAAGGAGAACTACAAACCACTGCTCAACAAAATAAAAGAGGATGCAAACAAATGGAAGAACATTCCATGCTCATGGATAGGAAGAATCAATATCACGAAAATGGCCATACTGCCCTAGGTAATTTATAGATTCAATGCCATCCCCATCAAACTACCAATGACTTTCTTCACAGAATTGGAAAAAACTACTTTAAAGTTCATATGGAACCAAAAAAGAGCCCTCATTGCCAAGTCAATCCTAAGCCAAAAGAACAAAGCTGGAGGCATCATGCTACCTGACTTCAAACTATACTACAAGGCTACAGTAATCAAAACAGCATGGTACTGGTACCAAAACAGAGATATAGACCAATGGAACAGAACAGAACCCTCAGAAATAATACCACACATCTACAACTATCTGATCTTTGACAAACCTGACAAAAACAAGAAATGGGGAAAGGATTCCCTATTTAACAAATGGTGCTGGGAAAACTGGCTAGCCATATGTAGAAAGCCGAAACTGGATCCCTTCCTTACACCTTATACAAAAATTAATTCAAGATGGATTAAAGACTTAAATGTTAAACTTAAAACCATAAAAACCCTAGAAGAAAACCTAGGCAATACCATTCAGGACATAGGCATGGGCAAGGACTTCATGACTAAAACACCAAAAGCAATGGCAACAAAAGCCAAAATTGACAAATGGGATCTCATTAAACTGAAGAGCTTCTGCACAGCAAAAGAAACTATGGTCAGAGTGAACAGGCAACCTATAGAAAGGGATAAAATTTTTGCAATCTACTCATCTGACAAAGGGCTAATATCCAGAATCTACAAAGAACTCAAACAAATTTACAAGAGAAAAAAACAGACAACCCCATCAAAAAGTGGGCAAAGGATATGAACAGACACTTCTCAAAAGAAGACATTTATGCAGCCAACACACACATGAAAAAATGCTCATCATCACTGGCCATCAGAAAAATGCAAATCAAAACCACAATGAGATACCATCTCACACCAGTTAGAATGGCAATCATTAGAAAGTCAGGAAACAACAGATGCTGGAGAGGATGTGGAGAAATAGGAACATTTTACACTGTTGGTGGGACTGTAAACTGGTTCAACCATTGTGGAAGACAGTGTGGCGATTCCTCAGGGATCTAGAACTAGAAATACCATTTGACCCAGCCATCCCATTACTGGGTATATACCCAAAGGATTATAAATCATGCTGCTATAAAGACACATGCACACATATGTTTATTGCGGCACTATTCACGATAGCAAAGACCTGGAACCAACCCAAATGTCCAACAATGATAGACTGGATTAAGAAAATGTGGCACATATATACCATGGAACACTATGCAGCCATAAAAAATGATGAGTTCATGTCCTTTGTAGGGACATGGATGAAGCTGGAAACCATCATTCTCAGCAAACTATTGCCAGGACAAAAAACCAAACATCGCATGTTCTCACTCATAGGTGGGAATTGAACAATGAGAACGCTTGGACACAGGAAGGGGAACATCACACACCGGGGACTGTTGTGGGGTGGGGGGAGGGGGGACGGATAGCATTAGGAGATATACCTAATGTAAATGACGAGTTAATGGGTGCAGCACACCAACATGGCACATGTATACATATGTAACAAACCTGCACGTTGTGCACATGTACCCTAGAACTTAAAGTATAATTTAAAAAAAAGAAGAAACTCAAACAGCTCAACAACAACAAAAATAACAAAACCCATTAAATAGTACACAAAAGATATGAGCAGACATTTTGCAAAGATATATAAATGGCCAAATGAAAAGCATATGGAAAAATGCTCAACTTCACTAATCATTACAGAAATGCAAACCAAAACCATGATGAGATACCATCTTACACCACTCAGAATGGATATTATAAAAAAGTCAAAAAATAACAGATGCTGGCGAGATTGGGGAGAAAAGGGAATGTTATGTACTCCTGGTGGGAATGTAAATTAGTACAACCTCTATGGAAAACAGTATGGAGATTTATCAAAGAACTAAAATTAGAACTGCTATTCAATTCAGCAATCCTACTCCTGGGTATCTACCCAAAGGAAGAGAAATTACTATAACAAAAAGATACTTGTACTCACATGTTTATTAATGCAGTATTCACAATAACAAAGATCGGAATCAACCTAAGTTCCCATCAATGAATAATTGGATAAAGAAAATATGATATGAGATATATACATATATATACACACACACACACACACATATATACATACACACACAACATGGAATACTGAATACTACTCATCGCTAGAAAAGAATGAAATCATATCTTTTGCAGCAACTTGGATGAAACTGGAGGCCATTATCTTAAGTGAAATAAGTCAGAAACAGAAGGTCAAATATGGCATGTTCTCACTTATAGGTGGGAGCTAAATAATGTGTACACATGGACATAGAGAGTAGAATAATAGACTTTGGAGATTCAGAAAGGTGGAAGAGTAGGGGCAGATGAGGTATGAGAAATTACCTAATGCATACAATGTGTGCTCTTTGGGTGATGATTACACTGAAAGCACAGAATTCACTGTTATGCAATATATCCATGTAACAAAACTGCACTTGTTCCCCCTAAATCTATATAAATTTTTTAAAACCTGTGAAACAAAGAGCTCACTGAAAGGGGTTATATTTTTATTTGGTAAATGAATGTTTTAGTTCAAATGTGAAATATATTCATTTTACTTCATGATTATTACTAACGATAATTTTGTGGTACAGAGACGGGGGTGGTAAAACAGTGAAGAACTCCACACCAGGTGTGAGATAAGCCCCTGATGCTGACTCCTGTTTTTTTGTTGTTGTTGTTGTTTTTGTTGTTGTTTGTTTTTGTTTTTGTTTTTTTTTGAGACAGAGTCTCACTCTGTTACCCAGGCTGGAGTGCAGTGGTGCGATCTCGGCTCACTGTAACCTCTGCCTTTCAGGTCCAAGCGATTCTCCTGCCTCAACCTCCCAAGTAGCTGGGATTACAAGCATGCACCACCACGCCGAGCTAATTTTTTGTATTTTTTTTAGTAGAGATGGGGTTTCACCATATTGACCAGGCTGGTCTCGAACTCCTGACCTCAGGTGATCTGCCCACCTCAGCTTCCCAAAGTGCTGGGATTACAGGTGTGAGCCATAGCGCCCGGCCAACTCCTGTTATGATGGGGACATGATAGGGCAATCCCCAGGATAGCAGACAACCCTGGGTAGAGCCAGAGTCTTCCAGGCATAGGGCATGTCTCTTCTTCTCATCTCGGGGGACAGAAATCAGTACTGGTCTCCTGGCCTGAGTAAGAGCCCCAAACGATGACAGAAAGGGGATGCAAGAAAATAAAGAACGGGTTTCTCTTGGCTAGTTGGATGAAGACTGGTATTCATAGTAATTTGGATTTTATGTGCAGATTTCTGCTTCTGGCATGATAGGTAACTGGATGTGAACTTACCTTCTCATCATAAACAAATCAAAAGCCAGACTAAAGGTCGAGGTAGTTATGTTCAGATGCTGGACAGCAGGAAGCACAGGTCTGTGATCTCTGAGATGAGGAGAAGGAATGAGGAGGGACGCAGCTCTTTTCTTAGAGAGACTTACTAGAGAACGGTGCAAGGAGGGGTTCCCAGAGAAAAGTGTGGTGCTCTCTGTGAGATGAGGCAACAGAGATGAGAATGTGGGAAAAAGGAAACCTCTGAAATTTGTCGGGTAGCGTAACAGAGAGGAAGTGCTACATGGCTCCAGAATTATGAGTAGGGTTCCCTTTTAGGCTGAATATTAAGTTTTGTTAAGTGTAGGAGACTCTATGAATTGACCAATTACCAAGGAGCTTTAAGCTGAGCAAGTCTCAGAGCTCACAGAGAACTAGAGAACTTCAAGTTCCATCCAGCCAGGGCACTGCACACCCAGGACATTCAATAAAGACAGCAGAGGGGTCTGGCTTTGGTGGTGGGACTGAGCTAGTCCTAGAGTATAGGTTATTTTAAGCCCACTGAACAAAACTTAAAAATAAGCCTGACAATAATCAAGTGGTCCACAAGTAACATAAGTACCTTCTTAAGCAAAGTTCAATATGCTTTACAGGAAGGTAACAAAACTTGGAATTCAACGAGACAAAATCCACTATGTCTGGCATCCAATACAGAAATACTTTGTAATGAAAATCCTTCCCATAGGAAAGTATCAGACCCAGATGACTTCACTGTTGAATTCTACTCATCATTTAAAAAAGAAATCAAACAATCCTTCACAAATTCTTCAGCAAATAGACTCACTTTATGAGGCCAGCATACTTGCACAAAAAACAAAAACCTTATAATGAAAGGAAACTGCAGACCAATATTCTTCATAATATAGATACAAAATCCTTAACCAAGTATTAGAAAAATCAAACTCAGCAATATATTAGCAAGATATAGACACATATTATATATATATGTACACATATACTTATCTGTATATATACATGCACAGAGATAAATATATTTACATGCATACACATATACATGCATACACCAACGTTTATGTTAATTTTTTATATATTAATTGAACTGTACACTTAAGATTCATATCAGTCTCATATACATATTATACCCTTTTTACAATTATAAAAACATGAATAGGACAAAATTAATTGGAAAAATACTTACAAATTCTGCATCTGATAAAGGATTTGTATAAAGAATATATAAAGAACTTATGTAACTCAATATTAAAAAGACAAACAACCTAATTAAAGAAGGAATAGAGGATCTGAATAGCTATTTTTCCAAAGTAGATATACAAATGGCTAATAAGCACATGAAAAGATGCTCAACATGATTAGTCATTGGGGAAATATAAATCAAAACCACAGCGAGAAATTACTTCACATCCACTAGAATGGATATGATCAAAATGTCAGGTAGTAGTAAGCATTGATGAGGATGGGAAGAAGTTACCACCTTTACACACTCCTTGTGGAACTGTAAAATGGTGTAAACACTTTGGAAAATAGTCTGACACTTCTCCAAAACGTTAAACACAAAGTTATCATTTGACCCAGCAATTCTATTTCTAGATATATACCAAAGAGAAATGAAAACATATATTCACACAAAATCTTGCACATCAATATTCATAACAGCATTATTCATAATAGCCAAGAAGGCAGAAATGACCCAAATGTCCCTGAACTAATGAACAGATAAACAAAATGTGGTATACACATACAATGAAATATTGTTTGACCATAAAAAGCACTAAAGTGCTGACACATGCTACAACATGGATGAATCTTGAAAACATTATGCTAAGCGAAAGATGTCAGTCACAAAAGACTACATATTATATGACTCCATGTATATGAAATGTCCTGAATAGACAAATCAATAGAGACAGAAAGTAGATAAGTGGTTGTCTAGGGCTGAAGGGATGGGAAGGTTGAATGTTGGGAGTTTTTGGAGTGGTTGTTAAAATGTTCTAAATTGCGCTGGGTGCAGTGGCTCATGCCTGTAATCCCAGCACTTTGGGAGGCCGAGGTAGGCAGATCACTTGAGGTCAGGAGTTCGAGACCAGCCTGGCCAACATGGCAAAACACTGTCTCTACTAAAAATACAAAAATAAGCTGGATGTGGTGGCACATACCTGTAATCCCAGCTACTCAGGAGGCTGAGGCAGGAGAATTGCTTGAGCCTGGGAGGCAGAGGTTGCAGTGAGCCAAGATGGCACCACTGCACTCCAGCCTGGGCAAGAGGACGAGAGTCCATCTCAAAACAAACAAAAAATGTTCTAAATTAATTGTCGCACCACTGTATGAACATACCAAAAACCATTGGCGTGTATACTTTAGGTGAATTATATGGTATGCAAATTATAAATTAATAAAGTTATAATAAACAAATGCCAGAAAAAGAGTGGGTAAGAATGCGGAAAATATTGAAAGATTCAGAGACTGTGGATGAGTAAATAGAGACAATCGCTGTGGAAGGCAGTTTAGTATTACAGAGTGAAATCAAATATCACACACCCTATGACTGAGAAATGCCACTTCCACGTGTGTGATCTAAAGCAGTCCTACCCCATGCGTGATTAGATAAAGAGCTTGTATCAGAATGTAAACCAGGGTAACTTCCTCCCCTGAGAAAGACTTGCTATGAGATGTGAGGTGAACTAAAAAGTGTGTTTTGGGACACAGTTGATGCTATTTGATTACAGAATCCTTATCTCTCCATAGACTGTAATAAGTTGTAGATGAACAGCCAGTTTGTGGACTACCCTTTAAGTAGCATCAGTCTAGAGAAACTTGACCTTGTGGACAAAGAAACATAAATGGTTAAATCATGTTACAATGGTTAAAAATTAGAACAATCTAATAGTCCATTAAGTGAATTAGTAATAGAATTGTGGAATACTGATTTGATAGAATACCATTTAGTCACTAAAAGGAAACATATATATTTATAGATGGAAAGATCCCAAAATATATAAAATATACAGAATATATATCATTTACATTAATAAAAATTCATACAAATAAATATTCTTTTATGTTCCTGAAAACAAACATATATGTATTTTTAAGAGACTAAAAAATATATATTAAATTCATGATAAAGGCTACCTTTGGGGAAGGAAGGGTAGAATTCGAACTGGGAATAGAGAGCAAAAGGGACTTTGATTTTGTCCATAACGCTTATTGTATTTTCTTTCTAAAAAAAGATTTAAATCAAATGTGTCAAAATGTTAACAGCTTTCAATGATGGGTGGTAGGTTCCTGGATATTTGCTATGTTATTTGTACTTGTCTATATTTTTAAATTTCTCAAGAAAAACAACACAATAAGGTGACTGTACTTTTAGTAAATTATGGCTGCATGTTACCCAGATATCTGCTCCAGTTATATTGAGAAACTAGAAGTGTGAAACTCCACCATCTGTTAAAGAAATCTTGACATCCATGGGTAGCAAAGAAACATCAAAAACTAATGTTAAGACCACATGACAGAGCAAATATACTTGACAACATTTAGATTATTTTATTAAGCAAGGGATCCTGGAAACAAAACCAGATTTCGTTGTAGAGTCAGAGAGGATAATGTAGATCTTTGAGGTTAAATTATCAATGATATTGATTAAGGTTTCATATGATTATTCATTGATTTTTCTTCTGGGTAGGAATAAAAAGAATTTTTAGCTGAATAAAACTTGTTAAAAGTACAAGCTGTTCTGAGGAATTCTTATGTATATTCCAGGCTGTTATTACAGGATTAAAGTGTTAAGTGTGGGGAGGAACACAACATTTGAAGAATCTCAGCTCAAGGGCCCTCCCTCACTAGAAATGAATTGTTATTCTGACTCATCTTTTGTGCAGATGAAATTCATTAACTTTCAAGCACTTGCATGACTGTGAGGTTATTTCCTTGCTGAACTTTTGTACTGGAGACATGCTGAGGACAGACTATGGTGAAAATTTCCGAAAGTAGGTGCTTGCTGTGTAAATACTTTCCTTGATAAATGATGTCCCAATTAATACGTAATTGTGCAATCATGTAGTCATTTTTTCATTAAAAAGTTACTGATGCACTTAAACTTCAATTCCAGCCATTGGTTTACAGCAGACAAATATACAAAGTATAAGGCAAAATATTGATCTAGATAAGCTCATAGGTATTAGGACTTTTAGAGAAAATGAAGTTTTTGCCTTTATCTAGTAAATCAGTTCAACCAACTTTTAGTTAGTCTTTGCTAAGTACCAGATACTTTGTAAGGCATGGAAACTGTAAAAAATGGAAATTATATTTCCTACCTTTTAGGCAGTTGTCAAAGAGCATGGAAAACAGATATGTAAACATATTTATAATTCAATGAGATGTTAAAAAATAATATAACTTAAACAATTTTAAGCCCCATGAAGGCAGGACCACATTTTCCTTTCTCATAGCTCTATCTCAGAACTTAGCCTAGTGCCTAAAGCATTGAATATAGTGAAAAAGTATTTAACTTGTTGTCTTAGTCTGTTTGGGCTGCTGTAATAAAATACAAGATACTGGATGGCTTATAAAGACAGAAATTTATTTCTTACAGTTCTAGAGATGGGGAAATCCAAGATCAATTTTCCATCAGATTCAGTATCTGCTGGGGGCTCACTTTCTGCTTTGAAGATGGTGTCTACTTGCTGAGTCCTCAAATGGTGAAAAGGGTGAACAGGCTCGCTTAAGCCTCTTTTATGAGGGCACTAATCCTGCACATGATGGCAGATTCCTCATGACCTAATGATATAGGGCTTAAGAGGAAATCACTTAGGCAAATAGCAACGGTATGGGGGTCCTTGGAAAGGTTTTTCTTTTTAATGAAAAGCAGCCCCAAATCATTTTCTAACAAAGAGCAGCCTGCAAGCTGGGAGCTTCCATGGATGAATGCCTGCAGGAACTAAGGACTAGACATTTTCAAGATGGCAGCTCCATCTTCCCTTCTCTGCCATCCATATGTGCTGTAAGGAGCAGACAGGATGGTACCCATCAACTGGAAAGCCCATTTACGTAAGAAGATTAGGGTGGGGTGACCAGCCTTCCCTGTGCACTATGTAAACGTCATAGCTGATTGAACCAGTCTGTGAGCCCTATGTAAACCAGACACCACCTCCTCAAACTGGACTATAAAACTTGGCACTTTCACTGCCAGCCTGTCCTTTCCACTCGGAGACCCCTTCCTCTATAGAGGAAACTGGTTCTCTTTCTCTTCCCTTCTACCTATTAAACCTCCGCTCCTAAACTCCTCATGTGTGTCCGTGTCCTAAATTTTCCTGGTGCATGACAACGTACCCCAGAGTATATACCCCAGACAACGTGGCCGCTTCACTAATAATCCCCGGAAGTCCTCACTTCTTAACATTACCATTTTGGGGAGTGGGTTTCAATGTATGAATTTTGGGGTGACATAAACATTCGTAGTATTTGTTAATGAGCAACAGTACTGCCGAAGAGAAAGTGATTATGATAGAAGCCATTTTTAAATCTTATGTTATCAGCTGGGAGCAGTGGCTCACGCCTGTAATCCCAGCACTTTGAGAGGCCAAGGTGGGCAGATCACGAGGTCAAGAGATTGAGACCATCCTGGCGAACATGGTGAAACCCCGTCTCTACTAAAAATACAAAAATTAGCTGGACGTGGTGGCACGTGCCTGTAGTCCCAGCTACTCAGGAGGCTGATGCAGGAGAATCGCTTGAACCCGGGAGGTGGAGGTTGCAATGAACTGAGATTGTGCCACTGCACTCCAGCCTGGCAACAAAGCGAGACTCCATCTCAAAAAAACAAAACAAAACAAAACAAAAAACAACTTACGTTATCATGGCTAATTGGTTAATCCAAAAGTTTAGTTGAAATGGGTAGCCAAAGAAGACATACAAGCCTTAAGCATTTAAAAAAAAATAAAAACATCAAATTTTAATTTTTTTTCATTTTCCATTAATCTTTGGAAAAAGAACCAAAGAATCTTTTTTGTGTGTCCAACCCTACAAATTGGAAAACAGGCCTCTTTCTTGTGTAAACTACATTTATAATGTATCTTCCATGATTTTCAGTTTCAATGTATTTATAGAGCAGGGAACAGAAAAAGACTCATAAATTTTTGTTAACTATAGTCACTGTGCAGTGCTATTGAACTAGAACTAAGATTGTGAATGTTCCCAACACAAAGAAATAATAAATGTTTGAGGTGACAGATTTGCTAATTACCCTGATTTGATCACTATACATTGTACACATGTATTGAAATATTACATTGTACCCCATAAATATGTACAATTATTTTTTCAATTACAAAAAAATATATACTCTTGTGAAACATCAGAGTTTCCTATCCCTCTAGATTTTTATTGTTTTGGAAATTTTCAAACCTATTTTTCCTATTTAGTTTTTGAACTTCTTTGTGTGTGTTTTTGAACTTAGTCTTCATGGAGTCTTCGCAAAAGAACATTCAAATTAGCTTTCAGAAAGATATTAAATATATCTTTTGCCTATGCACATTTTCTTGGCTTGGATAAGCATTAGTTAAATTGTAAGATTACAACAACAGAAACCACTGGTATAAGTGGTTTGAAGTGACTTTTAATTAGCCAACATTTATTTAATGGGAAAGCCAGTTGTGGCACTGCAGAACATCCTAGTAGAAGCCTGTATTGGGCATTTTGTGGGCATTTTACAGAGCAAGAGAGATGGCTGGCTAATGAAGAGAGTTTAGGAGTGAATATTGTTAAGAGAAACCATGTATAATAATATCAGAAGAGTTGATGAGAAACCAAATTTAAAAGATGGTTAAGATTTTCTAGGTAGACTAGAAAGATAACTCTTCCAGAAGAGGGAACAACTCTTGCAAAGACACAAAGGTTTTAAGTAGGACCATGTTTAGGGGAAAATTGGCTTATTACTATATATCCTTATAAGCATTTTCTTAAACAAGTATTAATAGTTGCTTTTTCCAAGAGAGATATAACCAGGATTATCAACCCAGTCATTATTAAGGTGATTCACTAAGATAATCAATATAGTTGCTGTTTACACGAACCTATTATTGAACATACCCTCTCTGGCGAGTTACCATTTGATTTTGCATGAGAATAAAAAGAAGGAAGGAAGAAAAGAGGTGGGAAGGAAGACAGGAGGGAGCATACATAAATGGATTCAAAGCCAAATCTTTTTATAAGCATAGTCCTTACTTGCATGATACCACGCTCCTGGTAAGCTTATTAAGGGTTCTTCTACCATCATTCTCAGCAAACTAACACAAGGACAGAAAACCAAACACTGCATGTTCTCACTCATAAGCGGGAGTTGAACAATGAGAACATGTAGACACAGGGAGATGAACATCACTCACCTGGGCCTGTTGGAGGGTGTGCGCCTAGGGGAGGGACAGCATTAGGAGAAATACCTAATGCAGATGACAGGCTGATGGGTGCAGCAAACCACCATGGCACGTGTATACCTATGTAACAAACCTTCACGTTCTGCACATGTACCCCAGAACTTAAAGTATAATAAAAAAAAAAAGTTAGAAAGACCAACTTTAGAAATTATTTTACTTATTTACATAAATCTTCATCACACACACATAGATTCAATCCCTTTTTTGAAAACACAACTTTATTTTTGAATATGAACATAAGATGAATCATAAAGTCATAATTTCAATATTATATTGTAAATACTACAAATTATCATTATATTCCAAAAATATACCTAAATTCTCATACATAGCTTCCCCAGAAAAATGATATGTCATAGAGGGCTCATGGAAGTCATAAAATTATTATCAAATTATTAACAAACTATAAAATAATAAAGATTATCACTTAATTTAAAGTATTTTTTTCTTTGAGAGGTTATAATTTTATTTTTTAAAGAGGGAAATTTCTTGAGGTGACTGAAACCTTACCATAGAGATTGCTAATTTTTAAGATTTTTTTCCAGTACATTTTTTTCTTAAGATGCTTAAATTCTCTTTTCAGAAACCTTTCTAATGTTTCAAAGAATCTAGTTTTTGTAGTGGGTTTTAGTAGGCCCATTTCAGACTGTATGAAAATATTTGCTAAAATACCATGGAAACAAACAGAAAACCAGATCATGGAAACAAAGTTTCATTAAACAGTCATTTTTGCTTTTAGATTTCCTGTATTACAACTAAAAAGATCTGTTTTAATACTTTCTTCCATTATTTATGGATAAATATTTTTACTATTTTGTATCAAAGTAAAACATGTTCATGCTCTTTAAAGTCAAAATTTCCTGTTAGATTTATAAGGAAAAACAAAGATTCTTTGTCCTGTCCATTTTTAACCCTCACTTAAAAATCTTTCTGCTTTTTTTGGGAATTTACCTTATGTTTTAAAATAATAGTCTCATAATGTTATTTCTTCATTTTTAAATTTTAGATATCTATAGATTTGTATTATAATAGATGAGGTTTTCTTTTTTTTTAACTTTTTTCAAAAAAATTAATTTTTGTGGGTACATAGTAGGTATATATATTGGTAGATGAGATTTAATTTTCTACCATCTATCTCCCCCCATTTTCTCAAAACACTAATATAATTATTCATTCAGTCAATATTCATAGTTTCTATTATTATGACATAAATATTACAAGTGAACAATATTGTGTATTTTTTTGTCTCATGTCTTGTTTTTATCTAATTAATAAATGGTTTGTGGTTTTGTTTTTGTTTTTTTGGTTTCTTTGTTTGTTTTTTGAGAGAAGGTCTCACTCTATTGCTCAGGCTGGAGTACAGTGGCATAATCACAGCTCACTGCAGCCTCAATCTCCCAGGCTCAAGCAGTCCACCCACCTCAGCCTCCCAAGTAGCTGGGACCACAGGCATGCGCCAAATGCCTGACTAATTTTTGTATTTTTTGTAGAGATGAGGTTTTGCTGTGTTGCCCAGGATGGTCTTGAACTCCTGGACTCAACCGATCCACTGGTCTCAGTCCCCCAAAGTGCTGGGATTATAGGTATAAGCCATCACAACTGGCCTGTTTTATGTTATCCTCTTTTATCTTTTGCTTGCTAAATTGACTATGTCTGTTCTGTATTAATATTTTTATTTAAACTCTCCACAGGAACAGGAAAACTCCTGTGGCCAAATGCTGTTTCTTTTCATTGTGGAACAGCCCTCTTAGAATCTTTCGGCTCCCACTGGGCTCAGTGGCTCACACCTGTAATCCCAGCACTTTGGGAGGCCAAGGCAGGCGGATCACTAAGTCAGGAGATCCAGACCATCCTGGCTAACATGGTGAAATCCTGTGTCTACTAAAAACACAAAAAAATTAGCCTGGCATGGTGGTGGCAGGCGCCTGTAGTCCCAGCTACTCTGGAGGCTGAGGCAGGCAGGAGAATGGTGTGAACCCAGGAGGCGGAGCTTGCAGTGAGCCAAGACCGTGCCACTGCACTCCAGCCTGGGCGACAGAGCGAGACTCCATCTCAAAAAAAAAAAAAAAAAAAAAAAAAAAAAAGAATCTTTCTGCTCCCGTGCGGAAGAGTTGCCCTTTTATCTGCTGAAGGGCTCTCCTCTGGAGACTTGGGGAGTATGTCTCTCTTTAGCTCTCATAATACTTGATTTATATATCTTGATGCTTCAGTATTGGGTACATAAATATTTACTTGCTAAACTGACTTCTTTATCATTATATAATGACTTTCTTTTTCTCTTTTTACAGTTTTTGTCTTGAAATATATTCTATCTGATATAAATATAGCAACTTCTGCTCTTTTTTGGTTTCCACTTGCATGGAATATCTTTTTCCATCCCTTTATTTTTAGTCTATGTGTGTCTTTATAGGTAGAGTGAGTTTCTTGTAGGCAGCATATGGTTGGGTCTTGATTTCTATTCATTCATTATCTCCATATCTTTTAATTGGATAATTTAGTCCATTTACATTAAATGTTACTATTGACAGGTAAAGATTACCACTACTGTTTTGTTATTTGTTTTCTGGTTGTTTTGTTGGTCTTCTTTTTTTCTTCCTTACTTACTAGCTTTCTTTATGTAAAGTAATTTTCTCTGGTCAAATGTTTTAATTTCTTACTCTTC
Source organism: Homo sapiens (assembly GCF_000001405.40). Classification (NCBI taxonomy): domain Eukaryota; kingdom Metazoa; phylum Chordata; class Mammalia; order Primates; family Hominidae; genus Homo; species Homo sapiens. The sequence goes on along the minus strand of NC_000013.11, from coordinate 97,037,301 downwards.
TTTTGTATATTTTATAGGTTTTTGTTTTGTAGTTACCATGAGGCTTGCAAATAACATAAGCAATTATTTTGAACTGATGTCAGCTTAACACTGATTATGAAGAAAAGGAAAAAAGAGCAAAGATAAAACTAAAAATCTCTGCACTTCAACTACATCTCCCTTCTAACTTTTTGGCTTTTTTTTTTTTTGAGACAGAGTCTCACTCTGTCACCCAGGCTGGAGTGCAGTGGTGCAATCTTGGCTCACTGCAAACTCTGCCTCCTGGGTTCAAGCGATTCTCCTGCCTCGGCCTCCTGAGTAGCTGGGATTACAGGTGCTCGCCACCATGCCTGGCTAATTTTTGTGTTTTTAGTAGAGACTGGGTTTCACCCTGTTGGCCAGGCTGGTCTCAAACTCCTGACCTCAGGTGATCTACCCACCTCCACCTCCCAAGGTGCTGGGATTACAGGCATGAGCCACTGCGCCTGGCCAACTTTTTAACTTTTTATTGTTTCCATTTATATATTTTTATATTGTCTATCTTTTAAAAAGTTTTTGTAATTATTATTTTTGATAGGTTTGTCATCCCACTAAATATATGAACGGTTTACATGCTGCAATTATAGTGTTAGAGTATTCTGTATTTGTCTGCATATTTACTATTATCCTTTTATACCTTCAGATGATTTCTTGTTGCTCGTTAATGTTCCCTTCCCCTTCCCATTCCCCTTCCCCTCCCCTCCCCTCCCCTCCCCTTTTCTTTTTTCTTTCCTTTTCTTTTCTTTTCTTTTAGACAGCGTGTTGCTCTGTTTCCCAGGCTGGAGAAGTGGCCTGATGCCAGGTGCAGTGGCATGATCTCGGCTCACTGCAACCTCCACCTCCTGGGCTCAAGCAATCCTCTCACCTCAGCCTCCCCAGAAGCTGGGTTTACACCACACACTACCACACTTGGCTAATTTTTATATTTTTTTTGTAGAGAAGGGTTTTTGCCATGTTGCCCAGTTTGGTCACAAACTCCTGAGCTCAAGTGATCTGCCCACTTTGGCTTCCTAAAGTGCTAGGATTACAGGCATGAGCCACTACACCAGGCGTCATTAACGTCCTTTTCTTTCAAGTTGAAGAATTCTTTTTAACATTTCTTGTAAGTCAGTTCTACTGACTTACAAAAGCCCTCAGCTTTTGTCTGCAAAAGTTTTCATTTCTTCTTCATATCTGAAAGATGATTTTTCTGTATATAATACTATAGGTTGTTGCCAGTGTTTATTTTCCTTCAGCACTTTGAATATGTCATCCCACTCAATCCTGGCCTTAAGGTTTCTGCTGAGAAATCTGTTGCTATACATATCAAAGTTCCTTTATATGCTATTTGCTTCTTTCCTCTTGCTGTTTTTAGGATCTTTTCCATATCTTTGACCTTTGAGAGTTTGATTATATGCCTTGAGGTAGTCTTATTTGGGTTGAATCATTTTGGTGTTCTTTAACCTTCTTGTTCTACTCTGATCTTTCTCTCTCTATCCTCTTTAGGGCCAGTAACTCTTAGATTTGGCATTTTGAGAATTTGTCAGTGGGCTTCATTAAATTTTTTTTTCTCTTCTGACTGTGTATTTTTATACAGCCTATCTTCAAGCTCATTACTTTTTGTCTTCTGCTTGATCAATTCTGATGTTGAGAAACTGATAAAATTTTCAATTTGTCAATTGAATTTTTTAGCTCCAGAATTTCCGCTTGATCTTTTGTTTTAATTTCTATTTCTTTGTTAAATTTCTCTGATGGAATTCTGAATTCCTTCTGTGTTATCTTGAAGTTTACTGAGCTTCCTCAAGATAGCTATTTTGAATTCCCTATCTGAAAGGTCATGTTTCCATTACTCCAGGATTGGTCAGTGGCGCCTTATTTAGTCCTTTTGTTGAGCTCATGTTTTCCTGGATGTTCTTGATGCTTGGGGACATTTGTTAGTGTCTTGGCATTGATGAGTTAGGTATTTGTTTCAATCTTCACAGTCTGGGCTTATTTATACTCATCCATCTTGATAGGGCTTTCTATGAATCCAAAGGGGATTGAGTGTTGTGTTCTAAGCCTGTGGTCACTGGCTTAAGACAGTGACTACTGTCCTAAGGGTTGTTGTCCTAAGAGTTGCACAGGAATCCTGCAACTCTTTCAGACTCCTAGATACACAGCCTTGGTGGACTTGGGAAAGATAAGAGAGAATTTCCTGGTTACCAGGCAAAGTCTCTTACTCTCTTTCCTCTCTTTTCCTCAATCAGATAGAGCCTCTCTTTGCTCTGAGCTGCCTGGAGTTAGAGAAAGGGTGACACAAGCACTCCTGGGGCCACCATAACTGGCATTGCACAAGGACACACTTGAAGTCTTGCAGACTAGCATAGTACTGGGGCTCACCCAAGGCCTGCAGCGACTACTTACTGGTTGCTTCTCGTGTTTGTTCAAGGCCCAAGACCACTATCATCAGCAGGTAGTGAATTCTGCTGAGACTGGATCCATACCATCAGGGCAGTGAATTCTCTTCTGGCCCAGGGTGGGTCTAGAAATTCCATCCAGGAAAAAAGACCTCAAATCTTCTTGCTCCTTCCCCCAAGCAGAGGAGTCTCTCCCAGGGCTGTACTTCCTGAATTGGGGGAGGAGTGATGCAGGCACTCCCTTGGCCACCACAGCTCCTTTGGATTGTACCATAAGTCCACTGCCTCTGAAATTAGTGCAGCACCAGGGCTTGCCCAGGGGCTGCAGTCCTTTGTGGCCTGACTGCCACTCAAATTTATTCTGGGTTCCAGCCAGTGGTGAAGCTGGCTAGAACTCACGTTCCTCCTGCTGGAATGAGGAAATCTCCTCTGGCCCAGGCTGGTCTAAATGCTGCCTCGGTGGGCACCAGCAGAATTATGCTCTGTGTTGTGTTTTGCCATGACAAGGCAGGACTGAGCTTCAATGCAAAGTCACACCTCACTTCACTCTCTCTGCCAAGCTCACAGATTCTTTCTCCATATGCTGCCTGGGGTTGGGGAACGGGTGGTATAGCCAATGCAAGACTGTCTGTCCTACCTTCTTCAGTGCCTCCTTCCTTTATATTATGTTCAAACAAGGTACTGTGATTACTCACCTGATATTTTGGTTCTCATGAAGGTACTCTCTTATGTGGATAGTTGTTCAAATTGGTGTTCCTGCAGGAGAGAGATTACTGGAGGGTTCTATTCAGCCATCTGACTCACAAGTAGATTTGTTAAACAAAAGGAATAAATGTTCAATATTCCAGAACTTACGTTTTGCCAAGGCAAGGATTTCCCTCTGTTTTATTTAATAATGTATCTCAAGAACCTATCATATAGTTAAAACTCAGTGAATATTTGTGCAATAAATGAATTCCACTGAGACTGGGTCCATACCATCAGGGCAGTGAATTCTCTTCTGGCCCAGGGCGGGTCTAGAAATTTCATCCAGGTAAAAAGACCTCAAATCTTCCTGCATTTGTGGCAGTGCCAAGTTAATACAAGGGTCAAGCAAAAGTTAGGCTTTACTGCTATATCAATATAGGTTTTGTTATTATATATCTAAATTTATATAGATGGATACATTATGAACACATATGCATGTATAAAATACCTTTATTTTAAAACATTTGATATAAACCTTGAAGTTGAATACAATTCTAAGGTGAAATTCATCATGGAGGGTTTTCTTGGAAAAAGCAATTCAAGCAAATGCTAGAGGAATAAAAATACTTGTTCAGCTCAGCAGTTTGGAGTCTTATAGATCCGGCTAAGTGCCTGGAATTCTAGGTAATGGGGTGAGAGATGTACTGAAAGGTTAAACTAGGGTAGAGACATGGTCAGATTCCCACTTGAGATAGGCGAGGCTGATGGCCATGTTGGGATGGACTCAAAGGAGGCCATGGGTCCAGAAGAAGGCCTACTCTATGAAAGTTTCTGTAAGGACAAGAGAACTAGTAGGCTTGAGAGATATTTGGAAGACAATCCACAAGACAGTGATTGACTGTAGAGTCATGGTGAAGGATGAAATGGTGTCAAGACCCACGGACAACTGGATGACTTGTAGTCCCACTCACTAAGACAGGCAATACATGAAGAGGTTGGGGATGAGAATACATGTTGAGAGACTGAGATGCCTATGCAACATCCAGTTGGAAATGCCAAGCAGAAAGTTAGAGAAATGTAAAGTTTGCTGTGGAGTTTATCTATAAACATGTGGATAAAATAGCTACATATATGCATATATGTACACACATATCTTTTAAAAAATAATTTTCCTTTAAAAATTATGGGTACATCATAAGTGTATATACTTATGGGGTACATATGATGTTTTGATACAGGCATATTGCATTAGTTTGTTTTCACACTACTATAAAGAACTTCCCTGAGACTGGGTAATTTATAAAAGAAAGAGGTTTAATTGAGTCACAATTCTGCATGAATGGGGAGGCCTCAGGAAACTTACAATCACGGCAAAAGAGGAAGCAATCACCTTCTTCACAAGGCCACAGGAGAGAAAAGAACAAAGGAAGCACTTCCAAACACTTTTAAAACCATCAGATCTCGTGAGAACTCACTCACTATCATGAGAACAGCATGGGGGAGATTCCCCACCATGATCCAATCACTTTCCTTCGTCGACATGTGAGGATTACAATTTGAGATGAGATTTGGGTGAGGACACAGAGCCAAACCATATCACATACAATGTGTAATAATCACATCAGGGTATTGGGGTATCCATCACTTCAAGTATTTATCCTTTCTTTGTCTTAGGAACATTCCAATTCTACTCTTAGTTATTGTTCAATATATAATAAATTATTATTGACTATAGTCAACCTGTTGTGCTATCAAATACCAGATCTTATCTATTATACACACATATACTCCTTCATCCATAGCTACATGTAACTATATATTTATATGTGAAGATGTAATTTATCTCATATACCTATATAAAAAGAAGTTTATCAGTAAAGAACAGTTGATATAACTTTATATGAGAAGTGAGTCCTGGTTTAAATATTGATTTCAGACATATGAAATCAGAAATATCTGATACCTGTGTAGATAAAGCAATGGATAGTTATTTTATTTCATATATAAAAATATATGAAATATATAAGATACGGCACACACTGATGTTCCAAAATTTTATCATGGAAGTGAATGTATTCTAAATGGTTAACTCTGGGAGATCACAGAAGTTTAAAAAAATTGTTATATCATGGTATGAAATGCTTAAATTCAATATTCTGCAAAACTCTTACACACAAACATCAAAGATGAAAAATTCCATGCAAAAATGGAGAAGGAAATAATAGAGGAAGACTGCAAAATCATCTGACACAGTGACTCAGTTGGATAGTATTAGAAGAATGCAGACTGGGGACCGAAGCTTCTGCTCCCATACACTAGGGCTCCTGCAGAACATGGTGACTCCAGGATTCTACAATCTGGACCTAGGGTAAAACTGGGAAGCAAATTTTGGCTGCCATACTGTCTGTCCAAATTATTATTATTATTATTATTATTATTTTTTTTTTTTTTTTTTTTTTTTTTTGAGACGGAGTCTCGCTCTGTCACCCAGGCTGGAGTGCAGTGGCGGGATCTCGGCTCACTGCAAGCTCCGCCTCCCGGGTTCACGCCATTCTCCTGCCTCAGCCTCCCAAGTAGCTGGGACTACAGGCGCCCGCCACTACACCCGGCTAATTTTTTGTATTTTTAGTAGAGACGGGGTTTCACCGTTTTAGCCGGGATGGTCTCAATCTCCTGACCTCGTGATCCACCCGCCTCGGCCTCCCAAAGTGCTGGGATTACAGGCGTGAGCCACCGCGCCCGGCCCCAAATTATTTTTTAAAATAAGTAGTTTTCACAAATACATGCTCCCTCTGACAAACACACTGTCTGTACTGGATATAGGGCCAACCTTAGCATTAAATTCCAAATGAAAATGGGAGGAGAATTCTTACTCATGTAAACATAGAGTAACTTTGACTTAAGACCTGCATTGTTTGAGTTTTTGCTTGTCACCAGCATGATACAAGGGAAGATTACGTTGTGTCCCCATCTTGTGGCCATGATATGTAACATTGAGCATAAAGAGCCACAGTCCACTTTGGAAGTATATGTATTTGTCACTATCTTAATCTCAAATTTGTTATCCAAATTGTCCCCTTTCTATAAGACCTCTCACCTGACATTCACTACTCACCCCTCCCACACACAAACTCACAGCCTTAATAATTATTAATGACCTCAACTATCTATAGCCTTTCTAATTTCAGTGGTCTAAAATTTATGCTGTAATCAGATTACAATTTGCAAAATAAAATGTAAGAGGTTATCTTAAGTAACACCTCTTTTACACAGAGTATTTGTTTTTCCATTCACACCTCCCGCACCACTGCCCTACCCCTACCATCAGCCAACAAATTATGTCTTTTTTTGGAAGCTTAATATTTAACCAGTTGAGTTTTGAAGCATTTGAAACTTTTGCCTATTTAAAAACTGACTTCCTGACTTATATGAAATTTCAGTATGAGTAGCCATATACTAAATAAAATTTAAAATTTCAACCCTTTAAACATTTACCAACTACTGTGCATATCAGCCAGCCCTCGATCCTTCTCCCTCCTGAAACTTACTCCATCAGTAACACAAACCCAGAGTGGTGATGGAAACAGCATGGGCTCAGGCACCATCAGGCAGACAAATTATAATAGTCTGTAGTCATGTGCCCATCATGCCCACTGATCAATATATTAAATAAAAATAAATGTAGAATGAACCATGTTATGTTGAGAGAGACGTCAGAGATTTTTGAGATGCAGATCCTTCATGATAACTGAGAATGAACATGTATTTTGCTTAGAATCAATGATGGGTAAAACCTTCTGAGATCAGCAAGAGGGAAGTTATCTTTTGCTAATGAAACTAGAATTTTAAAACAGTGATCCTCACTGAACAGTATACTTGGGTTGTGTGGAGGGTGGCGGCAGGTCAGAGGTAGGCAAAGCAATTACCAATATATTTTTTAATTTTAGAAATGAAGGAAATAGTTTGGATCTGTGTCCCCACCCAAATCTCATGTTCAATTGTAATTCCCAGTGTTGGAGGTGGGACCTGGTGAGAGGTGATTGGATCATGGAGTCGGTTTCTTATGCTTTAACACCATCCCCCTTAGTGCTGTCATGGTGATAGTGAGTCCTCTTGAGATCTGGTTGTTTAAAAGTGCGCAGCACCTCACCCCGCTCTCTTGCTCCAGCCATGCGAAGCAGTGTTTCCCCTTCGACTTCCACCATGATTGTAAGTTTCCTGAGACTTCCCCAGAAGCCGAGCAGATGCTGCCATGCTTCCTATACAGCCTGTGAAAGGGTGAGCCTCTTCTCTTTAAAAATTACCCAGTCTCAGGTATTTCTCCATAGCAGTGAGAGAATGAACTAATACAGAAATTATTATTTTGTCCTACGGACTACAGAAGTTAAAGCTTTGAGGAAACTCTTCCCAGATGGTGGCTGTGACTCTCTAGGAGGGAAGGAAGATGTTGAGATTTTCAAGTTTATCAAAATGAGCCAAGGATCAAAAGTATCTGAAACACTGCTCTGAAAAATGAAGGATAGGCTGGGTGTGGTGGCTCTTGCCTGTAATCCCAGCACTTTGAGAGCCAGAGATGGGCAGATCACGCAAGGTCAGGCGTTCGAGACCAGCCTTGCCAACACAGTGAAACCCCATTTCTACTAAAAATACAAAAATTAGCCGGGCACGGTGGCATGCCTGTAGTCTCAGGTACTCCCAAGGTTGAGGCAGGGGAACTGCTTGAACCTGGGAGGCGGAGGATGCAGTGAGCCAAGATCACGCCACTGCACTCCAGCCCAGGCAACAGAGCGAGACTCCATCCCCCTCCCCCCCAAAAAAGGATATTATGCCTGGCTTTTACTCCCTGATTTAAAATCTTTATTTGGCTCTCTAGTAGAAAGCAGGTTGGTGGCAGGTCTAGAGAGAATACTTGGACCCTATTCCTATTTTCAAAGTGTGTAAGAAATCACTTAATGTTTCACATTGTTTCCTCTCTGTGATGACCTGTTATGTTTTCAGTATTAAAACTCCTTTATTACAACAGTTTCATTAAACATACTATTACCTCCCTAAAGGCCAAGGCTGTTATAAACATATATTTTTTAATTCCATATTTTTTTTTACCATAAAGGTAATATACATTTAGTATAAACGAATAAATTCAAACATTGATACAGAGAAAAAGGAAAGTTCTTTTTATGTAGAGTGAAGATTAGAGACGAAGTAAAGGTCATGGCTTGGTGGTTAAACACAATCTGACGTGGCCGTCTTATTGGATGGTAATTCCATCAAAAACCGGTGTCAAAATATTCGGCTTCTATGGTAATCACCAGGCCTGCCACTAGAGGGCAGACATGCCTAATTTTGTGATTAAATTTTCTGGAAATGGGATTGAGGCTTTAAGGAGTTTTTTGCAGACCTGACAAGGAAGTAAAACAAAAACAAAACAAAACAACCGCCCTCCTCAGCAATTCTTAAAATATAAAAGAGAGAAAGAAAGGAAAACTGGCTATGTAGCTTTGCTCAGTTCCATTCAAAACACTGGACAGCTACACATTTTTATGTGTATGCAGGTAAGCAAAACATGCTAGCAAAATATGGCCTGTGGCTAGAAATTTCAGGATAAGAGAGAGAGTAGAAATGCTTTTAAGAATCTCCCAGAGGCCAAATGACCAAGAAGGTAGAAAGTCAGGGTAGATGCTATGTCTCTCTCCCACCCATAAATGTGGATAGGGTTCTAAAAATTGAGAGATTTCCGGCCGAGCGCGGTGGCTCACGCCTGTAATCCCAACACTTTGGGAGGCCGAGGAGGGCGGATCACGAGGTCAGGAGATCGAGACCATCCTGGCTAACACGGTGAAACCCCGTCTCTACTAAAAATACAAAAAATTAGCCGGGCGTGGTGGCTGGCGCCTGCAGTCCCAGCTACTCGGGAGGCTGAGGCAGGAGAATGGCTTGAACCTGGGAGGTGGAGCTTGCAGTAAGCAGAGATCGTGCCACTGCACTCCAGGCTGGGCAACAGAGCGAGACTTGTCTCAAAAAAAAAAAAAAAAAAAAAAAAAAAAAAAAAAAAAAAAAAAAAAAGATTAACCAAACTGATAGATAGTACTCTTTAAGTGAAAGGAGAGAAAACAAAAATTAGAAATATGAAGAATGAAAGAGCATATCACTCCAGTGATTGAAAGGAAAATAAAGAAATAATATAAATAACTTTATGCCAATAAATTTAAAAACTCAAATGAAAAATAAAACCTCCCAAACCTGATACAAAATAAGCAGAAAATGTTATTAAGGAGATTGAATTTGCTATCAAAATCCTTCCCTCAAAGAAAATGTCAGGTCCATATAATTTCACCTGTGAATTCTATCAAACACTTAAAGAAGAAATAATAGTAACTGTACACAAATTATTTTGGAAAGCAGAAGAGGAAGAAGGAATATTTTCAACTCATTTAATGAGGCCAGTACCATCCAGATATCAAAATATAAAGAACACACAAACAACAACAAATAAACCTTGCAAGAAAAGAAAATTATAGGTTAATATTACTCAAGAACATACAAGTGAAAATCCTTAACAAAATATTAGCAAATTGAATCAGTCAATATAAAAGAAGAAATAATACATCATGGGGTTCATTCCAGGAATGAAATGTTAGGATAACATTTGAAAATAGATGCTATTCAGCATGTTAACAGAATAAAGATGAAAATTCATATGATTCTGAGTTCAGTAGATGCAGAAAAAGAATTTGACAAACTCTGGCTCCAATTTGTGATTAAAACTCCTACAAATGAGGAATAGAATAATAACCCCATCTCCATTTTTGGTTCTGTGGAGATGGCTGAGGGCTCCCATGAGTCACACATGCTTGAATCTCTTCAACCAGCCCTGATGTGACTATATGCTCTGATCTTTGCATCCTTCTGAGGCACTAGCAAAAGGTTGTCTAGCCAAACTCTTGGTTTCTCCTCCAGAGTGCACTTTCTGATGGTAAATCTCCTAATTTTAGAACTTTTGCAATCTGCATAAACATAATTTTTCAAATCACTGAGTGTTGGTTTTATTTCACTTACTAGTTGTTCCCTCGATTTATTTCTCTCCTTTTGCAGTTTACTGTAAGCAGGAAGAAGAAAGCAGGTCATTTCCTGAGCATGTTGCTGGGACATACCCTCAGCTAAATACGCAAGTTTATCTCTTACAAGCTCCTGCTTCCCACATAACTGCAGGACATAATTCCAGGAAGCTTTCTGCATTCCCTAACAAGGGAATTCTCTCCTTTGCCCCACTTTCCAATAACACAATCCTCCTTTCCTTCTGAGTCCTCACTTGGCAGTAACTTTAACGAAGGTTCTACAGTCTGTTGGTGATGATTTAGGTATTCTCTGAAACAATACAAGAAGGCTTCTCACTTCCTTCTGACCTCTCGCCAACAGGATATTCCCCATCCATATTTCCCCTAATAGCCTGCTCAAGGCAATCTAGTATTTTTTACCACATTCTGCAAAATTCTCCTACCCTTGCTCATTACTCAATTCTAAAAGCATGTCTCCGTGTTTGGCACTTGCTGTAGCAGCATGCTACTTCCAAGTAGCAAAATCTGTATTCATTTTCTACTGCTGCTGTCATCAATTCCCACATTTTTTTAAATTTAAAGAACTTCACTTTCTTAAAAGACTCATAAAATTTGAACTTCAAATGGTTATAAACATATTATGTACATTTACCAAGGAAAATAAAATATATCCAACAAGTTTCTTTGTTGGTATATTTTTTAATGTTATAACCTGACGTCTTATTCCAATAACATTTGCTCATTGCAAAAAACTTAGAAAATACAGATAATAAAAAAGAGAAAATAAAAATCATCTATTGTCCTGCTACCCAGAGAGTTTCTGTTGATTCTATATACACACGTGTCTGTCCACGTCTATCTTATCTATATCTCTATCCAAATAGATACACATGTAGAGACACATACACAAACACATGTACACACAATTTTTACAAGTTGTATTATTATATTAAACTTTTAACAATACATGTTAATGGTAAGAATACTACTATTCATCAATATTGTGTTCTTCTCTACTTCTAAGGGCATGAAATGACTTACTTCCCTCTCCTTTGAGGTTTGATGTGGCCGTTGACTTTGGCAAATAAAACATAAGCTGAAGTGACATAAGTTACTTTGAAGTACAAGCATTTTAATCCCTAGTAGTGATGATCTGATATGCTCTTTTCTTGCTGTAACTCGGAGATGGAAAAAAAGAGATTTTGCCATAAGAGGGAAATATCTGGAAATGCTAAACCAACACATACAGGGTGGACAGCTGCCCCAAAGAGTCACCTGGTTCTATATGTGCCATTGTGTAAGGCACTGAGAACTTTGGAATTGTTCTCAAACTACATTATGTCTATCTCTATTTATCTAGTTTATTCTGACCAGTAAAATCTTTAGCATTGTTCTGACATTAAATGTTCTACAAAATCATTTAAATGGCTAAATTACACTTTATTATATGAATGTGGTACAATTTATTCAGCCAACTTTTTAGTGTTGCATATTTATTTCCATTTTCTAAGTTTTTATAAACAATATGGTAAGGAATATATTTTTAGTTAAATTTTTGCTCATGTTTGTGTTGTTTTCTTAAGGTACAATCATGAAATGGAAAGTCATAATTCAAAAGATACACAAAACCATAAGTTTTTCATGTATAGTGTCAAATCATCCTACAAAAGATTATTGACAATATAATCAATGGCATAAAGAATACATGATTTCTCTATTTGATATAAATATTCTATCTACCTCCCGTACATTTCCCAAATTTAAAGGTGAAAATGATGTGCAGGCTTATTTCTGGGCTCTCTATTCTGTTCCATTTATCTACTTGACTGTTTTTGTACCAATACCATGCTGTTTTGGTTACTGTAGCCTTGTAGTATATTTTGAAGTCAGGTCATGTGATGCCTCCAGTTTTGTTCTTTTTGCTTACTACTGCCTTAGCTATTTGGGCTTTTTTTGGGTTATATATATATACACACACACACATGTGTACACACACACACACACACATATACATATATATATGTGTGTATATATATATACACACACACGTACATATATATTTGAGACAGTCTTGCTTTGTTGCCCAGGCTGGAGTGCAGTGACCTAATCTTGGCTCACTGCGACCCTTGCCTCCTGGTTTCAAGCGATTCTCATGACTTGGCCTCTCCAGTAGCTGGGACTACAGGTGCGACCACTACACCTGGCTAATTTTTGTATTTTTAGTACAGATGGGGTTTCAACATGTTGGCCAGGCTGACCTTAGGTGATCCGCCCGCCTCAGCCTCCCAGAGTACTGGGATTACAGGCATGAGGCACCATGCCTGGACCATATACATTTTAAAATAGTTTTTTCTAGTTCTGTGAAGAATCTTGTTGGTAGTTTGACAGGAATAGCATTGAATCTGTACATTGCTTTGGGCAGTATAGCGACTTTAATGATATTGATTCTTCCTATCCATGAACATGAAATGTTTTTCCATTTGTTTGTCTTCTTTGAGTTCTTTGAGTAGTGTTTTGTAATTCTCATTATAGAGATCTTTCACCTCCCTGGTTAGCTGTATTCCTAGGTAGTATGTTTGTGTGTGTGTGTGTCTGTGTGTGTGTGTGTGTGTCAATTGTAAATGAGATTGCCTTTCTGATTTGGCTCTCAGTTTGGCTGTTTCGGTGTATAGGAATGCTAATAATTTTTGTACATTTATTTTGTATCCTGCAACTTTGCTGAAGTTGTTTATTAGCTGGAGGAGCTTTTGGGCTGAGACTATGGGGTTATCTAGATAGAGAATCATGTCATCTGCAAACAGGGATAGTTTTTACTTCCTGTCTTCCTATTTGGATGCCCTTTATTTCTTTCACTTTTCTGATTTCTCTGGCTAGGTCTTCCAATACTACGTTGAATAGAAGTGGTGAGAGAGGACATCCTTGTCTTGTGCTGGTTTTCAAGGGGAATGCTTCCCGTGTTTGCCCATTCAGTATAATGTTGGCTGTGGGTTTGCCATAGATGGCTCTTATTATTTTGAGGTATGTTCCTTCAATACTTAGTTTATTGAGAGTTTTTAACATGAATGGTGTTGAATTACATCAAAAGCTTTGTCTGCATCTATTGACATAATCATGTGGTTTTTGTTTTGGTTCTGTTTATGTGATGAATCACATTTATTGATTTGTGTATGTTGAAACAAACTTGCATCCCTGGGATGAAGCCTACTGAATCATGGTGGATAAGCTTTTTGGCTGAATTTGTTTGCGAGTATTTTGTTGAGGATTTTTCACCAATGTTCATCAAGGATATTGGCCTAAAGCTTTCTTTTTTTGTTGTGTCTCTGCCAGGTTTTTGTATCAAGATGATGCTGGCCTCATAGAGTGAGTTAGGAAAGAGTCCCTCCTCCTCGATTTTTTGGAATAGTTTCAGAAGAAGTGAATGGTAACAGCTTTTCTTTGTACATCTGGTATGATTCAACTGCGAATTCATCAGGTCCTGGGCCTTTTTTTATTGGTAGGCTATTTACCACTGATTCAATTTCGGAGCTTGTTATTGGTCTGTTTAGAGAATCAGTTTCTTCCCGACTCAGACCTGGGAGGGTGTATGTGTCCAGAAATTTATGCATCTCTTCTAGGTTTTCTAGATTGTGTGCATAGAGGTGTTTGTAATCGTTTCTAATGGTTGTTTTCATTTCTGCATTACCACAAATTTACTGGCTTAAACAACACAAATTTATTACCTCATAGTTATGGAGGTCAGGGGTCTGGAATAAGTTTCACTGAGCTAAAATCAAGGAGTCAACAAGGCTGCCAGCTTCCTGAAGGCTCTAGGAGAGAATCCATTTTCCCGTTTTTTCCAGCTGTTAGACACCACCTGTGTTCCTTGGCTCCTGTCCTGCATCCCTCTGACCTCTGCTTCTGTTGCCATATCCTCTTCTCTGACTCTGACCCTGCTGCCTCCCTCTTATAAGGATACTATGATTTCACTGGACCCACCCACATAATCCAGAATCATCTCCCCATTTCTACATCCTAAATCATATAGGCAAAGTCTCTGTTGGCATAACAGGTAACACATTCACAGGTTTCCAGGATTAGGACAGGGTCTTTTGGGGGGGCATTATTATATCTACCACAAATGCCTTTTATCAGGAATTATATTTTACTTGCTGTTACTATGGCTTGCTTTTATTAATTTTCTTATATATCCTTTTTATCCACTTATTTTCAACTTTCCTCTGTCATTTTGTGCCAAGTGTGTCTTTTGCATACAGGTCTTTTAAAAGTTATTATTCTTTTAGAAACGTCATTTGAAATTTCTTTCTCTGAAAGAGGTAACTTACATACATTTTCCAGATGTGTTAATTTTTAAAAGTCATCTTATGTAGATATCCTTTTCTCTTCAGGTAAGTTTTCTTTATAATAATCTTGATTCTCCAAGGCTGTTTTCTTCTCTTATAGGGCTCATAGAAAAGTTTAATGTAGAGAAAATTATGGTCTGTGAATTTTTTTTCCCCATCTTTTAAAAAAAGACTAAGTGTTTGACAGTTACCTGGAAATCTGATTCATCTTCCAGACATCTGACTGTGCTTTTATTCTGGTATTAGATATGTCTTTTTGACTTTAGTTTTGATGTCTTAGATTTCAAATCCACAAGGATTATAAAAACCATGTACCTGCTAGAACAAGGGGTAAAAAGCTTGAGTAAGACAAATCTCAAATTGTTGAGAGCAATATAGCAAGTCATTTATATTAATGGCTTAGCATCTATATGTAGTATATTGTTACAATTTGGCTATGCTAATAGCTGTAACAATATATTACATACGATATAAGAATATCAGTCTTGGATGAGATGATTTATTCCCTTTAGAAGTTTTTCTTCTCTGGGCTGGGTGCAGTGGCCCACACATGTAAATCCTAGCACTTCGGGAGGCCGAGGTGGGCAGATACCTGAGGTCGGGAGTTCGAGACCAGCCTGGACAACAAAAAACCCTGTCTCTACTAAAACTACAAAATTTAGCCGGGTGCGTTGGTGTGTGCCTGTAATCCCAGCTACTCGGGAGGCTAAGGCAGGAGAATCACTTGAACCCAGGAGGTGGAGGTTGCGGTGAGCCACTGCCCTCCAGCCTGTGGCAACAGAGCAAGCAAAACACACATCTGCAGTACCGCTACTAAGGGAAGATTCATGTTCAACCCTACCGTGGATTGGTTTTTTTCACAGACTGAACCCTTCATTCCTTACCTCCACTCTGAATCTCTGAATTGAGTGACACATGTACGTAAACTTCACCTGGAAAGCAGATAACTTAGTTTTGATGGTATACGAAAACTCCATTCGTGTATAGCTCTGCCTCTCTTTATGTTATTATTGTCACAGATTACGTCTTTATACATTGTGTCCCCATCAACACAGACATAGTATGTACAGCTGTCTTTTAAATCAGATAGGCAAAAAAGAATAACAAACAAAAATTCTGTGTTTATACTATCTTTTGTATTTACCTATGTAAATACATGAGTATTAACTGGCTAGTTTTATTTCCACTTGAATCAGAATAATAGGTCTGATAATTCTAAATGATACGATTGATGTTTACCTTAACCTTATCAGTGTTCCTTTTTCTCCATTGTATATATGTGAATAATTCACTGATAAGCAGTGAATGTCCTGTATTAAAGAGCCGTTCATTGACTCGTGCTACAAGCACCCATTGAGCACTGGACATTGGACTCTGTGAAGCAAGTGATAAACTGTAGACTGCCATCAGAGAATTAACCTTGGAGGGGAGGAAGCTGACATGCATCACCAGGTAATTTTATGATAATTTTATAAATGCAACATTTACGACTATGTACCACTCACCATGGGAACACATCAGATCCAGCCCTGAGTAATCAGGAAGGCTTCCAAGAGAGGGGCCAGAAAAGGAAGGAAAGTGTAAAGGAAGATAAAATTGAAAAGATCAGCAGTAATTTTAAAAGATCATCTTGTCCACAGTGTGAAAACTGGTGTCTACAAAGGAAAATGTAGAAAAGGTAAAAAGCCAGGTGGGAGGTTATTAGCATTCTGTTCATGATGGGGGAGAACCAGGGTAGTGGTAGAGAAGTAAGCAAATTCTTGAGTCATGCAAAAGTGAGAAGTGATCGAATGTAGTGATTGTCTGGAGGTGGAAGGTAGGAGGTGGATAAAAAAGGAATGCCTGTTAGATGTCTGTCTTGGGCAAGACAAGAGATGCATATCTTTATTTAGAGAAATAATGCAGAAGAAGGAGCAAGCTGAGAAGTTGAGAGTTGGGGGAAGGGGGATGCTAGACAGGAGGTGACTTTGCCTGGGAAAGAACCAGGCAGAGCTATCCAGTGGGCTGTCATTCAGTTGCCTTTTTTTGCATTTAAAAGATACGTATTGATCAATTTCTATGTGCCAGACACACTACTAGGTGCTGAGAACACAATGCGCAGCAACATAGCCATTGTTCTTTCCCTTAGGGAATCTGATGGCAAAGGACAATAACATCTAAAAATTTTTTTCAAAAGACAAACATAGTCATTATAATAAAGAACATAAGTGAAATTACCATGTTAAATCCCAGGAGCTTTGGGTGCTCATGGGAGGTGTGCTGTAACATATTGAGTGTTCAGAAAAGGCTTTCTAGAGAAAGAAATGTGTAAATTTAAACCTAAATAACATGTAGGACCTAGGAAGAATGTGTGATGGCATAGACAGGGGACCAGAGGAGCAGAAAGGAAGCCAGACGATGGACATCTTTCAGACAGGAAAGTACTACAGCCTGGAGATGCAAAAGATTAGATGGAATTCTCTTGTAATGGGCAGAAAATTAACATCACTGGAATACAGATTGTGAGTAGGCAAGAGACAAGAGATAACATTTAATAAAGTAATTAGGGGGTCAGGAAAGGCACAAAGCGTCTTATAAACCAGACTAAGAACTTGTGCTTTACTTGAAATAGGGTCACCAACCACTCTAGTTTTCCTGGGTCTGAGAACTTTCCCAAGACACAGGATTTTCAGTGCCAAACTGAAATAGTCCTGGACTATTCAGAACAACTGGTCACCCTAGAGAGCCATTTGATGGTTTTATGTAGAGGTTTTCATGTATAATGAGGTTGTAGATTGGGGAGACCACTGTGGCTATGATATGGAGAAAGAAGGAGACTGGTGAAGATGAAATATGATGATGGCCAAGCTGGGGCAGGGGGAGGTTCAGTAGAGACAGAGAAAAACTGGGTGGGTTTGTTAAATTTTAAGAGATGTTATAATTAAACAGATGTGTAACAATTTAATGAATGAATGGGTTTAATGTGTGAGAAAGGCATGCGGGTGGTGGTGGTGCCATTTCCTAATTCCAGAGGGAGAGAAGTGGCTTTATATGATAATATGAAAAGTTCTATTTCAGACATGTTGAGTTTGTAAGGTTGTCAGATAAAATAATAGGACATCCAGCTAAATTGGAATCTCAGGCAAGGAATGAGAACATTTTTAGTTTAAGGATGTCCTGAAGAGGAATACTTATGGAATGTACACACAAAAAGAAATTCAGTTTTAAATGAGTGTTCTGGTAACCTTATGAGTTTGGGATGCCTGGAGACATCTGAATGGTAATATTCTTTAGGCATTTGGGATGTATGGGTTTGAACTCAGAAGAAAGATTTGGCTGAAAGGCCAGGGCAGTGAAATCACAGTGAATTTTTTATTTTGTTAGAGAATCATTCCACAAAGTAAGCATCACCATTTAGTTCCAAACTATTTATGACCTAGGAATTTGCATTTCTCATGGGAAATAATTTTGAACATTAGTTTAAGTGAAGGCAGCCTCTTTGCTCCTCTCCTAGTGCTGACAGTCACCCTCCAGCTGCCTTCTTATTGCCAACCAATTTGACCAAAATGTAACCCACATCCAGAGGTAAAGACCGACAGCCTGTCCTTTTGCCAAATGAGCTTTTGAAATCACAGGACCAAGTTAGAAAAGTGTATTGATTGATCTTAGAAAAGTTTTACTTAATGAACCAGAAAACAACGTCTTCTAATTTAAGCAGAATATATTCCCTGACCATTCTAGGCAACAGAATTTGCGAGTATATAAGCAAACATTCTGGAGTAGCAGGTATTTTTTAAACCTCAATTAATATATACATCTATAGGTGATGCAGTTTAACAGACATCCTAGTAATTGATCGTGGAATGGCTCAAATAATTGATGATTTTATCCAAATGTTACTGAAAGCAAATATCATGGTGATTTTTCAGAAGGCTACCCCTCTTTTAAATCTATTTTCAAAAAGTAATAGGATATTTTCGGGAATAAAGGTGTACAAACGCCACAGCCACATTTTTCTGGCTTGCCGGAAGAGCTTGCACATTCCTGCTGCCTTCAGGGTGAGCACAGGGCCCAGGGCTGTGTCTGGTTTATGCCTGCATTCTCGGAGAGTCTAGCAGAGATGCTTAGAATGCCTTTGAATCAGCCTCATTTCCATCGCTTTTGGTCCCACCTGCTAGTACAGGACCTTCAGGCTCTACAAATTCTCTCTCAATTATTTCCAGGAATTAATAGAGAGTGCTTTGCATGTGCTGAGAAACAAGTTTAGTTCACTACCACCCTGTGGCCAGGGCTGTTTCCCAGCCCCTATGGTCTCAACTCTTGGAGTCCCACCGGCTGCACCGAGTTAGAATGGATCTATGCAGATCACAGAGGAGCGCCTTCCCGTATTCCTCATCCACTGTGCTGCTGCCTCCCAGGTGTCAGAGGGACACTAGGTTGTCTGAAACTTACTGTGCTTTGTAGAAGTAAGGAAACAGATTGCTTTCCCATTTTGTGCTATTTTTTTTTTGTATTCATGCCAAAGCAACGTTGCTTGTACGCGGTGGCTTACAGAATTTTTAATAAAATAGCTCTTGTTCTCCATTATAACCTTCAGTCAACGCTGAACATTCAGCGCTAAGAGACAACAGTGACATCTGCTGGTGGAAGGAAGCACTTTCAGCCACAACTCACTTTTTTTCTGAGTTTATATGAACCTTTAGTCAACACAACACTAACCAATAAGAATGGTTCTATTGGCCACAATTACGTTATTTTAAAAGTGTTGCACTGTATATTCTTACTGATGAGCATATGTTATTTACTATTTGAGTAACGTACATATAAGATTCTAACCAAAATGAGTGAGTAGGTCAGAAAACTGCCTAGAGGACCTGACATTTCTAGGATATTTTGAAATGGAAAAATAGGAGTTTACTAGTTGCTTTTGGCATGATGTAGGACAAGATTCAAACTCCAGTTGTACAAAGGCACAAAACAGACAAATGAACAACAAACTTGTATTACAGTCAACCATGCTAGTACAGCATGGCGATTAGATACATGAACCCTAGGGTGCAGAGCTGGGTTTGAATCCCAGCTCTTCCACTTAACAGCAATAACCTTAAGCAAGTAACCACATTTCTTTGTGACTCAGTTTTCTCATCTGTAAGGTGGGAATGAAGACAATCATATCTATATTATAGGGCTGTCAAGAGGATTAAATGAACTAATATGGACAAGTGCTTAGCATGGTCTCTGGCACATAGTAAGCACTCTCTGTGTATGATTAAGTAACACATATTTAAGAATTATTATTATTTAATGATTAAGTATTATTATTTTTAGTATCCTTATATATTTAAGTATTATTACTATTACATTTAGGTAGTGTTATGAAATGTTTCATATTAATCCTGAATGATTATCTGGAGAAGGAGTGGGAGTAAAATAAGTAAAATAAAGAACACTAAAAATATCAGTTACTTCATCATAGCCAACTTGATGGCAAAATGAATCTGCCAGGCAACCCTAAAATTTATAAACTTTATTCCAAAATTAAGAAGAAAAAAAATTTAGCTTTTGGTCAAGCAAAAATTTCGGATTTAGTTCTATTTCTACTAGCCATGGAATATACTGAAAAATTCAAGAGAAAAAGTAGAAAGTCATTTTTTTGCATTAGAACAGAGTCCTTTTAGGATTCCAAATGAATGGTTTTGTTTTCGAATTTTAAAATAGCTATACCTTAAAAATATTAACTAACAGGCATTAAATTACAGATTAAACATAAGAAGATCCCAAAAGCCAGCATATGTTAAGTGGCATCACTTAAATCACATTAATCAACAATTTACCTAATAAAAGAAACCACTGCAAGTGTGTTTCTAGAAAATGACAACAATAACCATGATTTGCCCTACGGTCAGTACATATTCAGACTAGACCTCTTTGTGTGTGTGTGTGTGTGTGTTTTTTTTTTTTTTTTTTTTTTTTGAGACGGAGTCTATACCTCTTCGTGTTTTTGTGGGTTTTTTTGTTGTTTGTTTTGTTTTGTTTTGTTTTTGAGACGGAGCCTTGCTCTGTCACCCAAGCTGGAGTGCAGTGGCACGATCTCGGCTCACTGCAAGCTCCGCCTCCTGAGTTCACGCCATTCTCCTGCCTCTGCCTCCGGAGTAGCTGGGACTACAGGCGCCTGCCAACACGCCCGGCTAATTTTTTGTATTTTTTAGTAGAGACAGGGTTTCACGGTGTTAGCCAGGATGGTCTCGATCTCCTGACCTCGTGATCCGCCCGCCTCGGCCTCCCAAAGTGCTGGGACTACAGGCGTGAGCCACCCGTGCCCAGCCCTCTTTGTAGTTTTAAAAGGTAAGTTTGCACATGCCGTCAGGCCACAGTATGGCAGAGGTACACAGATTCGCAGAGAAACAGAGCAGCAACGTGTCAACACTTTTTCTGTATCAACCATATGGGGATTTTTTTTTTTTTATATTCTTAAGTTTTTATCAAACATATGCACCAGCAAAATTAGCAGAATTCTACTTCTCCATGTTGTCCAATGGAGTAATTCAGGTCAGTTTCATAATCATATTGAAAGACTAAACTCATATAAGAGGGCAGAAACAGATAAAATGTTATACATTTAAATGTTTCAGTCAGATTTGAAGTTGTTTTAAGTAAAACAACAACAACAAAAAAGGCAGCCTATCAAAAAATGCTTGCCTCATCAAAAAACTCAATACATTTTAATCTGCTCCAAGGACAGACTCGAACAACTTACTGATAAACTAAAATTAGTTCATTTGTAAACAATATGTGGATAAAAGTATTGATATTGGATGAAACAATATCAATATATTTGTAAGGAATTTCAAGGTAAAATACCAAAATGTGTTAATTTGTTGTTTGCTCCTAATTAAACTCATTTTCAAACGGGATTTTAAAAAGGGAAATAGGTATCTACAGATGGGGCCCATCTATGACCACAAAACCCACATCAAAACACTCCAGCAGTCAGTGATTCAACCATCAGAAAATCTCTCTCTTGATTTTTTCAGAATATCCAATGACTAGTAAAAATAAAATGATTTGTGAAGACTTTTTAAAAGCAAGCTAAAATATCGCGGGTGAGACGCTCAGCTACACTCAGGCTGCCAGTTTCCCTGCATATCCAGGCCAGCCCTGAAGATGCCAAAAGAGAAACAGGAGATTGATAGAAGATACAAATACAACAGATGCAGAATTAAAACAGGGAAATAACTACAAATAAACAGAAATTATAAATGTGTGTGTGTATGTGTGTGTGTGGCTATACAACTAAGTCGCGATAAACTTTAAAACCTAGGTGAAAAAGATAAATTTCTAGCAAAAACAATTTTAAAAAATTGAAGTAGAAAACACAAATGAACTAAAAACCATCTTAAAAAATTGACATTGTAATAACCAAAAAGCCCAGGCCAAAAATGTGGTACGAATGCATCCTAGCAAGCTTTTAAGAAACAGCTAATCATTTCCTTCTGCTAATAGAAGTCAGGCATTATTTTTCTGGGCAATGCAGCCATTTTGAATCTCTGCTAGAAATAACAAACAATATAAAGTAGAACTCATACTGAAAGATCACTCCAATTTTTCCTCCAGCTGGTTTTTAGATCTGAGGGTCTAACACCAGCTGGGCTTGTGTTTCCTTTACTCACACCTGGTCCATTCGAAGGGCAAGTCTTTGGCCATGCCCTACACTAGCTCCTGAGCCAACCAAAACCAAAAGATGAGTCCACAACCTTCTGCATCCACCAAGTTTTATTCAGGTACAGTTATTACTGCAGATAGACATGCTGAGAAGTTTCTTAGCAGGAGGATTTTATGGAATCCTAGTTATTTCAACAAACTTTACTTATGTATAGTACCAGCTCAGTCTAATTTTCAAAATGTACAGCAGCAAGAATCATTTTCCCACCTTGAGACTGCTGAGTCCTTGCTAATTCACAGGTGGATCAATATGGTTGATTTTCAAGTGGCTTTTAATATGAAACACACAAATCAGCTATACCTACATACAGCTGTGGCCCACAAAAGATGTGTCCTAAACTCTTGAACCAGGCAATTTTCTTATTATAGAATTGTCCTTGGACCCAATCCATCCAGATATATGAGCTAATACTGTGTTGTTACTATCTGTTAAGATGCTTTTGAAGTTATAAACACTTATTCATTCCACTATTTTTTCTATGGCCAGCTACAGATTAAACAGAGCTCAAGACTCGAGAGAGAAATGGATGAACAAGACTGTCTTAGTCTGTTCTCATGCTGCTAATGAAGACATACCCAAGACTGGGAAATTTATAAAGGAAAGAGGTTTAATGGACTCACAGTTCCATATAGCTGGGGAGGCCTCACAATCATGGCGGAAGGTGAATGAGGAGCAAAGTAACATTTTACACGGCGGTAGGCAAGAGAGGATGTGCAGGGGAACTCCCCTTTATAAAACCACCAGATCTTGTGAGACTTATTGATTATCACAAGAACAGCACAGGAAAAACCTGCCTCCATGATTCAATTGCCTCCCATTGGGTCCCTCCCACAACACATGGGGATTACTATAATTCAAGGTGAGATTTGGGTGGGGACACAGAGCTGAACCATATCAAAGACAGACAAGTTTCTTTCTGTTATAGAATTTGTATTCTAGTGAAAGAAGGCAATTAAACATATAAGAAATGACTCAATTTCTAATAATACCTAAAATGAGGGGGAAAAAAACCCAGGGTGATGGGGGTTGCTGGGAAAGCTAGATAAAGCACTGTTGGAAGACTTCTTGGAAGAGTTGACATTTGAACCAAAGCTGAATGTTAAATAGGTGTGAGTCTGGGAAGATCAGACAGGGGAATCAAAAAGCTAAAGCCCTAAATTTGAAATCAGCTTTCTGTGTTCCATAAACATCAACAAGGCCAGTGTGCCTGCAGGTGGTGAAGGAGGAAAAGAGGAAGAGGAAACAATTTCACAGAGGTAGGTGTTCATGCAATAACATAGGGCTTTGTGAGCCAAAGTCATAAGTGCTGTGAAAAATTGGGATTCTACTCTGTGTTTTAGTGCTAATGCGTTTTAAAAACAATTTATTATGGCTTGCAAATTATTACAAGGAAAAAATACTACTTAGGTCTGTTTCTAGTTTTAAAAGAATCTGCATAGTCCTTTTATGGTGTTGGTTTCATTAGAGATAGATGAGGGAGATCAGAGTGAAGTAAGTAACATATGATTGGTGGGTAAAATTCTCTCATGAAAAACTTAGTTAACAATTTTAGGTGAACAAACATGATTTTCTACACCAAAACAATCTTACCAATGTGATTTCCTCTGGTAGATATTCTTAGTCTCAAGGACACATGTCAATAGCCCTTGGAACTTGTAAGAACCCTTTCGAGATTGCTAAGAAGGTCTAAGAGCTTTTCTGTAAGTAGACAGATGTAAATTCACCCAATGAGGGCATAAGAATAAGCAAAGATTTCACTTAAATTTGTGAGTAACTAGTATATATATATTACCTATATTGTTCTTTTATTTATCCATAAGCGAGTAATGCCAGTTGAGCTGTTTTCTCAAGAACCATGCCAACAATCTTCCATTCTTTCAAGATTTCTTATTAAACTCTGAGTGGAGGCCTGCAGCTTCCCATATAGTTACTTTTTTTTGAATTAACAAATATGGGTGTTATAATTAACTCTTTCTACAGAAGTTAGATTTTATTCTAACAGAAATCCATTGGAACAGAAAGCAATGCTGCCTCCAATGGCAGCAGAAGCCATTGGAGGTTTTTGAAATAGGAGAACAATATGATATAATTTATATTTTAAAAAGAACACTATAGTTGCTGTCTGAATAGATATTAGCAGTCTAGAGTGAAAGCAGAAAGTCCTAACAAGAGGCTTTGGTTATTACTAGGTGTCTGCTGGTGGTGACTCTGACTGGGGGAGATGTGGTGATAGGTGATTAGATTTGGGAAATAGTTTAAATTGCAGCCAACAGGACTTACAAACCAGATGGCGATCTGGGAGAAAGAGTTCAAAGATTGGAATCAAGAATGACTTCTAGGTTTGGGGTTTGAGCAATTGAATAAATGCTGGTACAATTATATGAGATGCAGATTTTGCAGATATGGTACAGAATCAAAAATTGTTAGGCATCCGAAATTTAAAGTGGCCAATGAGACATCCAGATAGAGATGATTAATAGGTAGTTCATTATATGTGAATGATAATTAAGGGAGAGTTCTGGGCAGATATGCATTTACTTCATGGGATTGAGTAAGATTTTCTAGGGAAAGAGTACAGATAAAGAAGAGGCCTGAAGGTTGAGCCCTGAGTCCTTTCAGCATTTACAGAGCAGAATGGCAAAAGAATGCAACAAAGTTGCAAAAAAGGAGAAGCCAATGAGGGTGAAGGAATTCCAGGAAAGCAGAATGTCTGAGAAGATAAGTGAGAAAATTATTAAAAATACGTGAGCTTGGCCGGGCGTGGTGGCTCACGCCTGTAATCCTAGCACTTTGGAAGGCTGAGTCGGGTGGATCACATGAGGTCAGGAGCAAGACCAGCCTGGCCAACATGGTGAAACCCTGTCTCTGCCAAAAATACAAAAATTAGCCAGGCATGGTGGCAGGCGCCTGTAATCCCAGCTACTTGGGAGGCTAAGGCAAGAGAATCACTTGAACCCAGGAGGCAGAGGTTGCAGTGAGCTGCCATCACGCCATTGATCTCCAGTCTGGACAAAAAAGCAAGACTCTCAAAAAAAAAAAAAAAATAGCTTGGGAGATTGCCCCTGGACATGGGAATCTGTGTATAATAAGCAGGGCAGGCCCTGATATGCTGCTGGAAAAAATAGTCCAACAAGAATTTATTTCTCACTCATGCTGCACGCACAATGCAGGTTAGCCAGGTGCTCTACTCATTGTAGTCATTCAGGGACATGGGCTGATGGATGTTGTGTTTTGACAGATGTTCCAGGATTGACAGGGCAGGGAAAATGGACATGGCAAGTTATGCATTCACTCTTAAATCTCTACTTGGAAATGACACAGGGTCGTTTCTGTTCACATCTCATTGGCCAAAGGAAGTCATGGCCTCAGCTCACTTCGGAGAGGTTAACAGAGGCAATGGTGCCATGTGCCCAGCAGGAGATAAAAACAGGTGCCTGTAAACAGCTCTAATGACTACCAAGCAGTGGGTGGCACTGGTGATTAGTACAAGCAGGAGAGTAGTGGTGCTCTGCGTCACTTGGATACGCCTAGAAACCTCAACAGTATTTTAGAAGCTTCTCAGATTTATTTGCCTTTTCCCAGGAAACCAGCAAGAAGGGATGACTTTTCTCCATGCTATTTTACCATAGCATAGAAAAAAAATCTGTTAAAAGTTCCAGTGCTTTCTCCTGTGACACAGTTCAGGAGACACAGTTCACGACACCACACTGCCTTAAGTGTAAATTCCTGATCCACCACCTGTGTGCCATGGTCTAGGGTTTTTGCTGTTTTCTAATTTTAAATTTCAATTAAAATAACTTTTTTAAATGCACCACAAAGAAATGTAACAGAAATGCAGAAATGATTATAGGCAGACAATAGATAATGAAAATTCCTTTTAAACAGAGATTCACAATAGGAAAGAAACATTTTTAATATAACAAGTATATATTTAATTATAAACCATAAGAGTAAACACTTTCCAAATATTAGCAAAAAATGCCAAAAAATTGTATCCTCCCATTCTCTTGAAATTGTGCTAGACACTAAATATCTTAATGGAGAAAATTTAATGGAAAGAATTGTTGACCCGATAAAAGACGATTAGCTAGCAGAAAGGACAAAAGAGAACTTTAAGGTTTAACAGGAGTAGCAGGTGTAGACAGCAGCTAGTGATGTGAAGACTGAGGGAGATGTGAACTAGGGAGGAACGCGGAGATCTTGAGGACCCTGCAGGGCTGAGACTCGGGGCCTCTGGGCTGAAGGAGTAGCAGCTGGAGGAACACCCGTCCTGGGAGAAGGACTCCCATGTGCCTACCTGCTTTGAGACCCTGACAGCCTCAGCCACTGCAGTGAACTCTGCTGGGACCACCACTTGCCCTGTGAGTAGATCTCGGAAGGAAAACAAAAGCAGAGAGAAAGGACAGTCCTGGTGTGTTAAATGATGTCTCCCCAAAAGATATATTGAAGTCCTAACCACAGGTAGCTGTGAATATGAGCTTATTTGGACATAGGGTTTTTGCAGACGTAATTAAGACCTAAGTTAAGATAAGGTTATACTGGAGTAGTGTGGGCCCTTAATCCAATATGACTGGTGTCCTTATAGAAGAGGAGAAGAGATACAAAATCAGACACACACAAAGAGAATGCCATGGGAAGACACAGACAACCCGAGGGAAGATGGCTCCAGGGACCGGAGAGACACATCTATAAGCCAAAGACTGCCGGCAATCCCAGAAGCAAGAGGAAGGAATTGTAAAAGGGATTCTCCTCTCCAGCCTTAGAAATATGGCCCTCCAGATACCCTGATTTCACACTTCTATCTTCCAAAATAGTAAGAGAATAAGTTTCTGCTGTTTAAGCCACAGCCTGTGGTACTTTGTAACAGCAGCCCTAGGACAGAAATGCAAGTCTTGCTGCCTCCCTCCTGGGCTCTCTGTTGGCCGGCAGAGGAGAAATGAATTTTGTGGAGCCCACTTCACAAACGATGAAAAAGAAGGGTGAGTGTGGAGCTCAGGAAAAATGAGATAATAGCTGGTACAATCTGTTTGGCCTTGGTTAAGTTGAAAAACTTCTTTGATGCTCAGTTTCCCTACATGTAAGAGGGTGAACAATATTATGGTTCCTCATAGGGGTGTTGTGAGAATAACTGAGAAGGTGCACATAGTTGTGGTTTTGTACCTGCAAAAAAGGATTTAATAAGATGTGTCTTCATATGCTTAATATTTCCAACATGTATTGAAACCAAAGGAGAAGTTTTCTGATTCACTGAGGGAATTTACCCTGCTTTGGAGGAAAGAATAGTGTGATAAAATTTCAATTCTCATGATGATTTAAAGCCTCTGCATCTCGAGACGGGAGAGGAAACCATTGTAACCCCTATAAATCCATCCAGCCGAAAGACTCTACATTTGGGATAACTCTCCCACAAAATCTAAATTAACAGAAATCCTTAATCCTTTCAGCATCCCTACTAACAAATTGATTTGAGGAGGAAAACAGAAGAGCCAATTAAAAATAAAGAATGTTATATAACAAACATCAACAATGGCAATACCAAAACACTGGGCTGCTTTAGTTCTGTAAGGGAGCGCCTTCTACCGCCTCTAACTTGCCTGGGGTTGGAAATTTTTATTGCTGTCTGGACACACAGGCACATTTCCCACAAAGCTAAGGGTCACTGGTGAATCTATTTAAATCTCTTCCATTTTGGTTAACAAGCTTAGCTT
The DNA here is from genome assembly GCF_000001405.40 of Homo sapiens. Taxonomy (NCBI): domain Eukaryota; kingdom Metazoa; phylum Chordata; class Mammalia; order Primates; family Hominidae; genus Homo; species Homo sapiens. The sequence continues at coordinate 97,009,416 of NC_000013.11, read as the reverse complement.
TGAAATTAAAGAAAAAAAAACCTGAATACAAATTGGGACTCATTCTAGGAGACAGCTGGAGTAAGTTTGCTCTGGGAAATATTTAAGGAGACTACAGAAATGCAGACTCTTCTCTACTTCCCTTAAGCATGTCATACTCAGGAGTCACCAGAGTTGGCCTCAAGGAAAGGGCAACGTGAAAACTTAAAATAATTTTTAAAAATTTTTTATTTTGCATGAGCTTAAGGGGTAAAAGTTCAGTTTTTTTACAAGGATATATTGCATATTGGTGAAGTCTGGACTTTTAGTGTAACTATCACTAGAATAATGTACATTATACTCATTAAGTAATTTGTCATCCCTCACCCTCCTCCCATCCTCTCTCCCTTCTGAGTCTCCAATGTCCATTATTCCACATTCTATGTCTATGTGTATACTTTATTTAGCTCCCACTTGTTAGTGAGAAGATGTAGTATTTGACTTTATGATTCGGAGTTATTTCACTTAAGATAATCATCTCCAATGCCATCGTGTTGCATAAAAACGTTCAGGTCTGTTAATGCTTCACCAGGCCTGGCCTCCAAAGACGCCCACTCCCTGAAATAACTACCCTACCTTGGTTTATGGTTACCATGCACCAAATTGTGTAGTCAGCACTGGAAAAACAGAAGTGAACAAGATAGTGAACAAGAAGTGAACTTACAGTCTAGTGGAGAAGACAAACCCTGAACAATAATTCATGTGAGATGGTCCTTCTAAATCTCACTGTGTTTAGAACTTCCTGAAACATTTGTGTTCAGGTCATCCTGAGACTGGCCTGTGGTTCCTTATTGGATCCTGAAAGGGCCTGTCTTAATTCAAACTTGTTCTTTCAGAGCACAAAAGTCCAAAACTTGTTGCATACCCAAAGGTATCTGACTTCTGCTGACCTCCAGGTGCTCTTTGGCCAAATACCTGGCTGACGTCAAATGTCCACTTGCTGTATATCTCTTAGAAATTCGCTCAAGAAAGTGCTGGGAAGTTGTCTGACTTTGAGTCACCCCATTGTGATATCTGGTTTTGAGGAACCACCCTACCTAGGTGAATGTCCTTGGGAGGTGAGGAAATAGTAAATGTCTACGAAGTAGTCACCTGAGCACAGGGAGAACTATGCAAGTTTAGTGTCCAATAAAGTGTGCTGGAAAGATTGAATAGACTAGTCTTCAATATTTAAGCATTAATTGAAAATTCATGAAAAACTCTTTTAAAAAGGCATTCACAGAAAAATCCCCCATTTTCAAGAGGAGGTCTATGGCATTTCAGCATCACTCTCCGAAATCCTTGAAGATCTGGCTTCAGTGTTTCATTTTGCAGTGTGGGGTGATTGAGCTGAAATGAACACAAAATAGTCATTAACAGAGTCAGAATTAGGGGCAGTAAGCTGTGTGCAGTGGCTCATGCCTGTAATCCCAGCACTCTGGGAAGCTGAGGCAGGTGGATCACTTGAGGTCAGGAGTTCAAGACCAGCCTGGCCAAGATAGTGAAACCCAGACTCTACCAAAAATACAAAAATTAGCTGGGCATGGTGGGGGGTGCCTGTAATCCCAGTTACCTGGGAGGCTGAGGCAGGAGAATCACTTGAAACCAGGAAGCAGAGATTGCAGTGAGCTGAGATCGCACCACTGCACTCTAGCCTGGGGGACAGAGTGAGACTCCATCTAAAAAAGAAAAGAAAAAAAAAAGAACTGGGGCAGTCATGCCAAGATTCTATTGCAGCAAACAAACATGACACATGTATACCTATGTAACAAACCTGCACGTTGTGCACGTGTACCCCAGAAATTAAAGTATGATAATAATAAATTAATAATAATAATAAAATTTTAAAAAGGAGAAAAGACGACCATCTATGAACCAGAAAGTAGACCTTCACCAGTCACTGAATATGCTGGCACCTTTATCTTGGACTTCTCAGCATCCAGAACTGTGAGAAATAAATTTCTGTTGTTTATATATAAAAAAAATGCCCCTTATCATCTAACATATGCTTCTGATCCCCCTGCCACCAAGAGTGAGAAATGCTATTAAATTCTATTCCATACCAATGTAGCATGGAATCAATACTGCTTCACAGGAACTATGCAATGGACCAGTACTTTTGAGTAAGGAGGCCTGATGAAATATATTTCTATACGATATACCAGTAAATATGGTGTTTATTGGCAAAACCAGCCCTATGTGTGAGCAGAGGTGTTGGCATCTCTAGGACATGCTTTGAGATTTCTTGGAAGATGAAAGGTGTCAGTCTCTAGTCTTCAGTGTTCCATAAAGGCCTTCAAAAAGAGCTCTACGTTGTGAATAGGCTGACGGATTTTGAGGACTTTCAAAGGGGAGCCACATTAAGAAGGCTTAGTTTTTATGTTGAGGCCATTACTATGGCTTATCATATAACTAAAAATAGGGCTCTGAGGGAGAGATACTCAGGTAGGATCTTTGAGAGGATTACCATATTGATTTCCTCCATAACTAAGTCCACTTAATTGTTGTCTGTCGCATTCATTTAGTACCACAAAAGAAAAAAGCATGGGATCAAGGTGGAGTTTGGGCCCTGGAGTTAGATTTCTTGAGTTTCATATTTTGGATCTGCCACAGCTATTGGACCTTGGGCAGTTATTCAATCTGTCTCATGATCTCATGTGTAAAATGGGAATAATGATAGAGGGAACTTCATAGAACGAGGTGTTATTTGGCATTAATAACACCCAATAGGTAGACATAAAATAGCATATTTTATCATGCATCAAGCCTTTCCTCCCAACTAGACAGTGAACTTATTTTAGATAGGTGTGAAATCTTAGATATTTTTATTCCACCCTGCCTGGCATGGTGCTAGGCACTTAATAGTGATACCTAGCATTACAAGAAAAAGAAACTTAACAGTTTCTTTTATGGTATATTATTATATGTGCAGTTTTAAAATTTTTCCAATATTCCCACAAAACCAGGAGGTAGATAGGAAGTTATTTTTAATGAGAAAATAGAAACCTTCAGAATTTAATAACTTGCTTGAGGCCATGCAGTTAGAAATACCCAGAGCTAAATTCTGAAATATGATGGTTATTACAAACCCAATGGCTGCCCTGCCCATGTCATCAGCATATCTTTAGTAGGCTCCCTGTTAATATCTGTGGCCATTTTGGTTGATTGATGGGAACACTAGTCATGGAGAATGCTGAGTGCCTGGGGAAGTTCCCCAAGGAGGATCTGAGACACACTGAGGATATGGTGCCCTTCTACAGTGCTCTAGACTCAGCCCTTCCCACTGGGCTTGCTGAGCTGTAGGCACCACGTCTTTGGTATCTGGCTACATGTGGAGCATAGGTCACTAACAGAGAGAGAGAGACTGACAGCAACAGTAGAGGCAAGCCTAGACTGGCCTTTGTTTATCCTTGCACACATGTGTGGCTGGGGTCAGTCCACAAGGGCAAGGAGAGGAGGGATGAACACTACTACTCCAACCTTGGAACACAGCACACTATGCTCCTGAATGCCACAGACCTGTCTAATTTTCATTCCTTGCTCCCAGGAAAATGGCTGAGGGGTAAGAGCTTGTTTCCTAAGCTCTCCATAGAACACAAAAAGACTCATGTGGCAGGAATGCAGCTCACTAGAGAAACATGTACACATTACCCATGATTATTTCTACTGATATGCAGCAAGATCATTATTTGAAGAAAGTGAAAGAAGTAAGGAGTGGTTGTCAACTGGCCTGTTATGTCTGAGAACAGATTATTTGCAAAGTCCTAGTATACCCCTGGTTTCCAGTAATATAATAAAATGAAAGCTTGAATTGTACACACAGCCAGCTTAAAAAAATGTCAGTTGCAAATAGATAATTTGCTATTTCAAAGCCCTCAGGGAGGGAAACTGTTATTTTTTACTCCTCATTTTTTTCTCCCTCTCTTTTTCCTGCACCCCCCAACCATGTGTGTGTGTGTATGTGTGTGTGTGTGTGTACACAATGCTGTGGAATGACCACATGGCTCCTTTTGGGTAAATTTGCAAAGATCTTCTCAATTCCCCTTTTGTCTCTTAAGACATAATTATTTATAATTTGTCCCCCTGTGGATGGAGAGCCATCCAGTGTACACAGAGCCCACCTGGGATGAAAGTGTCTAAGAAATTACACATGTACAAATGCAATGTCCAAAATATATCATCACTCAGGGCTCTGAGCTAGAATGACCCAGAATGAAGAAAGGATGATGGCTGTGCCACCTAAGACTAAAGGAGTTGAGATGCTTGTGTGCATGCAGTCAATCAGAGAAAAAACTGCAACAGAAGATGGCAACCATCCAGCTCATTCATAACTTACAGAATCAGTCTGTGGCATCCAACGGGGAACCGGAGATAACAGAAGCCATCTGGATGACTTCAATAAAAATAAACCAATATTTGATGTCTCTTGTCAGCTATAAACATAAGAAATAGGGACTTAAATGCTTCCTTTTAATTGATACTTCTGAAAATGTTCTTAACTTTGCTAACTTTTCCAGGGTTGCACCTGAAGACAGTCAAACAAATGACTTCCTAACTGAAGGCCAGGTCTGACTTCCTGGGCGTGCTACCCGAGCAGTATCCCAGCGTCCCACGCTTAACAGGGTCCCTCATTTGGTTTGATGTTCTGTTGTGGCTGTCTTGAAATTCCTAAGCATGTTATCTTCGAGCTTGTGTTTTGTAAGTGAAATGTGACAGGACAATGGAGCATGTGAGTCACAGAGGAGTTATGTGTAATATGCATGTTCACCATCATTCCTTGCAGCCCTGTTTACAAATAGCATTCACGATGCCCAGTGAGCAGATAATTCTGGTGGACCCACAAGGCCATAGAGTTCAGCGATACTTAAAGCAAGTGCTGGGTGAGTGTGTTAGGTCTACATCTGGGTAAAAGGGGCATTGACAGTCTCCATAGGTCCTGCTTTCTGTCTGAACCAACACTTGCCTAACATGCAGAAAGAAGGTAAGGGCATCCTAAGAAACATTAATGTGCAAAAACTCTGTCCCCTCTTGTCTTGTGTTACTTCCCTGAATAAACCAATGGCTTATACTGACAATGACGCAGAATTAGGGAAGGATAGGGCAATCCATAGTTCATCTTCCTTTCAGTCTTTCTGACTCATCAGTAAGCCAAAGAGAGAGACAGCATTGTTAGAGTATGTGTGTATGAAAAAGTGAGTGTTTCCATTATCCTGGTAAAAACGGAATACACATACATATGTGAGCTTTGAAAGTCAACTTGCATCATTCTGAAGATGCTTCATACTAGTTAAATACTCTTGTACTTGCATTTAAAACTGGCATTGCGCTATATCAACAGTAAATTTCATGCAAATACTTTAAAATTTTAATTTTTCTTTAACTTAGAATGATATTACCTACCAAATAAAAAACCCCACCATGGCAGGTCAAGAGAAAGACTGGAAAAAAAAGAAAAGCTTTATTTTAACACCTGTAAAGGAAGTTTTCTCCTGCTTTTTAAACTAAGATCCTCAAATTTTCAACACTAAGACCTGTGAATTATATAGCTGGCCCTGCTCAAGGTCTAAATAAGTGCATAGGACTATGGTGGAAAGAACTGTGTTAAGTGCACACTCCAGGTAATAATGACCAGAGAGAACACTGTCCTGGGGCTCAGCTCTCCCAACAGGAAAGTGACTGAAGCCCAAAGCCACTGGGTACAGAACATGATTTAAAAAACAAGACTTCCCTTGAGCTGTTCTTTTATCATAATTGGCCTGGAAGGTTGGTTTTCAGGAGGAAAGTCTTCCAGCACTTCCATCTCTACACTGTCTTTACACATTCTCAAACTCACTGCTATCCACCCAAATGGAAATCACTGGGTTACAACCACAGAGATGAAAAAATTTCAGGTTAATGTAAAGAAGTCATGAAAGAACAGAGTGAGAATATTTTCTTTTCAAATAAATATGTAATAAAATAACAAAATATGGATGTATTTCTTCAAAGAATATAACTCTGAGATCATAATGACCTTATTTGCCTTTAGTTAAACGTAAAATAAAACAGCTCAGATGTAAAGTTTCAAAGGACTTCTGAAACCACAGGATGAGTGATCAGTCTCCTTTGACATAGAGAAGAGGGTTAGGGAGGTTTGCAAAGGCTAGGAATAAACCACCTTTGAAGACAGAGTAGAGATGAATGAGTCACTCTCTCTGAAAACCTAGATCAACCAAATGAAGCATACGTTGTCTTTCCAATTATCACTAGACAGATAATTGTAAGAATTTAACAAAGGTTTGGACACAGTTAAACCCACAATTTGGATTAAGGCAGGATTTACAATTAAAGAGGATTAAATTTTTTTTCAACTTAATGAAATATCAATCTGCTATAATTAGGAAGGAAGTAATAATGAACAGCTTAATAATTTTAACTAACAATCATATATCAGTGTGCAAAGCAGAAAAGACTAGACCCTGAGGATTGTCTATGAAAATTCAAAGAAAGGAATAAATAGCTACTAAAACTAAATAACTTATTATTTTATTTTTTTCTAAAAGTGATGACTAAGACGAGCTACTGTAAGATTCAAAGGATGCTATCTTTACATCTTAGCTGCACCACATTCCATTTCAACCTCCTCTTATTCACACCAACTCCTCCACATCCAGACCCTGTCCATCACAGAGATAAACTTGTCTGGTTCATTGTTCGTAAAACCCAGGCTAGTTGAAAACTATTTTGGGTTTCTTACTCAAATCAGATTTCAACTGTGATTTTTCAAAAGTCAATAGGTTAGTACAGTGGCCTGTTGTGTCAACAGAGCCCTGGAAAAAAATTAATCATGAAAGCAATAGAAAAGGTCAAAAGGAAGAACCTGAAAATGCTATAATAAAGACATCCCAGAGCCTATTATGTGTATTTCTCAGGTGTTTTAATTCAAAAGCAGAAGCATGACAAAGAAAATAAGATGATAGTGCTCAATCATGGTTGCTGAAAGGGAAAGGTGACATAAGATATTAGCAGGGCATGGGAACAAATTTCAGCAGCTTATGCTGACTTAATATTCTCTAAAGAATCTAATGAAAGAGGAGAAATTCTAATAGAAGTAGGAAAAGAATCTCTGTCAACAAATTATCTTTTAAGTATTAGGTGAAGTTAATGAAACTGGCATCGGCTGCTATGGAAAATACAGACAATCATCATTTCAGCACTGAAGAATGTGAAGTTCTGAACTTTTGTCAGAGTGTGTGATTAATGTCGTGTTCACACAGTGATAGAGCAAGGTAGGACTACAGGAGTTGACGGCAGTGCTGGAACAATTTTCTACCATTCCAGTCCACCTTAACCATCCTATGCTGGTTGTCAGTAATGCCACATGGGGCTCAAAAAATCACAAGCCGCATTATGGGTATCTTGGCAATGGAGAGAATGTGGGGATCATTTTACTATGGTGGGAGTCTGAATATGTGCATGGGTGGAACGGAGTTTCTTCATGATCTTAGAGTTGAAGAGAAAGAGCGTTTATGTGATATGCTGGTATAGCAAAGCTTCCTTATGCTGGCAACGGACTTGGCACTGGCCCTTGAATCTATTTATCTTTCAAAAAACCGGAAGATAGTTTAAGGAACTATGCGATTCCCATCCAAAGCTCTTTTTATAATTTCAAAGGTCCAAAATAAAAAAAAAGGAAATGAAACTTTAACCACGTAAGTAAACCCCAGAAGTTGAAAACCTGAACAAATAACCAAAAAATAATATATAATTAATATAACCCAACATATAAATACTATCAAACATGTGAAAGATTAATCTTTAAGGTAATAACAACAATTAGGTTTCTTTCTTCAGAGAGTTTTCTAGAATTTTTTTTCTTAGTAGAACCTTGCTGATAAAATATTTGAATTAAATACTGCCCAACAGAAAAACTAGTGGACAAGAAGGTGGACAGCTTTTATCACACTTCCCTACTTAAAACACTTCCAGTGGTATCAAATTACACGGCCTGTGCAATTTGATCACAATTATCACAAACTTCGTGGCTTCAAAGAATACATATTTATAATCTTACAGTTTCTGCGAGTCCAGGGTTAGGAGTCCGAGCACAGCTCACTTGGTCCTCTACTCAGGGGCTCACCAGACTGCAATCAAGCTATTGTCCAGGGCTGGTTTCTCATCAGAGGCTCAATGCGGAGGGATCTGCTTCTAAGCTCCCGCAAGTTGGCAAATATCATTGCCTTGCAAGCTGGCGGATATCATTGCCTTGCAAGCTGGAGGATTCAGGACACTTATTTTTTTTAGGTTTAGAGAGAGTATAGTTTCTCCACAAAATGCTCCCATTTTACTTTTTAGGACTTAGCCATCCTTCTTGCTCTCCTAGATTTACTTAAAAAAAAAACAGTATTTCAGGAAAATTGGGCCTCATGCTATTACCTAAGTACTTTCTTCTGTTCTCAGCCACTGTATTTTTGCATAAACGGACTCCTTTTCCTGAAATTCCTTCTTACAAACACCTACATTTGTTGAAGGTGTATCTCAAATGTATGCTGTATTTCTTTTTGAAGTGAAACATTTTGCTGATGATTCTTGTGAAATTTGTCAATCCTGCCATTTGTTTTTGGTTCGTTTCAGAGTAATTATCTCTCGGAAGCACTACTGGCCACTGCCCAAAAGTACATCCCAAGAAGATGACTGAGCCATGGAGTAACCCGCAGACTCCAGACTGCTTCCTCACTGCATTATCCCTTTTCTTTCCTTTGATTTCTCAATCTTCTTGTGTTTTCACATTATAGCTGTACATCATCTCCTCAGCTCCGCCTGTCCTGGTTGTCACTGGTTTTCCAAATACTGTCTGTGCTCCAAGTTAGAGCTACCCTCACCTGCTCTCAAATTGCCTTCCATTGAATTCTCTTCATTGAAATGCTTAGTTCTCATCCTCAGCTGATCTCTATTCAGTTAAGTGCCCTAACTTTAGAGTGTGAGAATCACCTGGGGGAAATGTATTTTTATGCAAATCCCTGGGTTCCCCTCCCAGAATATGTATCAGTAGATCTGGTGTGGGTCCCAATATTTCATATTTTTTTCAAGCTACATAAGGTTCTCCGATGCAGATAATCTGTAATCACATCCTGAGAAACCAGTTTGTACCTATTCAACCCCACTTTCTAATTTCGAGTCTTTATCAGTTTTCTCGTGGTTCCTTCTTTAACCTCATCTCAATGTCAGCAGATGACTGAGCTCGGTGGTTCTCAAACCATAAAGTGGTTCCTTTATGTTACAACAACCTGGGAGGCTCATAGATATCCCAATACACAACCCACTTCTCATACTAATTGAGTCAAATGTTTTTTGGAGTTATTTTTTAATCAAGGTATAATTACATACAGTAAATGCACAGATACTAAGCATATAGTTCAACGAGTTTTGACACTTGTATTCATCTGAGTAACCAATGCTGTAATCAAGATATAGGACACTTATATCAACCTAGAATGTTTCCTCTTGCCCTTTCTGGTCAACCTCCCTCTCCTCCAAAAAGTAACTACTATTCTAGTATTTAACCTCTTAGATTACTTTTTGCCTGATTTTAATGGAATCAGGATGGAATCATGGAAGTGGTTTCCTTTGCTGCTGACTTCTTTTGCTAAACATAATGCTTTTGAGATGCATTCACATTTGGTATCATTATTATTTAAAAATTTTGAAGTATTTACAATGTGCCATCAAGTTTGAGAATCAAAATTCATTCTAATCTTTTTCACCTTCAGCTGCATATTATGATAACCTAGTGACTGTTAAAAATATCAGTACTTAGCCAGGCATGGTGGTTCACCCCTGTGATCCCAGCACTTTGGGAAGCCAAGGCGGGCAGATCGCTGGAGGTCAGGAGTTCGAGACCAGTATTTTATGTCCATTGTCCTTCAATCATCTCTCTTCAATCTTTCCACTGACTTTTTTATTTCCCTCACTCTACACTAAACCTTAGGTTTCCTCTATCCTAAAGAAGGAATAAATTTAAAACCCCTTCTTTTAAGTATGTCACCCTTTAAGCTACATCATTATTTCTTTCTTTCCATCATTTCCAGCAATTTGTAACTTCCTATTTTACTGTTCAACCCATTGCACAAACAAGCTTTGGCCCCTACCACCACTGAAATGGTTTTTATGTCACCAGTGATTTCCTAACTGCCTGATTCAATCTTTTCAGCTTAGTTTTCTTTTTTTTTTTTTTCTAAGACAGGGTCTCACTCTGTCATCCAGGCTGGAGTGCAGTGCATAATCAGGCTCACTGTAGCCTCCATACTCCTGGGCGGAAGCAACCCTCTCGCCTCAGCCTCCCAAGTAGCTAGGACTACTACAGATGCGTGCCATCATGCCCAGCTAGGTTGTTTTTTTTTTTAATTTGTATCTTTTGTAGAGACAGGGCCTCATTATGTTGCCCAGGCTGGTCTTGAACTCCTGGCCTTAAGCGATCCTCCCGTCTTAGCCTCAGAAAGCACTGTGATTACAGGTGTGAGCCACCTGCACCCTGCCCCATTCTGTTTAATTCTTGACCACTCTTTCCCCATATTCTTTTCAGATGCTCAATTGATTGGACAGTGGCCAGTGGGAGACAGCTTAGTCTCAACTAGCAACAAAAATCTGAAAACCTTAATATTAATTAAGGTCAAATGAGGAATCAGCTTTATAGTTCTAGTAATAATTACCTAGTAACTATAGGCAATTGTTATTGCTTATTTTGTACCTATTTAACGTGCTGCGTAGTATCCAAAGAGGTGACTAAAAACTGCTCTCTCTTGAGATGCAGACAATCTTGTTGAATGGACAAGACTCAAGTTTATAAAACTATTGTCATTTTTAAAGTTATTAAGCAGTTTAAAAATGAATAAATGTTATATTGTATGGTACAAACTACAAGTACAGCAAGTATTCAAGTTAGAAAAAATGTATTTCTTGGAAAATATACTCATAGAGTACTTTATTAAACCTGAAGTAAATTATAAGATTCAAATCAGAGAGGTGGGGCAAGAAGGATAGTTCACGCAGGGGCACTTGCACCAGCAGAAGCAAAGAGCTCCATTTCTCAATGATGGCTTTCTCTATTCTTTGGCTTTTTTATACTCCTCTTCTAACACTTCCTTTAGTCTCCAATTTCCACCTCGCCCTGCTTCCATGGGTCAACACACTTCACACTATAACTCTTCCTGAGCAGACTGGCAACCCCATCTCTTAGCTGTGCCTCCTGTTTAGATCTATTAGCTGCCTGACTCTTCAACCACCTCTAGAAGGTCCTAACAGCATCTCCCAAATTATACTGGGATTGAATCTAAGGAAGAACAAACTAACCAATCTCTTTCTCAACAGTTTTCCATCTGCCCCAGAAGAGTCCTTTTTTCAAAGAAATGTCCACAAGGACAGTTCTATTTTAAGAACATTTAAAGATCATGAAGTAATGTTCACATGGAAGCATAGCAGGTGGCTTACATTGGCACAACAATATCATACTTATTTTTTCGAAGAAACAAAGCTTTGCCCTTCTAAATTTTCATAATTAAGATCCCTTTCATCTAGATTTGGCCTTATGAAGTGATCTGTCTGACTCTGCTTTTTCTAGACAGACTAAAAAATGCCTGGAAATGAAAGTACTTTTCCAGCTAAGTGAGTTGCTTTCAGAACTAAAATCCAGGGCTCAAACTTCTAGTACTCTCTCGCCCCACTATACCATAATGTCATCCTTCTCACCAAATAAATATTATAGGAATCTGGAAGGCATCACAATATTTGAATTCATTGCCAACAGAGTATAGATCACACAGATTGCTTTATTTAATCAGTACATCTTAACTGAGCAATTCATTTTGAAGGCAGTAGAAAATAAGTTAACAATTTTTCAAAAATCAAGACAATTCATCTCATGAGAATACTGCTATTATACCAAACATATCATATTGTGGCCAAAGTTATAAAAAAGTCAGACAAGACCATACATGGTTAGGAATGATAAGGTCAGTCATGGTTGGAATACTATCTGGAGCATGATCATCTGAAGTTGAATATGACGATGTTCAACTGATTGGACAGAGGCTCCAATCAGGAAATAGAGTGGTCCACGTTGTCATCAACTATGTGTTCCTTTCTAAATAAAACTCTGAATAAGAACCAAGATAATTTCTAATATTTTACCCCGGCTAACCCCCAACTGAACAATTAATGGCTCTTTGGAGAATGCTGTAATACTAACTCTGCTTTCTATGCAGAGTTCCACGGGGCTTTTTGGCGCAGGAGGCTTTAAGATGTCAGTGCTTCCTAGTTAGAGAAGTTTTGAGTTTCTTGATTGTCATGACGATAAACCCCATTTCCTGCTTTAAAGGAACAATTGCAGCACATCACACAGGTGACACCTGTGCCGCTCAAGTAGCTATAAATTTAAATGCTAGAATCTTGTTCTATTTGCTTCTCATTTTAAGGAAGAGAGTGCATTTCTGAATCTGGGCAAGAGAACAATTTTAAATAGAAGTTGAATTTTACCCTCATATAAGTCTTTGATTTAGGGTTGTTAAAAGACAACCTCAAGGTCCTAAATTTGAAGTTTAATATACAATCTAAAATAGTGACATCACTTTCTAATGCAAGTTGCTTTAAAGATATATATTATTCTCTTTACATAGGGACTAGGATCTTTATTGGTTAGTATTTTTTTTCCTGCAAATTACTATTATGTAGAGAAAGAATTTGAGTTGTGGTAAGACGTAATGTTTAAAGGTAAACATTAAAAGATATAAGACACAATTCATTCATAATAATCATCTTGTTGATGAAGCCAATTTAGAGTATTGGATTACAGTATACTGTTGTCTGAGACAGCAATAGTTTCAATCAAATGACCTAGCCACCCACAGAATGTGGTAGTAAGAACAGAGGGCTTGGCACATAGGTTTTACACAGACCTCTATGGCTCTGACCTCGGGCTTGTCATTTGGACCACTCTAATTCTGTGTCCTCCTTTGAAAAGTGAATACATAGGACTGAATTTTTTAAAACGTCAGTTTAAAAAATTATAGTAAAATACACGTAAAAATAAATGTACTATCTTAACCATACTGAAGTGTGGTTCAGTGGCATTATTATTGTGCAACAATATTGTTATGCAACCACCCCACCACCCATCCACAGAACTCTTTTCATCTACCAAAATTGAATTTCATACTCATTAAACAATAGCTCCTCATTCCCTCTCCCCACAATTCCTGGCAACCATTATTCTAATTTCTGTCTCCATAACTTTGACAACTCAGGCACCTCATATAAGCAGAATCGTACAGTATTTGTGCTTTTGTGGCTGGCTTCTTTTGTTTAGCATAATGTCCTCAGGGTTCCTCCATGTTGCAGTATGTGTCAGAATTTCCTTCATTTTTAAAACTGAATAATGTTCCATGGAATGTATACATCACATTTTCTTCATCCATTGATAGGCACTTGGGCTGCATCCACATTTTGGCTATTGTGAATAATGCTGCTATGAACATGGGTGTGCAAGTATCCGTTTGAGTCTCAGCTTTCAATTCTTTGGGGTATATTCCCAGAAGCAGAATTGCTGGCTTGTGTCATAATTCTATTTTTAATTTTTAGAGGAACCATTATACTTTTTTTTTTCCATAGCACCTGCACAATTTTAACTTTACAGGACTGGATATTTTTAAATGTCCTTTCCATGTCTAGAGTTCTAGGACCCAGTACTTGTTTTTCAAATAACCTCTTTAAGTCATTTCCTCGTTAGCTGGAAATCCTGCTCACCATGGAAAAACACTGGGATGTCTTTTACTTCAGAAAGCCTTCATTTGGGTTTAGTCCCCTCCCAGCCCCTTATTTACAAGTGGCAAGCCCTAATCATGTTTTTAATTTATTTCTTGTTTTCCTATAAGACATCAGCTCCTGGAAGCAAAGATTATGTATTATTCTTCAATATCTCCACGGTGCTTGACACAGAATAATCAAACAGCAAATGTCTGATCAATGCATAGGTGGGAACAAAACAGGGTCAACTATTTCCAGATGAAGAATTGAAAAAATGATTAAACATAGTAAAATTAGAGAACATTTTTTCTCCTAATGCAAAATATTTTCCTGGAGAGGCTGGAATTCAAATAATCAAAATGATAAGCATGATAATAAAAATGCCTAACTAGGGCTATCCCAACCATCAGCCAGGGCGGAATCTTTCCACCTGGGCCCTGGTGGGACACCTAACCTAACATTCTTGCTCCTGCTGGCTGGCATTCCCAGAGGATGGGCTATACATGGTGTTTGATGCCCATCAACATGGAAGTGCAGAAGAGACATTCAATGCCCGTCCATGGAAGAGCGAAGAGGGGCATTCTCCAAGCACCCCCATTCGCTAATACAGTGAACTCTTTGATGCTGGAAGAGATCTTGAAGTTCAACGGTTCGGGAGGCGCTAGTATACTGGACGATGTGGCTGAGGTTCAGAGAAGAGAAAAGGCGAATCCTAAGTTATGTAGCAAGAAGGCAACCTACTCCCTAGATCTGGAGATACAGACAAACGCTCTTTGCAGGGATAGAAACTATTTTTAAGCCACCTTGCTAAGCGCTGGAGGGCAGGGTTGTAATTGGATACAGGGAAATGACAACGCTTCAGTAAGTCGCCTCCATCCCACGCTAAATAAGAGGCACTGGACGCCTGGGCGACAGAGCGAGACTCCTTCTCAAAAGAAAAAAAAAAAAAAGAGGCACTGGGCTGTAGGAGAGTGGTGAAATTTCTGGACCAAGACAAGGCGGCCACAACCCTCCTGGGGCAACAACCCTCCCGCCGGGCTGGTTTTTTGGAACCTCTGCAAACACTTTCTCCTGGGTCAGTTTCCCGCCAAACCGGGATGGAGGATGTCCAGAGGTCCCGGGAGTGGAAGCCGCTGTCCCTGTGTCTACTGGGAAGTGGGCGAGGCGGGATGCTGCTGGCCAGGCTGCTCGGGGCGAGGACCCGAGAACACGCACTTGCTCGCTGGGCCTCGGAGGGGTGGGAGGGGCGGGGCGGTGCGCAGCCTCCCCGGGACAGGTCTGCGGTCCGGGACCAACTAGGCTGCACAGGCACGCTGGGCGCATGTCCGCCTCGCCGGGGCTGCCAGGTGAGCCGCGCGTGATCGGGGAGCGGGGCCCACCGGCCGGAGGGAGCGGGTATAGGGGACCCTGCCCTGACCCGGAGGGAGACGGGAGGTGCCCGAGGAGCAGGGGAAAGAGCACCCCCGCACGTCCCTGCAGCAGGCAGGGTCGGACGGAGCAGCGCCCCCTTCTTCTCTGGAGGCAGCAGGAGCACCCCAGATCCTGTGGCGGGAGGCGAAGTTTCATTTTAGGGAACAAAAAGCCCAGGGCGAGAAGACATTTGACTTGGAGAGAACTGGGGGAGTTAGGGATCTCTGATTTCATCTCACACTTTTTTTCACACCCAAGTGAGGGGTCTGGGAGGTGGGCAGGGAGAGTGCTTAGGAGACAAACAGAGTTAATCCCTCACCCCATTGATCACCGCCCTGCTGAATGTTCTCAAAGCTCACCCTGCATCGTGGTGGACTGTGTGGTGTTGGAAACGACCAAAGACTCTGCCCCACCCCCACCCCCAACAAGCGAGGAAAATGTTTCCCCTGAAATGTCTTTCTTCTCTGTCTTGTTTTTTGTTTCGTTGCTATGGATTCGTGAACTAGCTTGTAATGGTCTCTAAACCTCTAACTTGTATGTATAATATTTGCGTGTCCATGCATGCATTTTTCTGAAGCGAGCTCTCAGAAGTTGTATTTGTTTCTCCCGAAGAATAAATAGGCAAAACCATATCTTTGGGCTGCATCAACATGACCTCTTAATAGTCTTCAGGGAAACTGAGTTGCAGATTCTTATTTAACGAATTGGGGATTGGCCGGGTGTGTGGCTCACGTCTGTAATCCCAGCACTTTGGGAGGCTGAGGCAGGTGGATCACCTGAGGTCAGTAGTTCGAGACCAGCCTGGCCAACAGGCTGGTGAAACCCTGTCTCTATACAAATACAAAAAATTAGCCAGACGTGGTGGAACGGGCCTGTAATCCCAGCCACTCCGAGGCTGAGGCAGGAGGATCCCTTGAACCCAGGAGGTGGAGGTTGAAGTGCGCCAAGATCATGGCCACTGCACTCCAGTCTGGGCGACAGAGCAAGATTTCGTCTCCAAAACAACAACAACAATAATAACACAAACAAACAAAAAACAATAAAGTGGGGATTGAGGGAAGAGCCTTGAGGCTCCCAGAAGGGTTGGGGAGAAAGATTCCTTCAGGGACCAGGGAGGACAGCACTTACCCAGTCACAAATTTACCTGTTTTAAGAATTGGTCTCTTTTCCACCAGTATGAAGTACAATTAGTTTTCAAATATGTAGACTGGGAAATCGAAGTAAGTCTTTGTGAATGAAAGGTCTACTTAAGTTTCTTTTTGACAACCCAAAGTGACCCCAGCTTTGGAGCTTCCAAGGACTCTGGAGAGAAGGTAACAGATTAAGTGTTCCAACTGTGCACCTCCCTCGTCCATTGGCATCTTGGGAAAAGGAGGAAAGAACCAACTGTGACCTCAGCATGGGAGCAGAACCAGAAAAACCCAGGGAGTCTGGGGGAGAGGGAGGAGAGCAGGGAGAGGTACAGGCATTGTTGGATAATGAGCTTAACTTATCCAACAAAGCTGATCTGCAAAACCAACAGGCACCTTAGGAAAATCACATTTCATCATTAATCCCACTTTCTTTGTTCCCAAATAGGCAAGAGTACTCTGTGGAGGTGAAGTAGTATCTGCTGCCACTTAACTGGATAGCATTTCTGATCCTGCCTTCTTTACCCACAGAATCTTGGAATCCCAATCCGTGAGGTTCCTGGGTGTGCTGGCATCAGGACAGCGGTCCACGAACGGTGTGTTACCCAAATATTGACATCCTGCAGCTAGCCTCAAACAATCACAGCTACTTTCCAATTTCAGAGAAAAAAAGGCTAAAATTGTAAGCTTTTTCTTAACAATTTTTTTATTTCTTAATTTTTGTGGATACATAGCAGGTATATATAATTATGGGGTACATGAGATATTTTGATACAGGCATGCAATGTGAAATAAGCACATCATAGAGAATGGGGTATCCATCCACTCGAGCATGCATCCTTTGTGTTATTAATACAAACAATCCACTTACCTTCTTTATTTAAAAATGTGCAATTAAGTTATTATGACTATGGTCACCCCATTGTGCCATCAAATAGTAGGTCTTATTCATTCTTTCTACCTTTCTTTTTTTTTTTGTACACATTAGCCATCCCCTCCACCAGTCCCCCACTACTCTTCCCAGCTTCTGGTAACCATCCTTCTACTCTCTATGCCCATGAGTTCAGTTGTTTTGATTTTTAGATCCCATGAATGAGTGAGAACATGCAATGTTTGTCTTTCCATGCCTGGCTTTTTTCACTTCCCATAATGACCTCCAGTTCTACCCATGAGGTTGCAAATGACAGGATCTCATTCTTTTTTATGGCTGAATAGTACTCCACCATGTATAAGTACCACATTTTCTTTATCCATTCATCTGTGGATGGACACTTAGGTTGCTTCCAAATCTTGGCTACTGTGAACAGGGCTGCAACAAACATGGGAATGCGGATAGCTCTTTGATATACTGATTTCCTTTCTTTTGGGTATATACTCAGCAGTGGAAATGCTGGATCATATGGTAGCTCAGTTTTTAGTTTGCTGAGGAACCTCCAAACTGTTCTCCATAGTGATTGTACTAAAATTATAAGCTTTTTCTTCACAAGTTTATTCCAACCTTTGATGCTGGCTTTTATTCATGCTGAACCTAGCTTAGTTCACACTTATATTTTTGGTTATGTTAAAGCTGAATACATCATTATTTCTTGCTTGCAAAGAACCCATTGGTTTCAAGTGATTTGTAACCTCCTCACGTTTGAGAACTACTGTTGTAGAAAGAGAAGGGAATATACCCAGGGTTGTGCCACATTTGTCTTTAATGTCCTTTGAGTTGAAATGATTTGTTTGTGGACCATCTGGTGTTCTGAGTTGTGGCAGTGAATTGCACTGGGCCCTGAAGCTAGGGAGGAAAGAAACAGCTTCATCCTACCTGCTCACAGCCCAGACCGGTTTTTTGTGTGCTGTTGTTAACATCACACGTATTTTGTAAACTCATACTTTTATGAGGTTTTATGGAACACAGATTAAGCTTCCTAGTCAACCCCTCCACCCTTACAATTGGCTAGTCAGTCTTCATTCAATCTGAATTGAACTATTGTTTTTCAGAACAATAAGGCAGTTGTTTCTACCTATAACCCATCTTTTCTTCATAGAATTATTGTTTAAAATGGTCTCCATAACATGGCTAAGGGTTTATTTGGCAATGACAGGAATTGTAATTTTGCTTCCTACTTTAAAAGTCATGAAAGATCTAAGCTTGCTTTTTTTTTTTTTTTTGAAAGAGTCTTGCTGTGTCACTCAGGCTGTAGTACAGTGGCTCAATCTCGGCTTACTGCAGCCTACACCTCCCAGGTTCAAGCGATTCTCGTGCCTCAGCCTCCCAAGTAGCTGGGACTATAGGCATGGGCCACCACACCCAGCTACGTTTTTTTTTGTATTTTTAATAGAGACGGAGTTTTGCAATGCTGGCCAGGCAGGTCTCGAACTCCTGACCTTGGGCGATCCGCCTGCCTCAGCCTCCCAAAGTGCTGAGGTTACAGGCTTGAGCCACTGTGCCTGGCCTAAGAACCAAGCTTTTTTTTAGAATGATAGTTGCCCCTTCAGTAGCCCTTCAGTACCATATAAGTTTTGCTGATGTTACTGGTTGTTCTTTAATGCATTCAGCAAATATTAATATTTACTGCACACCTTCCATGTGCCAGCCCCTGGGGTATGAGGTGACTTGTGTTTTTCTTTCAAGGAGCTGACAAATAAGCAGCTTGGACTTGAATTCCCTCCCCTTCTCTTCCTCTCACGTCTCTGTTGAGGCAAATCCCAATTGGAATGAAATAACTCTGGAGAATTATTTTGGGCGTTACTAAAACTATCTTTACTTCTTTGCTCCAGAAGCAACATTAGCTACTTAGTGGCCTCTTGACATAATCTAAGAACTGTCTTTGGGACGTGCTGCTTCTGGGACTCCTTGGCTGTGACCATTTTCTTTCAAGTTTAAGTGACTTCCTGCTCCTTATGCATGAGTCCATTTAAGACATTCTGCCAAGGGAGAAGCCATCCACTGTGGTTGCCTGGCTTCAGAGCACTCTCACTGGTCAGCAGTCCCTGACTCCTATGACCTCCAGTGCTGTGTAGATGATAGTTTCATGAATAGCACTTTTAACATCTATGTTGCATTAGGTATTATAAGTAATCTAGAGATGATTTACAGGAGGATGGGCATAGGTTAAGTGTAAATACCATACCATTTTATTTTTATATCAGTGACGTGAGCATCTGCAGATTTTGGTATCCTTGGGGGTCTGGGAACCAATGCACTGCAGATACTAAGGGACAACTCTACAGTGTTTGATTTATTGAGCTTTCTGAGATATTCAGCCTTTTCCTGTCTTCACACTTGTTTTTCCCTCTATTATTTAGGGTAATCCTGATGAAAATCAACAAAATACACATGAAGAGACAGCACTGAGAGGTAATGTGCTAACTGGTCTTTGTGATTACAGGCACTTCAGATTTCCCTCTTGCCTACTCATTGTGAGATGCAGCCCAGCCCTGCAACAAGACTGCCACAGTCGTATCCTGGCTCACCCCTAACTAGCGGTTTGACTTTGAGCACATCACTGCCTCCTCCGTGCCTCAGTTTCCTCTTCTGTTGAATGGGGATGATCACAGCACTACCTCACCATTTGTTGTGAGGATTAAATAGATTCAAATATGTAAGACACTTACAGTAATGCTTTGTACACAGAAGGCACTATTATTTTTTATTAATCCCTATTTTTCCTTCCCAACTTCATCTCCCAATATCCCATAACCATGCTGATTTCCTTACAACTCCCCCAGACCTCCTGGACTAAGTGAGATTTGGAAGAGTATACTCAGGGCAGTCAAGAAGGACTGATTCTGCTAATTTAGGATTTGTCAAGTTGGGTTAGTTTGAAATATACCTCTGTACTCCTCTCAGGAAATGCTGGATAGTGTAGATTTAGTATCAGATAATAGTAATAATGGTGGCAGACTCTGATGTTTCCTCCTTCCCTTGTGATCTCAGTAGTCTTGTACCATTCATACATCAAATGACTTAGCAACTAACAATCACGTAATATTTTTTAAGCTTTTCTTATGTGCCCAGTAGTGAGCCAAGAGTTTTTTTTCCTATTTTTAACATACTATTGACAGCTCCATGAGGTGGGTTTATATTTTGTTAAAATAATTTGCCATGTCCACTTCCCCAGTAGACTGTGACAGTGGCATATACATCTGTGTGTGTTATTCAGTTTGTATCTCTAGGACTTGACAGAGGACCCAATACAGAGTGGGTGCTCCAGAAATGTGGACTTGGATGCATTTCACCAACAGCTATTTACATCCAAATAATAAGCTAATTATAACTCTTCTTCTAGATGTACTTTTCTCATTGCAAAAATTCACCGTCAAAATTTTTAAAAACACTAATAAGCAAGAAGAAGGAAGTTAAAATTGCACTCCTTCCAGCCCTAGAGAGCTTAATCAACTTGCTTAGGAACACGCTACTAAATGGCTAATCTGAGCACCAAAATCTGGCCATCTGGCTTCAGGGCTCAGCCTCCTAATGGCCGCATTATACCATTGATCCCGCCCCATCCACCCCAACACACACACTCCCCTGCACAAACAAATTATGTTAGCTATTAAAAGGAATTGGAAGAGTGGAAATGTGCAATTAAATCTACCACAAATACAATGTTGCAATACGTGCAATCTATATTTTTAAAATTTACAGTATTCAGCATTTTCCTGTCTTCACACTTGTTCCCTCCGTTATTTACGGCAATCATGACGAAAATCAACAAAATACAGATTGAGAGGCAGCACTGAGAGGTAATGTAGAAAGGGAATGGCTTTTGAGTCAGAAAAATGCGAGTGTGGATCCCAGCTAAGCCCCTAGATGTGTTACCAGAGACGAGCCGCAAAACATTTCTCAGTCTTAGTCTCTTGTAAAATAGAGGTAATAAGAAACACTTTTCAGTATTTTGTGACATGTAGAAGTAAGTGATGGTGGCATGCATCACACTTGGTTAATAGTAGGTCCTGTTGTTAAGTCTCTAATGGCGATACCCTATGGCTTCTCCAAATGGTGACCTTGCCAAATTGTTTTCCAAAGCGACATGTGGCTTTTTTCTCCCAATCCCTCATTTTAACTCTCATGGTAATTTAACTTTTATATTTTTATTAGATGCATTTAGTAACTTGCCTCATAGTCATTTTCTTGGAAATTCAATTTCTTCTCCACAGGGTCTC
Organism: Homo sapiens; assembly: GCF_000001405.40. NCBI lineage: Eukaryota > Metazoa > Chordata > Mammalia > Primates > Hominidae > Homo > Homo sapiens. The sequence goes on along the minus strand of NC_000013.11, from coordinate 96,987,949 downwards.
TTTTGAGATTAAAGAGAGAGAAGTGGCAAATTTAGGATGTTAGAATAATTTTCATTTAAAAGTAGATCCTTGTTTTTATTACCCTATCATTAATGTTTTCTGTTTTCCTTTATCAGCGAGTTACTGCTCATTTGATTCATATTGCCAAACTGAACTCTCTTGTTTTCTTGCAAGATGAAAGGAGACAACCATGAATGAGCCACTAGACTATTTAGCAAATGCTTCTGATTTCCCCGATTATGCAGCTGCTTTTGGAAATTGCACTGATGAAAACATCCCACTCAAGATGCACTACCTCCCTGTTATTTATGGCATTATCTTCCTCGTGGGATTTCCAGGCAATGCAGTAGTGATATCCACTTACATTTTCAAAATGAGACCTTGGAAGAGCAGCACCATCATTATGCTGAACCTGGCCTGCACAGATCTGCTGTATCTGACCAGCCTCCCCTTCCTGATTCACTACTATGCCAGTGGCGAAAACTGGATCTTTGGAGATTTCATGTGTAAGTTTATCCGCTTCAGCTTCCATTTCAACCTGTATAGCAGCATCCTCTTCCTCACCTGTTTCAGCATCTTCCGCTACTGTGTGATCATTCACCCAATGAGCTGCTTTTCCATTCACAAAACTCGATGTGCAGTTGTAGCCTGTGCTGTGGTGTGGATCATTTCACTGGTAGCTGTCATTCCGATGACCTTCTTGATCACATCAACCAACAGGACCAACAGATCAGCCTGTCTCGACCTCACCAGTTCGGATGAACTCAATACTATTAAGTGGTACAACCTGATTTTGACTGCAACTACTTTCTGCCTCCCCTTGGTGATAGTGACACTTTGCTATACCACGATTATCCACACTCTGACCCATGGACTGCAAACTGACAGCTGCCTTAAGCAGAAAGCACGAAGGCTAACCATTCTGCTACTCCTTGCATTTTACGTATGTTTTTTACCCTTCCATATCTTGAGGGTCATTCGGATCGAATCTCGCCTGCTTTCAATCAGTTGTTCCATTGAGAATCAGATCCATGAAGCTTACATCGTTTCTAGACCATTAGCTGCTCTGAACACCTTTGGTAACCTGTTACTATATGTGGTGGTCAGCGACAACTTTCAGCAGGCTGTCTGCTCAACAGTGAGATGCAAAGTAAGCGGGAACCTTGAGCAAGCAAAGAAAATTAGTTACTCAAACAACCCTTGAAATATTTCATTTACTTAACCAAAAACAAATACTTGCTGATACTTTACCTAGCATCCTAAGATGTTCAGGATGTCTCCCTCAATGGAACTCCTGGTAAATACTGTGTATTCAAGTAATCATGTGCCAAAGCCAGGGCAGAGCTTCTAGTTCTTTGCAATCCCTTTATTGAGCTCCTCCACTGGGGAGATATAAGAATGGGATGCATGTATATCAGCAAAGTATTCAGACATAGTATTACAAGCTATTGGAACTCAGAGGCATCTTAGAGAACATCTGTTCCCACCAACTTACTATATATACACGGAAACCAATTTCTTACCCTTGCCCTAGATTGCTCAGTAAATTTGTGCCAAGATAGGAGAAAACCAATCTTTTCACTCATCATTTCATGCTTCTCTGCACTCTGGGCCTATTTGTATTGAACCATTAGACAATTCAAACCACTACTTGTATCTTTCTTAATATTTATTTTTTACATCTCAGAGCTCTACAATTTGTTTCCTTCAAGCTTAACTTTGAGATTATAAAACTGGGTTTAGCCAGTTCTGTATATTACTTCAAGCCAGTAAGATACCCTTGAAATAATCCAAGGACGTCCATGCAAATAGTTGAAATTAGTACCTGCAATATATTTGGAGTATTATGTCTTTATTGTTGTTAAAAAGTTTTTATTGAATGTATGAAAATTATCAAATTGTATTCATCATTATTAACATGTCCTGGGGAAGGAAGGGAAACTTTCTAGGACAGAAGTCACTTTCAGATGTCATGTATGTATTGGGTGTTCAATCATATCTAACACTGTTTTGATTTTTGTGGGAAAATATTCCAGGAAACGCTAATTCTCTTTAGACTCCTTGTTCTTTTATGACTACAATGAACATATGTCTATGTGATAGCTAAAGATATTTTTGAATTGTATGTGTGCTTAATTATCGGTAAGTATAAATATTTGAGAAAACACATGGTCTGGATATTTAAAACCCTCATAAACATGTTGGTACAGTTAATAAACTTATTTATAATTATGTAATAGGCTGTTTGGTCATATTTTTCTGTGAAAATGCAGTTTTATCACTATTATATTTACATGAAACTTATTTGCTCTATGGTTAGGAACAAAAATAAGTTAAGAATCAATAATATTATAGAATAAGGCAGAAATAGTTGACTTACACAGAGGGAAGGGTACCATAGAAATTCTTCCTGATGTTCCAGTTCTTCTAGGACATGACATCTGACTTAGACTTAAGTGAGGATATTCATCAGGAACCTCTTCAGAGCAAGTTGAGAGAAGGAAGAGCAAGCCGATGGATCTGAACATGAAGTTTTCTGGACAATGGTGCTTTTTGCAATCCCTACCTTCTGAGCCATCTTCTTCTGAGCCTTTCTATAACATGTGGAATAAGCTATTTCACTAGAGGACCCCAATTTGCTCATCTGCCCTGGCTGTACAGCATCGAGAAGTATTCAGAGGTCCACCTGGAACTGCTAGCTCTTTTTCTTTTCCCCGATGCCTAGCCCAGCCCCTGGGCTATCACTAAAGTGCAGACAGACTTGCCTGTATTCCACTGCTGTCGTTATTCTAGCCTTGGGCACAAACCCCTTTTCTTTCTCTCCTCATCTTTATTCCTTCTTATTCCAAAGAGTTGGCAGGGTGCAGTGGCTCACGCCTGTAATCTCAACACTTTGGGAGGCCGAGGCGGGCGGATCACGAGGTCTGGAGATGGAGACCATCCTGGCTAACATGGTGAAACCCTGTCTCAAAAAATTACAAAAAATTAGCCGGGCGTGGTGGCGGGCGCTGGTAGTCCCAGCTACTCAGGAGACTGAGGCAGGAGAATGGCGTAAACCGGGGAGGCGGAGCTTGCAGTGAGCCGAGATGGCGCCACTGCACTCCAGGCTGAGCGACAGAGCGAGACTCCGTCTCAAAAAAAAAAAAAAAAAAAAGAGTTTACCCACCAGAGAAAAGCCACTTCAACATCCTTCATGTCTTTCTCAACTCATCTGTGTAGCTTCTTTTATTTTTTACCTTCTTCCTACCAATGTACAGAAAAACAAATCATCCTTCTGGCAGGAATTCTTGCACTTTATCTCTGGTCTTTATTTTGCTCTCTTAGGGACCTTGCTCCAACACTTAATCTCACTTTCTCACGTTTTTAATATTTTTATTACCCTGGATAATTGACCTCAGCTTGGAAGCATGCATAATTTTCCATTATCCGAAAAATGCCTCCCCTTGATTAAGCTTTTATGTCGTTCTGTTACCTAATCTGCTTCCCACAGCTGTGGGTTGGGTGCAGATGACAGTCTGCCCTCTAGGGTTCTTCCGATAGAACAGAATCACAGAGATCCAAGCTAAATTTAATTCAAAGGATGAGTTTTATTTTACAAAGTTAAGAGTTCTGGGTTATTTGTGCTGAAGGAGGCAGTTTTGAACTGAGGCCAAAAAAAGGGATTGATGATATTTCCCAGGCTAGAATGGGAACTGTGTGACCTTGCTGCATACAACCAGGCCTAGGCAGAGGAAGACAGAATGAGAACAAAAGAGCAGAGCTCTGACTGTGTCCGCCAGGGCACAGCTACTCAGGTCTACTCGCTGTGTGAGAACCGAAAGCGCAAGTCAGGCTCACTGCACCTGCATATGGGGAAGCCAGAAAAACCTGTTCCAAACTTCTGAGACATGGTAATCCCTTGCGTTATTTGTAACTCTTTATTGTGGACATTTTCAAACAGTCACAAAATTTAAAAAGGAGCCAAATGGCCTCATGTAACCCATGTCTTAATTTCATCAATAGCCAACATCCCACCCTTCAGGTTTTATCTCTCTCTTCCCACATCTTTGTTGCTAGAATATTTAAAAGCAAATTCTAGACAACATACAGTTTTACCTACAGATGCTTCAACACAGATTTCTTTCAAAACATACAAAACCAAAACAAAATAATAACTGATTTCTCAATATCATCTAATACTAATCCATGTTTCATTACCCCTGTTTCCCCCCAAAGTATGTTTATACAGTTTTTTTTTTCAAATCAGGATCAAAGGAAGCTCCATGCATTGCATTTGGTTGATATGACTCTTCAATTTATTTTAATCTAAAGGAGCTCCCCTTTTCTTAATTAATTGCCGTTTATTTGCTGAAGAAATCAAGTCAAGTCATTTGTCCTATAGAATTTTTCACATTGCAGGTCCGACTGTTTTAATTCCATTTTGTTATTTATCACATTCCTCCAACCTGCATATTTGCAGTAATTTGGAAGGTAAAGCTATAGGTTAGATTAGATACAGATTATTTGTTGTTATTTCCTTCCCCCTTTCCCTTCCCTTCGTTTCCCTTCCCTTTCTTTCCCTTCCCTTCCTTCCCTGTTTTCTTTCATTCCTTTCTTCCTCCTTCTCACCCCTCCCTCCTTCATTTCTTCTTTCTTTTCTTTTTATAGGAACACTAATTCACCTAGGAAGGTGCTTGTGTCTGACTGTCCTATGCTTAGCAATTGAGCAGGATTTTCAGGACATATTATTCTGATCCTTACATCATAAGTTCCCCATCTTCTCCCCCTTCATAGCTTTATGTTTAGTGTTTTCAGTTGCTCATTTCTATTTTGATCCACTAGGTTACTCATAAAATTCTAACATTCCTCTGCTTTTATTATAGTTTTTCTAGAAAGATCTTTGACCCATCAAAATTTTGTACCCTCCATTCTTAACATAATTCTCACCCATGAATCTTTTTACTCTTTCTTTTCTGGTGAGGCAAAGGAAGCAATGAAAAGGGATGTGGGAGCTGCCTCCTAGTACTTCCTCAATGAGATCATAAGGGTTGACGGAAATTTTGACAGGATTTCCTTTCAATATGGGCCAAGTTTTTGTTCTTTTAACATTTTGCGGTTAACAGCCAATGTTATGAGCCACAAGATTGGAGCTGCCCTCATGAGGGAGGAGATTAACAGAGGAAATTGCCTTACTGTTGCTGTACTTCTCCTCCAAACCCACCCTAGTGTCTTTGTGTACCCTCTTGGATCATGCAAGACATTGACATTTTCCTCCAGAAAGCTCTGAAAAAGACAGAATAAAACACTGATTAACTGCAAGGCCATGTAGCACTTGAGGACTCCTGCTCTAATTTTATTCTTAAATTCTATCCAGCAACATCCTTCTATATAATCTATCTGATATTTTACAATGAGCTCAAATGTTATCAAACAATGTAAGGCAGGTAACATAAAAAATGCCTGAAGCATGTGAGTTCTTTCTATTATTGAGTTCTCAGGAAGAAATTAAATTATAATATGCAATGATCTGTTTTTTAAATTCTATTTCCTGTCTATGCTTCTGTCTGAATATTTTCCATCAATCTATTTCATTTCATTAATCCTACCTTGTACTGCATACAATTTGCCATTAAACTCATCCATTGAATTCTTAATTTCAGAGATTATGTTTTTTCATTTATAGAAGTATATGTGGTTCTTTTTATTAATTCTACTATTTCAGTGAGTTTGGTTGTCTTTCAAATCTATTTTGTCTACCTCTTTCTATATATTCCAGAACTGAATAATCATAGGTATTTTAAAGTTTTCATCTGTCCTTCTAATATCTGAATTACCTTTGGATCTGCTTCTATTGTCTGTCATTTCCTTCATGCCTATTAGTCATGTGATCCTATCTTCTTGCATGTCTATTAATTTTTTATTGAATAACAGAAATTGCATATGGAAAGATCAAAGAGGATCCTTTGATAGGCTTACCTTTTCTTCAGCCATGAAAATAGACTTGGGAATGTATTTCTTTAAATTGTAAATAGAAACCGGACTGGGCTGAGACTAGGTTACAGTTTTGGTGCAATGCAGTTTATCTCTGATTTTCCTTTGTTACTGATAGTTAGAGCTTATTTTACATATATATATATGTATATATATACACACGTATTTGTGTCTAAACATAAGTATATTATATCATATATATTTGCGTTTATATATTTTGTAGACGGTACATGATGAATCCTGTTTCTATCCCAACTAACATCTCTGCCCTTAGCTGGAGTATCTGGTGCACTTATATTTAATGTAAGTATTGATATGGTTAGATTCAAGTCTACTGTCTTGCTATTTTTTAATTTGTCTCTTCTTTTTTGTATCTTTGTTGTTTCTTTTGTGTTTCCTATTAGAAGAATAAAATATTTTTAATATTACTTACTTCCTCTATTGTGGATTCTTAGCTATATTTTTAAATTCTTTTTATTTTATAGTAATTTTCTAGGGCTACAAACATCTTACCTCAAGTATCAAAAATTATTTAGAGTCAATTATGTTTCTTTTTTATTTCACACCTAAATTTTTCCACTCCCTACTGTCATCTTTTCTCTTCTCATTTCATACTTGGTACTTTGTATTTTTCACTTCCCACTTCTTCTATCTTTAAAATATAATAACATTATAACAGTATTATGCCATTTACTCACTCTAACTTCTGTTCTATTGCTGTCAAAACTTGTACTTTTAAATGTGTTATAAACCCCAGTTTACATTGTAAATATTTTTACTTTAGTCAGTTGTCCTTTAAGAAAATTACAGTAAGAAAAAAATAGTCTTCTATAGTTTCCTACTTATTTACCAATACCATGCTTGTCATTTCTTCCTAAAGATAAGAGTGTTCATCTGATATCATTTTCCTCCAAACAAAAAACATTCTTTAGCATTTATTACAATGAAGGTGTGCTGAAGAGAAAGTTTCTAAGCATGTATTTATCTGAAAATATCATAATTTAACTTTTTTAAGAAAGATGTTTTCACTGAACGTAGAAATGCCACTGGATGAAGGATTGCCACTTTTAATTTTAGCACTTCAGAGATGTTCCATTATCTTTTCATTTCTACTTCTTCTGATAAAAAGTTCGCTGTAAGTCATATCATTGTTTCCTGTATGTAATATGTTTCTTTATCCTCTGGTTCTTTTAAGATTTTCTCTTTCTTGCTGTTTTAAAGCAATTTGGCTATTCTGTGCCTAGGTGTAATTTTCTTTGTATTTATAATGCTTAGGAATTATTAATATTCTTTAATCTTATAATGTACTCTTTTTTCATCAAATTCAGAAAATTTTAAGCATTATTTTTTCAAATATGTATTCTGCTCCATCTTCACTCTTCTTCTTATGAAACTCCAGTTACACGTATGTCACACAGCTCAATATTGTTGCACTGGTCACTGAGACTTCATTCATGTCTTTTCAATCTTATGACACTCTATTCTTCAGATCTATTTAAAGTTAATTGTTTCTTCTATTATCTCCAATTTACTGTTAAGCTCAATGAGTAAACTTTACATTTCAGTTATTTTATTTCTTGGTTCTATAATTTCTTTTTTTTATTATACTTTCAGTTCTGGGATACATTTGCAGAATGTGCAGGTTTGTTACATAGGCATACACGTGCCATGGTGGTTTGCTGCACCCATCAACCCATCATCTACATTAGGTATTTCTGTTAATGCTATCCTTCCCCTAGCTCCCTACCCCTCTACCCCCTGACAGGCCCCAGTGTGTGATTTTCCCCTCCCTGTGACCATGTGTTCTCATTGATCAACTCCCACTTATGAGTGAAAGTTTGTGGTGTATGGTTTTCTGCTTCTGTGTTAGTTTGCTGAGAATGATGGTTTTCAGCTTCATCCATGTCCCTGCCAAGGACATGAACTCCTCCTTTTTTATGGCTGCATAGTATTCCATGGTGTATATGTGCCACATTTTCTTTATCCAGACTATCAATGATGGGCATTTGGGTTGGTTCCAAGTCTTTGCTATTGTGAACAGTGCTGCAGTAAACATACGTGTGCATATGTCTTTATAGCAGCATGATTCATAATCCTTTGGGTATATACCCAGTAATGGGATTGCTGGGTCAAATGGTGTTTCTAGTTCTAGATCCCTAAGGAATTGCCACATTGTCTTCCACAATGGTTGAACTAATTTACACTCTCAATAACAGTGTAAAAGCATTCCTATTTCTCCACATCCTCTCCAGCATCTGTTGTTTCCTGACTTTTTAGTGATCGCCATTCTAACTGGCATGAGATGGTATCTCATTATGGTTTTGATTTGCATTTCTGTAATGACCAGTGATGATGAGCTTTTTTTTCATAAATTTCTTGGCCACAGAAATGTCTTCTTTTGAGAAGTGCCTGTTCATATCCTTCACCCACTTGTTGATGGGGCTGTTTATTTTTTTTTATAAATTTGTTTAAGTTATTTGTAGATTCTGGATATTAGCCCTTTTTCAGATGGATAGATTGCAAAAATTTTCTCCCATTCTGTAGGTTGTCTGTTCACTCTGATGATAGTTTCTTTTGCTGTGCAGAACTCTTTAGTTTAATTAGATCCCATTTGTCTATTTTGGCTTTTGTTGCCATTGCTTTTAGTGTTTTAGTCATGAAGACTTTGCCCATGCCTATGTCCTAAATGGTATTCCTAGGTTTTCTTCTAGGGCTTTTATGGTTTTAGGTCTTAAGTCTAAGTCTTTAATCCATCTTGAGTTAATTTTTGTATAAGGTGTAATGATTTTTAATCCCACTTCTCTGTTGGAGTTTCCTTCTTCACTAAACTGTGTTTTTCTTTTAACTGTAAACATACCAAAATAGCTGCTTTCACATTTTTACCTATTAAATCCAGCATTTGGTTTTATTACTTTCCTATTGCTGCTATAACAAATTACCACAAATATAGTGACCTAAAACAACACAATTTTATTCTCTTTCAGAAGTCAGAAGTCTTAAATCAATTTCACATGGCTAAAGTCAAGGAGTTGGTAGACCTGCATTACCTCTGGAGGCACTGGAGGTGACTCCATTTCCTTGCATTTTCCAGCTGCTAGAGACCACCTGCATTCTTTAGCTCATGGTCCCTTCACCTATCTTCAGAGCCGGTAGCATGGCATTTTAAAATCTCTCTGACCTCCACTTCTAATTGAACATCTCTCTCTGATGCTGATTCTTCAGTTTTTATTTTGTTGTAACTCCCGTGATTACACTGGGCCCACCCAGATAATCCAAAATAATCTCCTCATCTCAAAACCCATAACTTAATTACATCTGCAAAGTCTTTTTTGCCATGTAACATAACATGTTCATAGGTTCCAGGGATTAGAATGTGGACATTTTGAGAAGGTTAGTATTCAGTGTACCACAGTCGGTCACTTTAAAGTCATTTTCTAATGATTTTTTTCCCCTTAGCTATGGCACATGTTTTTCTGTTTCATGTATCTACCAACTTTTTACTGATATTATAAATAAATCATTGTAGAGATTCTATTACTATCTTGAAGACTTGGGTTTTTTTTCCTAGTAGACAGATAAATTACTTGCTAATCACCTTGAAACTGTGTTGGCTTAGTTTTGTGATTTTTAGGAACATATTTTGTGAGAAGTCCAAGATGTTTACCAAGCTCTTCTAATACAGTAAGACCCAATTACCAAATTCAATTTCTCCTGTGGTCTTGCTTAGACTTGGTTTTAGCCTTTTTTTTTCCCCAAAGAATCTAGATTAGGGCTTACTCTGGAGCATGGTCTTTGCTTTCTGCTGCCTCAGCTAGATGAGTTAGTAAGATGGTAATGAGATAGTTTTTCCTTGGTGTCGGCTAGAACTCCAATGTTCTTGATCATTGCTTAATCACTGCTATCTCTGTTCCCGTAGCTTCTTTCTGATTAGCCTTAAGTCGTCTCTCCCTGCAAACACAGCCCTTGGCAGAGAAATCAGAGAATTTTTCCCTCTTCTGACCATGCTTCCCTCTGCCTTGGTGCCCTGCTTTAAATCTTTCAGACACTTCATGTTGAACACCGACCTCTGCCTCCTCAGCTCAAAGGGACCATTGTCTTCTGTTTCTATTCCAGATTTTTGTGCTGTGGTCAGGAAATTATGCCAGACCATGAGCCAGAGAGGTGGGATGATTGTAGGGCTCACAATATTGCTCTATCTATCATCCCATGCCTGGAAACATTTGATTAATGTATTTGATCTAGTTTCATTGTTACCAGTGGGAGAGGCTCTCCCTTATATTCCACTGTGATCTATTCCAGGTGAGGGAGCAGAAGCTATGTGGAATGCCTCCTGCCTTTCCCATTAATGCTGTTTACTATTTATCCTTCTAAAGTGTGAGATACTTCAATTTAAATATGGCAGTTTAACCATGACTCTTCTCCCCTAAAATGATACTAAAATAATAATGGTAATATTGATATGAACAGGAGGCAGGAGAGCAGGGTCGCTGTCAAGGGCTCCACCCTTAAGCTTGGACCCATGGCCCTAAATGAGAACAAGCATTCCCATTTTCATGTCCAAATGTTTCTTTTTCCAAAGCCACCGTGGCCTTCCATGGCCCCCAGTCCTGTAGCCATACAAATCCCAAACCCCCAGCTCCATGAGTAGAAGAGCAGAAAGGCAACAGAGCAACACAGCAGAGAAGAGGAGAAGAGAGGAGCATCTTAACATTGAGGGGGTTGGAGAGGAGATTGACCACCAAATGGTCAAACTCATGGGGAAGATCATCCTCCCACTCCATCCCCTTTCCAGCTCCCCATCCATCCCACTGAGAGCCACCCCCATCACTTAATAAAATCCCACGTTCACCATCCTTCAAGTCCATGTGACCTGATTCTTCCTGGATGCCAGATAAGCACCTGACTACCACAAGGGCAGAGTTTAAAAGGCTGTCACCCTGACTCTCCACTGAGCTGGTTTAACACTTGGCTGTCCATGGATGGCAACTACTAAGAGAACATTAATTGTAACACACCCTAGATGCTACTGTAGGGCCGGAACCCAAAAGCACTTGCCCTGGCTCCTGCGCCTGCCCATCTGCATGCTCCCCGTCCCTTAAGTGGTTGGAGCATGTGGCAGCTGAGCAAACAAGCCACAACCCTGTCATAAGTCCCACAAGGGGGTCAGGGAACTCTCCCATTTCAATGTAACTGTAAAGATATTGAAAGCTAAAAGCTTACAGATAAATGGTGAAACAAAAGGGACCCAAAGCTGGTAGTGGAGAGAACCCAGAGACAGAGTAGTACATTCTGCTTAACTCCAAAATGTTCAGGAATTAGGGCTGCCAGTTACGTCTGAAAGAGGATTATCAGTAAACCTAACAATAGGAAGTTTCATGTAAAGCCTGAACAAAAAGCAATTACGCCCCTAGATATCATCCCTTTTCCTGTGCAAACCAATAATTACCTCTCTTCTACACCAGGAGAATTCTTGGCTTTTCATTCTGGAGTGGTTGAAAGAAGGAGCAGAAAGATTCTTGACCTGAGGACAATACATATAGTCAAAGGAACGGTAAAAGTGAGGTCCTAAATTTTGGATAGAAACACTTGGCTCTGATAACAGTGGCAGCTCATACTTACCTTTCCTGCCAGAATATTGTAGCATTCTTCTCTAGGGAAATGGAAACTACAGCAATGATAGATACAACTTATATAGCACTAGTGATGTGTTGGGCTGTGTTTTAACTGCTCTCTTTATGAATGCACAGTCTGACTCCAGAGCCCATGTATAGAACCACTACACTATGCTGCTTTTCACAAAAAGAGAAACTATTTAGATACCAACAGTTGAGGAACAGCTCAGCCTGCCCACCCCACAATGGCACCCACCAGTTGACCTGCCTTACCAACTCAGCTTCTTAGTGCCATACTCTTAAATATCAGCATGGACAGTCATGAATAACACAGCAACTGGGAAAAGTCAACAACAGGAATCAGAGACTCCAAAATGATCAGACAAGAAAAATTAAAAAGAAAGCACTCAGAGAAACAAAAACCCTGTAGGAAACATAAGAAAATTTCAAAAAACCAACAAGACTCTCAGAGACATCCTTAAAACAGACCAGGAGGCTCTAAAAGAATGAATTTTAAAGAACAAAAAAGAGCTCTTAGTTATCAAGCCATGGTAGTTCAGTGGGGTTATTTCTAATGCCCTCCACTAACTGCCTACAACATGAGGTTTGCACCAGGGAACTGGGGGGTACTCCTGGCATCCCCTTTCCATTTATTTTAACTGTTTGATATTTAGAAGAAAGTCTTAGAGGCTAGTACTATGAGGCCAGAATTATTTGCTGATTTTAGTTCAAGTGAAGCATTCTTTCATTTTTATTTTATATGCATTTCAGAGGTTTTAGAGGAGATTTTTTTTAAAGTGCACCTAAACCACTTGGTTTCTTAGAGTTGCTATATGTCTTCTTTCTTATTCTGTCTCTGCATATTATATGACATATGAATATATTTTCTATGATTACATAGTAACAATTTGTTTTCCATAGTTTAGAAATATTCCTATAGCCTGAACACATTGTTTTTCTTTCTGAAAATGCTTGCTAATACTACATTAATGCTTGTAAATAATTTTTATTAATCACAATAGCCTCCACAAACATTTGAAAAATGAAACACAGATGCAGAAAATATTATTTATTTAGTATATTTATTTGTTGAGCACAGAAACTTATAAAACAGAGGAATGCATAACTTATGTGTTTAGGATCACAATATCAGCTTAACGTCTATTTGAGTAAACTAACACCAGCATCTTTTGAACCCCGACTATGTGCAAAGTACTGTGCTATACCCTTGAGATATAAATCTTAATAATGAAACAGTACTACTTTCAAAAATACCACATTCTTGGAAACTAACTGCATTATTCATATGTGCCTTTTAGGTTGAGTGTTTGTTATGCTACATTTACTTATCAAAAGTCAGTGAAATGTTTGTCTAGTTCTTTTTGCCATTACCAGTTATCATTATCTATTTGTATTTTAAGGAGTGCACCCAAAGGATGCATTTCAGGAACTTATGTAGCTATCTAAATCTCTCTCACCAACAACCCTAAAGTGTATTCTAAGTATACACAAATATCCTGGGGTGCTAATTGTACCTGGCTAAATGCCCCATTTATCTGTTTAAACCCTCTAGGAGATGAACAGTAAGACAGTATTTGGTATTACATACTTAATATTATCTCATTATCAGAGGCAACACTGTAAACATATGAATCTTACACCAAGAAAGCCAAAAAATCTACATATGCACCATAAGAGATGGTCAAACAACAAGCCATCTTTTTCCCAAACATTTTCTGATTTACATAGTCTGTCAAAAAGTTTAAATAACAGTGCTTTTTTTAAAATTTAAATTCAGGGGTAAAGCCAGACAGCATTCATATTAAAAAATTAAAACAAGTCCAATATTAAATCCCCTATTCAAGTTTTAACCATTTGTGAAAGCACTGATAAAGTTCAGTTTTTGTGGCTCTTGCTCTAACTGCTTAGCTCAGAGTGGGCAGTTCCATCTTTTGTTGTTTGTATTCTTGAAGCACTTGGGCAATTTATCATACAGGACTTGGATTATCACTCTTCTATGTCAATGTGTTTTTTTTTTCCTTGCGAGATTATGAACTTCTCCAACACATGGTCACATATTTATGTGTGGTCCCAGCACCCAATAATACACTAGAAGTTATGACACAGAACAACAGCAAAAAATGAGCCTCTTTTAGAATGAGAAATATCTGCCTTTTAAATCCCAATTCTTACCTGACCAATAGCTGAGTACAGAAAATTCACGCCTAAATTGAATCTTTGTATTGCCTTTGATGATGAGAGAAAAGACTTATGTTTCTGGTAACATGTTAGATTAAATCCATTGCACAACCTGTCAGTTGAAAACAATGAAAATGGCTAAGTAAAATCTTCTCATAAACCCCTATAAAAATGCTCACTGAGCTAAGAAACTAAAGAATCCACAAAGGGAAAAAATAAATATAAAGGTGAGAAATCTGGAAGTCAGTAGGCAGTAAAAGCACCAATTTTCCCAATAGTCTCTTCAAAATCCTGGTGGGTTTTTCACCTACATCTTGATATCTGTGTTGGGATGTGTAGGATGATCATACACCCTGGTTTTCCCAGGATAGTACTAGTTAATGCCAGTTGCCCTGGTATAATTATTAATAGTACCTACTTCTATCCTCAAAAGCGTCTGGAATGATATATAGTCACACTAAACATGGGAGAAAGGACATGAGGTATGCAATTCAACAAAGGTGGGGATTGTAATAGTAGACTCTTGCAAAACTCTGAATGTCAATAGGCCATGTTCTCCACGTTAGGGTGAACAATAAATAAGGTTGGGGAAGAGAAGGGGGCAGCATGTAAAATAACCGGCATTGACTTTGACACTGGGTAGAGGGAAAATAAATTTGCCCCTGAGAAATCATAGTCAGCATCAAGCTTACATGTCAACTTGTTGTTACTTGCATGTTAAAAATTGAAGCTTGAATGGGGAATTAATTTTAAAGTGATTTCCAGATGGGCAATACCACCAGGCAACTGGCAGAAGCATACGGAAATCTCTTTAAGAGATCACAAATTTAACACAGGTCTCAAAGGGCTCCTATTGGTTAAGTTTCCAAGTATAGTGAGAAACTCACATTAAAAAGGAAATCACAAGAAATGCCAAGAAAAAGGCACAGTGAGAATTAGAATTAGAACCTCAAAGATTTCACAGATGAGAAAGATCTGAAACTGATTGTAAAATAGGAAGTTTATTTTATTTCAAAAAATAAAAGAGAGGCTTGAAATGAGCAATGAAAATGAGACTATTAAGAATGACTAAACTTTAAAAGAAACAGACTTCTAAAAATAACAAGTATAATAAATTAAAATTTAAAAAAATAATGGATTGGTAAAACAGAAGATTAGATACAGCAAAGAGAGAATTAATGAACTGGAAGCAAGATCCAAAAACACTATCTGGAATACAACCCAAAGGAAAAAGAAACAAGAAAATGAAAAATATGAATGCTAAACCTGCAGTAGAGAGCGAGAAGATCCAATATATATGTGAGAAGATTTTCAGAAAAAGAAAAGAATGGAGGAAAAAGCAACATTTGAAGAGAGATTGGCTGATAATTTTCGAGAATTTTTGAAAGCTCCTAAGCCCCCATGTTGTAAGTCCAATGTATACAGGCAGGGTAAATCAAAACAGATTGACAACTAGACACATCAGATGAAACTGCAGATGATCAAAGATATATCAGAAAGTCAGCCAGAGAGAAATGAAAAATCTCCTACAGAGAAGGATCTGTAAGACTGAAAGCTGACTTTTTTCCTTTTTTAAAAATTTTATTTTATTTTACTTTAAGTTCTGGTATACATGTCCAGAACATGCGGGTTTGTTACATAGGTAAATGTGTGCCATGCTGGTTTGCTGCATCTATCAACCTGTCACCTAGGTATTAAGCCCCACATGCATCAGCCATTTGTCCTCATGTTCTCACCTCACTCCCTGCTCCCTAACAGGCCTCAGTGTGTGTTGTTCCCCTCCCCTCCCTGTGTCCATGTGTTCTCATTGTTCAACTCCCACTTATGAGTGAGAACACGCAGTGTTTGCTTTTCTGTTCCTGTGTTAGTTTGCTGAGGATGATGGCTTCCAGCTTCATCCGTGTCCCTGCAAAGGACATGATCTCAAAATTGCAAAATATAAATCATAATCACAAAAATATAAGTCATAAAAAAGTGAAATATTATCTTTAGTATGTTGAAAGAAAATAGTTGTTTACCAAGAATTCCATATCTAGAAAAAGTAGCTTTTGAAAATAAAGGGGAAATGATGACCTTTAGAGGTAAAGAAGAGATAAAATGTTCACCACTGAAAGACTTTCACAAAAGAAAATTCTAAGGAATGTGCTTCAGGAAGAAGGGCAATCATGTCAAATGGATGGTCTTAGAGACAAGAAGAAATAGTGAGTGCAGGGATGGTTGTAATTGTTACAGGTAGTAAGACAGGCATAAGTGGGGCAGGAGAGGGCTCCCCCCAGCCACCCACCAGGAATGTCAGGTGATCATCAGTTGATGGTTCAGGAGTTATCATATTGCCTCTCTAAAAGTGATAACTTAGCAGCCAGCACCAGGGAGAGACAATCTTCTGATGGCCCACAGCTGTCACACTAAAGTGTTAATTGAACACAGGCACCAGGGAGAGGCAACTTTCCAAACAGAGAAAACACTTCCTCAACACGGTGTGCATGCTCACCAAGCATAAAGAGGGCACTATGCATGCAGGCAGCCCAGCCTAAGGGAAGCATCATGGGAAAGGGGCACAAGAAGCCAGAGGTGGGCCAGAACATAAAGTCCTAGGATCAAGGTTAAGCACTGCATTTTCCCTTCCAGTTTCCCTCCTGAGTTTCCTCCAGGTGTACTTTCCTTTCTTTCCTGCTCTAAAGCTTTTTAATAAACTCCTTTAAATAAGCTTTTTAATAACTCCTGCTCTGATACTTGCCTCAGTTTTCTTTTCTGCCTTATGCCCCTCAGTTGAATTCTTTCTTCTGAGGAGGCAAGAATTGTGGCTGGTGCACACACGTACAGATTTGCTGCCAAGTAACTCAGATACCTTCTACCCCTAACATAATGATCTAGGTAAAGCTAAACAAAATTGACTGTGTAAAACAATAATTATAATGTCTAGTTTGCGGCTTTAAGAAACAAGGCAAAACCTAAACACTGAGAACTATTGATATGGCTCCGATGACTGAAAAAACACCAGGGTCCTTTGCCTTGTGATGATTTAGATAAAATGACACAGACACAAGTAGAGTGGTTTTAAGGAGCAGAGAGCTTAACAGGAAAGAAAGAAGAAAGAAGCTCTCCAGTACAGAGACAGAGGGAAGGGGGCTCTAAGCCAAGAGAGGAAACCCTGAGTGTGGCAGAAAACAGTCAATTATATTAGGAGGCTGGAGGAGGCAGTGTCTGATTTGCATAGGGCCCAGCGGATTGGTTTGACCAGGTATGTCATTCACATAGCCTGCAAAAAAACTGGCCATCCCACCCTAGCCTTTTAATATGCAAATGCAGGGCACCATGATGTCCTGCACATGTGGGGTTATCTGGGGGTGGCTATGACCCTCAGCAGATGGGGTTACAAGGAGAAGAGGGAGGGAATCACCATAGTGGATGGACCCAGTTTCTTATGGCCAGCATTTGCATATCAAAGCCTGCCAGCCTGGCCCTTCCAACTGCTTTTCTGCTAGACAAGAAATGTTTCTGGAGCTGCTTTAAAAGAAAGAAAACCTTTCCAAGGACCCCTTATCCACTCTATCTGCCTAAAATAATTTCTTAATAACTCCTATAATATTTCCCCCGGAGGAGATGTCATCCTCACTACTGTTAGGGGGCTTTGGGCCACAACTCTTTCTGGCTACTTCCTGCCGCAAACGGGCGTCCAGTGGGAACAGCAGCTAGGGCTCCTCCTGGGGTCGATCTAAGGGTCCTTGGCAGAATGTTATGTCCATAGGTGGTTCTGTTTGCAGCCCCATTTGGCGTTTGATTGCTTCTAGACAAGATGAAACAATTCGAGTTATAGTATTGAGTATACAAGGTCCAAATATTAATGCAAGGCATATAAGCAAGAGGGGGCTTAATAAAAGAGCTAAACAATTCCATAAAGAAGACTGGAATTCATTTAACAGCCACTCGGGGCTGAAGCCTGCATTTTCTCTTAGCCTGTCAATAATTTTGATGTGATGCATTTTCTCTTAGCCTGTCAATAATTTTGATTTGATCTTTAAGTACCTGTAGATTTTCCTCTACTTTACTAGAGGTGTTAATCCAGAAGCAGCATGTTTAATTTAAAAGTGCACAGGTGCCTCCTACTTCAGCTGTAAGGACATCTTAGGCCCATCTATTTTGTGCTACTACTGAGGCTAAAGAGTCTATACATTGTTGTTGTGTGTCTATGGCACCTACAATTGCCTTCCATCCTCACTGCGTCATAATGGAGATATTAAGTACTGATCTTTCAAAGAGAGGGATGCTCGTAAACCGGAATAGACCTCTGGCTATGGAATTTTCCATCCATGGTTTTTCCAAGATGGGATTGTCATATGCATGCCCTCCTCAGTCTGCCCTTTCAGTTAAATCTACATATTAGGGTATAGATATGATAGCACTCTTTGTCCGGCATATTAGAGATAGTGTAGTTTCTAGAAAAGAGCCTAAGTTAGTGATGCCCCCAGATGATGCTGCCTTCTCAGTAGAACTTAAACATAGTAAGTGGGAAACTACTGCTCCTATAGTACAGGTTCCCTTCCAACGCCTTGGGAGGATTAGGAGTCCAGGAGCCACACAAAAAAATATAGCCCCATTCCCTGTAGGGACGATCCTAAGTTGTGCCTTGTGAGAGACACCAGCAGATTTTTCTCATATCTTAGAAGTTTCCCTTCTTTACATGTAATAGGGGCATCCTTGGGATCAGGACATCCATATTTAAGATAGTCATTTACAATGCCGTTTGGAATTTGACAAGCCAAGTGAGAAGGGTCCACCTGACAAATGAAGTTTTGAAAAATTAGAGACATAATATGCCCTGACCAATATCTCAGATGATCCTTGTGGCAAGGGCCGTTAGTCCAGATGTCTCCAGTTTGCCCACAGATCTGTAAGCAGCTACTATTAGCAAACATCATACAAGGGTCTGGAATTCCATGAGGGGGCATGTTTGGAAAGGTCCCTGTGTCATTCTTTACATTATAGTCAAGATGGTTGCTTAGAGCATGCTACTCCCATCGGGACTTCCAACCAGAAGGAAAGACTAGATTCTGAAAGCTCCCCACTAGGCCTTCTGATCCTTTTAGATCACCCTTGTTGCACTCTCCTCCTCCACATCTTTGAACTATCAGCAATTGCAAGTGTGATGTTACAATATCTGAGATCTCCTAAGTATGGCCCTTTCTCACTGCTTTTTAAGCAGAGGGAGGCATTATGCAATCAACTTTTCCCAGCCTGAGGGTGTGGGGAGAGTGTTCTTTGGCACTGGGGGCAGAGTGTTCTCCTGAGAGGAGTTAGTTACACAGTTGAAAGTGCTCCCATACCATGTCCCATCAGGTATCTCCTGCAGAGCTAAGAGTGAAGTGGGGAGAGTAGGATATACTGGAGATAACAGAGCTGGAGTAGCTGACGGTACAATTGGAGGGGGACTGGAAGGGTTATGACATTCAATAGCTGTCTTAGATTGCTCCTCTGGAACCTCCTTCAGCTCTGGGGAACTATTCCCTGTGGGCTTGCCTGCCATGGCTGCTAAAAGAACTGGGTTGATTGTACAGAGCTTGTAAAGGTCTGGGCTGTCTCACAGGGCAAAGGCAGTCTGCACATACTGGACCTCAATCCATTTGCCCTTCTGCCTGCAGAAAAGATCCAACTGTTGGATAATATTAAAATCAAGGCTTCCCCCAACGGGCTAGGTTTGTCTGTCCCCAAGACGGTAAGAAGGCCGTGCCCTTCTGCAATACAATATGAAGGGCTTTTTCTTCAAAGTCTCAGAATCGAAGGAGTCCCAGTGCTTTAAAATACACTCCAGGAGAGTGCATGCTGGACAATCTGTTACCCATGTAGAAAGAGAAGTGAGAATAAAGGTGTCCTTTTAGTCTCCTTGCTTTCTGTGTGTGAGCCAGGGTGGAGAAGAAAACAGTGGGGGTGTCCCCCCAATTATTCCTGGGTCCTGGCACCCTGTTAAATATGCTGCCCATGACTGTAGGTGTGATCCTCTAAGCCACAGCACCAGAGGAACTAGACTTTTGAGACCTAGTCACGCTTACTCAAGTAGTCCTAGTCCTCTGCCTATTATTTCCCTTTGACCTCATAGACTTGTGTGACCTGTGTGCCTCCCTAAAAATAAAATGGATCTCAGGAAAAACTTTATAATTGGACAAGGCCCCTTTAATGGCAAGGCATGCTAGATTGAACTCTATATCCTGCTATTATGGCCCATGCTAAAGCATTTACCCTTAGAAAAATGGTTCCAGTTAACTTCTGGACTTAAAATGCCCTTACTAGTTAAGTACTGTCTTAATCGGAGACAGAATAGGTACCTTGAAGGAACGCAGGAACCTAATGGCGGTTTTCCTGCTGAAGGGACGATATCGAGACTAAAATTTGCCTACGGAAGACATTTAACTCCTAACTGTTGAGAGTAGAAT
This sequence comes from Homo sapiens, assembly GCF_000001405.40. Taxonomy (NCBI): domain Eukaryota; kingdom Metazoa; phylum Chordata; class Mammalia; order Primates; family Hominidae; genus Homo; species Homo sapiens. The sequence goes on along the minus strand of NC_000013.11, from coordinate 96,967,740 downwards.
TTTCCCGTTCATGGAAGAGGCTTAGAGCCTGATTTCCAGTGGTGCAAAAGGAAGCTCATGTTACCATAAAAAAAAAAAATAAAATAGCCTCATAGCCTCATGAAGAGGATTTCTATTTCCAGTAGGTGGCGATGTTGGCTTAGAAATACTATGTGCTCGCCAGGGTGGGGGTGGGGCGTGGCGGCGGGGGAGTCAGGGGAGGTAGGGGGAGAGAGAGCGAGAGAGAGACTGTGGGTAAGGGGAACAGAAGATTGGAACAGCATTCCTGAGCTACACTCCCGGTTACTAAATTCCCACACATTTGACACAGAGAGAGTAAGAGACTGCAGATAGGAAAAGGAAGGAGCGTTTTGGGACAGGATAGCTGGGGAATCTCTGCCAATACCCGAAATGGGCTGTTGGAGGCTAGGTTCGGTCTAGAGGCCTTTGGGTAACGCCAGGGGGTGCCCTGGCCAGAAATTCTCAGTTGCCTCAGAACTTTTTCCAGCCATGGTGAGGTTTTCCCACAAAAGGAAACTGATTCAAAACATGGCCAACATTCCTAATGACCTGTGGGTATTTGGGGGTTCTCCATGTTCTCACCAGCAAGTCTGTCATCTGAGTCTTTAGAACAGCAGACACGATCAGCCTATTTAACCAGCTGATGGATGCCCATTGATTGATTTGATTTGATTTTAAAATAGAGGCTAAGATCACCTCAGAATGATAAAACAGATTTTAAGCTCACTCCCATACTTACCACGCTGTACCTTGGTTTCCCAGCCAATGCACTAAAATGATATGGCTCTGATGACTGGAGGAACACCAGGGTCGTTTGCCTCGTGGTGATTTAGATAAAATGACACAGACACACGTGGGATGGTTTTAAGGAGTGGAGAGTTTAATAGGCAAAAAAGAAGAAAGAAGCTCCCCCGTACAGAGACATAGGGAAGGGTGCTCCACGCTGAGAGAGGAAACTCCGAGAGGTGCAAAACAGTCAGTTATATTAGGAGGCTGGAGAAAGTGACGTCTGATTTGCATAGGGCCCAGGGGATTGGTTTGACCAGGTATGTCATTCACGTAGCCCACAAAAAAACTGGCCCTCCCACCCTTGCCTTTTAATAAGCAGGGTGCCATGATGTCCTGCAAAGTGAGGTTATCTGGGGGCGGCCATGATGCTTAGTACACAGGGTGACAAGGAGAAGAGGGCGGTAATTGCCATATTGGATGGACCCAGTTTCTAACGGCTGGTATTTGCATATTAAAGCTTGCTGGCCTGGCCCTTCAAGCCACTTTTCTACTAGACAAGAAACATTTCTGGAGCTGGTTTAAAAGAAAAAAAACCTAACCAAGGACCCCTTAAACTCTGTATCTGCCTAAAACAATTTCTTAATAACTCCTATAATACTATTAGCATTTACTTTGGGAGAAGTGATATTGTAATTAATACAGCAAGATCTTTACATTTGGGAAGAGAGTAGACACATTGACTAACTTTGGCTGTGTTAAATTTCAATGTGAGAACATCAAGGAAAAAAATCTCAAAAAATAAATTTAAAGAATTTAAAATCTAAGGCAATGGAAGGAAAATATGGAACAAGAAAAAGAGAGCATAGGAGGAGTAGCACAGAAGACATAGGTAAGTTAGTGTCAATATTATTTATCTTTAATTGGGTTAATAGATCACAAGTGTTTATTGTCTTAATAAACAAGCAAAGAAATAAATTAGGCAAAGGAAGACTTTGCATAGACCAGTGATGAGAATCTGTCATGAACCAAGGAGTATTATTAATCTAATTCTGTTTACCTGAGAGTTTTAAAAGATGAATAAATACATAAATGAATGAATAAATAAATATCAATTAACCCAAATGAAATCAAGAAAGAGGAGGGAAACAGAAGCATAAGAAACAAACAGAAGCCATAAAATAAGATAGAAGAATAAATACAAATATGTCAGTAATCACAATAAATGTAAAAACACTAAATGTTCCAGTTAAAAAATAAAGACTTTCAGACTACACCAAAAGTAGTATAATGTGTGCTCTTTTAAAGAGACAAATATAGAGTATAGACACATTGGTAGATTTTTGTCTGTAGATTTTAAGACACATTTAAAACAACTTACTAACTTATGAATAAATTTAAAAAATGGAACAGAGCTATAAGAAAGAAAGAAATAGAATTAGAAATTTCAGATATTCCAGTTAAGAAACACTAAGTCTATATGAACATGCAAGTAACTTCTATCAAAGATGCAAAAAGAGTCAAATTTCAGTTTTCCATAAAATATTATGAATGGAAACATGGATAATAGGCTAGCTTTTAACAAAAGCTGGAAAAAGAACAGTAGAAGGAAGAAAAACTTACGAGTTTTTATTGTATTACATACAATAAAATAAACACATTTTTAGGCACTGATGTAAAAAGTCCTAAAAAAGAAAAAAAGAAAAACTAAATCAATAATGCATTTTTAGCAGAAAACAATACAACATACCTAAAATGAGTTTTCAATTTCAGGAATGTAAGATTGGTTAAATATTAAAATCAATTTATGTAATTCCCCTTATTCATGAACTAAACAAGAAAACAATATAAGCTTCTTAATAAATAGGAAAATATTAATAAATTTGACATACACATTTGATACAAACTCTTAGCAAACTAGAAATAGAAGAGAACCTCCTTAGCCTACCTATCTACCAAGGAACCTCTAATAAATATAGTACTTAATTGTAAATCATCAACAGCCTTTCCTTAATATCAGAAACAAAATGACGATGTTCACTATTGTTATTTTTATTCAATGTTGTACAGAATTCCCTATCTTGGGGTCAGCAAACTGTGGCCCGTTAACCCAATCTAGTTTACTCTCTGTTGTTATATGGCCCACGAACTAAATGATTTTTTCATTTTTAAATGGTTGGAAAACAATCAAAAGAATATTTTTGACACATGAAAATTATACAACATTTAAATTTAACTGTCCATCAGTGATGTTTTATTTCCTTACGTATCATCTATTTTGATACTATAACTACAGACTTGTATACCTGCAACAGATACTGTATGGACCACAAAGCCTATCAGGCCCCTTACAGGAAGAGCTTGAAGACCATTGCTTTCGTTGGCAGAAAGACAACAAATTAATTAGTTAAAAAGTTAGTTTTGCTTTGGTATAGTTTACATACAATAAAATTAATCAACTTTAAATGTACCATTAATTGTGTTTTGAAAAATATACACAGCTGTGTAGTCAGCACCACAATCATGATATAGAACATTTTTTATCAGTCTAAAAAGTTCTACGTGCTCTTTTTCTGTGAGTTCTCTTCCCTCACATCCAGTCCCTGAGGATCTCTGATCTGTTCTCTTCATTTTCTAAAATTTTCTATAATGGTATACTGTGTCATCTTGTTTTTGAACTTCTTCCACTTAGCATAAAGCTTTAGAGATTTGTCAATTTTTTTTTTTTTTTGCTGTGTCAGTGATTCTTTCCTTTTTGTTGATGATTAGTATTCCATTTGTGCAGAAATGACTGAATTTATTTATACATTTCACCATATGAAGGGAACAGGTAGTTTCCACTTTTTGGCTGTTATACATAAATCTTCTATAAATATTTGAGTGCAAATCTTTGTGTGACTATATATTTTCCTTAGGGTAAATACCTAGAGATAAAATTGCTGGTTCACATGGTAAAGGTGTGTTTAGTTTTATTAGAAGCTGCCAAACTGCTTTCCAAGGTGGCTGTGCAATTTTCCATTCTCAACAGCAATGAATAAGCATTCTAGTTGCTTCATTCCTTTGCCAGCAGGTGGTACTGTAATTTTTTTTAAATGTTGCCATTCCAGTGGGTGTGTAGTGATAGCACGTTGTTGTAATTTGCATTTACCTGATGACTAAAAATGCTGCATCTTTTTTATATGCACATTGGCAATTTGTGTATCTTCTTTTGTAAAGTTTGCCTAATTATAAAGGGGTTATCTGTCTTTTATTATTGAATCTTAAGTATTCTTTATATATTATGGATATAAGTCTTTTATTAGATATATAGTTTGCAAATATTTCCTCCCAGTTTGTAACTTGATATTTCATTTGTCTAAAAATGTCTTTTAAAGAGCAAAAGGTTTTAATTTTGATAAAGTTCAGTTGATAGTATAGTTTGTGCTTTTTCTTCCCTGTAAGAAATCTCTTTGCCTAGTCAATGGTCACAAATATTTTCCACTGTTTTCTTCTAGAAATCTTACAGTTTTAGCTTTTACATTTAATTACATTTAATCAGCTCTTACATTTAATTATCGATTTTGGGTTGATTTTTTGCATGGTGTGAGGTAAGTGTCAAAGGCCCTTATTTGGCATATGGATATCAAATTGTTACCGCAACAATTTACATTATTTGTTTATCACTGAATTACCTAGTCATTTTTGTGAAAACTTAATGGTCTATAAGGGTCTATTTATTTATTTATAATGTATTTATTAACTGTCTATTCTGTTCTATTATTTAATACATCTATTTTTAGTCTAACATCACACTCACTACTGTAGTAATGAGTAGTGAGTGCGATGTAGTATGGTAAGTCATGAAATTACTTCACATCTTCCAGGTTTGTTCTTCTTTTTATAATTTGTTTTGAATAGTCTATGTCCTTTGGCTCTCCATATACATATTAGAATCATTTTATTAATTTCTCCAAAGAATGTGCTGACATTTTGGCTGAGATTGCATTTAACCAACAGGTCAAGTGAGAAGGAACAGTACTCTAGCAATATTTAGTCTTCCGACCCACAAACATGGTGTATCTTTCCATTTATTCAGGAATTCTTTAATTTCTTTCAGAAACTTTTTTGTAGTTTTCAGGATCCATGTCTATTACTCTATCCTGCCCAGAAATTGAAATGGCGAAAGTATAAGGCTGAAAGGCAGAAAAAAAATACAAAAGTTGTAAGACAGAAATAGCCAAGACATGTCGAAGAACATAATTGGGTGGAGGTAATCAAGCTCTACTACACAGTTATGTGAATTTACAACCGTGCAGTGTTGGTATGGGGTTATGAAAATTAAACATTGCGAGGTAGTGGGAAGCCTAGGAGCTGATCCTCATGGATTTGGAAATTCGATTTATGATAGAGTAGTCACTGCAGGTATGTGTGGAAAGAATTGCTTACCAATAAATAGTGCTGGAAAGGCTGACCATTCATATGGAAATATAGATTCCCATATCACAGCTTTTACACAATTAATTCTCAGAGGATTGATAACCTAAATGGAACTACGTAGTACTGATAAGAATATAAACTCTAAAACTTTGGTGTCTCAACACAATAAAAATTTATTATTCGTTTTTCTGAATCAGTGTAGGTGTTCCTGGTCAGAAGGTAGCTTTTGTCCACACAATGATTCGGGGACCCAAACTCCTTTCGACTCGTGGCTCCTCCACTGCCCAGCACCTCAGATGCTTCTTTTTCATCACCCTCTTCTTCTGTTCCAATGGCAATCACTGGTCCCTGTTCTCTCCATTGGTCCAGTTGTAGATATTTATTATATGGCTATTTAGGGACTAAAAGACAATTTATGTGGCTACTGTCCCCAACCTCAAAACATAAAGAAAAAGCAGATTAAAGATAACTGCAATATAAAATATCCTTCAGAAAAGAATAGGAGACAATAGTCAAATGAACTTCAAAATCCTGCCATATAGGCATTAGGAAGACTACGTTCCCTAGCTACAGAGGAAGTTCCTTGATGAGACTCAAGTCCGTTCTCTAGGAGAAACTTCCTTTCCGCACTTCTCCACTCTCTCAGAGATTCTTATTTTTTCTCCTCTAAGGCAGTTTCAAGATTTCAGCAAGCATCAGAATCACCTGGAGGGCTTACAGCACACATGGCTGGGCCCTATCCCTAGAGTTTGTTATTCAGTAAGTCTGGGTAATGTGCATTTCTAACATTTTCCTGATTGATTGTGATGCTGCTGGCCTGGGGACTACATGTGGAGAGCCCCACTGCCTAAGAACCCATCTGAAATGAGCTTTGAGGGGTCTGCCCTCCTTGAGAGGGCTGGATCTTCACTGCCAGCTTCTTGCTGGGGCCGGTTTATTGGAGGCATGACTATTTTATAATCACAGGCTTTTTAAAGCCAGATTGCAGTTTATTCAACAATATAATTCCCATGGACACAGTAGACTTCTCATCTATTCAATTTCAGTAAATCCCATGTATGAATAACTACATTCATTCTTCCCTCGACATAATTCTCAATCTGATTTATGTCTTTGCTTTTTGCTCCCTGTATCCCACCATTGGCTTTCTCAATGTAATGGCAGATACCTTGAGGCCATCTCATAAAATAACCTTGAATTGGAAAGAAACAACCTTAATTTGATCTTTGCCACAAGGCCTAATCCTTTTGTGTAACTGAGAATTCCTAATGAGTCTTTCTTGCTCTAAATATTTTTTCATTCTAATTTTTAAATCATGGTTTACGGTACAGAAATAGCTTTGCCAATCCTTGAATCACTAAATTTCTGGACTTTCTCCACTCCTTTCTATCTCTGCTCTCAAGACAACCACTTCTTGCTTGGACGCATCTTTTTCTTTATATACCTTGAGATAAGAGTGAGTAGAAACCAACACATGGTAACATTTTTAGCTCTTTGCAACTACTTCCTGTAGAGCTACATATCTACGAGGCATTTGATCTGCTTTCAGAATTACAGCAGGCACCATTTTATGCTACTGCATAACAGAGATCTCCATATTTCTGTCTTGCTTTATCTTTTTCCTTGCTTTCTATCACCCATCCACTATGTCAATGCCACATATTTTAGAATTTGTTAAGGTAGCTTTCCACTTGTAGGTACCAATTTCCACATTGGTTAGGGTAATACTACGTGATGAAATAAAATAGCCAAAAATTTAGTGGCTAACACAATAGAAATCCTTTTTTTTTTTTTTTTTTTTTTTTTTGCTCAACTGGCTGCTGAATATGCGTGTTCCTGGTTGGCAGGTGTCTTAGGTAAGGCTGCTGCAATAAACTACCATGGACTGGGTGGCTTATGAATGACAGAAATTTACTTCTCACAGTTTTGGAGACTGGAAGCCTGCAATCAGGGTGCCAGCATGGTCGAGTTCTGGTGAAGACCTGCTTCTTAGTTCATAGAAAGTTATCTTCTTGCTGTTCTTTCTGGGGTCCCTTTTATCAGGGCACTAATCCCATTCAAGAGGGCTCTGCCCTCATGACCTAATCACTTTCCAAAGTCCCCACTTCTTAATATCATTGTATTGAGAGTTAGGATTTAAAATATAAATTTCGGAGGAACACAAACATTCAGTTTATAGTAGTGGGCTATTTACCTACACATAGTCATTCTAGCATCTATGTTCCTTCCACTTGTGGCTTCATCAGATCCCAGGATCCCAGAGTAATTGCATTTTTGTGGATGGGGAAGGAGATAATTTATCACTTCTTATATGAGCATGACATCACGTCTACTCATATTCCATTAACAAGAACTAGTCACATGATCCCATCTAGATGCAAACAAGGGTTAACCAATCACTGACTGAGCAGCTTCTTCCTGACAATTCTATCTTCTGAAGAGAATAAGCACAAGGACTTGGTGGACAGTTAGCCTGCTTTACCACAGACCCAAAAGGGTGCAGTAACACTTTAGATGACATAGGACACTATTCTAAGAATCTAGGAGAAAAAGGATTTTTTAAACAAGCCACCAACCACATAAACCACAAACAAATTATTGATAAATTCAACTCCATGAAAACATTAAGAACTTCTATTCACCAAAATATACCATAAGGAGAGCAAAAAGACAAGCCTCAAACCAGGAGAAGATATTTGCAATATAAACCCCTGACTTTACATATCTAGAAGATATAAAGGACTTACAAATGAATAAAAAGACAAATGGTTCAGTAGAAACTATAGGTAAAAATATATCGATACATACATGAAAAGTTGCTTAAACTCATTAGAATTCAGGGACACGCAAGATTGAGCTACAGAGAACTGCCATTTCATGTCTATCAGGTTGGTACATATTTAAAAGCTGGATAATATGAAGTATTTCTGAGGCAGTGTGGTGCAGTAAACACTTTTTACAGAGCTGTTAGGAAAGAACATTTACACGCCAATTTGGAAAACAGTTTGGCATTACCTCATAAAGGTAGTGGGTACAAGGGTATTTATTTTCTCATTATTCTTTTAAGCTATGCACACACATACACACAACACATATATAATTTATTCCACAGTATAAATATTTAAAACAATAATCTTTTGAGAATATGACATCAGAATTGTAGAAAAGGTGATTTGAAGTCATGCTGTAACCGCACTGGGCCTATTCTGTAACGCTTGATACCTCTTCTTCATTCTAGTTTCATATTTAGAACTGTTCCTTCCTCCCATCATCATATAAGTAATGGATAGCATAGCTTCTTAGATTAATATGAAAGAGCAGTTCCAAACCAATCCACCTGATCATCTTAATCTTCCGAGGGTTGATGAATAAGGGGGCGAGAGTGCCACGCCAAGATCTCTTTTCCATCTCACCCCCCAGTCCTCTGGAGGAAGCACACCTTCTGTTTATGTCAAAAGGGTTAATTAACAAGAGTTGGTGTCACTTCCAATAATTACTAGGAATTAAAATTTACAGAAGGCACAACAAGGGCCTGGCAGCTGTACCAAAATAAATCTGCCTCTGATCATGCAGCCGCAGCTGTTACATCTCAGAACATATTTTCCAAATCACCTTGGCTTTTTCAAAGCCCAAGCATGAGTATGACCAGATTCCCACAGAGTTCCTTGGACTTGAAAACAGGAAGATGGGCCCCACAAAACAGCATATGGATCTACCCTCTGGCCTTCAAAATTGAGGGGACTCATTTTCCTTTTTTCGGAGGACTGAATTTCAAGCGTTTGCTGCAGCAGCCAGAATTTAAGGCCATACATAAACTCTTCTCTTTTAACTTTCAAATGGAAATAATGAATTATTATAATAAACTGTAATATGTAGCCTAAATGAGACAGATCCTCAAGCACAGATAAATAGTTTGAAAAATAAAGTAGAGGTTTACACCTATCTTTGTGCAACATGAGGTGAAGTCATCCTAGAATCCCTTAGCATCCTAACGGCCCTCCAGAAACCACTTTCAATGTTAAATTGAGAGCACAACCACTCCTTAAAAATCCTTAGGCAAAATTTTGCTTCCTAATCATACATCACCTTGACGCCAATGCCTGAAACAAAACAACCACTAGAGGGCAGAGAACCTTATTAGAAATAAAAGTGCCTCAAAGAATGGAAAGCTTGAAATGCCTTCTCAGCCATATATATTAATTGCTGCGAAAGACAACATGAGGGTGGGTTGTTTATAAAATCTCTTTCTATAAAACCTGAGTCTTCCAACAAATATGAACCAAACTGGCAAAATTAGTGAATGTACATATTTTTTTTTCACTGATGAGCTGCAGTTCCTAACCTACCTTATAATTCAATTAACCCACAGATAACTGTTTTAAAATTTTTTCCATCCATTAGAGTCCTTTGTAAAAAGAAAAGTAGTATCCATTAAAGACTGCATGTTAGAAAAACAACACCTTCCTAATTTATTCTTAGAAAAGATTCGAAGGGAACCCTAAACCCAAAGAGATGGTGGGATATAGTGTGTGGAGATTTCATTTGGGAAAATCAGGATCCTGTTTTAGGAATCCTAATTTGCCCTGGGCTTGTTGGGATATAAGGTAATGACCATGTGGCTAGCTAATTCTTCAACTGGTTGATTTCTGGCTTTTGTTTGCATTGACACAGGCGGTTGTTATTGGTGGTGATGTTCATCTTGTGTTTCTGTGTGTCTTTCTCTCCAGAATGAAAGAAATGTTTTTCAGCTTTAGGGTCCTGCTTCATGACAAAAAGGAATTTCTAGGTCGTGCTACAACTTCCCTTGCCAACAGCATTCCTTCTGTGTCTGCTGAGGTACAAAATATCTCCATATAACCAAAATCCCTGTGAGCTACAAGCTAACTCAAATAAGCATTGATGCATAAAGAAAAAATAACCTACCCTGAGGCTGCACCTGCCTAGTAAAGAATGGAGCAGAGTATGTGGGCTGAAAAGGAGATGCTTAGGGAAGTTTTTATTTATCCCAACTGGCAATCATTAGTTTCAAATCTGTGGGAAGAATGGAAGTCAGGAGATAAATTGTGCAAAAAGAGTAAAAAAGAAAATCTTATGGGTTATTTGGTTAAATGGAGCTTGTGGAAGATTAGAAAAACAAATGAAAATGAAAAATGAACCAAAGGAGATACCCTATTCTAATTGAGTGCATGTGGAAAAAAATTTCCACATGGAAACTGCTGTTATGTTGTCTTTGAGAATAGGAACATGGATGAAGTGCAGTTGGAAGCTTTTGAATGGAACCCTCATCTTCAGAATAGATCAAAGAATTCCGTAAAAACTCATGTAAAATCCCCTTGGATGTCAGAGGGATCTCAAGTAAGCAGAATCCACAATGATTAAGTTTCCTTCTAAAAAGCAGTATGTGTGCTTAATTCACTACTTGGCTTGGAGTGTACTGCAGTGGAGACATTTTATTTAGAAGTAAGTGAGAAAAGCTGTTAAACATATAATAATGATAATGGTAATGATTATGATGTTGGTGACAATGAGAACAAACTCCTTGTAGTGCTTGGTTGTAAGCACTTCCCATATATTAACTCATTTAGCCCTTATAATAACTCTATGAATTAGAAATTATTATCTTGATGTCCATATTATGGAAGGAACTGAATTGAACTACAGGGAGATTAGAGGACTCACCCAAGGTCACATATATAGTAAATGGTGGAAGGGGAGCTGAAACTCAAGCAAGTCTGTTTCAGGGGCTACACTTTTAACCATTGGTTAAGCTGCTTTTCTACACAATAAAAAATGCTTTGTTCACATTTTTCTTAGTACTTATTGTTGTGTGAGTAAAATGTAGAAATCTGTAAACCCATGTAGTTCAGGTGTCCCAGCCCAGCTGACTTGGATCCCTACGCAGATTAAGAAGTATGCCTCATGTATGGTGAACATTAAATCGATGCTGACTTCTTGTTATCTGTACACATTATCATCCAGATTGTGTATTTTAAAATATACAGTAGTACCACAGATATTTCATTTTAAGGAAACAAATCTACTTATGACAATGTTAAATGGAAATCCATGTGATATGGTTTGGTTCTGTGTCCCCACGAAAATCTCTTGTTGAACTGTAATCTCCAATGTTAGAGGTGGGGCCTGTTGGGAGGTTTGGATCATTAGGGTGATTTCTCATTGCTTAACACATTCTGTTGGCGCTGTCATCACAATAGTAAGTTGTCATGAGATCTAGTGTGCAGCACCTCCTCCTTCTTTCTTCCTCCTGCTCTGGTTATGTGAAGTGCACTCTCCCTTTGCCTCCTGCCATGATTGTAAGGTTCCTGAGGCATCCCCAGAAGCCAAGCTGATGCTGCCATGCTTCCTGTACAACCTGTGGAACTGTGAGCCAATTAAACCTCTTCTCTTTATAAATTACCCTGTCTTAGGTATTTCTTTATAGCAATAAGAGAACTTACTAATACACCATGTTAAAAGGGAATCCTCCACAATTTTGCAGATTCTTGTCACCTGGAAGGAGTTGTTTGGAGTAATGTAAAGAAGGCAAGTTCAGCCACTGGTGTCGCCTACTCAACACCTCATCTCCTCCTTTATTATCTCCTCCTCATTCCCACTTTTTCCTCTTTCTTTTCTAGACCTGTCCTAACACTGAAGGATCATAAAAAATTTGCTTTCACCAAGAAGTTCAGAAACTTTAACATGGCTGATGTGATAAAGTGTTGGGTCTTTCTCTGAAGGTAAGTTTTCCTCCCATTAATCATTTTAAAATAGAACATAGGCCGGGCATGGTGGCTAACGCCTGTAATCCCAACACCTTGGGAGGCTGAGGCGGGAGGATCACTTGAGGTCAGGAGTTCGAGACCAGCCTGGCCAACATGGTGAAACCTCGTCTCTACTAAAAAAATGCAAAAAATTAGCCTGGCATGATGGCACACGCCTGTAGTCTCAGCTACTTGGGAGGCTGAGGAACGAGAATCACTTCAACCTGGGAGGTGGAGGTTGCAGTGAGCTGAGATCTTGCCACTGCACTCTAGCTTGGGAGACAGAGCGAGACTCCAGCTCAAAATAATAATAATAATAATAATATTCCATGACTTTGATCAAACCTGAAGGAACTCCAAAACCAAAAAAAGGTTGAGGGAGGATCTATGTGGCTCTGTGTGCATTGACATAATTTACCTACTCTTGTACTCCGTGCAAACATTAAATGCTGTAAAACTTGGGTTTTCTATTTAATCAAATCATACACATTTAAGGCTTTTGCTTAGCAAATTTATCTGAGCATTGGCTTGACATTTTTTAATTATGTAATCATTAAGATAATCCTTTAGACCCTGGCTTTCGAAGTGTGATCTGCACATCTCTGAAGGTCCTCTGGATTCTTTTGAGGGATCCAAGATGTCAAAGCTATTTTTGTAATACTACTAAAAAATGTATTTTGTTCTTCTCACTGTTTGTCATTTACCCTGCTGATGCAAATGTAATGGTAGGTCTAACTGCTGGTCCCATAGCACAAACCAAGGCAGTGGTACTAAGCTGTGCTAATAGTCATCACTTTCTTCACCTCCACATACTTGCAGCAAAAAAGGAATATTTCAGTCTCACTCAGAATGCTTCTAATGAAGCAACAAAATTTATTATTAATTTTTTAAACATCTAGATTCTGAAATGAACATGCTTTTAAGGTTGTGTGTGACAAAATGGGGAGTATGTGTAAAGAATTTCTGTATTCTTCAATCCATAGCTGTCTTGTGCAAACACACTTGTGCAATTACTTAAGTTGCAAGCCGAACTAGCTGCTTTTTTCATGGAACATTATTTTCTTTTGAAATAGTGACTAACAGACAAACTGTGCTTTTCAGACTTCTGCATTTGGCCAAGAGTTTCGGAAAATCAACAAAATGCACCTGTCCTTTCAAGGAACAAAACTGACAGCATTTGTTTCCAGTAATAGAGTTCAAGCTTTCATGTGAAAATTAGAATTACGGAAAATTTGTATCTGTCCCATGAGTTTGACAGCTTCCCAATTTTAAAAGGCTTTTTTGATGAGATTTGTGGTAATATTAGCAAATGTTATTTTTTTGCATTGAATAATGAAATATGTCAATATTAGGAAAATACTTAATAAACCAATAGGTTCCAAATGACCATTGCATAAGCATTAAAAAATCAAACAAGGGTAAAGATCTATTCCAAGTGAAGATAGGCAAAAATTTTAACCTAAAAGACATGAAATGTTGTTTCAGATATTTCACATTGCAACTAATCTTTAAGAAATTACCGTGTGTTGCGTTTTGGTGTTGCATCAAAGAAGAATGTCCAAAATTATCTGAAATGACTCCTAAATATACTCCTTTTTTTCCATGTATTTCAACCAAAACAACATATCCAAATTACTTAATTAGAGCCCATCTATCATCTAGTAAGCCAAACATTAAGGAGGGTTACAAAAACTGAAAAACAATGCCACTCTTCTCACTAGTATTTATTGCTTTGGTAAGTCTTAGTTTTTATAAATATATATTATTTGTGCCACTGTGTAATGGGTTTATAATTCTCATTTTAAAATAATAATTTAAATTTTTTCCATTTTAATTTCTAAAATGCTATGCAGTGATAATATTAGTCACATTAAACAAAGCTCTTTTAAGTCCTCAATACTTTTTTTATGAGTGTAAAATAGTCCTGAGACCCAAAAGTTTAAGAAATTCTGCTTTAGATATCTAGTCTTAGTGGCTACAAGCTCCATGTCTTATCATCACAGAAGTGCCATGCAGTAGTGCAAAGGCCATAAGGTTGTTGTCTACAGACTTGAGTCTGATCATGACTTACCCATTTACCAGCTCTGTGGTCTTAGCTAATTAACTTGGCATCCCTCAGCCCTCAATCCCTTTACTTGTAAGATGGATATAATAATAACTGCTTAGAATGTTAGACAGTTTCTATGAGTTGCCACAGGTAATTGGCCTATTCCAATGTCTGGAATATAGTAGGCAATAAATACATAGCAGGTCCTTTCTGTTTCCCCAGGTGCCTATATCCATTCTACAATTATGTTGTATTGCCTCTAAATCCTTTAATTTTCCTCCCAATATTACAACAAAAAACACTTGCTTATTTCTTACATAATTAATACCTTCTCTAAATCCCTTCTTTTGACAAAATTTTCTAACCAAAGTAATACACACATATGTATATATTTCAGAATATAATACACACCTATGTATATATATCAGAATATAATATATATACAGAATATATCATAATATATATACAGAATATACATATCAGAATATAATATATATGATGTATATATATTATATCAGAAATAAATGGAAGCACAGGTAATAACTAAGGTCATGCAAACAATAAGCACTGGAGCCAGAACTCTGCACAGTACACCACTGGCTCTGTATGCATCAAGTTAATATATGACTAATGGAAAATTGACTAAGTCACATCAATATCTGCTCATTTTAGAAATTTCAACAGTTTTCCCTCCCTCCTTGCATTACTACCTCCATTGGAAAACAGACAGACCTACCATCATTTATATGGGTAGACCCAGCCAACACACTTACTCCTCTTCTTCCAGGTAGTAGCTTTTTGTAAATGGATTGACTTAAACACAATCAGATAATTGCTTCTGGTGGATAAATAGAAATAATTTAATATTTTCCTTCCACATAATTGCATTTTAATCAATTTATTGGATCAATCCTTTATTATTAATTGTTGCCTGACAGCCTATATTAACTATCTTTAAATTGCCAGGTTTGGAGAGAAAGGGAAATTGATTTTTGCTTATATCAGCATGTTTGTATCCAACAGATACTGGAACTATTTTTTTTTAAAGAACATAATTACATAAATGTCTGACACACATTGTATATAAACTCAAGTAGTAATTTCAAAACACATCATAATTTTTAGAACAGATGCTACAAAGCTACCAGAAGAATCTAAACAAGCCATTTTTGGGTGCCATGGGAATACTTTGCTTAATTTTTTCTTTTTCTTACTTAGGTGTTAAATGACTGTCATTATTTATATCATCTCCTGTGCCTAATCAAGTTAATGCATATCACCAAACATTTTTCTACAATAGGACACAACTTTTAATATTTTCCCCTAGTTCGGTGCAAAGCTTTATAGATTCATGGAATATTAAAGCATAAGGGGCCCTGAGGGACCATCTAGTTTATCCCTCTAAATTTACAGGTGGAGAAATTACTGGCACTGTACATGGTTCACAGTGGGGAGTAGAGGCAGGGATGTGGAATGAAGGAAGGATGGGATTTGGATTTCTTTTTCTAAATTTCCTTGTCAACTCCGGTGACCCTCTGTCTTCAGAATTCTTTTTCTCTACTATGTGTTTTCTTTGATCCCTGTCCCTTTTTCTCTGTCTTGATGGCAACTGAAACAGAGGCTACAGATCTTTCTCCTTTATGCCCCAAAATTCCACTCTCTTGATGCAACCATAGGAAATGGACTTTCACTGGGGATAAGTTGGAGTAATGGCATGAAAGGATTTTGTCTCATCACGATATGGGAGAAGACATTAAGCTGAATATTAGATTTCTCCCTTCTTAAATCTCTCAATGATTCTGGCAATTTCTACCTTCTGGTAATTTCCACCATGTTCTTTATATATCTTCAGCTTATTACCAACTTCTCTCTCTTGTGTCTTCTCCCAGCTCCATACTGCTTTTCTGGGGACACAGTTCTTTAATCTAACTCTGTGTTCCTGCTAAATCATCCCCTTGAGGCCTTACTTTTTGTTAACTTCAGTTTTTTAGTGTATTTTCTTAAATAAAAACAGTTATTTCCCTAACAGTAACTCTGATGCCAACAACAAAATAATATATATATGTTATATTTTATAAATATTATATCTTAGCAGAAGTATACTTAAGGGGCTTTTTGAACAACTGGCAAAAGTGCTTAATTCTACCAAGGGAGGTCACTGTCTTAGTCAATTTGGGCTGCTATAATGAAAAAAATAAAACCATAGACTGTGTGGGTTAAACAACAAATTATATTTTTCACAGTTTTGGAGGCCAGGACTTCCAAGATCAGGGTGCCAGCAGATCCTGTGTCTAGTGAGGGCTCTCTTCCTAGTTTGTAGATGGCCACCTTCTTGCTGTATCCTCACATAGTCAAGAGGGAGACCATCTCTCTTGTGTCTTATATAAGGACACTAATCCCATTCATGAGGGCTCCATTCTCATGACACAAATACCTTCCAAAGGCTCCACCCTCAAATACTATCACACTGAGCATTAGTCTTTAACATATGAATTTGGAGGGGTGGGGCACAAATAGTCCACCAGAGTCAGATAAAGCAACAAGTTTTCTCTGGGAATAAAAGGAGGCAAAATTGGGGAGAAAATTATATCAGGCTAATAGACCAGGTAAAGGTGAATATAGTACAAGTGGCAGATTACAGGGGGTAGAGGGTGCCTAAAGTTCATGGTTCCTATGGCTGGTGGGAGAAAATGATAGGCAGTTGCATACAGGGGCAGATATCAATAGGTCTTCTTATGTTGGTGAGGAATTTACATGAGGATCCAGGGCACTTGGATCTGGTTCATTAACCTCTTTCCCAATCAGACCTGCTCCCCATCCACTCTGGCACTACCTTAGTTGGGTCCGTCACATCTTTCTTGTACTATTTCATTGTTTTAAGGTACAGAGATGAGGAAAAAAATGAGCTTCAGGAAAATAGACCCCTAACTCAGGGTGTTTAGAGGAAAATGTGTGGAGAAGTAGTAAGACTCAAGCTGGAGAGACAAGCAGTAGCCAAGACTCTTTCCAAGGACAACTCTGGCATCCCTCAACTCTCTTTCAGATCCCAGCTAACAAACCACCAACCCAAATGTATTTATGCAAACTCCAGGCAGGAGGATGCTTAACGTAAAAACCCTTCTTCTGACTCTCCTGCAGAAGAAACATAACTAATTTACATTTCTAGCAAATTTCTAGCATAGTATAAAAGTTTATTACAAAAATGCATATCAAAATAACAATATTTTATTGATAGAGATCGAAGAAACTAGTAGAGAAGCTCCATATTTATGAGAACTGGTTGTAATAACTTTAGTTATTTGAGACCATCTGTGCGAACATGGAAATAGCCTCATTATATGTTAACACATAATAGTAGTTATTAAAATTTTATTCTTTTTGTACTGTACTCAAACAAAAAGAGAAACAGAGAACCTAAGGTAGGTTTTCTATGAATGTGGAATCAGAGAAACAAGTATATGTGAAAAGAAACTGCAGAGTTTGCAAATATTTTCTGGAATATCTAAAATTTTTATTAGAAAATCCAAGATGCCACATAGCTAGTGCCAGCTATTGGCCTAACCTTAACCATGCAGACCTGGCCATGCCCTGCATGGGGATGTCCACAGTCATCCAAACCAGCAGGCTGCCTTTTGAAGTGCTCTCTGCCACATCACATGTATACACATGCCTGCATATTTTTTCTCATACACAGAACTATCCTGCAAAATCTGTATTACTCTAAATTTTACAGATGAGACTAAAGTCTCAGCTACTGAATGAGTGCTCAAGACTATAGAATTGATAAGCCAATATATAATTCAGATTCTTGCTTCTCAAAAGCTAGCCCTTTTCTCCTTGCACCTTCCTGTTCTCATGGAATCAGCTTTTCCCATGGGACTTATAAGCTAGTTAGAGTCTTAAAGCCTTTCCCTTGATATATGTTGCAAGAAGATAGCAATAATTTGAACCATCTAAACTTGTGGTTCATAGTTCAAACATGTTTACTATTTACTCATGAAGTTCTTTTGAATACTAGTTGTCCCTACTTTGCAGATGTAAGCTGAAACCATGCAAAATGGTTTTAATAGTCAATGTGAAAATTCTTTCTGTAACTTTTAAAAATTTTTTGTGAAATCATTACTCTTGTCAAGTTTGTAAATGTACTAAAAATAATGAAAATAGTAAAATTAATGTTTAGTATACTATAATTGAAAACACAAACACTGAGGATGAAAGCATTTTATTATTTGTAAAAAATTAATTAAGAGTGCTTTAGGATATGAGGGTGATCTGGCTGAGACGTCTGTTACCCTATTGATCGCCAGGGTTGATTCGGCTGACCTGGCTGGCTAGGCGTGTGTGCTCTTCTTCGCTCACCGCTCTATGTGCATCCCTCCTGTCCCTCCCTAAGTGCACGCTCCGTGGAAGAGGTCGTCCCCCAGAGAAGAGGACCAGTCTTTGAGCAAAGGTATAGGAGTAGCTGCACCCCCATGATACACTCTCCAAACAAGCTCTTTTGTTTTTTAAGACGGAGTCTCACTCTGTCGCTAGGCTGAAGTGCAATGGTACGATCTCAGCTCACTGTAACCTCCACCTCCCAGGTTCAAGTGATTCTCCTGCCTCAGCTTCCTGAGTAATTGTGACTACAGGCGCACACTACCACATCCAGCTAATTTTTGTATTTTTAGTAGGTATGGGTTTTCACCATGTTGGCCAGGATGGTCTCGATCTCCTGACCTCCTGATCTATCCGCCTTGGCCTCCCTAAGCGCTGGGATTACAGGTGTGAGCCACCACGCCTGGCCAACAAGCTCTTAAAAGTAGTTTAGAGCCATGGGTGGCTAGGAGTGGGGACATGGCTGCCACTTAAACAGCAGCAGGCATGAATGCCAGTTGCTGCCGGCTTGGTTCCAGTGGGGACAGTGTCTTTCACGATGAGACGATGAAACTTTAACAGCTGGCACTGGATAATCAGAGAGCACTGCTTAAGAAGAAGCAGAGAAAAAAGCACCTTCAGCCATTCATGGTGCAGCCAAATCCAGAAGTCAGGCTAAGTTGGGTGAAGCCAAAGGCCAATGAGGAGCAGACTCCTTTGATGGACTCTCATACCCCCCACAGCAATGTCGTCTTCATGGCATTGATGGTCCGGCTGCAGTCATGAAGCCAGATGCTCAAGATTTGGAAACCAAAGTTCATGTTCTTTCAGTCAGCTCCCCTGTTCTGGGAGAAAATGCTGAAGAGAGTGTTGATGGGGAAAACACCTTGGATACTGCTTCCAAGCCAGATCTTCAGAAGATTTTCCAAAAACAATAGTATCTCAGATAGTCTGAACTTTGATGAGGAGACTGATGGCGAGGAAGAAGAAGGAAAGAAAATAAGATCCCAGGCTACATATTCAGAAAAAGAAAGACCCAATTCCACATCCAGCCTGCACTCGACCACAGATGCAAATGCTTCCGGTTCCTATGCTGCTGCCCAACCGGCCGGTAACGAGCTGGGGGAAGTGGAGGAACTGGAGGACTTTGCTTCCGTTTTCGATTTTGCAGCCCAACCGCTGCATAACCGGCTGCGAGAAGTGGAGGGCCTGGAGGACTTTTAAGCATAGTCCTGCCCCTTGAAGTGTCACAGTAAGATGTCATATAATCAGGGATAAAAAAAGGAATGGATTGGGGCCCCTGCTCCACTTACTGTATATACTTGGAAAAAGAAGAAAATCAGAAGACATTTCTTCTTACAGCTAGAAAGCGGGAAAAGAGCAAATCATCCAACTGCCTTATCTCCACTGATCCAACTGATTTATCTCGTGAAGGAGAAAGGTATACTGGCAAACTTAGATCTAACCTCAGGGGAACCAAGTTTACAGTTTATGACCGCGGCGTCTGCCCCATCATGGCCGGAGTCTGGTAGGGAAGGCTCACACACGGCAGGAGCTGGCTGTCGTTTCCTGTGAAACAGGTGAAGTGGGATCTGAAGGTCCTAGGAAAATGTCTGTGATCATTCCCGGAATGACGGTGAATCACGAGCAGATCCCATTTCAGCCACGAAATAACGACGGCAGCTTGTTCTCAAGATGGCAGAACAAAACTATGGTCCGGGTGCGGTGGCCCACACCTGTAATGCCAGCATTTTGGGAAGCAGATGCGGGTGGATGGCTTGAGGCCAGGAGGTCGAGACCAGGCCAGGAGGTCGAGACCAGCCTGGCCAACGTGGCGAAATCTTGGCTCTACAATACAAAAATGTACCGGTTCAGTAGCGCGCCTGTCATCCCAGGTATTCGCGGGGTTGAGGCACGAGAATGTCTGGAACCCCGGTGCTGGAGGTTGCAGTGAGGCGAGATCGTGCCACTGCACTCCAGCCTGGGCAGAGCGAGACTTTGTCTCAAAAAAAAAAACAACCAAAAAACAAAACAAAAAAAACAGGTGGCAGGAGAGGCTTTGGGGAGGATTCCCAGTGAACGCGAGCCCTGCAGGCCTAGGCAGGGCTTTGGGCTTTCTTCTTGGCTCCCTGAAGCCTGGATCATGGGCACGAAAGGTGTTTTGCTAAGTTTTTTGGATTATCAGCACCCCTCTGCGTATTATGTGACTCATAGACCAGTTTGCCCTTCCCAGAATGTGTCTGAAACTTGAGAAAGCAAGAGTTCTGTGAGCTCTGCTGTCAGCACCGTTCAGCCACAGCCCTTGTGCACATAACTGCCAGCATTGGGCGAGGCACCTGTGGCGGCTGCTCCCTTTGATGTCCCTTCTGTGGACTGACCTCTCATCCCTGCCTATGCTACACCATATTAGATAAGCATGTTAAGGAGAGCCAACTGGGAGCTGCGAAGACCCTTGGCTCATCTCCCACTGACAAGTCCCACCTGCTGGGTGTGGACAAGACTGTTTCCATCTCAGTCATGCTTCCCCTCAAGTGCCTCCCGCACAGCCGTGCCCAGAAGCCTCACAACTCGTCACCATCACTCCTCCCACACTCTCCACTCCCCTTCCCCACACTGTCATCCTGAGGCACTGCCTGGCAAGCTACCTTCACTGAACACAGAAGCTAAGGAGAACTTAACGGTGGGCCTACTGGACCTCATCCTGTTCTTCCTCCTCCCTCTGGCTTAAAGAGATATATAAATAACCTAATTTCACATAATTCCCGTTTGTGTGTGCAATTATTGGTTTTATATAAGTCCTATTTATACCTTTTATATGTTATAGAAATAAAAGTTAATTTCCATAGAAAAAGAGAGAATAGGCAGTGCTTACCTTCTTCTCATCATAAAACTGACGACATGGAGCCAGCATCTTTTCAATGCTTTATCCGATTGTCATACTCCTTTCTAAATTTAGATCAGCTTGCACCGTTGTATTCTTTGTGTCTTCGATGTCTTGAAGTATCTCTGAGAATTCCTATAATGTGAAGTTTTCTTCTTACCAGCTTCACTTCCTCTATGACATCTTCATTCTTTTCTTCACAACCATTCCTCTCATTTAGGCTGACAAGCTCGCCTTCACTAAGCTCCTCTGGCTGCATACTGAGTCTCTCAATGGCAGCAGCATCAACATTCCCATGGCCGGCTATTGCTTCTATGAATCCATTTATGTTTGATTTGAATTTCACATCCAATGCTATCAATTTTCATTTTTTGTTGGACAGCTTTGTTGGCCAATTCCCTCTCTTGATTGCCTATTTTTATAAAATGTCTCGTAGGTCTATCACTGGGAGACAAAGAGGGAACACAACTACATGCCTTTGTTGTCTGTGTGGAAACTGAACAAATAACAAATGCAACAGTGACCGATCACCAGTACACTTTAAAAGAAGTGATTAGGTTGGTTACTGATCATGATGTACATCTGTTATTTACAAAGTGATTTAAGTAGTGAAGAGCTTGCAGCAAAATTTGTACTTCATGTCATTATTCACAATCTACCATGGGAACTAAAATTTAAACGAAGATGTTGGGTGGGCACGGTGGCTCACACCTATAATCCCAGCACTTTGGGAGGCCGAGGCAGGTGGATCACTTAAGGCCAGGAGTTCAAGGCCAGCCTGGCCAACATGGCGGAACTCCATCTCTACCAAAAATACAAAAATTAGCCAGGCATGGTAGTGCATGCCTGTAATCCCAGTTACTCAGGAGGTCGAGGCAGGACAATCACTTGAACCCAAGAGGCAGAGGTTGCAGTGAGCTGAGATCATGCCACTGCACTCCAGCCTGGGGGACAGAGTGAGATTCTATCTCAAAAAAACAAAAAACAAAACCCCTAAGTTGTTGGGGCACTGATGTTATTCAACTAAACCATGATGACTGAAATTCACGCAAAGTGGAGTCATGTACAGTGAGGGCTACCTATATAAACATAATCAAACCCTGGAGTATTCTGGGATGGACTCCACTTTTTTTTTTTTGTCATATTGATTACTTTCCTTCCTTGTGTCTCTGACCTCAAAGGCAGTAGAGGGTGATGGCTTAACTGATCCTGGAGTTAAATTGCCTTTGGTTGCAGACTAGACTGCCGGTTCCTGTCTGGAACTTGTCTCACACCTGTTTTTCTCTGCTCCTCTATTTTCTCATCTGGTAAAACTATAATAATGACCAACCCTATCTTGTAGAGTTTTGTGAACATTGCATGAAAGAATCTATGTAAAACCCTCAGCATGTATCAATCACAGAATAAAAGCCCAGTAAACACTTTTATTTTAATGACATTATTACTCATAGTAGGTGGTTCTGAAAAGTTATTTATTTAACAAATATTTATTGATGTTCTGCTATGTATTTGTTGCTGAGAATATAGTGGGGAAAGGTTTTTCCCCATAGAGCTTACACTCTAGTGAGGCAAACATGATTTGTTCATTAAAAATTAATATTCATTTAGAAAGATAAAAAATAAGCCTATGAAAAGATAGAAACATATAAAACTAATAGAAAAATAATTTCAGATACATCATGCTAAATGCTTTTTTAAAAGTGAGGTTGTAAAACTGTTAAGTGCAGAAGAAAAAAAATAAGTGAATTTTTTGGACAGCCTAAGAGCTCTGCCCATGCTTTAGGTACCTGAGAAAGAGTCACCTTTAGTCTTTCCCAACACAAATCTTTAAATCTGCCCTTTAGAAAATTATTTCCATGATGATGTATTTGCCTAGTTCTTGAAGTGAAAGAAAAAAACTGATTTCACCAATATTTACTTATTGCTGTTAACAGATCTAATGTTGAACAGCAGTTGGCCACCTCTGTACCCATTGCGAGTTTTTATCTTCTTTTACAGATGAGTGTATTTGACTATGTCATCCCAGACTTTCCTTACGATAAGCTGAGGTATTTGCTCATATAAATATTTCAGGAAGCAATACAAGGAGACTTGGAAGGAATGCTTGAAGAGGAGATAGATCTATGTCCAGATCCTCCTCCTATAACACTTAGATGTGTTCTCCCTGTTCTTTAAGCAGAAAAACAAAAAGCACAGTTCTAAAAATACTTTATCAGTGCAATATTTCCAGATTTGAAGACTTTTAGAGAGGGCCTAAAAAGGGCCCAGCTAGGGGCTGACAGAGTAGCTGCCCTGTCTTTAGAATGCAGGCTATGAAGGGGACATCAGGCTCTCATCGTAGCACACATGGAATGTGGGAGGAAGCATTCTCCATGAATATCTTTGTATTTTGAAGAACCTTAATTATAACAACAGTGGTATTTTGACAATTCTCTCAACAATGTGGAGGAAAGGAGGCTTGGTGCTCAAATGATGTATTTCCTTGATTACTCTGAAGCTTCTCTTCATGTGGAGAGGGTCTTCTTGCAGTGTGAGGCAGACCGCTTGGGCATTCAAGGAGAAGGGGTCGGTCCTGTTCCACAAGGCAGATTAGCTGCAACCATATGCACGTACAAAAGGAATAATGAGGGTAAAACCACACAGTAGCGATTGTGAACTTTCTGCTTCCAAATTCTCCCAAGCTTTGAAGTAGGCGAAGTACAGGGCCTGCTGTCTCTGCTGAACAAATAGTAATGGTTCCAGCTGCATCCTCTCCTATACCATCCACTATTCCTTCAAAGAACTGAAAATAGAAGAAGCCAGCTTTCAAATAAAAAGTGCATATCCCAGCACTTTGGGAGGCCGAGGCGGGCGAATCACAAGGTCAGGAGATCGAGATCATCCTGGCTAGCACAATGAAACCCTGTCTCTACTAAAAATACAAAAAATTAGCCAGGCATGATGGTAGGCGCCTGTAGTCCCAGCTGTTTGGGAGGCTGAGGCAGGAGAATGGTGTGAACCCGGGAGGCAGAGCTTGCAGTGAGCCGAGATCACACCACTGCACTCCAGCCTGGGCGACAGAGAGAGACTCTGTGTCAAAAAAAAAAAAAAAAAAAAAAAAAAAGTGTGCGTCATTGTTGGTGGATCAGGTGGGCATCTTGGTGCAGAGGGTTGGGGTGTGTGGCTTGTGAAATGAAGTTTGTTTTGAAAAATGGTAATGCAATCTTCTTCAGAGAAATTCATGTTTAAAGAATGCTCAAAACACTGAAAATAAAATTTAAAAAGAAAAAGAGGATCAGCAGTAAAGCTATTAGGAAATACAGGTCAAAATCAAGGATTAATTAACTCGATATATATTTAATGAGAAAATACTTTATGCCAGGCAGGGCTGCTGTGTATGACTGTGCAGTGTGTAGACTGCAGAAGAGCACTCAGCTGCTCACAAAGAAACTATATAGGGTGGTGGAGGCCCTAGAGTCAGACAAGTTCTTCTGTCTGGGGATAAAATGGTGAATCAAATAGAAAAAGTCTGTCTCCTCGCAGAGCGTACATTTCAGTGCAGGATGCAGACACATTAGTAGGCATGTATATGACAGTGTGTTGAATGTCATGTATGTGGAGTGTCATGGGTGCATGGAAGAGGACCTTGATCCACAGAGAATCCTTCTGGAGCGGCTATAGCTGGCACCATGGAGTACAGGCTGACACCTGTACATTTGTTGCTCAAATGACATATTTCCTTAATTATTATAAAGGTTGTCTGCATGTGGAGAAGATCTTCTCCCAGTGTGAGGCAGAGAGCTTGGGCATTCAAGAAGGGGCAGTTCCTGTTCCATAAGGCAGATTAGCCACAACCACATGCCTGAACAAAAGCAACAATGGGGGTAAACCCACACAGTATGTGAGCAATGGGAGTGCTTCAGACAAAGGGAGTGAAATTGGCAAAAGCTGAAGCAAAAGAAAGGCCTGATACTTTCAAGCCTCTGACTGAATTCAGTTTTAAGTGGAGCATCAAGAGTAAGGATGGAGAAGGAGCTGGAGAGGGAGGTAAGGGCTTGCTCACGCACAGCCCAGTCAACCATGCTAAAGTGTTTGGAGCAGTGAGTGAATGTTTGCAAGCAGGAAGGGGGAAGGGTCCCAGGATCTGCATTTTGCAAAGACCATTATGAATGCCAGGTCCAGATTGATTTGAGAGGAACAAGAGGAGAAAAAGGATGCATACCACACATTGCAGATTTTACTTTGGAAGCTTGTAAATAGTCTATTAAAAATTTTAAATAAATTAAAAAGGAATTAGTTAGAATTGAAAGTAAAATTCCATAAATGACCTTACCCATTTATCCACTTGGTGACAAAACCACACAGAGAAAAGTTGTTCTAAGTGATTTTAAAAAACGTAAATGATTGTGTAACCCCAGAGGGATATACCCCAAGGAAAAAAATTCCCTGCAAAAAATCACTTAAACTGTTTTCAGTAATTGTTGGAGGAAATGTTAATATAATTATTCTGAGATTTTTAATCTAATATATGTAAAGCCATAAAAACATTGTAATTTTAAAGGAATTTAAAATTTGTAATACAAGAACAAGAAGGAACTGTGTTTGTATTACAAATTGTAGAGACTTAAAATTTTTTTTTTAGGGAAAACACGTGAACAACATTTTTGGTGATAACAGGTGGGGCCCAAGGGTAGTCTAAAGTGGGAAGACAGAGACAAAAAAGCAAAATTATTCTACAAATTAAATAATAAGAAATTTCTGTTTTTTCTTAACAGCTCAAGAAGGAAGGAGAATTTGAGGAAGGCTGAACTCAGAGAAGAGAGGTGATAAAATAGAGAGAAAGGTCTCTGGAGAGATCAGCTACACCGTAGCCAGCTGGGACCTGTGGAGGACGAAGATCATTATGATATTCCCTGCAGCAGGAAGCAGCAAATGAACTGTCAGGCCAGTGAGGTCTGACACCCAATTATAAGTTGTCAAATATATACACAGCGTCTTTCCATCATACCTACATTTGTTAACGTTATTTTTATTTACCTTCTGTTTTGTGTCCAGCACTGATATTGTGCTAAATCCTTCAGACAAAGTTTGGTGCTTTCATGACCTGACTATGTGTTTGCAGTAAGTGTTTGGAGAAATGAGGGAGATGAGAGAAGAAGTGCTGTGTATGTTCACATTTTGGGGCACAGCAGTCCCCAGATCAGCTGGGGAAGCAAGGTGAGCTAGTGACAAGTTGGCCAGAAAGTATAGATGAGCAGCAAGAAACAGGAGTGGAGAGAGACAGGGTGAACCGGGGGGTGGGAGAGAGAGCTGGAAGTCTTAAGATTAAGCCAAGAAGTGTGGCAATAAGATGTTGTCACTCTGAGATGGCAGGGAGAGTTAGTCATCATATTATGCCATATTAGATATTTATAATTGCTTGAGAGTCATACCTATGGATGTAATCTCTGCTATGCACCAACTAGCCATGAGAATTGTGGGCAAGCTATTTCATGTCCCAGAGCTTCCTCAATTTCTTACTCTGTAAGTTTCTCCTTTGTTCTTATTTGCTTCATGGCACTGGTTGACCCCATCTGTTCCTGCTCACACACA
This sequence comes from Homo sapiens, assembly GCF_000001405.40. Lineage (NCBI taxonomy): Eukaryota > Metazoa > Chordata > Mammalia > Primates > Hominidae > Homo > Homo sapiens. Next base: position 96,940,982 of record NC_000013.11, on the reverse strand, counting down.
GCCAATGGATCCACAACACACAACTGCATGGGCCCAGAGGTGGCGGGCTTCACTCTCAATCACTAATTTCCAAATAGATCTGGAAAAAGAAGTTGATGAAGGGAGCTAGGTGAACTCATGGTAGTTCCTAAGAATCCCCTTTCCTTGAATGCTCAGACTGATCCTGTTTTACAGACCTTTCATGGCCCCAGTATCTTGGCACCATTTGTTATGCAAAAGTTTATCTAGGGCAGATGGGATGTCTCCAAATCTTCCATTTGCCTGGCGAGCCTAAGACAGTGTTCTTGATGTGCTTTTGCTGCCTGCCCTGCTCAGCTTGGCGTTGCCTGGTGGTGGTCACTGTGCCTGTGCAATCCCTCCATTTCCTAATGTCAGGCTCAATGCAGGGATGTGGGCTGAATCACAATTGAGGGGCGCACTGAGAGCTGAGGGAGCACAGAAAGGTTGAGAATCAATGAGCAAATGACCGAGTCCTTGAGGAGTTTAAATATATCTGAAATCTTGGAGCAATACAGCCAGTCCCTGCAAACAGGGTTAAATTTCAAACTTAAGCATTATAACACATGTCTATGAAGTTTCTGTTTTGCAATGCTTAAAACTCCCGTTGACACTATGGGGCTGAGAAAAGGCCCATTTTTACTTAAAGCAATAAGTGTGTCATTCACCAAGGCAACGCTACCTTTCCCATGATAAATGGAACTGAAGCTGTTTTTGGGCTGCTACCAAAAATATGCTGAGGAACATCTATCACATAAACGAGATTCCTTAATTGTTTAGCATAAAGATTTTCCAGCATTCTAAATAAATTGATTCCTCCTAGTTTAAACAAGAAAATGTGTCTTTTTTTTAAAGATATAAACAGTGACAGCTATAGAAGGATCAAATACAAAAAGAAATTTCTTCCATTAAGTCACTTCCAGAGGTTGTCATTTTCTTAAAGACCACACACACGCTTACTCACACCCACACATACACAGGACTAATACAAATTACAGCTAACTGGGAAAATCTCAACAATTTTTGCTAATTTATTTTGTTGGCTTTTTCCCCCTAAAAATGGCAGCAAAAATGAATAAAATTGTGAAGCTCTGCACAGTAATACAATGTTACCATGAAGAAACATGTAGAGTTGCTAATCCCATGCATTTAGTTGTTTAATTGATTGTTTTTATATTTTTTAATGCAAGAAGAGTGACATCAACTTGAAGACCCCATTAGATACTAACTTCATACAGGAACATTTTTTGCTTCTTTTGATTTTTAGGGTTGACCTTACTTTTTCAGAGCCACACATTTAATAATAATGCATTAATAGTAATGCATTTAACTGTAGTGAACACAAATGTTAAGTGTATGGTTTCAGCGGTAAACCTAAGATACAACCCAGTTTCTATCTAGACATCTTCCGTTAGCCTTTGCTCTGACTGGTTTAAGAGAGATCCTACTTTCAACTTAAACAGAATAAGGACATCAACTTGCATTCCCTGTGCTCTTAATTAGTGTTTCCTACAAAACAATAAGGTAAAGCAAATAAACAGAAAAAAAGCACAAGGGGCGTGAAATTCAATTCCTGGAAGAGGAAGGTTGACGGTCAATAAGCTCATGAGGGCATGTTCAACCTCCCTTATAAAAGAGAGAAAGGAAGATTAAAGAAACAATATGATGCCATTTCTCACCTGCTTAGCAGATCAGCCAAAAATTAGAAGTCTGACTACCTGAGACTGGGTAAGGACATGGTGTTATGGGAACCCCACTCGCTGCTTGTGAGGTTACACATCTATATATTTTGAAGGAAAATTTGGCATCATCTAGAAAAGCTGTACATTTTTTTTATTGTGAAATATTTTTAGTATACAAAAAAGGTAGAGAAAATATAATAAACCTCTATGTACCTTCCATCTAGCATGAAAAATATACACTGAAAATGCTCTGTTTATCTTTCCTCATTCCCCTTTTCCTCATCTCAAGTGAAACCACTGTCTTGAACTTGGCATTTGTCATTTTTCATGCTTATTTCACTACTTATGTATGTATCCATACACCACATTTTTGACCTTTACATAAATGGTATTATATTGTATATTCCTTCCTGCAACTTGGGTTTTTGTTTATTCCCTTTTTCTTGAGCTAAATATTATCTTTATGAAATTTATCCACATGTTAATTTATCTATATATCCATGATATATGTAGCTGTAGCTTGTTAATTTTAACTTCTTATAGTGTTCCTTCGGTAAATACACTGCAGTTTATTTTTTAGTCCCCTACAGATGTTCAATTAGTTTTATTTTTCCAGGTTTTTTGTTTTTTGGCTCTTATAAACAATACTGCAATAAGCATTCCTGTGTGGATATTTACTGTGAAAATGTGGGTGAGTTTTTCTGGGTCTGTATTGTACTCTACGGAGTAGTATGGGGTAGTTTAGAAGAAAACTTCTCAACCTTTAACATGCGTTTGAACTTTCTAAAAATGCAAATTCTGATTCAGTAAATCTAGCGTGCAAATAGAAATTCTGCCTCTCTAACAAGCTCCAAGGTGATGGCAATGTTGCTGGGCCATGGACCAGGCTGGGCGTTTATGAGATCTCAGAGCTGTTTGCTTTCCAGGCAGCTTCTTAGTACATCCCTGTGAGGAAACATCAGCATGCTTGTAGTCTCTTCATCTATACCACAAATGGCATTATTCTGGTTTACTCTTTAATACTGAATGGACCACTTTTCACAGGATAACCTTTCCAAAAAACTGAATACGCCATAACAAAGTCTTTAAAAGATACAATACCATCTTTTTTGAGACCGAGTCTTGCTCTGTTGCCCAGGCTGGAGTGCAGTGGCGTGATCTCAGCTTACTGCAACCCTTGCCACCCAGGTTCAAGCGATTCTCCTGCCTTAGCCTCCAGAGTAGCTGGGATTACAGACTCAGGCCACCATGCTCAGCTAATTTTTTGTATTTTGTAAAGACAGGGTTTCACCATGTTGGCCAGGCTGGTTTCGAACTCCTGACCTCAAATGATCCACCTGCCTTGGCCTCCCAAAGTGCTGGGATTACAGGTGTAAGCCACTGCACCTGGCTGAGATACAATAGCATTTCTTTGCAAAGTCTTAAAGTTGTTATAAAACACGCCTTGAATTTGATATATAGGTGAAGTTATCTGTCAGCATTGGCCAGGCGCTGGTGCTGAGCACGTATAGTGCTGGAGTTAAAGGGTTGCGATGGCATTTGCCTAGGGGAAAAAGGCTGTGTCCTTTGTCTTTTATTTTCTTAACTAAGTAGTGAAATGTGTTTGTCTGGAGGTTTTTTGTTTTGTTGTTTTGTTTTATGGTATGTGTTTTGTTTTAATAAAAAATGTAATGAATGCACTTGGCAAAGGAAACCAAAATTAATGTGTGAAAAAGAATGAAAGTAAGTCTCTCCCCACTCTGTGCTCTGGGCCCTCTCTTTAGAGGCAAGCACTGCTGCCAGTTTCTTAGATACTGTAGCAGAGACCTTTACGGTGGCCTAATGACCCCCGACTTCTAGTTTCCCACCCTTGAGCTCTCTCATCCCTTGAAGAGGGCAGGACCTATGACTTGCTTCTGACCAAGAGAACACAGGAAAGGGGGCGGGCTATATGTGATGACAATTATGTGATGATGTGACTATGTTATGAAGACTGTAGTGCTATCTTGCTTGAGTTTCTTGCTTGCTTGCTGACTTTGAGGAAGCAAATGGCCATGCTGAAAACTTCACATGACAAGAAACTGTGGGCAGCTGGTAGAAGGTGAGAGTGGCCTCCCACGGACAGACAGTGCTGGTAGAGGAAAGCGCTCAGTCCTACAACCACAATATTGGATTCTGCCAGCAACCACATGGGTTTGAAAAAGTAGCTCCTTCTCCAGTCAAAACTCCAAATGAGAACACAGCCCCAGCCACCACCTTGATGGTAGCCTTGCAGAGAATCTGACTGAGCCATGCCCAGACCCCTAACCCGAAGAAAGTGGGAGGTAAGTGTGCATTGTTCTAAGCACTAAGTTTAAGGTGACATTGTTATACAGCAATAGAAAATTGATACAGTATCTTTCCATAAATTGTATGTGCAAAATATTTATACGTGATTATTTTTGTTCCAACCTTGGAAATTATTCAATATGGTCATGTATACATCTGCCCTCTTAGTTTTTAAGGCCGCATAACATTCCAGTGATTGAGCATTCAAATTTTATTTAGCCAGTCCCCAGTTATGGATTTTTAGGTTGTTTTCCTAAAAGACCCCACTCTGTCACCAGAAAAACCTGAAAGTGGCTGCAATGCCTCGAGATAGTAAATTATTTTTTAACAAACTTCTCTTTTAGTTCCCACTTAACTGTCCACTTTGTCTTTTTATTATTTCTTCCAGCTGAGGTTTTAAGCAGGGTTGCTAATCATCCTGGTTTGCCCAGAACTAAAGGGTTTTCTGGGATGCAGGACTTTCAGTGTTAACACCAGGACAGTCCCAGGGAAAAATGGGACAGTTGCTCACCCTATAACCCCTTTAAAAGTACAAATAAAAGGAAAAAGGTGAAAATCCCCAAAATTGCAGGTGACTTCCTCAAATCTCAGCCAACAGAGAAGGAAGAGCATTTCTGATACCTGGCTTCTGCTGGCAGAGGGTCTGCTCATCTCAGCTTGGGGTTCCCTTTGAGGCCTCTGCTAAAAGTAAATATGTAAGTTTCTTTATCTAATGCAAGAATGAAAGGAAGACTTTGGGTTTTCGGAACAATAATCTACCTCTTTTTATCAAAGGGATAAACCACTCAACCTAAAAGAATAGTTATCCACATAAGGCTTGGATTATCACCTCATAAAGCAGCAGGATTCTTCTATTATCACCTAAATAAAGCTGCCATGAAGCTGGAACAAATAGGCCAGGCAGAGAGAGTCTCTGCAAAACGAGAGGCTGTGAATTATAAAGGCTTTAGAAATGTGCGGCTGCAGACTGGATGATGCTTGCATTTGAGTCAGGCTGGCTAGAGGCCTTGAGCAGATGACTTCATGTCTCTGAATCTCAGTTTTCTCATCTGTTGGGTATGGTGCATGGCAGGTATTTAATAAATACAGGTTCCACCTCTCTTCCTTTCCTAGGAGAGGGAAAGTAGGTGATACTGGATGGGCAGAGGTGGACATGTATTCCAAGAGGAGCAGACATGCAAATTCTAACTGGATGTTGCCCAAAATATTAAGTGCACTTGGAAGGGGGCACTGAGAGAAACATTAACAGAGTGTGTGACCTGCCTGCTATACTCAGAAAGGGGAAAAACTAAGTTTATTGAGCACACTTTTACTATATCTAAGAGAGACACCAGCAAATCTGCTGCGTAGCACATTTGAGTGTTTCCACAGGCATGACGGTTAGGAGCTGCTTTCTCACGCCAATGGAAAGATTGTCTGCTTTAAGTTTACTACTTCATATTTCATTGTAAGCATTAAAAGCTTTCATTCTCCTTAGGAGGAAAAATACCCCGCCCTTTCATATACTTGAAAATTATAAACTAAAGCACCTTTTAGCCTTCTCTTTCCAACACTCAAAAAACCCAATTCATATACCATTTCCTCAGAAACAGTAAATGTATTTGTGAGGCAGCTTTGGGCCCTCCAACCACAGCTGTCATTACACAGTCACGGTGCTCAGAGACTCTGCGAGAAAGCCGTTACCTGCACTTGCCAGTTCAGTAGTCAGGCTAAGTGGAATAAAAAGGGCCCCAGGCAATGGGCATCATCCTTTCACTTGTGATACTTCTGAATAGAGACACAGATGCCTGTGTGCTTGCTGTGTTCATTTGCGAGTGTCCTGTCTGCAGAAGAGCAGTTAGAAAATATCTAACGGGGAAAAAAAAAACAAAACAATCAAATGAGAGTAATAAAATGTAATGATTACAGAAGGCCATTCAGGATTTTTAGAGCAAACAGGAATCTGGAGTCTTACTTGTTTCACACCAAAGGGTGTTATCAGAAAGAGAGAGCTGTGGTTCAACCACCGTCTGTGGGTCATGGGGGCAAGGAAGGGAGCAGCTGAGGGGCTTCCTTGGGGGCACATACAGTGGGAAGAAACAAAAGAAGGTGATAGCCCATTCTGCTTCCTTCTCTACATTTTGTCCTCTTACCTCTCTCATTGCCTACTCCCACACACCACTCTACCTCCGAGATATTTCCGTGATCAGCCTTCTGACCCTCCCAACCTACAATGTATATAGCCATTTTAAGAAGAAGCAGGGATTGCAGCTCTGAAAATGTCACTCAAGCTTTCTGCAGGAATCATTTATTTTGGTCTCCTAGGTTACTTCAACTCAGATGAGGTCTGCATCTTTCACAAGTACATACTGAGAGGGGGCAGATGAGAACTTCAAGCTTCAGGCAACAGGATGTAGATTACCCATATTCAACAGCAACTGCAGCAGAAAAGAAAAATGTATTTAGAGGATAAGTAAGTCAATAATGACACGTGTTTTCACTTTGAATTTTTCACTGTCCTACATCATCCATCCATTTATCAGACATTGATTCAGCCCTAGCTGTTACCCCACTCATGTTCTCCTTTTCTTTGTAAACACCTTTAATTCTCTTGCTCCTCTGAACCAGCCTGGGCAAGACGAACACTGGACAAATGAAATACTCACTTATTCCATTCCTGCAGCGGAGCAGCCACACATTGATTTAGCAAAGCACACAGTTTTATGTTTGTCTCACTTTAATACAGGTTCAGACATTTCAATATTTCTTGCTAATCATATTATAGATCTCTAGTAGAGTCTGTTTCTCATTCTCTAAAATGACCTTTTGACACATTACTCTCTTGACTCAAATTTCTTCTTTCCCCTTTACCCTCTCACTGGCAACAGAAAACCTTGGCTTAAAGTTCTAAGAGGAATTGGGAGCTATCAAATGAGAAGTCCTTCTTCCCCTTGCCTCCACTAAATTGACCAACACACAAAACGTGAACCTAATCTTTTTGCCTTCCCTTCATCTTCAGTGAATAAACTCTCTCTGCTTCTATCAACCACATATTCACCATCCTCTCCGTCCTTCCCGAGAACTTCACTCATGTAAGTGCCCCTTCTCTCTCCTGCATCACCAGCTCCCTCTTTGTTCCAGCTCAGTCCAATGCAAAACAAAAGTGCCCTCAATCTTTAATACAATACAAAACAGAACTTCAAAAAACTCTCCTGATACATTTCCCCATAGTTACTAATCCATTACCCTGCTTTACTCTCTTCAAGCAAACATCATGGAAAGAGTTTACTAGAGTTTCCATCTTCACTTACACACTAGTGTTCCACTAAAACTGCTCAGTGAAGTTCCCAATGACCGTCACTTTGCAAAATAAGGCAAAATATTTTGTATTACCTGATTTCTGAGCAGTATTTGATGCAGGTGGACATCATTCCCTCTTGAAACACTCTTTCTCATTGGCTTCTGCGATAGCACTCTCTCCTGATTTTTCTATCACTTGCTGTGGCCATGCCTTCATAGTTACTCAATCTCAGTTTCTTCTTTTGACTCTTGCTGCATCTTGCTTCTTCATGACACTGAAACGTTGGAATGTCCACAGGGATATGACCTAGGGCCCCTTCTCTTCCCAATCTATACTCTTCCTAGGTAGCTCTACATGTCCCATTTAAATATCATTTAGAGGGAAATAAGTCTCACATTTGCAAATATCCAGCTCTTTTAAATGCCAGACTCTTACATCTAACTGATTACCTATTAGCTTTACTCAGCAACATATGTCCCAGTCTTTCTCATATCAGTAAGTGATTCTTGGAACTAAGGGTTAAGAACAAGATCAAGTTCTTCCCGTTTTCTTTATTTTCTTCCTCATATCTAATTCATTGGAAGGTTCTGAGAGCACTTCATCTGGAAAACACCCTGAATCAATCTGCTTCTCTCTATTTCTAATGCCCCCACCTGAATCCAAGCCACCATCATTAATTATCTAGATTATTCCATTAGTCCCTCACTGATGTTCCTGCTGCCACATAGGCATTATTCCTATTTTACACATTAGAAAACTAAAGTTCAAAGGAGTCAAATGTCTTTATTCATTCAAAAATGGTTTTGGGCACCTGCTTTGTGCCTCCAGACACCTGCCTGAGTGGCATGGTAAATAAATGGCAGTGCCAGGTCTCTCTGACACTGAAGCCCTATTCTCAGTCTCATGCGTCACACTGCTTTCAGGAATGCTCCAGAACATTCCTTCTAATGCAGAGACACACAGAAAATAACCCAAGAACAATGTACCTACACATATGCCACATGCTTCTCAAAAGCAAAACCAGATTAACACAGCCTGAAGGCTTTGGAAATTTTCTCAAGAAAGTCAAACTGGTCTATGGGACTTTCTCTCAAGGGACCTGACCTCTTTTCCTTTACCTATGGGGGTGGCTTCCCTTACCTGGAATGCCTTCAAGACCACATGCCTGGCCAGTAACTACTGGGCTCTGCAAAAGCATCACCTTAAGTAGGGAGCTTTCCCTGGCCTCTCTAAACCAGCGAAGGCTCCCCTCCTCCATGCTCACTGGTTGTCTGTGTTTACTTTTATCATGACACTCCTCACACTGTACCACAATGCTTGGTTTATACTTACAAAGAACTTTGTCAAATGCTTTAAAAATGTTAGGTACAATTGATAAATCTAGATGGAGATACTTTAAAAATCCATAAAGAAAAGTCTAAATATCTAACTCCCCTTTGCAAAACCTGACACTCCTAATCGTGTTCGCCCTCACCAGCTTAAACTTCCTGAAAACAAAAGATGTTCTAAATGCTTACTACATACATGGTTGAATGGAAATGTAAGTCATGTCAGTCACTACACCAGTGTGTAGTGATTCTTCCTTTTGGTTTGTCCTTTTGGTTTGTCCAACCAAAAGGCTCTTCCTTTTGGTTTGTCCAACAACTCACTCAAGACAATTTGCCCTCCTTAGCAAAATATTTAGTGTCTCCTCAATTCCTAGTTCTATTGCTAAGAATTTTAGGGGCCTACTCTGTCCAAAGAAGACAATACTGCTTCCAGATGTAAGGAAGAGAGAGAGTCCTGGAAAGTCCAATAACCTGCAGCCCCAGAAGCATTTGAGCAAAAGACTGCGTGGTGTAGATCTCAGTGTACAACCGTAGCAGTGCCCCTGTCTGGATCAGGGCGACGGTGTTCAGAGGAATTCTAGAGTCAGATGCCAACTTGGGTTAAGGCCATCCCTCTTCCCAAACCCCCTGAGGGGTTTGTGTTGAGGTTGGCTAGGCCGGATCCTCCTTTCTTTTCAATGATTTTTTCCTGGAGAGAAGCGGGGTTGTTGATGTCTTTTAGAGCAGGCACACCTTACTTAGAGGCACCGGAATCCACTCTTACAAGTCCTTCTAACTTTCAATTTCAGTGAGCAGGGAGTGAGGTTTCAGTGTTTTTTCCTTCCAGAAAGCCTGAAGTTTTTTTGTTTGTTTGTTTTTTTTTTTTGAGGTGGAGTTTCGCTCTTGTTGCCCAGGCTGGAGTGCAATGGCGTGGTCTCAGCTCACAGCAACCTCCGCCTCCCGGGTTCAAGTGATTCTCCTGCCTCAGCCTCCCGAGTAGCTGGGATTACAGGCATGTGCCACCATGCCCGGCTAATTTTGTATTTTTATTAGAGACGGGGTTTCTCCTTGTTGGTCAGGCTGTTCTTGAACTCCCAACCTCAGGTGATCCACCCGCCTCGGCCTCCCAAAGTGCTGGGATTACAGGCATGAGCCACCGCGCCAGGCACAGAAAGCCTGAAGTTTTTAGGCAACTTGGTTCATACCAATTCCAGATTCGTGTTTCAAACAGGTCTCAGAGAGGCAACTTTTGCCAACCCACAAGATGTTCTATTATAACCTTACCACATGAAAATGGATGCCTACCTTTTTGCCTTGCATTTACCTAAGAAATGTTACACGGAAGATTCTTCTTATCAAAATAAAAATCCTAGCCAGGCAGGGTGGCTCATGCCTGTAATCCCAGCACTTTGAGAGGCCGAGGCAGGTGGATCACTTGAGGTCAGAAGTTCGAGACCAGCCTAGCCAAAATCGTGAAACCCCGTCTCTACTAAAAATACAAAAATTAGCCGGGCATGGTGGTGGGCGCCTGTAATCCCAGCTACTCAGGAGGCTGAGGCAGGAGAACTGGTTAAACCCAGGAGATGGAGGTTGTAACGAGCTGAGATCACACCACTGCACTCCGGCCTGGGTGACGGAGCAAGGCTCTGTCTCAAAATAAATAAACAAACAAATTAAAATCTTTCTTCAACTGGAGGCAGTATCTGGCATAATTTAGAGGATAATTTTTGCCTCACCTGATCACCAGTAGCCCCGTTAGACATGGGCGATAGGGCCCTACGTTTTACATAACATGATAAAAGTTAATTGAATTAAAATATATGGTTCCTGCTATCACTGAGGGTCCAGTGCTCAGGGTGAGCACAGTGACCTAATGGTAAACATCTATTTTGGAGACCAAAACTGTGCAGGCCCCAGGGAAAATGCTTCTCCATGTTTTGCCCTGTGGGTCCTCTGGAAGCCATGTGGGTTGTTCTGCTGCCAAGTCAGAGAGAATGAACATGCTGATCTTTCCTTTCAAAGAGCATGAGTACAATATTCTTGAATAACAAAGTGGGTTTTTTTTCTCTGACTAGTGCCAATTGTTCATCTTCTTGTGTCTCTTGGTGTTCCAATTTGTGGTTCCGCAGATACTCAAGAATTCATGAGATATTGCAGCAGTTGCACATGCGTGGCTGAGGGACATTTTGAAGCACTAACAAGTCATATTCCTGTTAAATTTGTATAAATATATGCCTAGATGTGATATGCATGAGGGTCAATGCTTATTCTTCATATGGGCAACTAGGAGAACTGTTAATACTAGTTTAAATAGCATCTTAAATTTTATCTTAAAAAATATGTTCATAATTATGTTATTAATTGTTAAAGTATTGTAAAATTTTAGCTTTATTTAAAGATATTCGGTATATATTAACTATAATTCTTTTTTTGTCTTTTAGTTTTAATAGTCATTCTGAATATTTCAAAGGAAAAATAACTGAAAAGATACAAAAATGATGTTTTTAATTTTTATGTCTATTTAAATTGCATTTCAATAAAATATATTCAAACTTTAAACACTTTACTGCAATTATTTAATTTTTAATTAGTTAGAAAATTACTTGTAAACTAGAATGCTCATTGTGTGAAAATATTAATTAAAACTGCACAATTAGCAAATTTTGCTGAAATACAGACAAGAAAAATAGATTTCATGAAAAAATAAATTATGAGTTCTTTATTGTCTCTAGTTTATTACTAATCTAAATATTGCTGGTTCGTTCACAGAATGTACAGGCTTGCACAATAATAGAATTCAGTTACTTTGGTATTTTGCTGCTTTTCAGTCATGTATCTGCTATAGCTATATATCTATTTTGTTTATAGAAAGAAATACATATATCCAGATAGGGTGACAAAACATGTTCTATTTAATGGATTTTTACCATAACTTATGACTTCTAACTATTAAAAGTTTTAAGTGGTATGGAGGCCTGTTTGGACTCTTGCCTTGGTTTCCCATGAGTTTTTGGTGTGGGCCAGCTGATGGTCATTACCTGAACCAAGTAGCAGTACCGGTAAGAAGAAGGTTTTCTCCAGAGAGAGGCAAAGTTGGGGACAGTTTAAATGGCAGCAACCACATGTACATTGGTGTGATGGTTAATACTGAGTGTCAATTTGATTGGGTTGAAGGATACAAAGTATTAATCCTGGGTGTGTTTGTGAGGCTGTTGCCTTAAGAGATTAACATTTGAGTCAGTGGGCTGGGAAAGGCAGACCCACTCTTAAGCTGCGTGAGCACCATCTAAACATGGAGAGGTTAGACTGGCCTAGCCACCCAGCCTCCATCTTTCTCCTGCGCTGAATGCTTCCTGCCCTCAAACATCAGACTCCTAGTTCTTCAGTTTTAGGACTTGGACTGGCTTTCCTTCCTCAGCTTGCAGATGGCCTATTGTGGGAACTCGTGATAGTGTGAGTTAATACTTTATTAAGTATTTACTTAATTACCTATCCTTTACATTAACTACCCTTTATATATGTGTATCATATTAGTTCTGTCTCTCTAGGGAACCCCAATGAATACAATTAGCAAGTGGCATTTTTTTAAAAAGGACTATTTGAAGTCTTGAATTGTGCTAGGATAAATCTGAGAGGTGCACCTGGAAAGGTGATTGGGTTGCAGCTTGTGAGGCACTTCTGATTCTGCTTTTGGGGTTTTGCCTGAAGGCAGAAAGGACAGTCACCCCATGAAAGGTTTTAGTCAATAGAGCAACATGGGTAACCTAACTGCTTCAGAAAAATCTCTTGGACCAAATCAGGAAGCTTACTTGGAGGGGATTACGGCTGGATAGATGGAGAGTCAGTAGTAAATTATTATAATAATTTAGGAGAGAGGGGACGAGTTTCCCAACTAAACTAAGCAACTAAACAGAGGCAATGGAACAGAGGGCGACACTGGATTTAAGCAGCATTTCTATGCAGCTTAGATATATGTGAATGAGCAGTTCAGACCTCAGTGCTTCCAGACTGCAGCAGCAGGGATATTAATATTCCACTTACTTTTGAAAATTAAGTTGGTTTTGGGCTTCTTCATATTGCGTAGAATTCAAGCATCTCATTGTGATGGACGGCGGATGGGAAGGGGAGACCCTGCAACTATGCTTCTGCAGACTGACCATCCCAGCCCTCAAGAGAAGTGGGAACTGGGTATCTTGTCTTCATAAATGGGTGTACTTTTTCTTCCAGGCGACTTGGGTTTTAGTTTTAATGGCTGTTGAGGCTCTTCATTCAAGGTGTTTTGTTTTGTTTGTTTTGTTTCACCAGGAATGCAACTGTATGCAAAGTTGGATTAATGCATATTCATTGCAGCAACAGAGATCACACACCGTGGGGAAATGTGCGCCATCCCAAGAAGGGTTTTAACAGGGCTTTTTTTTTTTTTTTTTTTTTTTTTTCCAGGATCTGAGCTTCTGCAAGGTGCTTTTTGGGAGAATTCCAGGAAGCAGGGATATGTTCTGGATAAGGTATTGTCAGAAAGCAGGCATAATCTATGACTGGGTATCTTAATGAATTTTATCTAGAAGCAGAAAAAATGGAAAGAGATTAAAGCTTTAATTTCTAAAGAAGAGGCAGTCACACAAGTTCCCTAAGAGAGGGGTGGCCAGGTGCGGTGGCTCACACCTCTAACACCAGCACTTTGGGAGGCTAAGGCAGGCAGATCACCTGAGGTCAGGAGTTTGAGACCAGCCTGGCCAACATGGTGAAAGCCCGTCTCTGCTAAAAATATTAAAAAACTAGCTGGGCATGGTGGTGCACACCTTTAATCTCAGCTATTTGGGAGGCTGAGGCACAAGAATCACTTGAACCCAGGAGGCAGACGTTGCAGTGAGCCAAGATCGCGCCACTACACTCCAGCCTGGGTGACAGAGTGAGACTGTGTCTCAAACAAGCAAACAAAAACAAAGAGAGGGAGATGCTTGGCTATTTCTTGTGGTTTGCACAGTGACCATGTCTTTGTCTGTGTTCTGACATGGTCACCAACTGGCCTTGGTTTTATCTTTTTTTTTCACCTTGTCTGAAGGTCATGGTCTGTGAGACTGATTATGTTCAACAAGGAAACCCTGAGGCATGCCGGTGAATGCCACCCCAGCTGATGGCCATCAGGGGCTGCTTTTTCTCCTGTCCCCTTTATGAAACCTGGAAAGGGAAATAAGGGTTTTAATATTAAATGATGATATGGGGGAGGGTAGGAAGCTTAAAGTGAGAAGGAGTGATAGGAAACTTGCCCTCCAGACAGAAAAGTGGTCCACACTTGGGGCTACTACTGCCCCCAAAGCTGCAGGGGCCTTGCTCAAGTTCCCAGCAACTTCTGAGTCAGTCCTCATCAGTAACTCACCCCGCCGTCACCTAACTAAGCATTGCACTAAGAGATGGCAGCTGAGTTTGCAGGCGGAGGGCAACAAGCTACCAATGCCATCAGGCTTTGATTCACCGCAGACTCTGAAGCCAGACTGCATGGGTTTGAATCTTCTCTCTGCCACTCAGTTCCTAGCTTTGCCCATCTATGTTCTGTTTCTTCTTCTAAAATTGTGTCTACCTTGTGGGATTATTGTATGAATAAAGGAATTCATACATGGAAATTTCCTAACCTAGTGCCTGGAGCATTATTATCTGTGTCAGCTGCTATTGCAATTATTATCTTCTCCCACAGAGCGCCCAAATACCCTGACCACACACGCCCATTTCCAGAATCCCTTGGACTTCTGCAGGATGGGGAGGAGGGACCCCTCCCACACTTAAACTTAATGGTTAGACAAAACAAGTTAGAGCCCCAGGGCGGATTATGGTGAGTGGATAGGTCTCTTACATGGTAGTTGTGGAGCAAGCATGGCATAGAGTCTGAATCTGGGTGAGGCATCTGAGTTGGTCCTTCCAATCCCCCAGGCTCTGCCTGTGGTTACCTATAAGGCAAGAGGCATGGGGGCACGTGCAGAAAAACTGCTGAGCACAGTGATTCAGAAATGCCATTTTCCCAGTCTTCTTTCTTTCAAATGCACACTTTCACACACAACAGATCCCAAATAAGGCTGATAAAACTATCACAATTTTTCCATTTCAAGAAGGGTCAGCTTCCAGTGACAGGGAGGGGCTGTAAGCAACGAGCATTAACACTGTAAATCACAAGAATGGGCTCCACATGCAGCAGTTCTCTTCCTTATGAGCTTTTAATGTCTTCTTTCGTCACTGTGGAATATCTTATTTACTCTCTGCCAGAGCTTTGGCTTCAGCCCTTCTACTAGCCATAAAAGTAACAGCCAATGTTTGCACAAAATGACAAATCAGACAAGGCAAATATTATACATGTGGAGTACAAATCCACCTGAACTCCTTTTGATCTCTTATCACAAGGTTATTTGGATGTGCCAGAGTAAGAGGATTTAGTTCTGTTTCTTATCAATGCAAATCTTACAAGTAAGAGGAAGAAACAGGTAAATACAAAGTTTGATTTGAAGGGCAAAGGGACAGGTCTCTGTCCAAATCCCTATCCTCCATAAAATCTATCTCCCCCATTGGTCTATTGCTTAATATCAAATATTATTCTTTGGGGGTATTTGCATTTCAAGACGTGGCAAGAGTTTAAGTTGCAGGAGTAAATCTCAAGTTGTATAATTCAACATCAGTTAGTCTACAGTAGAGATACTTGCTTCAGCATGGCAGGTCAAAGTCCAAGGACATTGGGCTATAATTTGATACTTATGTGGAAATAGATAAGGGACCACTTGGACTCTAATGATGTAGCCAGTTCCTTTTAGACCTTTTAGACTGTGGCCACTGTATTCTGCTTTTGCTATTTTTCCTGCTTATGGTTCTACATTACGAGCAAAAAGTTGCTGACATGGACCATGATGAAAATAATTTAATTAGCTGCTTAATAAAAGTGCAGCAATTGTAACATCCCACTTCTAAAAGCCTATGTTAGTTCCTAGTGGTAAATTACCAACTGGGTAAAATATCTAGGAGGTTGAAGATGACTTTTCTAGGATTGTGTTCTAAGGGAGGCCATGCTCTGACCTTAGGAAAAGAAACCATAGACCAAGGTAAACCAGTAAGAACTGTTCAACCATTATGGAAACAAAAGAATGGAACAAGGCATGGCCTAGATGAATGGAGTCCAGGAGACTTGACTCAAGGTCAGGATATTCCACTTTGTCACAAAACCTGAAATATACCTTAAATACTTCATCTTAGAGAGTGAAAGCTTCTAAATGTGCCAGTAAAGTACAGCTTTAACTCCACACGCAATTGATTGTTTTACTCAAGAGTGCGTGATCCGGGGGAAATCAGATGTCATTACATTGGAAAATGACACTCTTCAGAGGCAGCTACTATATATATTTCTGGTAGACAAATTTTCATCAACCTACACTGTGTTAATTTGTATACTGGATGTCAGAAATGGTTTTTTATTGGTAAGAAATATTGCTCTGTTGACTAGTATGAGGACTGTTAGAAGTGGGATCTCACTGGTAAAATTCAAGGTTTTCTTTTTCTTTATTTGTTACTTTTTAATTATACTTTAAGTTCTAGGATACATGTGCAGAACGTGCAGGTTTGTTACATAGGTATACGTGTGCCATGGTGGTTTGCTGCACCCATCAACCCGCCATCTACATTAGGTATTTCTCCTAATGATATCCCTCCCCTAGCCCCCCATCCCCAAACAGGGCCTGCTGTGTGATGTTCCCATCCCTGTATCCATATGTTCTCATTGTTCAACTCCCACTTATGAGTGAGAACATGTGGTGTTTGGTTTTCTGTTCCTGTGTTAGTTTGCTGAGAATGATGGTTTCTAGCTTCATCCATGTCCCTGAAAAGAACACGAACTCATTCTTTTTTATGGCTGCATAGTATTCCATGGTGTATATGTGCCGTATTTTCTTTATCCAGTCTATCATTGATGGGCATTTGGGTTGGTTCCAAGTCTTTGCTATTGTGAATAGTGCTGCTGCAATAAACATACATGTGCATGTGTCTTTATAGCAGAATGATTTATAATTCTTTGGGTATATACCCAGTAATAGAATTACTGGGTCAAATGGTATTTCTAGTCCTAGACTGAGGAATCACCACAGTGTCTTCCACAATGGTTGAACTAATTTACCCTCCCACCAACAGCATAAAAGCCTTCCTATTTCTCCACATCCTCTCCAGCATCTGTTGTTTCCTGACTTCTTAATGATCACCATTCTAACTGGCGTGAGATGGTATCTTATGATTTGATTTGCATTTCTCTAATGACCGTTGACGATGAGCTTTTTTTCATATGTTTGTTGGTTGCATAAATGTCTTCTTTTGAGAAGTGTCTGTTCATATCCTTCATCCACTTTTTGATGGGGTTGTTTTTTCTTGTAAATTTGTTTAAGTTCCTTGTTGATTCTTGATATTAGCCCTTCATCAGATGGATAGATTGCAAAAATTTTCTCCCATTCTGTAGGTTGCCTGTTCAACTCTGATGATAGTTTCTTTTGCTTTGCAGAAGCTCATTAGTTTAATTAGATCCCATTTGTCTATTTTAGCTTTTATTGCCATCGCTTTTGGTGTTTTAGTCATGAAGTCTTTGCCCATGCCTATGTCCTGAATCATATTGCCTAGGTTTTCTTCTAGGGTTTTTAAGGCTTTAGGTCTTATGTTTAAGTCTTTAATCCATCTTGAGTTAATTTTTGTATAACGTGTAAGGAAGGGGTCCAGTTTCTGCTTTCTGCATATGGCTATCCAGTTTTCCCAACACCAGTTATTAAATAGGGAATCCTTTCCCCATTGCTTGTTTTTGTCAGGTTTGTTGAAAATCAGATTGTTGTAGGTGTGTGGAGTCATTTCTGAGGCCTGTGTTCTGTTCCATTGGTCTATGTGTCTGTTATGGTACCAATTCCATGCTGTTTTGATTACTGTAGCCTTATAGTATAATTTGAAGTCAGTTAGCATGATGCCTCCAGCTTTGTTCTTTTTGCTTATGATTGTCTTGGCTATATGGGCTCTTTCTTGGTTCCGCATGAAATTTAAAGTAGATTTTTCTAATTCTTTGAAGAAAGTCAATGGTAGCTTGATGGGAATAGAATTGAATCTATGAATTACTTTGGGCAATATGGCTATTTTCATGATATTGGCTCTTCCTATCCATGAGCATGCAATGTTTTTCCATTTGTTTGTGTCCTCTCTTATTCCTTTGAACAGTGGTTTGTAGTTCTGCTTGAAGAAGTCCTTCATGTCCCTTGTAAGTTGTATTTCTAGGTATTTTATTTTCTTTGTAGCAATTGTGAATGGGAGTTCACTCATGATTTGGCTCTCTGTTTGTCTATTATTGGTGTACAGGAATGCTTGTGATTTTTGCACATTGATTTTTTATCCTGAGACTTTGCTAAAGTTGCTTATCAGCTTAAGGAGGTTTTGGGCTGAGACGATGGGGTTTTCTAAATATACAATCATGTCATCTACAAACAGAGACAATGTGACTTTCTCTCTTCTTATTCGAATACGCTTTATTTCTTTCTCTTGACTGACCGCCCTGGCCAGAGCTTCCAAAACTATGTTGAATAGGAGTGATGAGAGAGGGCATCCTTGTCTTGTACTGGTTTTCAGAGGGAATGATTCCAGCTTTTGCCCATTCAGTATGATATTGGCTGTGGGTTTGTCATAAATAACTCATTATTTTGAGATATGTTCCATCAATACCTGGTTTATTGAGTGTTATTAGCATGAAGGGGTGTTGAATTTTATTGAAGGCCTTTTCTGCATCTATTGAGACAATTATGTGGGTTTTGTCATTGGTTCTGTTTATGTGATGGATTATGTTTATTGATTTGTGTATGCTGAGCCAGCCTTGCATCCCAGTGATAAAGCCAACTTGATCATGGTGGATAAGGTTTTTAATGTGCTGCTGGATTTGGTTTGCCAGTATTCTATTGAGAATTTTCGCATTGATGTGCATCAGGAACGTTGTCCTGAAATTTTCTTTTTCTGTTGTGTCTCTGCCAGGTTTTGGTATCAGGATGATGCTGGCCTCATAAAATGAGTTAGGGAGGATTCCCTCTTTTTCTATTGTTTGGAGTAGTTTCAGAAGGAATGGTACCAGCTCCTTTTTGTACCTTTGTTAGAATCTCGCTGTGAATCCATCTAGCCCTGGTTGGTAGGCTATTAATTACTACCTCAATTTCATAACTTGTTATTGGTCTATTCAGGGATTTGACTTCTTCCTGGTTTAGTCTTGGGAGGGTGTATGTGACCAGGAATTTATCCATTTCTTCTAGATTTTCCATTTTATTTGCATAGAGGTGTTTATAGTATTCTCTGATGGTAGTTTGAATTTCTGTGGGATCAGTGATGATCTCCCCTTTATCATTTTTTATTGTGTCTATTTGATTCTTCTCTCTTTTCTTTTTTATTAGTCTGGTTTGCAGTCTATTCTGTTAATCTTTTCAAAAAACAAGCTCCTGGATTCATTGATTTTTTGAGCGGTTTTTCGTGTGTCTATCTCCTTCTTTTCTGCTCTGATCTTAGTTATTTCTTATCTTCTGCTAGCTTTTGAATTTGTTTGCTCTTGCTTCTCTAGTTCTTTTAATTGTGATGTTAGGGTGTTGATTTTCAATCTTTCCTGCTTTCTCCTGTGGACATTTAGTGCTATAAATTTCCCTCTAAACACTGCTTTAGCTGTGCCCCAGAGACTCTGTACATTGTGTCTTTGTTCTCATTGGTTTCAAAGAACTTATTTATTTCTGCCTTAATTTTGTTTTTTACTCCGTAGTCATTCAGGAGCAGGTTGTTCAGTTTCCATGTAGTTGTGTGGTTTTGAGTGAGTTTCTTTATCCTGAGTTCTAATTTGATCGCACTGTGGTCTGAGAGACTGTTTATTGTGATTTTCATTCTTTTGCATTTGCTGAGGAGTGTTTTACATCCAATTATGTGGTCAGTTTTAGAATAAGTTTGATGTGGTGCTGAGAAGAATGTATATTCTGCTGATTTGGGGTGGAGAGTTCTGTAGATGTCTATTAGGTCCATTTGGTCCAGAGCTGAGTTCAAGTCCTGATTATTCTTGTTAATTTTCTGTCTCGTTGATCTGTCTAATATTGACAGTGGGGTGTTAAAGTCTCCCACTATTATTGTGTGGAAGTCTAAGTCTCTTTGTAGGTCTCCAAAAACTTGCTTTGTGAATCTGGGTGCTCCTGTATTGGGTGCATATATATTTAGGATAGTTAGCTCTTCTTGTTGCAGTAATCCCTTTACATTCTGTAATGCCCTTCTTTGTCTTTTTTGATTTTTGTTGTTTTAAAGTCTGTTTTATCAGAGACTAGGATTGCAACCCCTGCTTTTTCTTGCTTTCCACTTGCTTGGTAAATCTACCTCCATCCCTTTATTTTGAGCCTATATGTGTCTTTGCATGTGAGATGGGTCTCCTGAGTACAGTACACTGATGGGTCTTGACTCTTTATCCAATTTGCCAGTCTGTGTCTTTTAATTGAGGCATTTAGCCCATTTACATTTAAGGTTAATCTTATTATGTGTGAATTTGATCCTGTCATGATGCTAGCTGGTTATTTTGCCCATTAGTTGATGCAGTTTCTTCATAGCATCGATGGCCTTGACATCTTGATATGTTTTTGCAGTACCAAAAACACACAAATTGGATGGTATCAGTTTTTCCTTTCCATATTTGATGCTTCCTTCAGGAGCTGCAGTAGGGCAAGCCTGGTGGTGATAAAATCCCTCAGCATTTGCTTGTCTGAAAAGATTTTATTTCTCCTTCACTTATTAAACTTAGTTTGGCTGGATATGAAATTCTGGGTTGAAAATTATTTTCTTTAAGAATGTCGAATGTTGGTCCCCACTCTCTTCTGGTTTGTAGGGTTTCTGCAGAGAAATCCACTGTTAGTCTGAAGGGCTTCTTTTTGTGGGTAACCTAACCTTTCTGACTGCCCTTAACATTTTTCCTTCATTTCAACCTTCACGAATATGATATTTAAGTGTCTTGGGGTTGCTCTTCTCATGGAGTATCTTTGTGGTGTTCTCTGTATTTCCTGAATTTGAATGTTGGCATGTCTTGCTAGGTTGGGGAAGTTTACCTGGATAATATCCTGAAGTGTGTTTTCCAACGTGGTTCAGTTCTCCCTGTCACTTTCAAGTAAACCAATCAAATGTAGGTTTGGTCTTTTCACATAGTCCTGTATTTTTTGGAGGCTTTGTTTGTTCCTTCTCATTCTTTTTTCTCTAATCTTGTCTTCATGCTTTATTTCATTAAGTCCATCTTCAATCTCTGATATCCTTTCTTCCACTTGATCGATTCGGCTATTGATACTTGTGTATGCTTCACAAAGTTCTCTTGCTGTGTTTTTCAGGTCCATCAGGTCATTTATGTTATTCTCTAAACTGGTTATTCTAGTTAGCAGTTCCTGTAACCCTTTATCAAGGTTCTTAGCTTCCTTGCATTGGACTAGAACATGCTCCTTTAGCTTGGAGGAGTTTGTTATTACCCACCTTCTGAAGCCTACTTCTGTTAATTCATCAAATTCATTCTCTGTCCAGTTTTGTTCCCTTGCTGGTGAAGAGTTGTGATCCTTTGGTGGAGAAGAGGAATTCTGGTTTTTGGAATTTTCAGCTTTTTTTGTGCTGGTTTTTCCTCATTTTCGTGCATTTGTTTACTTTTGGTCTTTGATGTTGGTGACCTTGGAATGGAGTTTTTGAGTGGTCATCCTTTTTGTTGATGTTGATGCTATTGCTTTCTGTTTGTTAGTTTTCCTTCTAACAGTCAGGCCCCTCTTCTGTAGGTCTGCTGGAGTTTGCTGGAGGTCCTCTCCAGACCCTGTTTACGTGGGTATCACCAGCAGAGGCTGCAGAACAGCAAAGATTGTTGCTTGCCCCTTCCTCTTGAAGCTTCATCCCAGAGGGGCACCTGCCAGGTGCTGGAGGGAGCTCTCCTGTATGAAGTGTTTGTCGACCCCTGCTGGGAGGCATCTCCCTGTCCGGAGGCACAGGGGTGAGGGACCCACTTCAGGAGGCAGTCTGTCCCTTAGTAGAGCTTGAGCACTGTGCTGGGAGATCTGCTGCTCTCTTCAGAGTCCGTGGGCAGGAACGTTTATGTCTGCTGAAGCTGCGCCCACAGCTGCCCCTTCCCCCAGGTGCTCTGTCCCAGGGAGATGGGACTTTTATCTATAAGCCCCTGACTAGGGCTGCTGCCTTTCTTTCAGAGATGCCTTGCCCAGAGAGGAGGAATCTAGAGAGGCAGTCCGGCTACAGCGGCTTTGTGGCACTTTGGTGGGATCCACCCAGTCCAAACTTCCAGTTGGCTTTGTTTACACTGTGAGGGCAAAACTGCCTACTCAAGCCTCAGTAATGGCAGACGCCCCTCCCCCCACCAAGCTTGAGTGTCCCAGGTGGACTTCAGACTGCTATGCTGGCAGCGAGAATTTGAAGCCAGTGGATCTTAGCTTGCTGGGCTCTGTGGGGGTGGGATCCACTGAGCAAGACCACTCGGCTCCCTGGCTTAAGTCCCCTTTCCAGTGGAGTGAACGGTTCTGTCTCACTGGTTTTCCAGGCACCACTGTGGTACAAAAAAACAAAAAAACAAAACAAATCAAAAAAACTCCCGCAGCTATCTTGTTGTCTGCCCAAACGGCCTCCCAGTTTTGTGCTTAAAACCCAGGACTCTGGTGGTGTAGGCACCCGAGGAAATCTCCTGGCCTGCAGGTTGTGAAGACAGTGGGAAAAGTGTAGTATCTGGGCCAGACAGCTCTGTCTCTCACTGCACTGTCCCTCAGGGCTTCCCTTGGCTAGGGGAGTTCCCCAACCCCTTGCACTTCCCAGATGAGGCAACACCCCACTCTGCTTCTGCTCACCCTCTGTGGACTGCACCTACTGTCTAACCAGTCCCAATGAGATGAGCCATTGACCTCAGTTGGAAATGCAGAAATCACCCACCTTCTGCATTGGTCTTGCTGGGAGCTGCAGACTGAAGCTGTTCCTATTCATCCATCTTTCCCTGGAATCAAAATTCAAGGTTTTCAAGATATGTAGATGAGCTGAAATATTTTAGAGACAGTTTCCCCATTCTGCGCCCCTCACATCTTGCAATGATCAGAGTTTAAAAGCCCAGTAAGGCCTATACACTGCACATTCAGGACTGGCACCTGAGATCCCTAAACAGCCCTTTGTCCAGCAATTAGCTAGAACGATTTCTGATTATCTGATGCTGACTATAGAGTCAAAATATTGTCTCTGAAATGTTGTGTTGGGTTCAAGAGAACGTTTCATGCAAATTAAGGCAAGAACACTTAAAAGGACTGAGAGCTGGAACTTCATTAAACTTACAGAACATTTTATGCAAATCATTTTTGCCTCCTGGCTTAATGTTATTTAATAAATGTATTGCATGGAGATTCAGCATGTATAACATACTCTCTTTATAATCTGGTAGTGGGACTGTGGATTAGTAGCCATCCCTTATCTACTGGAATCATGTTTGGTAGCTACTGTTCTTTACCAAACCAACAAAACACAAAGAGTTATACACGACCATCTTTTCACCTTTTCAGGATGTAATTTGAAATCATTTTCTAGAAGAAGAATTACATTTTGTGATATGTAAATACTTTTCCAAATATAAGGTTCTATGTCAATATTTTTCTGAGGATACAGGGGAAGGCAAGGGATATCAGACTACAGTAAGAAAAAACTTTGAGGTCTTGAAGTGGAGATGGCATTGAAAGAGAGCATTAGAGGGAGTTAGAGAAACAGATTTTTTCCTTGCTTCTGCCACCAAACAGTTATCTGTGATTGGGTTTTCCTCTTGGTCTTCATTATTCTCAGCTATAAAATAAAGAAGATGAATAACAAAACCTCAAAGATTCCTTCTAGTTCTCAAGTTCAATGGCTCTCATTTGTAGAGTCCTCAGAGGACAGTAGTAAATAATTATCCTCATTTGTTTGGCAAGTCACCAGGAAAGCCTTTTCATCTTGATAGACTAACCCCCCAGCCTGAAATTCACCTAACTGGAAATGCACTTAGAGGGGCAATTCTCCTTTTCAATACAGTATTACTGGGGGAGAGTGGAATTTATTTATTTTTTGCCTCCATGTACATAGATTTTTTTAAATTTTGTTTTTCATTGACAAATAATAATTGTATATATTTTGGGGATGCAATGTGATATTTTGATATGTGATGTTTATATACATTGTGGAATGGCCAAATCAAGCTAATTAATATATTCATCACCTTACATACTTATTAATATTTTTGTGGTGAGAATATGTAAATTCTAAGTTTTTAGACATTTTGAAATATGCAATACATTATTATTCAGTTTCTGGTTCCAAACTGGTGGCATACAAACAAGCTGGCCTCACTCTCCTCCACAGAAAATAGAAAACAAATATACAGCACTGAGATATCCCAGAACTCAAATATGAGGATGAAACAACTACCAGGGCCACAGAGATGTAAAGAAACTCTGAGTAGGCAGCAAAAAATCAGACTTCACTATCTGCAGCACCCCTCCCCACAATCTGTTTGGCACTAAACACATGGAAAATATCCCC
Source organism: Homo sapiens (assembly GCF_000001405.40). Taxonomy (NCBI): domain Eukaryota; kingdom Metazoa; phylum Chordata; class Mammalia; order Primates; family Hominidae; genus Homo; species Homo sapiens. The sequence goes on along the minus strand of NC_000013.11, from coordinate 96,916,842 downwards.
GAACTCATGGGTTTCTACACTGGAAAAAGTGAAATCAAGGTGGACATCAGCTTCCCCAAGATCTTGGGTTCCCTGGCAGGAGATCCTGTCCCTGCTTTAACCCAAAGGAGACATCATCAATGCCTGAGGGAAGAAATATTTTTGATGACAACCAAAGACAATGATGGGAGGTGGGATTACCATCCCCAGCCCTGGAAACTCTGTTCTGCAACTTAGCCAGAGGAGATACCAAATCAGAGTGAAAAAATTAAAAATAAAAGTAAAAATTGGATGGGGGATGGAGTTAAAGCATAGGGTGTCTTTTTTATTTTTTTCTTTATTTGCTTGTTTCTATTCTTTTTTGTGTGATCTAAAATAAGTTGTCATCTCTTCAAAATTACTTATTATATCTATAAGATTTTTTCTGTAATCCTCATGTTAACCTCAATGCAAAAATCTGTAATAGATACACTCAAAATAATTAGCAACAAATTAAAACATACTACCAGAGAAAACATACCACTGTCTTCACTTAACCATAAATGAAGGCAGTAAGTAAGAATAAAGGAGTTGTAAAACAAACAGAAAACAAACAACAAAATGGTAGTATTCAGTTCTTACTTATCGATAATAACATTAAATATAAATGGACTGAATTCTCCAATGAAAATACATACAGTGGCTGAATAGACAAAGAAAAAAGACCAAACTGTATGCTGCCTACAAGAAACCAACTTCACCTATAAAGACATATGTAGATTGAAAGTAAAGAAGTTGAAAAAGATATTCTATACAAGTGAAAACAAAAAAAGATCAGGAGAAGCTATACTTATATCAGATAAAGTACCCTACAAGTCAAAGATTTAAGAAGGTCACTATATAATGATAAAGGGGTCAGTTTAGCAAGAAGATATAATAATTATAAATTCCTATGTACCCAATACTAGAGTACAGAAGTATATAAGGTGAACATTAATAGATCTAAAGGGAGAGATAGACTGCAATGCAATAACAGTAGGGGACTTTAACATTCCACTCTCAGTAAAGAACAGATCATCTAGATAGAAAATCAACAAAGAAACATTGAAGTTAAACTACACATTATACCTAATAGGCCTAACTGACATTTACAGAAAATTTCACCCAAATGCTGTAGAATATACTTTCTTTTTATCAGCACATGGAACATTCTTCAGAATAAATTATATTTTAGCCCACAAAACAAGTCTGAACACATTGTTAAATGTAGAAATCATATCAAGTATCTTTTCTGACCACAATATAATAAAACTAGAAATCAATAACAAGAGAAACCTCAGAAACTTCACAAACACATGGAAATTAAACAATGCAGTCTTGAGTGACCAATGGGTCCATGAAGAAATTAAGAAAAAAAATTAAAAATCTCTTGAAACAAATTAAAAGGGAAATACATGATTCCAAATACAGCAAAAGCTGTAGTACAGGTTGTGTTTATGCCATAAATGCCTACATCAAAAAAGTAGAAATACTTCACATGAACAACCTAATGATGTACCTCAAAGAATTAGAAAAGCAAGAATAAACCAAACTCAAAATTAGTAGAAGGAAAGAAGTCATAAAAATAATAGCAGAAATAAATGAAATTGAGACTGAAAAGACCCAATACAGATCAACATAAAAAAACATTGCTTTTATGAAAAGATAAGCAAAATTGACAAATCTTTAGCTAGACTAAGAAAAAAAAGAGAGAAGACCCAAATAAACAAAATCAGAAACAAAAAAGGAGACATAACAGAAATCTATAACTGAGACCACAAAAATACAAAGAATCGTTAGAGACTATTATGAACAACTATACACCAACAAACTGGAAAACCTAGAAGAAATGCAAAAATTCTTGGACACATAAAACCTACCAAAGTTGAACTATGAAGAAGTAGAAAGCTTCAACAAATCAATAATGAGTAATGAGATCAAAGCTATAATAAAGTCTCCCATCAAAGAAAAACCTGGGACCTGATGACTTCACTTCACATTTCAAAAAGAACTAATGCCAATTCAACTCAAACTCTTCAAAAAAGATTGAAGAGAATGGAATACTTCCAAACTCATTCTATGAAGCCAGCATTACCCTAATACCAAAACCAGGCAAGAACACAACAAAAAAGAAACCACAGGCCAAATCACTGATGAATATAGACGCAAAAACTATCGGCAAAATACTAGCACATTGAATTTGACAACACATTAATAAGATCATTCATCAGGCTCAGGTGGGATTCATTCCAGGGGTGCAAGGCTGGTTCAACATATGCAAATCAATAAACATGATACATCACATTAACAGAACCAAGAAAAAAACACCTATGATTATTTTAACAGATGCTGAAAAAGCATTTGATTAAATTCAGCATCCCTTCATGACTAAGACCCTCAACAAACTGGGTATAGAAGAAACATATCTCAAAATAATAAAAGCCTATATATTCATTCTAGAACCTGGATGAGAAAAATAATAATAACAGTAATAATAATAAAGACCTATATGACAAACCCACAGCCAACATTATGCTGAATGAAGAGCAAATGAAAACCTTTCCTCTTTGCCCACCTCCACCACTTTTATTCAGCAGAACACCAGATGTCCTCTGCTCAGAGCAATTATGCAAGAGAAAAAAATAAAGGGCATCCAAATTGGAAAATAAGACAAATTAGCCTTGTTCGCAGATGACATGATCTTATACCTAGAAAAACCTAAAGACTCCACCCAACTATCATTAGAACTAATAAAAAAAAATCAGTGAAGTTGCACAATACAAAATCAATATGCAAAAATCAGTAGCATTTACATACACCAACAGAAAACAACCTGAAAAAGAAATCAAGAAAGCAATCCCATTAACAATAGTTACAAAGAATATAAAGTACTTAGGAATCAATGTAACCAAAGATGTGAAAGATCTGTATAAGGAAAAGCATAAAAGTATAAAACACTGATGAAAGAAATTGAAGAGGACATAAAAACATGGAAAGATATTTTATACTTATAAATTGGAAGAGTTAATATTGTTAAAATTACAATACTACCCAAAGCAATCTAAAGATTCAATGCAACCTCTACCAAAATACCACTGTCATTCTTCACAGATATAGAAAAAACAATCCTAAAATTTATATGGAAATATGAACGACTTCAAAGCTAGAGGCACCACACAGCCTGACTTCAAAATATACTACAAAGCAATAGTAAACAAATCAGTGTGGTACTGGCATAAAAACAAATACATAGGTCAACGGAATAGAATAGAGAACCTAGATATAAATCCATGTATTTTTAGCCCAACCCATTTTTGACAAGAATGTATAACAGGAAAAGGACAGTCCTTTCAATAAATGGTTCTGGATAAACTGGATAACCATATTCAGAGGAATGAAACTAGACCCCCTCTCACCATATACACAAATAAAATCAACATAGATTAAAGATTTAAATCTAAGACCTGAAACTGTGAAACTACTAGAATAAAACATTGGGGAAATGCTTCAGAATGTTGGCCTGGGCAAAGAATTTTTGTGTATGACCTCAAAAGGGCAGGCAAAAAAAGCAAAAATAGACAAATGAGATTATATCAAGCTAAAAAGCTTCTATACAGCAGAGGAAACAATCAACCAAGTGAAGAGACAATCCACCTAATGGGAGAAAATATTTGCTAACTATCCATCTGACACTCAAACAATAGCAAAAAAATAATTTTACTAAAAAATGGGCAAAAGATCTGACTAGACATTTCTCAGAAGAAGACATACAAATGACTGACAGGCATATGAAAAATATTCAACATCACTAATCATCACACTAGTTAAAATGGCTTTTTATCAAAAAGATAGGCAATCTGGCGAGGATGTGGAGAAAGAGGAACGAACCCTCATTCACTGTTGGTGGGAACGTATCCCAACAATCTACTTTATGAGATCCACTTTTCTGGTCCCACATATGACTGAGAACATGTGACATTTGTCTTTCTCTGTCTGTCTTATTTTTCTTAACATAATGTCCTCCAGTTCCTTCCATATTGCTGCAAATGACTGGATTTCATTCTTTTTTATGGCTAAATAGTACTCCATTGTAAATACGTACCACATTTTCATTATCCATTTTTCCAATAATAGGCACTTAGATTGATTCCATATCTTGACTGTTGTGAATAGTGCTACAATAAACATGAGAATGCAGGTACCTCTTTGGTATGCTGATTTCCTTTCTTTTTGATAGTACTTAGACAGGGAATTATTGGATCATTTGGTATTTTTAGTTTTTCTGAGGAACATCCACACTGTTCTCTATGGTAACTGTGCTAATTTACATTCCCACTGCAAGTGGGAAAGTAAATGTAACGCTTTTCATTTTTAAAATGCTTTTTTAGTTAGATGTTGTATGTTATAACTTGACTATATAATTTGTTTGTATTTCTTCTTCCATTTTTCCAGCTTTGTTTTATTGTTATTGTTCTATTCAGTGTTTTGCAAATAGCATCTATTCAATAATTTTTTAAAGTTTATTCTCCTCAAAATACTGCCTTTAAAGTTTATTCCTCACTTTCTACCTTAGTTCATGCATTTTTTTTCTTCTTAGTAGCATCATTTCAGTTAAAAGATAGGATAGAAGGATAAACAACAAACACACCAGGACAAAAACCCGTAAGACTATAAAGGTGTTTTAAAACTGGAATAAACATGATCAATACTCTTCTACTTCAGTAACCCCTCTGTGGCCATATGTGTTGAGATACTCCTGTGGCTCTAGTGGCCCATGTTCAAGGTTTATCTTGCTTCTAAAATTCTGATTGAACCAGAAGCTTGAGGAAAGAACCACATTATCACCAAGTCCTTACATGGAAGGAGTACAAAATCACTGTCACCAAGCCAGCGGGCAAAGCCTGAGCTCTGAGCTTGTAGCTCCTTCGATACTTTTATTCAGAAAATCAGCATTCCAGAGTGAGGGCAGTGTAGACTGTTTGTTGATCCTTCTGCTCAGTTCCAGAATTATAAGATAGGGTGCTTTTACTTTGATCTGCTCCAGAGGGTCAGAAAGGCCCCTTGGAATTATCATTGCTTTTGCAAACTTTCTCATTGACAACTCAAACTTAAAGTGTAATTGTACTCATATTCATGTACCCGTACTCTGTTCAGATTGAATTTTAACAAGAAAATACAATTTTTTTCCTGGTTTTTGTTCTTCTTTTGGATATTAAGATCTGAAATTCTACAGCTACAGAGATGAGATGCTAAAGCTTTTCAACCACAGGCAGTCCTCTATTTAAAAGATATATCCTAAATTGGCATTTATCTCCAGTTCCAGAGGTGGAGAGTGGGTAGTAACATCTAAGTACCTCAATGCCAGAAATAAATGGCTCCTGGGGTTAGGGACACCAGGAGAAAGCAAGGACAGAGGTTGGCAGGGTGTTTAAGAATTATGGAGATTCAAATATACAGCTTCTCTATCTCTATAAACTCAACAGTTAAATAAATGGTATTGGAAAGACTCTGTTCTCTCTGAGTATGAGGACTGTTTCTGTATTTTGCATCTGTCCACTGGGAAATCTGATTTTAACAGGTAAATCATGTAAGAGATGGCTTGACAGCTTTTGAGAATCTCATCCATTTCTTAACTTCACTCCAGAGATACGAATGTACTAATTCCATCAAGACCAAATATTTCCATCAGCATAATACTGTTCGGATCCCATAACTGGGTTATCATACATTTGGGAATTTATTCTGAGGAAATAACTCTAAAGAGAAGATATGATTTTACCTGTTTTTTGGATGCAAAAGAATTTATAATTGCAGAACCATTGGGATTGACCTTAGAGTCACACAAAGAGGGACGGTATATAAATGATGATATTTTCTTGATGGATTAGTAAAAATTATTATTATTAAAACCATGGAATAATAAGAAAAGAGATTTACAGTTAAATAATAGTGAGAAAACAAGAACATAAACTATCACCTATGTTTTGATTACAAATTTTAAAGTTGTTTATAAGAACCAGGAAAAGAAAGGAATGGAAAGCAAAACAAAACTGTCAGCAGTTGCTGATGGAAGTTTAGATGATCGTTCTTGTTTCTATTTTTCCTTTTGTGGTTACCGTGTAGTCTAATTTTGAAACAGCTGTTCTGCAGAGAAGCAATTGGGAAGTTCTGGTCTCTGCCAATATTTTCTAAGTGTGTTTCATAGGACACTAGTTAGTTCTAAAATGTTAAGGCATTCAGCGAAAACAAAAGAAAGCAAAACAAAAAGAGATTTTGATGAAATGAATGTTATATACATTTGATGTCAAAGTTGTCACTATATGGTTCCTTAGAGGAATGGTCCCCAATCTTTATGGCACCAGGGACCATTGGTGGATTCCCTTTTGTGGAAGACAATTTTTCCACAGCCCGGTGAGGGGATCCAGGGGGATGGTTTTGGGATGAAACTGTTCCACCTCAGATCATCAGGCATTAGTCTTACATGGAGCGTGCAACCTAGGTCCCTTGCATATGCAGTTCACAATAGGTTTTGTGCTCCTATGAAAACCTAATATAGCTGCTGATCTGACTGGATGCAGACCTCAGGTGGTAAAGCTTGCTTGCCCATCGCTCACCTCCTGTTGTGTGGTCCAGTTCCTAACAGGCCATGGATCAGGGCTGGTCCACAGCCCAGGGGTTGGGGACCCTTGTCTTAGAGCCTTCAATATGTTAATATAGAACATGTATCTCCCAAAAGGGAAATAAATATGCAGCCTTTTAAAGACACAGCAGACCACAGAATCACATCTCAGCATCTCCCTCCAATACACACACACACTACACACATATATACACACACACAGGCATTCGGCATGCCCAGAGTTCTGCTGAGCAAGTTGTAGGTAATTTCAGGTCCCAACTCATGCAGTCACCTTGCTCCATCAAAACTAAACAAAAACTTCTTTAGTGTCCAGAGTGTAATGGGTGGCTTAGCAATATCTTTTCATCTTTCAAGGTCTCACTCAAGTGTTGCATCCTCTGTAAACACCTTCCCAACCCCAGGCAGAACTAATCCTCACTTCCACTTTGTTTCTATTCCACTTGGCTTTTTGTCAGAACACATTGTCTTCTTTGACAATTATTTGTGTTTGCTCATCAGCTAACACAGCAATGTTCAGTTCTTGCTGTGAGTCAGAATCAACTGGGAACCCGACTACAACATAGACGCCAGGCACGACCTTCAGACACTCAGCTACATTCAGTCTAGGGGACAGATTTTGGCACAGCCTGATTGAGGACCATGGAGACAGTATCACTGCCTCCAGGCCAGAAGCAAGTTTTATTTATCTTTGTATTACCAGTGCCTGCCACTAGTGGATGGGCACAAACTTTTGCGAAAAAATGTGCCATAGCCAGGAGGATCACAAGGTCAGCAGTTCGAGACCAGACTGGCCAACATGGTGAAACTCCGTCTCTACTAAAAATACAAAAATTAGCCAGGCATGGTGGTGGGCACCTGTAGTCCCAGCTATTCGGGAGGCTGAGGCAGGAGAATCACTTGAACCCGGGAGGTGGAGGTTGTAGTGAGCTGAGATCATGCCACTGCACTCCAGCCTGGGTGATAGAGCAAGACTCCATCTCAAAAAAAAAAAAAAAAAAAAAAAAAAGTGCCATAGCAAGAAATATATTTGCTTAAAAACTGGTTTTCTAATTCCTTCGTGGGAAATAGCACATTTTGGTTAAATAAATTCATTAATTTTCTATTTTGGTCATGGAAAGATAGCTACCAAAGTATCCATGATAGGGAAGAAGAATACAAAAGTTTAGCAATATGTGGAGGACCATGAAGAGAGAGAAATCTCATGCAAACCACAATGTCCAACGTTAACTCTTCTGTTTTGCTTCATTGTTTTACAATGCCTTGCCATTATTCTCAAACCTTAAGGTCTCAGTACTCCCCCATAATGTCCTGCAGCTCAACTAGCCAGGGCCTGAGCTGTGCTGGCCCCCGAGTTATCACCTAAAAGGAAAATCAATCAGAGCTGAGAGTGGGGCTAGGTGAGTGTCATACTTACCTTGGCTGCCAAAACAAGATAAATATTTAATGCAGTATTTGAAAAATCAAATCAAAGCAAAAAATTCAACTTCAACAAAATATTAACATTTTAAATAAAGTCAGGATCCGTCCCAGTGATGTGTCAAGCCATACTTGGCCTAAGGCCCAAAGAAACACCAGTAATATTGATGCTGCCTTTATGTAAAACTTTGGTATTATGTTCACCATGGATTTCTGCATTAATTTGGATTGTTTCATGTATTGCATTAAATAGTGTTTATCAAACACACCATTTATCTTGATTAGTGTAATGTTCAGTGTTCTCTTCTATTTCGCTCCTGAGCAAGGACCTCATTGTCTCACCTTAGTCTCAACCCTGACATGGACACTTGAAAACTTCTCTGAAATTGGTCTTCCAACTTTGCAGAGAATGTTCTGTTGAGAACACACACAGCCCAATTAAATTGCAAGGAAGAAAGCTAACGAGCAAATCCCTTCATGTCAACATCTATAGACACAGAATTTCTTACAGAAGAAAAACGATTATTTTCTGAAAATAGAAGATTTCAGACTGGATCCCTAGTGGTCTAGTCTAGTTAATATAGACTGCATACAACCCCAAGCTGGGGATTGTCTTAAGAGTGGCAGAAATTGGAGAAGAAGTTGTTGAAACATGGAAAGAAATACACCAAGCATCTGTGACAACATTGGCACATCTCTGAGATAGAAAAGCTAGGAGCCTCTATCCTGAGATCTTGGGCATAGAACTTCAAATGCCTCAGTGCCATGAGTTTTCTGACTTACAGCCCACAAATGTTTGTTAGGATGAAATATAGTCAGCATTTATAGGTACAAATTTTTACTCTGACCAAATGTAAGGAGAAAAACCACTGAGGGATACACATATTAGAGTGATTACTGCAAAGGAATGTATAGAGGGGCTGTCAAATATATGGCAGAACAAAGTATTTCTGAGACTATTTTATTGGGAACCCTTTGGAATAAAATGAACTGGAATAGCACAAGGGATTTATAGGAATTCTTGAAGTATTCTTTCCAGGTAAGCTAAATTAGGATAAAGACATTTGAGAGCAGAATTGGCTGTCCTTAGGAAAAATCTATAACAGCAAGGTCAGCACTGAAAGTCCAAAGCAGACACAGGAAGTGGAAGTCGCTGCAGGTCAGATTCAGCAATGAGATTGTGTCCCTGACACCAAGACGTTATGCCAATCTTGACCTCCACTCCGGTGCCGTCCACTCTGCTGCAACTCTAAGGCAAATGGCCATGAACAGAAGAGCTGCTGCTCATTCGTCTTGTACTTAAGAACCCAGAGTCTGTTTGGGAAAAGAAAATGGTACAGAAGAATGGAAACCAAGCCACCCAGGTTTTGGGAACTCAGCATTGTCCCAGAGCCTGCTGGTAAGGGCTCCAGGTATGGAAAGGGCAAGCAGAGCTCTGATGAGGAATGCCGGCTGCACAGAGTGCCCAATATAGAAGGAGCATTGCCCTGCTCTGAATAGGGGTGTTGGTGGGAAAACTTCCTATAGAGAAAGAGTCTGCCAGCCTCAGAATGAGGAGTGCTCTTGTCTGTGAGCCCTGCCACTAAGGGGATGCTGAACACCTATGCTTCCCTCTCAGAAAGCCTGCTAGTAACTCCACTCTGTGAAATGAGGTTCCCTAAGAAAGAAGAAGAAAATAAGAGCTGTAATAGTAGAGATCTTGCATGGGGAGTGTGAGAAGCTCACTTCATAGTGAAGCTTAAATGCACTGCTCACGATGTAAAACATATAAATGATGCAGGTGCATTGTTGTAAACCATCTTCTTTTGGGGATCAACTTGAATAATTCAGGCTTTCTCAGAAAATGATGTGTTTCTGTCTTTCCTGAACTCCCACGCATCTCTTGGGGTACAAATTTAAGGGAGAGATGCCCTTGCAGGGGATGCAAACGTTTTGATGAGAGGGCGGGTGTGGTGGCTCACACCTGTAACCCCAGCACTCTTGGAGACCAAAGCAGTTGGATCACCTGAGGTCAGGAGTTGGAGACCAGCCTGGCCAACATGGTGAAACCCCGTCTCTACTAAAAATATGAAAAGTTGCCGGGCATCATGGTGCATGCCTGTAATCCCAGTTACTTGTGAGGCTGAGGCAGGAGAATCACTTGAACCTGGGAGGCGGAGTTTGCAGTGAGCCAAGATCACACCACTGTACTCCAGACTGGATGACAGAGCGAGACTCTGTCTCTAAAAAAAAGAGAGAGAGAGGAAAAAAAAGGTTTTGTTGAGAGAAGAATGTAATAGAGAAACAAACAAAACAATTGCAGTTTATCCTTGAATAATGCAGAGATCAGTGGCACCAACCCCTACACGGTACAAAAAACTATAACGTTTGACTCTCCCCGAATTTAACTACTAATAACCTACTATTGACCAAAAGGTTTCCTCATCACATAAACAGTTGGTTAACATATATTTTATATGTGCTATGTAGTATATACTTTATTCCTATAGTAAACTATGCTAGAGAAAAGAAAATATAAAATTAAGAAAATAACCAGGAGAGGAAAATATATTTACTATTGCTTAAGAAGAAGTGGATCATCACAAAGGTCTTCATCCTTGTCTTCGCATTGAGGAGGCTGAGGAGAAGGAGGAAGAGGAAGGATGGTCTTGCTGTCTCAGGAGTGGCAGAAACAGAAGAAAACCCACATATAAGTGGACCTGTACAAGCTTGTGTTGCTCAAGGATTGACTGCATTGATGACGTATCAGTTGTAGTAAGAGTCCTTCCTACTGAGATGAGGAACATTTGTGTATGTGTAGCAAGACGTCTTGATGGGTCATTCGGGCCAGAGTTAGGAAGCACTCAGGCATGGCCTAGTTAAGCAGGGTTCACGAGAGACAGCCACGCCACTCTGCCTGGTAAAGTGGAAGACACTGTAGAGTTTCAGGAAATCATCGTGATGGATGACATGCTCTGCTGGATAGTGGAGGTAAAAGCAGACACTACAGGAAAGGCTGAGACCACGGTGAGGGTGTTGGGCCTTGGGGAGAGAAACCTGTGAAGCAGAAACTCACTGTAGAGCATGGTGGTCCAATGCTCTATTTAAAGTTATCTGCTGTGCTTAGCTGTGCTGTTATCTCTAGCCTCACTTGTACACCAAGTTAGTTAGTAGAAATCTTTCTACTAACCACAAGTGGCTTTCATGAATTGGGTTTTGAAGACAAGGCAAAACAAAACCAAAAAGAGTCAGTATTCTGTAGGTTGGTAATGGGGTGAAGTGAAAGGAATAGTCACAAAATGTGAGCTTCAGGGGAAAATAAGAATAACACTGAAATATAACAAGGGAACAAAAAGAGATGAGAAAAATCAAAAGCCCTTGAAAGTCTTTGGTGCAATGGCAGGTGGAGGATGGAGAAACTGGGAATGGGGTTTCCTCGTCACATGAGAGTGGAGCTCCAGCCATTTCACCTCACTATTGCAGTGAAAGGTGACCCCATAAGGCTGGCAGAGAGGAGGACTTCCAGGTGACTGACATAGAAATGAGGCTTAAATGCCATCACATGCCACATAATGGCATAATAGAGTTTCTTTTCCCAGAGTAATAATAATGCACTTGAGAAAAGGCTTTTACATGAGTAAAGAGAACATTATTTCTGAATATTTAATGCAAAATTGCCATAGAATAAAATGATCATTAAATATGTAAATGCTATTTACACGTGCTTATTACTCAGATAACTCATCTCTTATATAATGTGATCTCTGTGCCCTAATTTATCACTTGGTCATGAACTCCACAAATCAAAATCTAGGGCAGCTTCTCACAAAGAAGCAAGTTGATGAAATGCATACTCAAAAAAATCCCTTTTCACTGCTAACAGTAGTTTTCTGCATTTGGTCTTGCTGCTTTCGACCAAGGGAGAAAAGATGGAAACAAGCACCCTACAAAAAAACTGATGTAATGCCAGGTGGTGAAGGGTCTTTGGATCAAAGATAAGTCCAAATATTCAGTCTCAAGTAGAGAGGAGTGGTTGCCATAGTCTCTTTTAACGTAGTACTAAGCAAAATATTAAGAATTTTTTAAATTGCCCTTTGTTCATCACAAATGAGCCAATTTTCTACTTTCTCATGAGGGATGCTTAAGTGGTATTTATTATTTCTAAAATAGAATAAAATGAAGCTGGCAATAGCTTCCTCACTTGTTCTGATGCTCATTAATGTGCTTTTATTTTTCCTTTCATCAAAGGGACCAAGTTACTCAAAGTGCCGAATTTCAGCCTTCCCTGTCCCCCTCTTCCCTGCAGAGCTACTGAATCAGAATCTGCATTTGAATATATCTCCAGGTGGATTGTATCCAAGTCCATGCTGGTTTTATAAGTGTCACCTTGGCAAGCTGGAACTACATTTCCCAGGGTCTCCTTGCTGTAAGGCCTCAAATTAGAATTGGCCAAAGGAGAAACCTCCATGAGATTTACAAGGCAGAAGTGAAACAGCACCCTTTGCTCTCCAACGGTCTCCATGGCTGCCATGAGACATATAAATATAGTCCCCTGAGTTCCAGTCTTTCTTAGTTCTCTCCCATTCTACATCCAGCTCTTCTTTCACAGGAAAGACAAAAGTGTCATCCTTTCCATCACAGGAACTCTCAGCCCACATCCAGACACAGAAGCAGTAGCCTTCCGTAGACTTCACTGTCACCCCTTCTCATTCCCACTGGCTTCTAAGATTTCCCTGGAAGCTCCAGCTGGTCCTCACCAATGGACATTGCATGTCAAAGCTTCAGGAAAGGGAGGTTCGTTAGTGACTTTTCTCTAATTCTCCAACTCTACTTCCCAGCTCATTCCTTTGTTCTAAGGGATCCAATGCCTCTAATAAACCCCCTTACTCCATATTACTCATAGCGGTTTTGCTTTCTTGGTAGAACCTTAGTAATACATTGATGTTTAGAAACACTGGTCTAAGCTGCATGTATGCTTCACAAGAAACATTGCTAGTTAAAGATTTTCAGCAAGCCTGTAGCCCCATGCCATTACAGAATTTATCTGAATGATGTGGATGCTTTTCAATCAGTGTTGCAGGAAGATTTGGAGGTCTCTTACAATTTTTGGTGAGTGTCCCTTATTTATATTACTAGAACTAGTTAAATGGAGGTAGTAGAGCCTGAGAAGCCTATTGACGTTGGTCCAGCTTGGCTGGATGTTTCAGCTTGGAAGAGGTAGGTGGTAAAGGTGAACTGTTCTCACTTTGAACACCTTATCCTAATCCTTAAAATTTTTTCTGGTTTATTTTTTAGTGATCAGTTGCAAGCTCTTTGAATTCTGTGTTGATTATATCTCTCATTTGCAAGTAATAGACACCAACCCCAAACCAGCCTAAAGTGGTTAAAAGCATTGCTTTTTGCTTTTTCTCTCTTAACTGAAACATTGTTTTTTGTTTCATTTTGTTTCTGTTGTTGTCGTTGTTGTTGCAGGGAGGAGTCAATTGAGTTTCAGGTGTGAATTGATCCAAAGACTTAGGTGACGTCATGGGGATTCATTATCTCCCCATCCCTCTGCTTTCTGTCTTTCCTTCTTGGCCTCATTTTTGGAAAGATTTATTTCAGTGACAGTTGAAGACACTTCACAGCTCTAAGTCCAGTTGAATAAGAAAGAGAACACTGACTTTCTGGTCATCCAAGAAAAATTCTGGGATTAGTCCAATGGGACTTGATGAGCTGGCATATATGTCCCTTGCCTATTTATGACCCAATCATTTGGCTAGGAGAAGGGATGCTCTGATGATCCAGGTCAAGATCATAGGTATAGGTCCACCCTAGTAGCCGCAAATGGAATGTCCGCTACCTGAAGTACCCTGTAGTCCTGGGGACTAGCACAAAGCACCTGGGGCAAGCACAAACCACCACCACCACTGTAATGGAATAGGTAGATGGTCACTTCAGGCTCTGACTGTAATACACTTTAAATTTTTCTATACTAGTTATCTAGAAAGCAAATATAACAGTACATCATGGCTTATACATTTTAAATGCATTAAATGTTCACTGTTGAAATTTTTGAAAGTGCAAGAAAGTATAAAAGGAAAAAAAATCACAGTAATCTCACTACCAAGAGAAAATCATTATAATCATGTAGGTGCGTAAACTTTTTTTCAGGTAATTTACTAAAGAATATTTTCCATATTATTGCATATACTTCTATACTGTACTTTACAATAGTTGCCTGGTTTTCCTTGCATTACATTGTACACCCCACCAGTTCAATGTCGAGAGACATTTTTTATTGTTTCTAAATTATGAACATTATGCGTAAATTACTAACACATAAATCTTTGTGATTACCTATGATAGTCTGGACAGGAGAAATGCCAAGCAGGGAACTTGCTGGATTAAAAAGCATAAACATTTTTCAAATTCCCAGCTTATTGCCACCCATAAATGCATTATCAATTTACACTTCTATCAGCTGTGCATTCTGCTACTTCCTCAACAATGATTATTAAAAGTATATTTTATGCTTGTCAATGTGATAAGCAAAAATAATGTCATTATTGTTTTCTTTTTTATTTGTGAAGTTAAACCAATTTTTCGTGTGAATATTTGTGTTTTATGCATTTTATTGTGAACTTCCTCTTCAGTTCCTTTGCCCATTTTAAAAATTGAATTGTTTATCTTTTCCTAACAAGGAAAATTATCTTTTCCTGATTGTTCTGTTAGGCTCTTTGCATACTAGGAATCCTTTATAATATATGTTACAAATATTTTTCCCAGGTTAACATATAATTTTAAATTATTTTCAAAATCGAAACTCACATTTCCATTTATTTTTGTGGACCAAATAATCTTTCCATTTATGTAACTTGCTTTTAGTATCATTCTTAAAAATGCCCACATTCACTCCACTAAAAAGAAAAAACATAAATTCCTAAGTCTCCTTCAGGCATTCTGTGCTGTTAAATGGTTTATGATAAATATTAGTTACCCATTGATATGATTATCCCAGTAATGCTGCTGTTCCCCCCAATCCTGATATCCAAGAAGGCAAAACAAAATAGTAATTTCTGATGTCAAATAATGTTATTTGCACTGCATTCCCCTATGAATTTGGGTCTCTTTTCATTTGGAATCATTCATTTCTGGTGATACGTTTCTCTATTCTAGTCCCAGAAACACATTGTTTAACAACTGTTGTTTGGTAGTATATTTTATTTTCTGCAAGTGAAAGTCATGTCTTATTTAAATTATTCAAAATTTGCATATTTTATTATACATTTTTGGACATGATGTGGAATAATTTTGTCAAGCTAAACAAGCCGTTCTGAGGTTTTTATTGAAATTGCTTTGAATGTATAAATTAATTTACAAGTTAAAGTATTTCTTCCCATCCAGTAGAATTTTATATTCCTTTCTTTTTCCCAAAAAGAAATTCAATTTCTCCTTAATTGAATGTGTTTTAAGCCCCATGAAACAGGACGACCCTTTGTCCACATTCAGAAATCTGTCTTGGGCTGACAGCAGTAAAAATGCTTATCATGTTTTTTTCTTCCTAATCGACCTACTGATCTATTCTGGCATTGCCACGGCTTTCCAGGGAGGTCTGGGAAGCTCTCTGACAAACTGTCGATAGCCAAGTGAGATGTGACCTTGGAAGCCCCACCCCTCCATAACAGAGTGACTGATAGGGCCCCTCCCATGGTCCTCTCTCTTAAAGGAAAGAAGACAATTTGCAAACACTCAGCCTAAAGTATGCTCCTTGAGGAAAGCTAGCCAGAACTCACAGTAGCAGAATGGGTCATTTTCTTCTACCTCAAAGCAAATTCTCTTAGAGCAGCAGGAAATGAAGTGGTATTCACACTATCAATTACATCAACTGTTTACCTCATGAACTCAGCTGCAGAGACAGCCATGTTCCAGACCAAAAGAATTTAATAAGCCCATGGTAACCCTGCAGTAACAAGCACCTTGGCAAATTCAAGGTCTGAATTCACATGATTACAATCCAGCTGCCAGGAAGGTGCCATCCCATTATTGACTTATAATGCTATGTTATTTATTGGGATAATTATGCTTTTCTATCCCTCCGGGGCTCAGAATCAGAGAAAGTAACCAATGTATTCTTATTCATTCAGCATGTGAGCAAATTTCAAGTCAGAATAGATCTCTCCAAGGTCTGTTATACTGTATGGAGGCACCCTACAGGCTTTGGTCCCTACCCCTAAAGATTACAGGGGCTAACAGGGTATTGTATAAATCAGTGGGAAGTTGGTTCTTGTAAGTTCAGTGAAGCAAAATTTCTGTTTTGTCAGAGCAATTTTGCCTGGAACTCTCTCACTCACTGCTCTCAAATGTAAGCATCTTGTTCCTGCTCTCAGAGCTTCAGAGCTTCTTTATAATACTGTAGGTATGAAAATGAAATGTTTACATATTCAAAATTTGGCTATTATTTTATCATAATTTGCATATATTCTATGTTGCATATATTCTAAATAACCCTACAAAGAAATTATTATTGCAGATGAGGAAACAAAGGCTCAGAGTAACTACATGACTTATTTGGTGGACACAAGTAAATAATTCTCTTTTTCCTGAATATGATTCATTTGCTTACTTATCTGATTTCCTGCCAGGTTTCCTAAATCTTTGAAATCAGACATATTCTAGCTAGATCCCTAATGCCTCAGCCCCTGGTGTTGGCCCTGATATATAGTAAGAATTTAATGAATATCTGTTGAGTAGTGGGAAAATGTTGGGCTACAAGCCAGTAAATGATGGGATCCAATCTCAGTCCTAATAATTATAAACCTTGTGAACTTGGGCCTACTACTTTTCTCTGCACTTCATTTTCCTCATCTCTAAATTGGAGCTAATAACACCAAATCAGACCAAACTTCTCTTTCTCACAGGTTTGTAGTAAGGATTAAATAAAATTCAATATAGGAAAGAATTTTCAAATACATTATGCAGTATGGATAAAATGAAATCCATCTTCTCAAATATCTGCTTATAGAAAGGTTTAGCCTAGATTGGAAGAGACCATTATACAAGTGACATAGAGATCAGAGCTGTTTCTGTAACATCAGAGTTTACTGAGCCTGTTCCAGTGGATCCTTCTTGCTGATCACTGATCTCCAGTCTCTGAATCATTTTGCATGGTGCTATAGAAAGATCTATGAATACAGAATCAAAATATATAGGTTTAATATTAGTTTTGTCAGCAATAAGCCATGTGGTCAAGTTATTTAAATCCTGGGCTTCAGTTTTTATCTTGTTTTCTATAAAACAATGATGGTAGTAGTGGTGATAATTATGTGTATGGAGGGAGAGGGTGGAACGGGAGGGGATGGATTAAATTGTCTCTAAATGACATTGCAGCCTTATTATTATGATCAAATTAGAGTTTGGAGAGAGTGGTGTGAATAAGATGGATGCTTAGAGTTTGAGGTATATGTATGAGCACGCAGGGTCATGGATAAAGAATGAGAATCCAGAATGCCATCTCCCCTCTCCCGCTAAAAGAAAACATTTTACACACAGAGGTCGCAAGTAAACCTGCTGCAGGGTTGGACCTACTTCCACTGGGGTTGGAGTTAGTTCGAATGTGGATCTATCCCTAAGTACCTTCTAATTGGATAGCTTCCCCCATTAAAGAGCCCTTGGAGCCTTGGGCAGCCAGACCCTGCTGTCAGGGCTTTGGTTGTTGACTTCTTCAGTGTGGGGTGGGGGGAGGGGTACTCACGGGAATGTTGTCAACAGCATTCACATGATCCTCTGAGGCCAGCACAAACCATCAGACACTGTCGCTTTTGTCTTGCTCTGACCATTACTCCTGGTTGTTTTCTTTCTGAAGGTGCCCGAGGCTCCAGCCTTTTCCTCCATTTCCCTAATAAACGTTACCTAGCAGCTACAATTCTCCTGCAATACATCTGAAAAATTCATCACTTTTTTGGCAGGCTTTGAACTTTGCTGCTTGCTCAGAGGATGGGATCTAAAAATGAAACTGGCTTACTTAGCAGTGGGAATAATACAAATTTCATAAACATCAAAGTCCTATTTTTCTGTTGTATTTCACATTAGTTTCACGTGATTCACATCCATTGCCATATTTTACCTTAAGAAATGGATCTATGTGTGAAAAAAAAATGTATTCTTGTGAGGTTTGCAATGGAAAATTTTCCAACATCAACCATGTTATTGTATTTCCTTAGCACTGGTTAGTTACAGACCCTGCTGTGGCTTGATTCACATTCATGATAAGAGAAAATAAGCCTCTTAAGGCATCCTTGAACTTAAGGATGAAGAAAAATGCCTTAAGGAGACATTTCAGCTCCAGAGTACAGCTCAGAGCCACCAAATCTGTGAGAAAGCTGATGATGAAAGACAAAAATATTTTTTAGTCATGGATTTTATAAGCTAAACCCCAGGGATTAGTTCTTGGTGGTGGAAGAATGTGAGAGGCACATTGGCAAAGAGCCTGCTGAATAATTGTAATGGCCTTCCCTATGAATAAAATAGTATTATTACTTTGTACCTTTGCTAAGGACTAGGGTCTAGGGAAAGTCAGGCAGGCAGAAAAAGATAGTTGTCTTTGACTTCAGTGGTGGAAAATATATTCCCAAAATAATCACACTGGACTATGGAGTGCCACTGGAAGAACTCTTTAAAAAACAAAACCCCCCCAACACACACACACACACACACACACACACACACACACACACACACACACACAGAGTAAATCCCTGAGGTCCAAACTCAACTGGAGCCTCAGTACTGCCCAGCATTCTTATAGCTCCTTTTAGACTGCTATCTTCCATTGTTCAGAATGGTTATTTCAAGTCTTCTCCATTTATCTCCAAGTGTCCCAAGCCACCTTCCTCAAAGACTCCCCAGAGATAACACTGGGTCCAAGTTCTTAATAAAAGTAAAAGCAGCAGGTCAGTACTCCCTTGACTTTCTGTCGTTCAACAGGCAAACTTAATTTCACTGGCACCAAGTTAGTTTACTAGGCCTGCCGTAACAAAGTGCGAACTGAGTGGCTTAAACAACAGTAACTTACTCTCTCACAGTGCTGGAGGCTAGAAGTGTCAAATCAAGGTTGATTCCTTCTGAAGGTGGTCTTGGAAAATCTGTCCCATGTCTCTCCTAGGTAGTTTGCTGACAATCTTTGGCTTTTTTTTTTTTTTCACCTTCTGTAACATCTCCTGATCTCTGCCTTCACCACATGGCTTTCTCTCTATGTGTGCATGTTAGTGTCCAAATTCCCACCCACTACTATTAAAAAAAAATTTTTTTTGAGACAAGGCCTTGCTCTTTGTTCAGGCTGGAGTACAGTGGTGCAATCATGGCTCACTGCATCCTTGACCTCCCCAGGACTCAAGAGATTCTCCCATCTCAGCTTTCTGTGTAGCTGGGACTACAGGCATGCACCACCACACCTGGAGATACATACATACATATATATATATACACACACACACACACACATATATATACACACATATATATAGTATACTATATATATGTATACATACAGGGTGTATATATGTATACTAATATATAGTATATATATAGCATATATAGAGAGTATATATATAGAGTATATATATATATAGTATGTTGTAGAGATGGGGTTTTGCCATGTTGCTCAGGCTGGTCTCAAACTCCTGGTTCAAAAGTACTGGGATTACAAGCATGAGCCACCATACCAGCCTCCCCCTTTATATTGTCTTATCTTATATTTTGAGACAGAGTCTCACCCTGTCACCTAGGCTGGAGTACAGTGCCATGATCTCGGCTCACTGTAGCCTCTGCCTCCTGGGCTCAAGTGATTCTCCTGCCTCAGCCTCCCGAGTAGCTGGGACTATAGGCATGTACCACCATGCCCAGCTAATTCTTGTATTTTTAGTAGAGATGGGGCTTCGCCGTGTTGGCTAGGCTGGTCTTGAACTCCTGGCCTCAAGAGATCTGCCCCCCTTGGCCTCCCAAAATGCTGGGGTTACAAGCATGAGCCACCATGCCTGTCCTCTTCTTTTTACAGGGATATCAAACATATTGGATTAGGGACTTACCTTACTTCAGTATAACCTCATCTTAACAATTACATCTGCAATGGCCTTATTTCCAAATAAGGTCACACTCTGAGGCAGT
Organism: Homo sapiens; assembly: GCF_000001405.40. Lineage (NCBI taxonomy): Eukaryota > Metazoa > Chordata > Mammalia > Primates > Hominidae > Homo > Homo sapiens. Next base: position 96,896,666 of record NC_000013.11, on the reverse strand, counting down.
AGGCGTTAGGATTTCAATACATGAATTTGGGGGAGACACAGTTCAATCCATAATAAGTATCCACCTTTAACCCATGACTGATCTTTTCAAAAGTACATTTCCTTTTAGGTGTGGCTACTCCCTCCACAGATGTTCTGGAGTCTGACCATTGCTGCTACCTCAGAAACACTGTTTAATCAGGCGCCTCCTTGCTTCTCAACAACTACAGTTGTTCCTTTCATACAACTCATTCTAATCAGCATTTAACCAAGTTCATCTTTCTCCCACCTCAAGAAACAACTGCAACAACAGAGGCTTTCATGAGCCTCACATCCCATGTGAGCTTTGGCCCTGTGCTCTCTTTTCCTTTGCAGTATACATCAGCTCTCTCCACTTGCTTATAGCCTATTCACTCAGTTCACTAAAATATGGCCTCCTCGCTCCTTACTTCATTCACATTACTATTGTTAAGAACAGGGGATGACTTTGCTCTTGCTAGATGCAATGGCTCTACAGGCTTCCTCTTACCCAAGTCTTCATCATGATTTAACACTGGTGACTTATCCCAACTTCTGGAAGTCCTTACCTGTTTCAGATTCCACACTTCCATATTGCCCTTGAAACAGACTTTGCAAAAAATTTAACAATAAGAAAATTACGGCAGTAAAAGAGATCTGATCTAACCCACCCCCATCTTGCCCTTCCCTTAATTATTCTTGGGCTTTTGGGCCAAGCTAACTTTGGAAGACATTTAGATTATGGTTTAAATGATAATAGCCCTTCTCTAAAACTCAACCATCAACCATCTTTGCAAAGCTAATGAAGTCCACCAGGCTACAAGGAAGAGAGGACCCTGATTCTGCTAAGGTATGTGCACTTATCACCAGATATTCCTGCAGATAACACCACTACTGCAGACTGGCCTTTTGAGGTACGTTTTCAGGAATTTTTTTTTGCATGTCTGACATCCCTGGCTCCACCTGGCTCCATGTGGGGATGGCTCCATGTGGACTCCCCAACCTTTCCCTTGTGGCCACACCCAGGAGCAATTCAGCTCAGATGAACAGCTTTGACTCCCTATGACTTCACCTCCAACACAACCAGTCATCAGCAAGCACCCATTATGTGACCACTCCCACTCCCTTCCCCAAATTGCCTTTGAAAACGACAGGACTTCAGGGGGATTGCTTTGAGTATTAACTGTCTCCCCTGTGACATGGCTGGCCTCATGTCAATTAAACTTTCTTTACTGCAATGCTGTGGTCTTTGTTTGTGCAGCAGGCAGCAAGAACCCCTTGGGCAGTTCCATTCTCATACCATGATTTTCTTTTTACCTCGCTGGCTGATACATCACAGTCTTCTTTGCTGGTTCCTTTTTGTGAATCCTTTAAAATGTCAGAGGCCCATCTTCAATCCTGTAGACTCTCCTCTTCTGTGATGTCTTCCAACCTCAAAGCTCTAATGACTATCTGTATGCTCTTACCCTCAATTATATTTCAAGCTAGGATTTCTCTCCTGAGGTCCAGACCTATGTGAATAAAACCAGTGGACATCTTCAGATAGATATCCACAGACAGCTTAAACTCAACTGTTCCAAACTGAATTCATCACAGGTCATCAAAATCTATTTCTCCATCTATGCCCAATATCTCAATGGCACTGTTATTTTACCTTGTGTCTCAGCCAGAAAACATGGATTTTTATTTACGTTTTTCTTTCCCACAAACCACATCCAATTACACCGATTCTTTGGACTCTCTCTTATCTTTTGAAATTCTCCAATTCTCTTCCTGGCAGTCCTTATTTCAGGCTATAAGCATCCTTTTCCCAGGCAACTGCATCAGCCTCCTAACATGTCTCCCTTTCTCTGATCTTGCCATCTATGATGCATTGTCCACACTGCAGTCAGAGCAACCTTTCTCATAATCTGTCCTATGCATGACTCCTTGGTAGCCCTGCTCCTTAGCCTAATGGAGAGCTCCAACCATTCTGAAGCTCTTGCCGGTCCCCAGTGCCTCATGATTTCCCTCACCCCACAGCCTTTATGCACATTGCTGTCACAGGAATGTCCATTCTTCACTCTTTTATCCTGTACTACCAACCCTCCAATTGGAAAACTCATATCCCCAAAACTGGCATGAAAAGTACTCCTAAATTTTCCCATGCCAGCAGGTTACTACTAGCTTTCCTAACTTTTATCACATCATCTATTATATATATATATTCTATATGTATTAACATATTCCTTGAGGACTAGGAATTTGCAATGTGTAGTTAAGAAATAGCTTATCTCTCACTGCACAGCACAGAGGCTGATATGTAGTAGTTGTTCAATACATGACTGTTTTGTTTTGTTTCTAGAGACACTGTGTCACCCAGGCTGGAGTGCAAAGGCACCATAGCTCACTGCAGCCTTGAACTCCTGGGCTCAAGCAATCCCCTCACCTTAGCCTCCCAAGTTGCTGGGTCTACAGGCATGTACCACCACATGCAGCTAATTTTTTAAATTTTTAAATTTTTTGTAGAGACAGGGTCTCACTTTGTTGCCCAGGCTGGTCTTAAACTCCTGGGTGCAGGCTATAGTCCAATTTAGCCTCCCAAAGTGCTGGGATTATAGGTGTGAGCCACCGCATCCCTCCATAAATGTCTATTTAATGAATGAATAAATGAAATGAATAAATACATGAATAAATGATCAAGCCTTCAGAGATATTATTAAAACAAGCCATATTTGACTTAAATAGCAAAACTGGAGGTGGTACATTTTGAAACCCCAAACAAATGTAATCAAATACAGATAAGCTAAAAAAAAGAATCAGAAAGACCCCCAAATGCTTAAGTACATGGATAACTTTTAAGAACTCATTTTGTTGACAGTTTTAAAATACCACCTAGGTGTTTGTAAAGAATATTCAAGGTCAGATTTGGAAGAAAATATAAACTCCTCTTCATTTGCACATTGATTAAAAAATAGTCTTCCTACTGTTTCAGGTAGTCAAAAGCACTACAAAACAGACTTATTGGGATCTGTGTGTAATACAAATGAAGTCAATGGCAGATTTATACTGCTAGGAGAAGCACATTAAAGGCTGCTTCTGTCACTGTCTCTGAAGGAAGCCTCTAGACTCTCCCACAGGGTTCAGCCTAGCATAATAAAATAGCATAAAGAGTATGAACTTCTAGTTCTTCTATTTGTAGTATTACAAGGTAATATTGAACCTTCATTGAACAGAGGAGGAGGCATTTCTTAAGTCTAAAACTTAATAATAGCAAATCCTGTCAACCATCAGAATATATCCAAAATCTAGCTAGTTTTCACTACCTCTTCAGCTACCCCTTTTGTCTCCAATCACCAGAATTTCTTGCCTAGATTATTCTAAGGTCTCCTGACATCTGCCCTTGCACTTTGACTTTCTGTTCTTAACATAATAGCTAAGGAGATCCTGCCCAACAAAAGTGAAAGCATTTTACTCCGCTGTATAATTCAAAATAAAAACCAAAATGCTTATAATGGGCTTGAACATCTTACAAGATCAGCCTCCCCATCCCCAGCCATGAACACTCTGACCTCACTTCCCCTCCCTCCTTCCTCAGTCACTCAATTCTAGCCACACTGGCTTCTTTGATTTCTTTAAGCACTCCTGGCATGCTCCTGCCTCAGGGCTTCTGGAATTCCTGTTCCCCCAAACGGAAGCATTTTTCCCAAACATCTCCATGCCTTGCTAATTTGCCTCCTCCACGTCTTTACTGTAATGATTACTTTTCTGCGGCATCTTCCCTGTCCACTTTATTTTAAATTACAATCCTCTGTCACCATTAGCACTCTCTGTTTGCCTTTTTTGCCTTATTTTGCTTCTTAGCACACAATTCCATCTGACAGTTCGCTTATATATTTGTTTCTTTAGTGTTTGGTTTCCCACATTATACACTCTTTGGGATTATTATCAGCTCTTGTTTACTGATGCATTTCCCTGCATTTAGAACAGTGTCTGACACATAGTAGCCGCTCAATAAATAGCTGTTAAATGAAAATAAAATATCAAATTTGAAGACCACTTTAGCCAGAAGGACATAGAGGATCAAATTAATGTTGCCACTAAAAAAAAATAAAAAATGGACAAAATAGATGAGGTTTTTTTTTCAGATATTTGACAATGGGAAGCACAGAAAAGGACAAGCAACAAAGTGAGCCCCAAACTTGCCCCAGCTTGGTGCCTTAAAGGAATTTACAGGGTGCAATGCAGGAAGAGGCTCAGCAATATACCCAAGTTGAGGAGACAAAATCTAGGGGGCCCAAGGTGGCTAGAACTCACAGGGAAGAGGAATGGAGAGGAGAGAGTTACATGGAGAGGCTCCAGACATCCATGGGAAGATCCCTTTGAATTTTCAGCTGAATACTGATCAGTGCATGCATGTGAAGAAACTACATCAGACCCGGAAAAAATAGCAGGAAGGATCTGACAGAATCATCCTCAATGATTGCACCAGCCAGAGTGGAAATGCCTCCTCACCCATAGAGCATCAAGTACAATCCTCAGAAGGATATTGTCACAGTAATGAGGTAAAGAAGAACCAGACTAAAAGTTGTTCTGGACCCAGCTAGCACAGCTTGAAAACAAACATGAAAAAGATCAAATTGTTTCCAAGTAATTTAAGTGTGTCTCTGAACAAAGACCAAAAATATTTAAGAGAATACAAAATTCTCTAGCAAACCATAATGAATGTACATTTCATAGCATCTGACATCCAAACAAAAATAAACAGGCATTCAAAGAAATAGGAAATTCAACCCATAATGAGCAGAAAAAAGTAAAACAATAGAAACTATGCAGAAATAATATTGTATACATTGAATTGTATCCCCCACTGCACCAAATTTGTATGTTGAGGTCCTAAATTGCAATACCCAGAATGGAATCTTATTTGGAAATAGAGTAATTGCAAAAGTAATTAGCTAAGTTAAGATGAGTTTTAGGGTAGCTCCTAAAGCAATATCACTGGTATCCTTTAAAAAGGGATAAATTTGGACACAGAGAAAAATATGTATAAGGGAAGATGATGTGAAGAGACACAGAAAGAAGATTACCAACTGCAAGCCAAAGAGAGAGGCTTAGAATTGATCCTTCCCTCATAGTCCTTAAAAGGAGCTCACCCTGCCAACATCTTGATTTCATACTCTGGCCTCTCAAACTATAAGATAATACATTTATTTTGTTTAAGCTCATTTTGTGGACTTTGCTATGGCGGCCCTAGATAACTATTGCAGACATCAATAATAATATTAGTAAAGAATGACATAAATATAAACAGTAGACTAGAAAAGGTAGAGGAAAACATGCACATGATAAACAGACTTTTAGAAAATATCTTTAGAAGATCCAATTTGAAGTAATATTGATGAAAACAACAATATTTGAGACCAAAAAATACATGAAGGGAATTAATAACAGATTCTACCTACAGAAGAAGATTAGTGAACTTGAAAACACAGCAATAATAACAACCTGAAATCCAACACAGAGAAAAAAAGACAAAAACAACAAAACAAAAAACCAACCCAAACCAAAAAGAACAGTATTTGTGAGTTTTGGAACAGGTTTTAGTAGCCTAACACAAGAAATTGATGTCCTAGAAGAAGAGATTAAGAGAAAAATAAATATTTGAAGAAATAATGGCCCAACATTTTCCAAGAAGCTTAATAAATTCCAAGTAAAAGAAACATGAAGAAAATTACATCAGGGTATATCTGATATGGTTTGGCTGTGTCCCCAGCCAAATCTCATCTTGAATTGTAGCTCTCATTGATACAGGAGCTAGAAAGAAATTATTTAGGCAGATAGTGAGGGTAAAGGAGTCCTCGGCAAGGCTTCTCTTTAAAAAAAAAAAAAGCGGCCCCCAAATCATTTCTTTTCTAATAAACAGCAGCCTGAAAAATCGAGCTGCAGACATAGGTAAGCAAGCTGGAAGCTTGCATGGGTGAATGCCAGCAGCTGTGCAAAAAGAAAAGGGCTACCTGGAAGCCTGGTATGTTCAACATGGAAGCTTCATCTTCCCTTTTCTTTGTCACCATGTGTACAGTAAAGGAACAGGCAAAATGGTGCCAGCCAAGTACAGAACCCATCTGCATAATCAAAGATTAGGGTAGGGTGGCCAGCTTCTTCATGCACTATGCAAATGGCACACCTGGTCTGGCCAATCTTTTGTGCCCTATGTAAATCAGACACCACCTCCTCAAGCTCATCTATAAAACCTTCTACATTTCATTGAGGAAGCAGCAACCCATTTTCTCTGGGATCCCTCTCTGTGCAGAGAGCTCCTCTCTTTCTTTCACCTATTAAACCTTTGCTCTTAACCTTACTCCTTGTGTGTCTGCATCATTGATTTCCTTGGTGAGAGGCAACCAACCTCAGGTATTACCCCAGACGAATGATGCTGCTTCACCATAATCCCCACATGTCATGGGAGAAACAGGGTGGGAGGTAATTGAATCATGGGGGCTTTTCTTTCCCATGCTGGTCTCATGATAGTGAGTAAGTCTAACAAGATCTGATGATTTGATAAAGGGCAGTTCCCCTTCACATGCTGTCTTGGCTGCCGCCATGTAAGATGTGCCTTTGCTCCTCCTTTGCCTTCCACCATGATTGTTAGCTTCCCCAGCCATGTGGAACTGGAGTCCACTAAACCTCTTTTTAAAAAATGAATTAACCAGTCTTGGGTATTTCTTCATAGAAATGTGAAAATGGACTAATACAATAAATTGGTACCAAGTAGTGGGGCACTGCTGTAAAGATACCTGAAAATGTGGAAGTGACTTTGGAACTGGGTAACAGGCAGAGGTTGGAAGAGTTTGGTGGGCTCAGAAGAAGACAGGAAGATGTGGGAAACTTTGGAACTTCCTAGAGACTTGTTGAATGGCTTTGACCCAAATGCTGATAGTTATATAGACAATAAAGTCCCGACTGAGGTGGTGTCAGATGGAGATGAGGAACTTGTTGGGAACTGGAACAAAGGTGACTCTTGTTATGCTTTAGCAAAGAGACTGGCAGCATTTTGCCCCTGTCTTTGAGATCTGCGGAACTTTGAACGTGGGAGAGATGATTTAGGATATCTGGTAGAAGAAATTTCTAAGTGGTAAGGTGTTTGAGAGGAAGCAGAGCATAAACCTTTGGAGAATATGCAGACTGATGATGCAACAGAAAAGAAAAACCCATTTTTTGAGGAGAAATTCAAGCTAGCTGTAGAAATTGGCATAAATAACCAGAAGCCAAATGTTAATCGCCAAGACAATGGGGAAAATGTCTCCAGAACATGTCAGAGGTCTTCATGGCAGCACCTTCCATCATAGGCCTGGAGGCCTAGGAGGAGAAAAATAGTTTTGTAGGCCAGGCCCAGGGCCTTGCTGCTTTGTGCAGTCTCGAGACTTGATACCCTGCATCCCAGCTGTGGCTAAAGGGGGCTAATGTAGAGCTCAGGCCATTGCTTTAGAGGGTGCAAACTCCAAGCCTTGGCAGCTCACCTGTGTTGTTGGGACTGAGGGTATGCAGAAGTCAAGAATTAAGGTTTAGGAACCTCCACCTAGATTTCAGAGGATATATGGAAATGCCTGAATGTCCAGGCAGGGGTGTGCTGCAGGGGCAGATCCCTCATGGAGAACCTCTGCTAGGGCAGTGTGGAAGAAAAATGTGGGGTGGGAGCCCCTATACAGAGTCCCCACTGGGGCACTGCCTAGTGGAGCTGTGAGAAGAGGGCCACCATCCTTCAGACCCCAGAATGGTAGATCCACTGACAGCTTGCACTGTGTGCCTGGAAAAGCCACAGACACTTAATGCCAGCCCATGAAGGCAGCAGGAGAACATCTGTACCCTGCAAAGCCACAGGGGAGAAGCTGTCCAAGATCATGGGAACCCTTGTCTTGCATCAGCATGACTTGGATGTCAGACATGGAGTCAAAGGATATCATTTTAAAGCTTTAAGATGTGACTGCCCTGCTGGATTTCAGACTTGCATGGGGCCTGTACCCCTTTGTTTTGGCCAATTTCTCCCATTTGGAACAGGTATATTTACCTAATGCTTGTACCCCCATTGTTTGTAGGAAGTAACTAACTTGCTTTTGATTTTACAGGCTCATAGGTGGAAGGGACTTACCTTGTCTCAGATGAGGCTTTGGACTGTGGACTTTTGAGTTAATGCTGAAATGAGTTAAGACTTTGGGGGATTGTTGGGGGGCAGGATTGGTTTTGAAATGTGAAGACATGAGATTTGGGAGGGGCTGGATATGGAATGACATGGTTTGGCTGTGTGCCCACCCAAATCTCATTTTGAATTGTAGCTCCTATAATCTCTACATGTCATGGGAGGGATCCAGTGGGAGGTAATTGGATCATGGGGGTGAGTTTTTCCTGTGCTGTTCTTGTCATGGTGACTAAGTCTCACAATATCTGATGCTTTTATAAAAGGCAGCTCCCCTGCACAAGCTCTCTTGCCTGCTGCCATGTAAGACATGCCTTTGTTCCTCCTTCTCCTTTCATCATGATTGTAAGGCCTCCCGAGCCATGTGGAAGTGTGATTTCATTAAACCTCTTTTTCTTTATAAGTTACTCAGTCTCAGGTATTTCTTCATAGCAGTATGAAAATGGACTAATACAAGATGATAATAAATTTTTTTTTTAGTGGGAAAAAATGTAAGTAGTCAGAAGGGAAGAAAGAACATATATACACAGGGACAAAGTTAAGAATGGCAGCAGTGTCAGAAGTAATACAAGGGAAAAGCAGGAGAGCAACATCTTTTAAGTACTGAAAGAGGAAAATTATAAACATATAATTTTATACCCAGCAAAACTATTTTACCAAAAAAAGGTAAAATAATCACAATGTGAAATGGCTCAGACTGTTAATGCCTTGGCTTTGCTCAGAAAACTTGTAGATATGCAAGCAAACCATGGACAATTGTCTGCCAACAATAATATAAAATCTTACATACCTAATAACAAAACCTCAAAATAGGGTGGGTATGGTGGCTAATGCCTGTAATCCCAGCACTTTGGGAGGGTAAGGCAGGCAGATCAATTGAAGTCAGGAGTTTGAGACCAGCCTGGCCAACATGGTGAAACCCTGTCTCTACTAAAAATACAAAATTAGCTGGACATGGTGGCACGTGCCTGTAGTCCCAGATAGTTGGGAGGCTGAGGCAGGAGAATCACTTGAACCTGGGAAGTGGAGGTTGCAGTGAGCTGAGATTATGCCACTGCACTCCAGCCTGGGCGACACAGCAAGACTCCATCTCAAAAACAAAACAAAACAAAACCAAAATATATGAAGCAAACTGTTATAAATAAAAAGAAATAAATACATCTAAAATCATATAGGAGATTTCAATATTTTTCTTCCAATAATTGATAGAATATGTATGCAGAAAATCAGTAAGGCTATATAAGATCTGAAGAACACAATTAACAAACTTGTTCTAATTGATATTTATGAAACATTCTATCTACTAGCAGCAGAATTGACATTTTTTGTTAGCACACATAGAACATTTACCAACGTAGGTTATTTCTAGTATATAAATGAACTCAAAGTAAATTTAATAAGATCCATAAGAGCTGAGTAATATAAAATATTATATGACTATAGCAGAATTAAATTATGAATCAATAACAAAAAGAAAGGGGGTTTCACCAATTATTAGGACACTGAACAACATACTTAAAAAATTATTTTTGAATTTTTAATTGACAAATAATAATTGTGTATATTTATGAGTATAACATGATGTTTTGCTCTACGTATATATTGTAGAAAGATTCAATCAAGCTAATTAACATGTTAATTACCTCACCAACTGTCTCAATTTGTTTTGTGCTGCTGTAACAGAATACCTGAGGTACGTTAATTTATAATGAAAATGTATTGGCTCATGGTTCTGGAGGCTGGAAAGTTCAAGACTGAGTGGTTGGCATCTGGGGAAGGCCTTCTTGCTGCATATATTATGACAGAAGAGAGAGCAAGAGACTGAACTTGCAGCCTCAAGCCATTTTACAATGGGCATTAATTCATTTGTGAGGGTGGAACCCTCATGACCTGAATGTCTCCCATTAGGCCTCACCTCATAACACTGCTTCACTGGGAATCAAGTTTTCAACACATCATTTTTGGGATATTCACATCATAGTGCCAAATTATCTTTCTTTTGGTGGTGAGAAAATTAAAAATCTATTCTTTTAGCAATTTTGAAATATATAATACATTATTAACTGTGCCCACCATGCAGTGCAATAGATCACTAAAACTTATTCCTCCAGTCTAACTGAAATTTTGTATCCTTTGATCAACATCTTCCCTTTCCCCATCTCTCTCCCTTCCCCCAGCCTTTGGTAATCACCTTTCTACTCTGTTTCTACCAGACTGACTTTTTTAGATTCTGCATATAAATGGGACGATACAGTATTTGTCTTTTGGTTCCTGGTTTATTTCTCTTAGCATAATGTCCTCCAGTAGCATCCATGTTGCTGTAAATGACAGCATTTTCTTTTTTTTGAGACTTTACAGTATGCCACTGTGTGTATGTGTATGAGTGTGTGCTCATCAAAAGACAAAATTAAGAAAATAACAAAATACAACACATTTGTAACACAAATATCTGACAAATAACTTTTATCCAGAGTATATTAGGAAACTCTTAAAACTCAATAATAAAAAGAAAATAACCTCATTTTGAAAAATGTACAAAAGACTTGAAAAGACAATTCAATTCAAAAGAAGACATATGGGCTCCAAGTCACTGTTGCACAGCCTTGGTGCCGCATACATGTGGGACAGTCCCAACCCACCTTGCTCTCTAGTACTTGTAAGGCTTTTCTTTTCAAGATGTCTGAGGAAGTACACCATGGAGAGGAGGTGGAGACTTTTGCCTTTCAGACAGAAATTGCCCAACTCAGGTCTCTTATTATCAATATCTTCTATTCCAACAAGCAGATATTTCCTTCAAGAATTGATTTCTAATGCTTCTGATGCCTTGAACAAGATTCTCTATGAGAGACTGGCAGACACAAGTTGGACAGTGGTAAAGAGCTGAACACTGACATCATGCCCAACCCTCAGGAATACACCCCGACTTTGGTGGACACAGGCATTTGCATGACAAAGTTGATTTCATAAATAATTCGGAAACCATTGCCAAGTCTGAGACTAAAGGATTTATGGAGGCTCTTCAGGCTGGTGCAGACATCTCCATGATTGTCAATTTGGTGTTGGCTTTCATTCTGCCTATCTGGTGGCAGAGAAAGTGGTTGTGATCACAAAGCACAATGATGATGAACAGTGAGCCTGGGAGTTTTCCGGTGGGGGTTCCTTCACTGTATGTGCTGACCATGGCAGGGGTACCAAAATGATCCTCCACCTTAAAGAAAACCAGACAGAGTACTTAGAAGAGAGATGGGTCAAAGACGCAGTGAAAAAGCACTCACAGTTCATAGGCTAACCCATCACCCTCTATCTGAGGAAGGAAAGAGAGAAGGAAATCAGTGATGATGAGGCAGAGGAAGAGAAAGGCAAGAAATAATAGGAAGATAAATATAATGAGGAAAAACCCAAGATTGAAAATGTGGGTTCAAATGAGGAGGATGACAGTGGTAAGGATAAGAAAAAGAAAACCGAGAAGATCAAAGAGAAATACATTAATCAGGAAGAACTAAACAAGATCAAGACCATTTGGACAAGAAACCATGATTACATCACCCAGGAGTATGGAGAATTCTGTAACAGCCACACTAATGACTGGGAAGACCACTTGGCAGTCAAGCACTTCTCTATAGAAGGTCAGTTGGAATTCAGGGCGTTGTTGTTCATCCCTTATCGGGCTCCTTTTGACCTCTTTGAGAACAATAAGAATAAAGACACCATCAAACTCTACGTCCTTCATGTGTTCATCGTGCACAGCTGTGATGAGTTGATACCAGAGGATCTCAACTTTATCTGTGGTATGGTTGACTCTGAGGATCTACCCCTGAACATTTGAGATGCTCCAGGAGAGCAAAATCTTGAAAGTCATTCACAGAAACATTGTTAACTGGTACCTTGAGCTCTTCTCTGAGTTGGCAGAAGACAAAGAGAGTTACAAGAAATTCTATGAGGCATTCTCTAAAAATCTAATGTTTGGAATCCCCGAGGACTCCCCTAACTGGTGACACCTGTCTGAGCTGCTGCACTTTCACAGCTCCCAGTCTGGAGATGGGATGACATCTCTGTTAGAATATGTCTCTTGCATGAAGGAGACACGGAAATCCACCTACTACATCCCTGGTGAGAGCAACGAACAGGTGGCCAGCTCTGCTTTCGTGGAGTGAGTGTGGAAGCAGGCCTTTGAGGTAGTGCATATGACCAACCCCACTGATGAGTACCGCATGCAGCAGCTCAAGGAGTTTGATGGGAAGTGCCTCGTCTCAGTTACCAAGGAGGGTCTGGAGCTACCAGAGGGTGAGGAGGAGAAGAAGAAAATGGAAGAGTGCAAGGTGAAGCTTGAGAACCTCTGCAAGTTCATGAAAATAATCTTGGATAAGAAGGCTGAGAAGGTGACAGCTTCCAATAGACTTGAATCTTCACCTGCTGCATTGTGACTACCATCTATGGCTTGACAGCCATTATGGAGCAGATTGTGAAAGCCCAGGCACTTTGGGACAACTCTATGATGGGTTATGTGATGGCCAAAGAGAACCTGGAGATCAACGTGACTACACTATTGTGGAGACGCTGTGGCAGAAGGCTGAGGCGGACAAGAACGACAAGGCTGTCAAGGACCGGGTGGTGCTGCTGTTGAAAACCAAGCTGTTCTTCTGGCTTCTTCCTTGAGGATCCACAGACCCACTCCAACTACACCTGCATGATCAAGCTAGGTCTAGGTATCAATGAAGATGAAGTGACAGCAGAGGAACCCACTGCTACTGTTCCTGATGAGATCCCCCCATTTGAGGGCAATGAGGATGTGTCTCACATGAAAGGAATAGATCAGGAGTTCACGCTTGGAAACCTTGTGCGCTCTGTGTAGTGTTCTCAGGGCTCCCACCACAGCCTTGAGTGGCCCTGTCCCAGCTGCCTCACTCCAGTGATTTCTAGTGTTTTTTCTCTCCCATCCTTGTATCTAAGGCAGGAAACAAGGGCATCAAGCCCCATTTACTCCCTAATTTGACAACAGGATTGGATGTTGTGTATTGTGGTTTTTTTTTTAATTTTGTTCTGAAATTAATCTATGAAAAATAAAAAAGCTGCCATTTTATGCAAAAAAAGAAGACATATGAGTAGCCAGTAAGCAAATGAAAACGTGCTCAACACTTTAGTTATCAGGAAAATGCAAATTAAAACCAAAGTAAGATACTACTTTATACTTACTAGAATGGTTAAAATTAAAGATGATAATACCAAATGTTGGCCAAGAGGCAGAGCACGGACTTTCATACATTGCTGACTACAAAACAGTACAAACACTTGGGAAAACGGTTCAGTAGTTTTATTCATTTTTCTAAATAAAAGCAAATGTATCTTAACCTAAGGCAGAGGAATTATACTACTAGATATTTACTCAAAATAAATGAAATGAGTTGTAGGAATTATTTGTATATTCTGGTTATGCGTTCTTGGTCGTATTGCAGCTATCTTCTGTCACTCAGCAATTTGCCTTCCCCTGTCTTAGTATGCCTTTAGATAAACAGAAATTCTTACTTTTAAAGTAGTCCTACTTATCAGTCTTTCTATTTACAGTTAATGCTTTTTATGTCCTGATAAAACATATGTCCATAAAATGACATAAAAAGCAAAAACTAGAAACAACCCAAATGCCTATCAACAATTTAATGGATAAACAAACTGTGGTATTTTAACGTAAATACAATAATAACAATAATAATGAAGTGCTGATACAACAACATAGATTAATTCTCAAAGCGTTGTATTGAGCAAAAGAAACAAGGTACAAAAGAATTCATGCTGAGTGATTCTATTTCTATGAAGTTCTAGAACATTCAAAACTAAAATATAGTTATAGAAAGCAAGGTGGCAGGGATGAAGATGAATTGACTAGAACGAGCATGAAGATGACAGGGTGATAGAAATATTCTAGATCTTGATTGGAGTGGTAGTTACACACATGTATGCATTTGTCAAAACACTTCAAACTACATTTAAAATCTGTGCGTTTTATTATAAGTAAATTGTACTTTTACAATTTAATTGTACAATTTAAATTGTACATTGTACCTTTAATTTAATTTAATTTGTACCTTTATAATTTACAATTTAAATAAGTACCTTTACAATTTGAAAGTATGTAAGGAAGGGGTCCAGTTTCAGTGTTCTGCATATGGCTAGCCAATTTTCCCAACACCATTTATTAAATAGGAAATCCTTTCCCCATTGCTTGTTTTTGTCAGGTTTGTCAAAGATCATATAGTTGTCGATGTGTGGTGTTATTTCTGAAGCCTCTGTTTTGTTCCATTGGTCTATGTATCTGTTTTGGCACCAGTACCATGCTGTTTTGGTTACTGTAGCCTTGTAGTAAGAAAAGCACACCTTTCTTTCTTAGAGAAATAAGGAAAAGAAAAAAAAAAGCACCCCTCCCCCTCTATAGACACCCATGAGGACATGCAGTAATTAGATAAAGAACTTGAAGCCATGACGTAAAAGTAGCGTGATCAGAGTGAATCAGGCTCATAGAAGCGAGATAGTATTTCATCCAGCTTTTCAAGGCGTATGAACATCTTCCCTCTGGAACACATAAAGACGTGCACACAAGTAGTGAAAATTACTTTCGATTGCCCTATAGGAAGCATCTAACCTTTAAACGTTTCCAGAGACTTGTGTGTAGGTTCTGCACCTGGTATCTAAGAAAGAGAGGCTTGGGACTGGGCAGACATTTGTCCAGCTGAAGATTTGAAGAGAAATCAAGTGTCAAGCACTATTTAGCACAAGCTATCTATTCTGAAGCCACTTAGCAAACAGGTATCGGCTAAATGACTACTTTGCTGTCTCAGGAGAATGGGGACAAAAATCCCTGAAGTGAAGCAGAGACAGGTGGGATTTCAGTGGCCCTTGCAGCATGACAGTTACATTGTTCTATGATTAGCCTTACACATGTCCAGCCTTAAGTGCAAACAGGAGCATTGTTGACATATTTTCAAGACTCCTCTGGAAGTGAATGTACTGGCTTTCAGCAAAATTTGACACAGCAGAGAATAAGGTGTGCTGTGCTCTTAGCTGCTTGAGAATTACAAATAGGTTTATGGTACAATAGATCTGATTTGGAAGCTACATAAAATGGAATGATCTGTAACTCTCATTAAAAACAGATATTAAGAAAATACAGCGTTCACCTACAGCCTTTGTCTTAAAGTTTGGATTTAGCAAATACTCATCATTATTCCTGCTTTCCCTCCAAGGCCTTGGGCCTTCCATAGTCAATGAGAGTTTCCCAATGCAGTCAAGTATGAACAGGAATAAGATGAAGCAATGAGCTGAGATGCAGAGCAGAGGGGATTCTTGGCACCTCTCTGCTGAGAGGCAATAGTTGGCTCTTCTGGTAGAGACTTTGCAGCTCATCGAAAATTATTTTACTGCTGTAAAGTGTTACCTGAAACTCCTCCACTGCTTCCAGCTACTTATCTTGCTTTTGCAGATATCTAGTGGCATTCTTGCAATCCACTGTTCTTAGCCACCTACAAAAGACAAGCTCCAAACAACTGCCATCTTCTCAAGTATTAGAACTACCACCATATGCCACAGATATGGAAAGCAATATCAGTAAATACTATTTATGTAAAGAGCTCTTGCAAATCAACAATGTAGCACAAAGCACCTAGAGAACCTAGAATATAATTTACAAAAGAAGAAATACAAATCTCTAATCTATGTTAAATAGGTTCAGGTGTCACTAGTAAGCAATTTAAGCACAAATGAACTAGAGCTTTTCATGCCTCAGATTGGTGGTGATTTGGAAAATATGAGTATATGGCAAGATAAGTACTTGTATGCACTCTTAATGAAACTGTAATGTAATGGAAACCTTTCAGGGAAGCAATTTGGCAGTATGTACTAAGTGACTTAAATTGTTTCATGTCCTTTGAATCAATCATTCTTCCAAGACAGTCAAAAAGAAATAAGCATGCTTGTAGACAAGAATGTATGCACAGGGATGTTTATCAGAGTTAGCCAAAACTGGAAACCACATAAAGGCCTAATAAAAGAGCAATGGCTAAACAATATATGGCATATTATGGAATATTATAAATCCATTATAATGTTCATGGATATTATGAGAAAAATATTCAAGAGATAATGTTAAGTGCAAAAATAGCATAAGTGAGCAAATCTATGAATGTATATTTCTCAGAACAAGAAGCCTCAGAGGTTGGCAATTCTATGAAAAGATGTCAGAATTCCAGAGCAGTCAGAAAAATAAGAATAAAAATAAAAATGAGATACTGATTTACAGGTACCATAATAGCAAAAAATTTGAAGATCACATGATACAAGGGGTCTATAATAAAGTGGGAAGATGGAGACTTGAATAACACTGGAAAGCAATATGGTAGTACTTAAGATAGTCAAGGTCCCATGACTTTCTAATTGCATACATGGATATGTATTGCAGAGACATTCTTACACAGGCCCTTATGAGGACACGTAAGAGATATCTGTCATGACAATGACTATGGCAAGGAGAAGTTAGAGTAACCTTCATGGTCAACACTGGAGGAAATAATAAGCAAAATGTAGTAAATGCATACTATATAATGACAAAAACTAGATGGTGCACACATCAATAAACATGAAAAACATAGTTTTCAGTGGAAAAAAGGGAAGGATAGAATGAGATTTTAGGAAAAATGAATATTAAAGAACACGTACAGGCCAGGCTCGGTGGCTCACACCTGTAATCTCAGCACTTTGGGAGGCCAAGGCGGGCGGATCACGAGGTCAGGAGATCGAGACCATCCTGGCTAACACGGTGAAACCCCGTCTCTACTAAAAATACAAAAAATTAGCCAGGCATGGTGGCAGGCGCCTGTAGTCCCAGCTACTGGGGAGGCTGAGGCAGGAGAATGGCGTGAACCTGGGAGGCGGAGCTTGAAGTGAGCTGAGATCATGCCACTGCACTCCAGCCTGGGCAACAGAGCAAGACTCCGTCTCAAAAAAAAAAAAAAGAACACATACATAAAGGAATGCAATATATTGCATATATCAAAAACAATTTATATCACTGCAACGTATTTTGTATATCAAAATTAGTAGGGAAGTATCTTTGTCAGAAAGAAATAATGGTAGTTGTTATTGTTATTATTATTTTATTGTACTTATAATAGAAAAGAGCCTTGCTTACATCAATGATCAATGACTAAGTATTCTACAACCAAAGACATGATGCATTCAATGTTCTGTACCTAAGTTGTTATGTTTTTTGTTTTTTTTTGTTTTTTTTTTCCCGAGACGGGGTCTCACTCTGTCACTCAGGCTGGAGTGCAGTGGTGTGATCTAGGCTCACTCCAACCTCCACCTCCCAGGTTCAAGCGATTCTTCGGCCTCAGCCTCCCGAGTAGCTGGGATTACAGGAGCATGTCACCACACCCGGCTAATTTTTGTATTTTTAGTAGAGATGAGGTTTCATCATGTTGGCCAGGCGGGTCTCAAACTCCTGACCTCATGATCTGCCCACCTCAGCCTCCCAAAGTGCTGAGATTACTGATGTGAGCTACCATGCCTAGCTCTAAGTTTTTTTTAAAGAGCTGTGTATTCAATTCATATCCCACACAGTCCCAATTTTATAGTAAATATGCAATGAAACAACAGAAGGAAAGAAAAACATTAAAAGGTTAATAATGGCAATCTCTGAATTTGATTTAATTATTTATCAATTGCTTTCTTTGTATTCGTAGCAAGGGTCCAAGCTCTAGCCTGTAATGAGCCCGCTGTTGGGATCTGAAGATGTTGATGCATAGTAGGGTGGGTTGCGGTGATGGGGTAAGGGGTGGTCTTGGTCCATTCAGACTGCTATAACAAAATACCATACACTGGGTAGCTTATAAGTAACAGAAATTTAATTCCTGGAGTCTAGGAATTGCAGGATTACAGTGCTGTCAGATTCATTGTCTGCTGAGAGCTTGCTTTCTGGTTCATGGATGATGCCTTCCTGCTGTCTCTTCACATGATAGAAAGGGCCAGGCATCTCTCTAGGGCCACATTTACAAAGACATTAATCTCATTCATGAGGGTTCTTCCCTCATGACTTAATCACTTTCCACCTCCTAATTCCATTGCATTGGTGATTAGGTTTTAACATGTATTTGGGGAGACACAAGCATTTGGATCATGGCAGTGGGCAAATTAAGAGTCAGATTAATTTTCTCATGGGAAAATCCCAGAGCTCAGGCACTAAAGAGGTAGCAAACATATTCTGAAGACCTGTCCTTTGGCATGGAGCTTAGGCCAAGGGGGATGGGAGCCATAGTCAGAAGACAAGAAGTTCTTTTCTAGTGTCCTATTGCCTCAGTAAGAACATATGGCTGGTTGTAGGGGGATAATGCTGGTCTCCACATTTCGGCATGAAACCAGTCAGAGGTTGAATTGCATCAAGGGTTTTTTGGCTACCAAAGGGTTCCGGAGCTCCAATTTCTTAGCGGGGGTTTGGGGTGTTTGGGGAGGTAGAGGGAGTGGGGCTCTGAGTGG